>NC_000019.10:49115874-49740874 GCF_000001405.40 Homo sapiens | reverse complement strand
CTCGCTCTGTTGCTCCAGGCTGGAGTGCAGTGGCGCCATCTTGGCTCGTTGCAACCTCCACCTCCCAGGTTCAAACGATTCTCGTGTCTCAGCCTCCTGAGCAGCCAGGATTACAGGCATACACCACCACGCCCAGCTAATATTTGTAGTTTTAGTAGAGATGGGGTTTCACCCTGTTGGCCAGGCTGGTCTCGAACTCTTGACCTTAAGTGATCCACCCGTGTCGACCTCCCAAAGTGCTGGGATTACAGGCGTGAGCCACTGCGCCCGGCCAGGACTTTTGTGTGAGAGGTGCTGGTCTAATGGATAAGGAGATGTGGGGTCTTCCAAATTATGGAATGTAGGAGGTCACCATGTGGTAGAATACTGGGGTGCACACACATATCAAATGTAGGATAGTTCATGAGCTTAGGAGACAGACGATAGGCACTGATTTAGTGCTTGCTGGGACATAGGTCAGTGCATCATGGGACAGACAATAGGACAGACACAGATTTAGTCCACAGCGGAATCTGGAGACCAGTGCATTGTGGGATGCTGGGGTCAGTCTCAAGCTCAAGGCATGATGGGAAACTCTGAGGGAGAAATGTGGGCCCCATGGGACCCTACCCTTTGCCCTCCGCAATCCAGTTCCCCCTCCACCCCCAGCCCAGTCCAGCAAGCCCAGCTACGCCTACGCTCCTCTCCCCAGGAGCTGGAGCGCCAGGCCTTAGCCAAACACGTCAGGGCAGAGGCCCTGAGCTCCACCCTTCGGCTGGCCCAAGACGAGGCCCTGCGGGCCAAGAACCTACTGCTGACAGACAAGATGAAGCCAGAGTGAGGAAGGAGGCTGAGGGCATGGGAGGAGGGTGAGATCTTGGGGAAAGGGCCTGATCTCCCCTTCCACTCCAACACCCCAGCACCTAGCCATGCCGCCATCAACTCCCCGCTGCCTCATGACAGGGAGAAGATGGCCACTCTGGACCATCTACACTTGAAGATGTGCTCCCTCCACGATCATCTCAGCAACCTGCCACTTGAGGGGTCCACGGGAACAATGGGGGGAGGCAGCAGTGCAGGAACCCCCCCAAAACAGGGGGGCTCAGCCCCTGAACAATAAATGGCCTCTCATGCTAGCATGAATTCTGTCTGCTTTTTGGGACCAGAGTCCTAGTGAATTGCACACACACCATGCACTCCCTCTATGCCCAATGTGATTTATTTATTTTAATTAATTAATTAACTTTATTATTCTTTTTGAGACAGATTCTCACTCTGTCGTCCAGGCTGAAGTGCGTGTGATCTCGGCTCACTGCAACCTCCACATCCTGGGTTCAAGCAATTCTCCTGTCTCAGCCTCCCGAGTAGCTGGGATTACATTCGCACACCATCATGCCTGGCTAAGTTTTTGTATTTTCAGTAGAAACAAGGTTTCCCCATGTTGCCCAGGCTGGTCTCAAACTCCTGAGCTCAGGCAATCTGTCTGCCTTGGCCTCCCAAAGTGCTAGGATTACAGGTGTGAACCACCACACCCAGCCCACTGTGATTTATTTAATTTTCAGCAAACAGGATGTCGTGGTCCCCACAGAGGTGCTGGTGGTGGTACAGTTCTTTGAGATGGCAATGGTGGTAGAAACAAGGTTCTGTGGTATAGTATAGGTCTGTCAAGTCAACATTTTTTAGGCTGATTATTACTAGATAACTATATTAGTTGTCTATTGTTGTGTAAAAATACCCCATAAGTTAGTTGCTTAAGATAACAAATGTATCTCAACTTCTGAAGGTCAGAAATACAATCAGTTAACCTCACTCCTGGGGTTAGGTCCTGGCTGAGATCCTCATGAAGTTAGAGTCAAGATGTCAGCCAGGACCAGAGGCGGTGGCTCACACCCATAATCCCAGCACTTTGGGAGGCTGAGGCGAGTGGATCACTTGAGACCAGCAGTTTGAGGCCAGCCTGGCCAACATGGTGAAACCCTGTCTCTATTAAAAATACAAAAATTAGCCAGGCACACACCTGTAGTCCCAGCTACTCGGGAGGCTGAGGCACAAGAATCGCTTGAACCCGGGAGGCAGAGGTTGCAGTGAGCTGAGATCGCGCCATTGTACTCCAGACTGGGTGACAGTGAGACTCCGTCTCAAAAAAAAAAAACAAAAAACACAAACAACAAAAAAAAAACATTGAAAAATTGAGACAGTGTCTCACTATGTTGCCCAGGCTTGTTTGGAACTCCTAGACTCAAGGGATCCTCCTGCCTTGGCCTCCCAAAGTGCTGGATTACAGGCATGAGCCACTGTGCCCAGCCGGACAATGTTTTTTTTTATACCCAGGGCTTTTCACCCATAGATTTAATACCCCTCCCCCGCCAGTACACCTCTGAGCTCAGAGGGAAAGCACAGAGTTATGATATTTCCCTCCATAAAAGACAGAATAGGGAATTGGCAGTTCCTCAAAGTAAAAATACCCTCTCTAACAGACAGAATATACCTGGAAATACCCTCTGTGTCTGGCAGAATAGCCAATTTCTTCAGGTGAAAATGAGGCAATAGGCCGGGCACAGTGGCTCATGCCTGTAATCCCGACACTTTGGGAGGCCAAGGCAGGCAGATCACTGGAGGTTAGGAGTTTGAGACCAGCCTAGCCAACATGGTGAAACCCTGTCTCCACTAAAAATACAAAACTTACCTGGGCATGTTGGAGTATGCCTGTAATCCCAGCTACTAGGGAGGCTGAGGTAGGAAAATCGCTTGAACCTGGGAGGTGGAGGTTGCCGTTAGCCAAGATCACGCCACTGCACTCCAGCCTGGGCAACAGAGTGAATGAGGCTCTGTCTCAAAAAATAAAATAAAATAATAAAGAGAAAAAAATGCAAATCCAGAAGATATTGCAAGAAACATATGAAGTAAAGTGGTTAGAATAATTTGATAAAGTTTTCTGTTGTCTTAAAATGAAACTTCAGTGTAAGAAACAGAAAAATAGGCCGGGCGCAGTGGCTCACGCCTGTAATCCCAGCACTTTGGGAGGCCGAGGCGGGCGGATCACGAGGTCAGGAGATCGAGATCATCCTGGCTAACACGGGGAAACCCCGTCTCTACTAAAAATACAAAAAAATTAGCCGGGCAAGGTGGGGGGCGCCTGTAGTCCCAGCTACTCGGGAGGCTGAGGCAGCAGAATGGCGTGAACCCCAGGGGGCGGAGCCTGCAGTGAGCCGAGATCGCGCCACTGCACTCCAGCCTGGGCGACAGTGAGATTCTGTCTCAAAAAAAAAAAAATAAACAAAAAAAGAAACAGAAAAATATATCCTCAATAGTTAAGAATTTAAAGTCTAGATTATATTCACATTTTGGGGTTTGAGGAGGGAGAGATAAACTGAAGTAATATAATACATGAAGATGATAAACAATGTCAATTATATTAATCATTAAATGTAAATTAACAAGACTTCACCAGTTAAAAGACAAAGTTTGACAACATGGATTAAAACATATACACACTAAATCCAGATCAATGCTGTTTTATAACAAACACACTGGCCGGGGGCGGTGGCTCATGCCTGTAATCCCAGCAATTTGGGAGGCTGAGGCAGGCGGTTCACCTGATGTCAGAAGTTCAAGACCAACCTGGCCAACATGGTAAAACCCAGTCTCTACTAAAAATACAAAAATTAGCTGGGAGTGGTGGCGCATGCCTGTAATCTCAGCTACTTGGGAGGCTGAGGCAGGAGAATTGCTTGAACCCATGAGGCAGAGGTTGCCGTGAGCCGAGGTTGCGCCGTTGCACTCCAACCTGGGTGACACAGTGGGACTCTGTCTCAAACACAAAACAAAACAAAAAAAAACAAAGAAAGACAGAAAGAAACACACTTAAAACAACAAAAGAATTCAAAGTTAAAAGACTGTAAACAAGTCCCCTGGAATGCAGGGAAAGCCGGGTGTGGTGGCTCACACCTTATCCCAGCACTTTGGGAGGCCGAGGCGGGAGGATTGCTTGAGCCCGGGAGTTCAAGACCAGCCTGTGCATCATAGTGACCCCTGTCTCTGCTAAAAATAATAAAAAAAAAATTAGCTTACCGTGGTAGCACGTGCCTATAGTCCCAGATACTAGGGAGGCTGAGGTGTGAGGATGGCTTGAGTCTGGGTGGTCAAGGCTGCAGTGAGCTGTGATCGCGCCCCTGCACTCCAGCCTGGGTGACAGAGCAAGACCCCGTCTCAAAAGCAAAAATTAAAACAATTTAAATTTCCACATATATGAGGATTTTAAATTCCTCTTTTTGACATTAACTAGAGATCTAATTGCATAGTGATCAGAAACATTGATCTGTATGATACCTGTTCATTGAATTTATCGGGGCTTTCTTTTGGTTTAGTACAGATCAATTTTTATAAGTGTGCTTGAGAAAAAAATGTGTGTGCTTCAATTGTTGAATGGAGAGCACTCTATGGATCTATTGATTGATCCATCCATCCATCCATCCATCCACTTATTTATACTCCTCCCTAGTTCATTTCTCAATGAAAAGAATGTTCCTGTGTACTCCCGGGGGTATATACAGGAGGAGAGACAAATGATTGCACATAACAAGTCTATTCCAGAGTTGCTACCTCCCAAATCCTTTAGATTATTTTATTTATTATTTATTTATTTATTTATTATTTTTGAGACAGTCTCACTCTGTCACCCAGGCTGGAGTGCAGTGGCATGATCTCAGCTCACTGCAACCTGCAACCTCCACCTTCCAGGTTCAGGAGATTCTCCTGCCTCAGCCTCCTGAGTAGCTAGGATTACAGATGCGCACCACCATGCCCGGCTAATTTTTATATTTTTAGTAGAGACAGGGTTTCGCCATGTTGGCCAGGCTGGTCTCAAACTCCTGAGCTCAGCTGATCCGCCTGCCTCAGCCTCCCAAAGTGGTGGGATTACAGGCCTGAGCCACCCCCCCGGCCACTTTATCTTCTCTTCTTGACATTCTACCAGGGAGGTTCTGGGATATTAACCTACTTAAATGTAGGCCATCACTGAACCCAAGTTTTGGTCCATTATTATTAGAGCTACTTACAGCTGCTCAAGCTAGCACATTAAATTCAGAATTAATACATTAATTCATTCCCATCAAACTTGACATTCCATCCTCCCTGGTCCAACACTGTTAGAATCTGTTGCTACACATACACCCAGGTTTTCGAGCTCTTTGGAAATACACAGCATCTCCATCTCCTTCTGGAGCTGAGATTAAAGTCCTGAGCTCATCATTTTCTTTATGTCATCTTCCCAGTGTGACAGAAATAGCTGTTCTGTTCCACAGCCCTCATCGCTCCCACTATATTGGTCAAGGTCAGCAGTTAGTTGATTTTCTAAAGTCTTTAAAAACAGGGTTTTTTTTGGCCGGGCACGGTGGCTCACGCCTGTAATCCCAGCACTTTGGGAGGCTGAGGCGGGCAGATCACGAGGTCAGATCAACACCATCCTGGCCAACATGGTGAAACCCCATCTCTACTGAAATACAAAAAATTAGCCAGGCGTGGTGGCACGTGCCTATAGTCCCAGCTACTAGAGAGGCTGCGGCAGGGGAATCGTTTGAACCCGGAAGGCGGAGGTTGCAGTGAGCCTAGATTACGCCATTGCACTCTAGGCTGGCAACAGATCGAGACCCCCTCTCAAAAACAAACAAACAACAACAACAACAACAGAAGGTTTTTTTTTTAGAGACAGAATTTCATTCTGTCACACAGGCTGGAGGGCAATGCCACAGCTCCCTGCAGCCTTGAACTCCAGGGCTCAAGTAATCCCCTAGCTTCAGACTCCCAATGGCTGGGACTACAGGTGTGCCCTCTATGCCTGGCTAAAGCCTTTTGTTTTTGTTTGTTTGTTGGTTTGTTTTTTTGAGACGGAATTTCTCTCTTGTTGCCCAGGCTGGAGTGCAATGGCGCCATCTTGGCTCACCACAACCCTGCCTCCCTGGTTCAAGTGCTTCTCCTGCCTCAGCCTCCTGAGTAGCTGGGATTACAGGCATGTGCCACCACGCCTGGCTAATTTCGTATTTTTAGTAGAGACAGGGTTTCTCCATGTTGGTCAGGCTGGCCTCGAACTCCCAACCTCAGGTGATCCGCCCACCTTGGCCTCCCAAAGTGCTTGGATTACAGGCGTGAGCCACCGCACCCAGCCAAGGCTTTTGATTTGTTTACTGGAACCTCATTGCAAACAACCAAAGATAATAAATAATGAATGATGGCACTACATGCAATAACTGTCATCCCGTTTTCCACCTCCCAGGATATCATCACATCATTAAACAGCTCATCAAAGAGCAAAGAGGTGAATAACCTAATCCCAGAATCCCGTCTTCAGCATCTTTTTTTTTTTTTTTTTAGACGGAGTTTTACTCTGTCACCCAGGCTGGAGTGCAGTGGCGCGATCTCAGCTCACTGCAACCTCTGCTTCCCAGGTCTGAGCAATTCTCCTGCCTCAGCCTCCCGAGTAGCTGGGACTACAGGCGCCCGCCACCATGCCTAGCTGATTTCTGTATTTTTAATAGAGACAGCGTTTCGCCATGTTGGCCAAGCTGGTCTCAAACTCCTGACCTCAGGTGCAGTTGGCCTCCCAAAGTGCTGGGATTACAGGTGTGAGCCACCGCGCTCAGTCTAGCATCTGTTTTCTGAGACCACTGGTAGAGGGAAAAGCAACTTCATCTTGGATGCTCATCTGCCATGTTGGCATCTGACTCACCCCAGCTCTGGGAAGGGCCCTAAGATTTCCAGTTTAGGCTGGGCATGGTGGCTCACACCTGTAATCCCAGCACTTTGGGAGGCCAAGGCGGGTGGATCACGAGTTCAGGAGATCGAGACCATCTTGGCTAACACAGTGAAACCCCGTCCCTACTAAAAATACAAAACATTAGCCAGGTATGGTGACAGGCGCCTGTAATCCCAGCTACTCGGGAGACTGAGGCAGGAGAACGGCATGAACCCAGGAGGTGGAACTTGCAATGAGCTGAGATCGCGCGCGCCACTGCACTCCAGCCTGACAGGTGTGAGCCACCGCTCCCGGCCAATCACCTTTTCTTTATGGTCTATAAGCTTTAGGTCTGGGGGGGTAACAGTGCAGGGATCTGCTGTCTTTTTTTTTTTTTTTTTTTTTTATAGAGTCTCATTCTGTCGCCCAGGCTGGAGTGCAATGGCACGATCTTGTCTCACTGCAACCTCCACCTCCCAGGCTCAAGCGATTCTTCTGCCTCAGCCTTCTGAGTAACTAGGACTACAGGAGCGCACCACCACGCCCGGCTAATTTTTTGTATTTTTAGTAGAGACGGGGTTTCGCCATGTTGGTCAGGCTGGTCTCAAACTCCTGACTCAGTGATCCATCCGCCTTGGCCTCCCAAAGTGCTGGGATTACAGGCGTGAGCCACTGTGTCCAGCCTTCTGTGTTTGTTTGTTTGAGACAAGGTCTGGTTCTCTTGCCCAGGCTGGAGTGTAGTGGCACAAAGATGACTCACTGCAGCCTCAACCTCCTGGGCTCAACTGATTCGTCCACCTCAGCCTCCCGAGTAGTTGGGACCACAGGTGCATGCCACCATGCCTGGCTAATTTTTTTATCTTTTGTAGAGACAAGGTCTCACCATGTTGCCCAGGCTGTTTTCAAACTCCTAGGCTCAAGTGATCCACTGGCCTTAGCCTCCCAAAGTGCTAGGATTATAGGCATGAGCCATTGTCCCTGGTCCAGCTTCTGTTCTTAAGTCCCTATTAAATGTTTATTTCTAAGAAACTAGGTTGGGCGTGGTGGTTCACACCTGCAATCCCAGCACTTTGGGAGGCTGAGGCAGGTGGATCACCTGAGGTCAAGAGCTGGAGACCAGCCTGACCAACATGGCAAAACCCCGTCTCTACTAAAAATGCAAAAATTAGCTAGGCGTGGTGGTGCATGCCTATAGTCCCAGTACTTTGGGAGGCCGAGGTGGGCAGATCACTTGAGGCTAGGAGTTCAAGACTAGCCTGGACAACATGGAGAAACACCGTCTCTACTAAAAAAACAAAAATTAGCTGGGAGTGGTGGTGCACACCTGTAACCCAGCTACTCTGGAGGCTGAGGCAGGAGAATCGCTTGAACCTGGGAGGCAGAAGTTGCAGTGAGCCAAGATCACACCACTGCACTCCAGCCTGGGTGACAGAGTAAGACTCTGTCTCAAAAAACTAAAACTAAAAATTAATTACTTCAGGCCAGGCGCGGTGGCTCATGCCTGTAATCCCAGCACTTTGGGAGGCCGAGGTGGGCGGATCACCTAAGGTCAGGAGTTTGAGACTAGCCTGGCCAATGTGGTGAAACCCCATCCCTACTAAAAATGCAAAAAATTAGCTGGGCGTGGTGGCGGGCGCCTGTAATCCCAGCTACTCGGGAGGCTGAGGCAGGAGAATCACTTGAACCGAGGAGGTGGAGATTGCAGTGAGCTGAGATCCCACCACTGCACTCCAGCCTGGGCGACAGAGCAAGACTCTGTCTCAAAAAAAAAAAAAAAAAAATTAATTACTTCAGTCCGATCAAACCTTACATTCCATCCTCCCTGGTCCAAAACCCTTAGAATCCATTGCTACACATACCCACAGGTTTGCGAGCTCTTTGGAATAACTCCTTCTGGAGCTGAGAGTTTAAAGTCCTGAGCTCATCTTAGAGCGACAGCGAGTGAGAGAACAACCTAGGTTTCAGAGCACTCCAAAATTCAGAAGCCTAAAATCAAATAAGTGATGGAACTCACGGTGGAAAACGAAAAGGAATAACCAGTGAGTAGGAGGAGAATCAAAATAAGATGATGTGGCCGGGCACGGTGGCTCACGCCTGTAATCCCAGCACTGTGGGAGGCCGAGGCGGGCGGATCACCTGAGGTCGGGAGTTGGAGACCAGCCTGGCCAGCATGGTGAAACCCCGTCTCTACTAAAAATACAAAAATTAGCCAGGCGTGGTGGGTGGCACCACTACTACCCCGCTACTCGGGAGGCTGAGGCAGGATAATTGCTTGAACCTGGGAGCAGAGATTACAGTGGGCCAAGATTGCACAATCGCACTCCAGCCTGGGTGACAAGAGTGAAACTCCATCTCAAAAATAAAATAAAATAAAATAAGACGATGTCCTTGAAGGCAGTGAAAAAATGTACCGATGAGAAGGGAGCAATCAATTCCAAATGCTTCTGTTGGTCAGCTACGATGAGAACCGGGAAACTGATTATAGCATTGAGCAACAAAAGTATTTTCACTGGAGTGATGGTTGAAGGAGACTGAAGGAATGACTTTTTTGAGATGGGGTCTTGCTCTGTCAACCAGGTTGGAGTGAAGTGGCTTGAACATAGCTCATCGCAGTCTCGACCCCCTGGGTTCAAGCAATCCTCCCACCTCAGCCTCCTGAGGTCCTGGGACAACAGGCACATGCCACCATGCCTGGGTGATTTTTTTTTTTTTTTTTTTTTTGAGACGGAGTCTTGCTCTGTCACCCAGGCTGGAGTGCAGTGGTGCAATCTCGGCCCACTGCAAGCTCTGCCTCCCAGGTTCACGCCATTCTCCTGCCTCAGCCTCTGGAGTAGCTGGGACTACAGGCGCCTGCCACCACGCCCGGCTAATTTTTTTTTTTTTTTTTTTGTATTTTTAGTAGAGACAGGGTTTCACCATGTTCGCCAGGATGGTCTCGATCTCCTGACCTCGTGATCCTCCCACCTCAGCCTCCAAAAGTGCTGGGATTACAGGTGCGAGCCACTGCACCCAGCCTCAAGTTTCAAAGTCCCACTCATTTTCAACTGATGCCCAAACCTTCATATTAGAAACTTGTGCTGGGTGCGGTGGCTCACGCCTGTAATCCCAGCACTTTGGGAGGCCGAGGCGGGTGGATCACGAGGTCAGGAAATTGAGACCATCCTGACTAACACAATGAAACCCCATCTGTACTAAAAATACAAAAAATTAGCTGGGCTTGGCGGCAGGCACCTGTAGTCCCAGCTACTCGGGAGGCTGAAACAGGAGAATGGCGTGAACCCAGGAGGCAGAGCTTGTAGTGAGCCGAGATGGCTCCACTGCACTCTAGCATGGGCGACAGAGTGAGACTCTGTCTCAAAAATAAATAAATAAAATAAAATAAAATAAAAATTAGCTGGGCATGGTGGTGCATGCCTGTGGTCCCACCTACTCAGGAGGCTGAGGTGGGAGGATTGCTTGAGCCCAGGAGCTCGAGGCTGCAATGAGCTATGATCACACCACTCTCCTTCAGCCTGGGCGCCAGAGTAAGACCCTGTCTCAAAAAATAATAATAGATAAATAAATGAATAAACAATTTTCCAAAACCTACCTTTGGAAAGCTCCTTCCTATTACAAATATCTGTGTCAGTCAGGGTATATTCAGGAGACAGAAATCACACTGGTTATTTTAACAGAGATGATCGAATATAAATAAATTTAGGTATTAAAGGATTGGTAACTAGGAAACTGAAAAGGCAAAAAGAGGACCCTGTGGTATTGTGGTGGCAGTAACTACAGGAAACAGCATTATATTGGTCCTGCTGTCACAGGACGCACCCCAAAATTGGGGTTCAGTCTGGGAGGCCAAGTGGGTTCTTGGCTTCACAGAGGAAAGAATTCAAGAGCAACATGAGTTGAAGACCAGCCCGTGCAACATAGTGAGGCTCTGTCTATACTAAAAATAATTTTAGCTCAGGCGCGGTAGCTTACCCTGTAATCTCAACACTTTGGGAGGCCAAGGCTGGCGGATCACTTGAGGTCAGGAGTTCGAGACCAGCCTGACCAACATAGTGAAATCTTGTCTCTACTAACAATACAAAAATTAGCTGGGCATGGAGGCACGCACCTGTAATCCCAGCTACTTGGGAGACTGAGGCTGGAGAATCGCTTGAGCCCAGGAGGCAGAGGTTGCAGTGAACCAAGATCGTGCCATTGCACTCCAGCCTGGGCAACTCTGTCTCAAAAAAATAAATAAATGAAAATAAAAATAATTTTAAAAATTGGCCAAGTGGACATGGTGGTGCCTACTTGTAGTCCCAGCTACTTGGGAGGCTGAGGCCGGAGGGTTGTTTGAGTCTGGGAGGTTGAGGCTATCGTGAGCCATGATGGTACCACTGCAGTCTAGTCTGGGTAACAGAGTGAGACCCTGTCTAGAAAAAAAATAATACATTGAAGAGCAAGTGGATTCAGTAAAGTGAAAGCAAGATTATTAAGGAAGTAAAGGAATAGCCAGGCGTGGTGGCTCATGCCTGTAATCCCAGCACTTTGGGAGGTGTAGGCGGGCGGATCACCTGAGGTCAGGAGTTCGAGACCAGCCTGACCAAAATGATTAAACCCTATCTCTACTAAAAATACAAAAATTAGCCAGGCGTGGTGGCATGTGCCTGTAATCCCAGCTACTTGGGAGGCTGAGAGAGGAGGCTCTCTTGAAACCGGGAGGCAGAAGTTGCAGTGAGCGGAGATCACGCCATTGCACTCCAGCCTGGGCAACAAAAGTGAAACTCCGTCTCAAAAAAAAAAAAGAAAGTAAAGGAAAAAAGGGGCTGGGTGCAGTGTCTCACCCCTGTAATCCCAGCACTTTGGAGGCCAAGGCAGGTGGATCACTTGAGGCCAGGAGTTCAAGACCAGCCTGGCCAACATGGTGAAACCCCATTTCTACTAAAAAATACAAAAATTGGCCGGGCGCTGTGGCTCACGCCTGTAATCCCCATCTCTACTAAAAATACAAAATTAGCTGGGCGTGGTGGCGCATGCCTGTAATCCCAGCTACTTGGGAGGCTGAGGCAGGAGAATCTCTTGAACCCGGTAGGCGGAGGTTGCGGTGAGCCAAGATGGTGCCACTGCACTCCAGCCTGGGCAACAAGAGTGGAACTCCGTCTCAAAACAACAACAACAACAAAAAACAAAACAAATACAAAAATTAGCCGGGTGTGGTAGCGTGTGCCTGTAGTCCCAGCTACTCAGGAGGCTAAGGCACAAGAAATGCTTGAACCTGGGAGGTGGAGTTTCCAATGAGCCGAGAATATGTCTCTACTCCAGCAGCCTGGGCGACAGAGGGAGACCCTGTCTCCAGAAAAAAAAAAAAAAAAACGGAGTGAATCAAAGAGTGGCTACCCCACAGGTAGAGTAGTCCTAAGGGCTATTGGTTGGCTGTTTTGATATATTTTTATGGTTATAGTTATTTTTTGATTATATGCTAAATAAGGGGTGGATTATACATGAGTTTTCTGGGTAAGGAACAGGGAGCTCCCAGAACCCGAATTTTCTCCCCCATCCAGATGATACTGAGTAACTTCTCAGCATGGCCGTGGCATTTGCAAACTGTCATGGCGCGGGTGGAAGTGTTTTTGGCATGCAAATGCATTCTAATTAGTGTATAATGAGCAGTGAGGGTAGCCAGAGGTCGCTTTCATCCTGTCTTGGTTCCAGCTGGTTTTGGCCAGTTTCTTTTACTGTCTCCTGTGTTATCAGCAGGGTCGTGTCACATGTTGTCTTGGAAGTTAGTCCTGCCAAATTCCTACTTTATTCCCTGCTCAAACATTATATAGGCCTCCTTAATCTTTTTTTCTTTTTTCTTTTCTTTTTTTTTTGAGACAGAGTTTCGCTCTTGTTGCCCAGGCTGGGGTGCAATGGCACGATCTCGGCTCACCGCAACCTCCGCCTCCCGAGTAGCTGGGATTACAGGTACCCGCCATCATGCCCAGCTAATTTTTGTATTTTTAGTAGAGATGGGGTTTCACCATTTTGGCCAGGCTGGTCTTGAACTCCTGACCTCAGGTTATCCACCCGCCTTGGCCTCCCAAAGTGCTGGGATTACAGGCGTGAGCCACCGAGCCAAGCCCTCCCCACCCTAATCTTATTATGTAAATGAACTCTCCCCATGGCCAGAGCCCTCTTGTCTGCTCGTTAACTGTACACGTGGCTGGCAGAGAAGGGAAGATGGAGCCACCATATTGAACATGTCTAGTCCCTAGTTCCTTGTTCCCGCCAGGCCGGCGTTCACCCAGGCAAGCTCCCAGCTTGCATGCCTATCTCTGCAGCTCAACTTTACAAGCCGCTCTTCATTAGAAAATGATTCGGGGCTGCTTTTCATTAAAAAGGAAAGCCTTACCAAGGACTCCCTTGCCCTATCAGTCTAAGTGATTTCGTCTTAACTCCTACATCACCTTGACCTTGATCCTCTTCATGGGCGGGAACTGGAGTGGCTTTTTTGGCTCAGCCTGCTGCTGGTGACTCCTCATGAGAGGGAGCGTGGGAGCAAGCGAGTGCAGGAACTGAAGGGAACAAACGCTGGAGCCGGCCAGTCACTCCTCTCTGGTGGGAGCAGGCTCTGTGCGGGAGCGTCCAAGCCCCTGCCCTCTCAGCATCCGGGTTCTTGACTGGTGTCCAGGAAGAATTAGGTCACACGAACAGATTGTAGGGTAGTGTATGGGGAGGATTTTATTGGGTGATGGAAGTGGCTCTCAGTGGAATGGAGGCCAGGGGAGGGTGTGGGAAGAAGGTGATCTTTCCCTGAAGCTGCGCCATCTGAAGTTAGCCGTGTCTATCCGTAGTCTTTGATGCTCAGCCATCAGCCGCTTGTGTTGCTCTGCCAGCGGCAGTCTTTTTGTGGGCACAGGATAGAGGTGTGGCAGGCCAAAAAGGCAACATTTGGATGGAAAAATGGGGTCAGCTGTTTTCACTTAGGGCGGCGGTTCCAGGCTTAAGGATAGGGTTTAGCCGGGACCCCAGCTGTTCTGTACCAGTCTGAGTATGATGAAGGTAGCCAGGTAGTTGTTTGTATATCTTGTTGATATTTTTCTCCATTTGATCTGAGGTGTTTATATAGGTACAGCAGGTTTTATTAATTACAGTTGTTCCACTGACCATACTAATTACTAATGTTCCATTAGACCATGGATAGACTAATGCTAATCTGTTACCCATTACTACATCTGTTACAGAATCAAGGGACAGTCTCAATTTATCTAAACTGTCCTGTAGTCTATGAGACAGCAGTGTACAGAGTAAAGAAGTACAGTTTTTTTTTTTTTGTTTTTTTTTTTTTTTGAAACAGAGTCTCGCTCTGTCGCCCAGGCTGGAGTGCAGTGGTGTGACCTCGGCTCACTGCAAGCTCCGCCTCCCGGGTTCACACTGTTCTCCTGCCTCAGCCTCCCGAGTAGCTGGGACTACAGACGCCCACCACCACACCTGGCTAATTTTTTATATTTTTAGTAGAGACGGGGTTTCACCATGTTAGTCAGGACGGTCTCGATCTCCTGATTTCATGATCCACCTGCCTTGGCCTCCCAAAGTGCTGGGAATACAGGTGTGAACCACCGTGCCTGGCTAAGTGAAGAAGTAAAGTTTTGAAGAGTTGCCTCATGATGGGCAAATCCTCCCCATGGGGCCAACAAGTTGATGGCAGCCCCAACTTCAGCCAAGATAAGGCCAACTGCCTGCTTAGCACTTGGGTGAGTGATGTCATGTAACTGTATATTAGAGGGCTTTGCCTGTCCTGTTATACATTGACCCCTGAAACAAATGTTATCAATACACTGTTAACCATGGGTTTTATGATTTCAAATGAAAGAAAAGTTATTTGGAGGCTGACTGAATGGGTATCTGATATGGTTTGGCTCTGTGTCCCCACCCAAATCTCATCTCAAATTGTAATGCCCGTAATCCGCACACGTCGAGGTAGGATCCAGGCGGGAGGTGATTGGATCATGGTGGTGGTTTTCCCCACACTGTTCTCGTGGTAGTGAGTGAGTTCTCATGAGATCTGATGGTTTTATGAGGCAGTTGTTCCTGCGCTTGCCCCTCTGTCTCTCTTGCCACCACGTGAGACGTGCCTGCTTTCCCTTCCTCCATGATTGTAAGTTTCCTGAGGCCTTCCCAGCCATGCAGAATTGTGAGTCAATTAAAACTCTTTTCTTTATAAATTACCCAGTCTCAGCTATGTCTTTATAGCAGTGTGACAACGGACTACTACAGCGTCCATATAGCCAAAGGTATCCATTGGGAGCACAAACCCATGTGGGAGGGGAGTTAAGAAGGTTGAGCATCTCTGTTATCTAAGTGACGCTTTGGTTTAAGCATGAATGGGATAAGAATTTGGGGGGAGGCCAGGGACAGTGGCTCACGCCTATAATCCCAACACTTTGGGAGGCTGAGGTGGGCAGATCACTTGAGGTCAGGAGTTTGAGACCAGCCTGGCCAACATGGCGAAACCTCATTTCTACTAAATATACAAAAATTAGCTGGGTGTGGTGGCGGGTGCCTGTAATCCCAGCTACTCAGGAGGCTGAGGCAGGAGAATTATTTAAACCCAGGAGGTGGAGGTTGCAGTGAGCCAAGATCTCTCCACTGCACTCCAGCCTGGGCAACAGAGTGATACTCCATCTCAAAAAAAAAAGAGAAAAAAAGAATTTGACTGGAAAGTGGTAATTTAAAATAATACCATTATTATGAGAGGCAGCTATGGGAGTAGAGAAGGGCATAATTGTCTACAGAGGGACTAAGACCCTCCAGGGAGACAAGAAGAAATGTATTTGATGGTACCATCAGGGCAAAAATGTGTGGCATTTACTTGACAGGTAGTGTTAAAAGATCCTGCCCTGGCCAGGCGCGGTGGCTCACGCCTGTAATCCCAGCACTTTGGGAGGCCGAGGCGGGCGGATCACCTGAGATCAAGAGTTCAAGACCAGCCTGGCCAGCATGGTGAAACCCCCATCTCTACTGAAAATACAAAAAAATTAGCCAGGCATGGTGGCAGGTGCCTGTAATCCCAGCTACTTGGGAGGCTGAGGCAGGAGAATCGCTTGAACCTGGGAGGCAGAGGTTGCAGTGAGCCGAGATCACGCATTGCACTCCAGCCTGGGCAACAAGAGCGATACTTTGTTAAAAAAAAAACAACAACAACAAAAAAAAACTTGCCCTATAAATGGCATTGAATAAGTGGTACAAAGTAGATACCATTGCCTGTAGGAGAGATGGCATGGGTATTATTATAGTACTGAGGCCAGGCCAGGTGGGTAACATTGCAGGAAAACAGTTTTAAAGGGACAGCCGTCTAGTTGGGAAGTTTCCTATGGGAGCAGGCGAGGTCTAATAAATAATTCGAATAGAGAGTGTTTCCTAAAGCAATGTCTAAGACGGCGAGGAAAAGAAACATCATTGTTGGCCGGGCATGGTGGCCCACCCCCATAATCCCAGCACTCTGGGAGGCTGAGGCAGGCGGATCACCTGAGGTCAGGAGCTTGAGACCAGCCTGGGCAACCTGTTGAAACCCCGTGTTTACTAAAAATACAAGAAATTAGATGGTCATGGTGGCAGGCACCTGTAATCCCAGCTACTCTGGAGGCTGAGGCAAGAGAATCACTTGAATCTGGGAGGTGGAGGTTGCAGTGAGCTGAGACCGTCCCACTGCACTCCAGCCTGGGCGACAGAGCAACACTCTGTCTCAAAAAAAAAAAAAAAAGGTGATACCAGTGGGCTGTGAGAGGTCCCCAAATGCCAGGCTCTTGACATCATCACGAGAAGTAAGGAATTCAAGGATGAGTCAGAAGATAGTGAAAGTAAGGAGACTTATTGCAAAGCAAAAAGTACACAAGAAAAAGGCATGTGGGCAGGCTCAAGAGAGAGTGACACAATGGGGTTAGGGCTACTACCTTTTCCTCTTTTTTTATTTTTTATTTATTTATTTATTTATTTTTTTTTTTGAGACAGAGTCTCGCTCTGTCCCCCAGGCTGGTGTGCAGTGGAGCGATCTCTGCTCACTGCAAACTCCGCCTCCCGGGTTCATGCCATTCTCCTGCCTCAGCCTCCCGATTAGCTGGGACTACAGGTGCCCTCCACCACGCCCGGCTAATTATTTTTTATTTTTTTTTTTTTGTATTTTTAGTAGAGACGGGTTTTCACCTTGTTAGTCAAGATGGTCTCAATCTCCTGACCCTGTGATCCACCTGCCTTGGCCTCTCAAAGTGCTGGGATTACAGGTGTGAGCCATTGCGCCCAGCCTATTTAGTTTTTTTGAGATGAAGTCTTGCTCTGTCACCCAGGCTGGAGTGCAGTGGCGCCATCTCTGCCCACTGCAACCTCTTCCTCCCAGGTTCCAGCGATTCTCCTACCTCATCCTCCCAAGTAGATGGGACTACAGGCATTCACCACCACACCCAGCTAATTTTTGTATTTTTAGTAGAGACGGGCTTTCACCATGTTGACCAGGCTTGTTGGGGTGATCAGACCCAACACCAGGTCGTGGGGGCTACGAAGTCCGGCGGAATCAAAGGAATGAGACAAAACAAGTTAAGAGTACATAGGATGGGTCCAGGGGGCCAACGCTGGTGTATGGAGGCTGCAAAGGCCCCGAGCTCTGGGAGCCCACACTATTTATTGGTAATCAAACAAAGAAGCAGGTGGTGAGGACGTGCGGACATGGGGGTAGAAAGGTAGTGGTGCACCAAGCGTAGCTATGACGGTTTAGCGTATGCTCTGCTAGTTGAGATAAAGGAGAACAGGTTCTTTTCACTCAAGACACAACCAGTTTATGATCTTGGGAGAGCAAGGAGCAAGGGGCCAGCGAGTCTGGACACATTCCAGAGGCTATGAGGGGTTTTATGCCCAGAGCCCTGGATTCTTTACAAGCCACGAGGGGTTTTATGTCCTGGGCTTAGATTGCAGTGTGGCAGGGCAGCCTTCCACCCTTAGGCACAGAGCTTGGTGTTCCATAGGCCACGAGGGGTTTGAGACCCTGGACCCAGGACATGTTCCAGACTCTTTTACATTATGTCAGACAAGCAAGCCCTGCCTCAGCTCTTCTTCCAAGTCCTGACCTGAGGTGATCCACCCACTTCAGCCTCCCAAAATGCTCCAAGTCCTGACCTGAGGTGATCCACCCACTTCAGCCTCCCAAAATGCTAGGATTATAGGCGTGAGCCACCACACCTGGCCCTAACACTCTGTACTTCTAAAACTTTGTTACTGGCCAGGGACAGTGGCTCATGCCCGTAATCCCAGCACTTTGGGAGGCCAAGGCAGGCGGATCACTAGAGTTCAGCAGTTTGAGACCAGCCTGGTCAACATGGTGAAACCCCATCTCTACTAAAAATTTAAAAGTTAGCCGGGAGTGGTGTCAGGCACCTGTAATCTCAGCTACTTGGGAGGCTGAGGCAGGAGAACTGCTTAAACCCAGGAGGTGGAGGATGCAGTGAGCCGAGATTGTGCCACTGCACTCCAGCCTGGGCGACAGAGCAAGACTGTCTCAAAAAAAAAAAAAAAAAAAAAAGGATGAAAAAGAGGTTTAATAGACTTACAGTTCCACATAGCTGGGGAGGCCTCACAATCATGGCAGAATGCAAAAGGCACGTCTTACATGGTGGCAGGCAAGAGAGAATGAGAGCCAAGCACAAGCGGAAACTCCTTATAAAACCATCTGATCTCATGAGACTTATTCACTACCGGAACAGTATGGGGGAAACTTCCCCCATGATTCAAGTATCTCCCACTGGGTTCCTCCCACGACATGGGGGAATTATGGGAGCTACAATTCAATATGAGATTTGGGCAGGGACACAGCCAAAACCAGATCAGGGGCCAATCTGGGGTTGCATTCCCTCCTCCCAATAAATGGCATGGCTTTGATTGCAAGTGGCCATTCCATTTGTGGTTTCATGGGGAGTGCCTAGAATCCTCTGTTTTTCCTCTACTGTAGAGCAGGTAGACAATAATATCCATTAGTCATGCCAAGTCAGGTCACAGGACATGGCCAACTTAACAAACTCTTCAATAAATTACTGGATTCTCCAAAAACTGGCCAAACTTATCCTTACATAAAGCCAAATCAGACTCAGAAAGAGGCGCACGTCCTCTATTTTATCGATTGATTGATATTTTTTGAGACAGTCTCTATCACCCAGCTGGAGTGCAGTAACATGATCTCAGCTCACTGCAACCTCTGCCTCCTGGGCTCAAGCAATTCTCCTGCCTCAGCCTCCCAAGTAGCTGGGACTAAAGGCATGACACCATACTAAGCTAATTTTTTGTATTTTTAGTAGAGACGGGGTTTTACTATGCTGTCCAGGCTGGTCTCAAACTCCTAACTTTGTGATCCACCCACCTCGGCCTCCCAAACTGCTGGAATTACAGGTATGACCGCCACACCTGGCCGCAAAGAACTATTTTTAGGCTAAAATTTCTGGTTTTCCAGTTTGTAATGACCTAGGCAGTATTCCAACCAAAAATAAATTTCTGGCCAGGTGCAGTGGCTCACGCCTGTAATCCCAGCTACTCGGGAGACTGAGGCACAAGAATCATTTGGGCTTGGGAAGAGGAGGTTGCAGTGAGCCGAGATTGCACCACTGCACTCCAGCCTGGGCGACAGAGTGAAACTCGGTCTCAAACAGGCTGGGCACGGTGGCTCACACCTGTAATCCCAGCACTTTGGGAGGCCAAGGCAGGTAGATCACGAGGTCAGGAGTTCAAGACCAGCCTGGCCAATATGGTGAAACCCCGTCTCTACTAAAAATATAAAAAATTAGGCCGGGCGCGGTGGCTCACGCCTGTAATCCCAGCACTTTGGGAGGCCGAGGCGGGCGGATCACGAGGTCAGGAGATCGAGACCATCCCGGCTAAAACGGTGAAACCCCGTCTCTACTAAAAATACAAAAAATTAGCCGGGCATAGTGGCGGGCGCCTGTAGTCCCAGCTACTTGGGAGGCTGAGGCAGGAGAATGGCGTGAACCCGGGAGGCGGAGCTTGCAGTGAGCCGAGATCCCGCCACTGCACTCCAGCCTGGGTGACAGAGCAAGACTCCGTCTCAAAAAAAAAAAAAAATAAAAATAAAAATAAAAAAAAAATTAGCTGGGTGTGGTGGTGCAGGCCTGTAGTCCCAACTACTTGGGAGACTGAGGCAGGAGAATCGCTTGAAATTGGGAGGCGGAAGTTTCAGTGAGCCATTGCACCACTGCACTCCAGCCTGGGCGACAGAGTGAGACTCCGTACAACAAAAAAAACAAATTTGAGTCTGGCTACCAGTACAACCACGCAACCTGAATCCAGGGCACCAAATACCAAAAGACCTGGGGCCTCCAGATATCAGTCACCAAGGGTCCCCACACCAAATGCCGAAAACCCTGGAGCATCCTGAGGGTGGCCAACAGTGAACCCCAAAGGCACAACTGAGGCTATGGAACAATGTGACTCCGGCATCCCAGAGTCAGAACAAAGGGGTTCCTCTCCAAAATAAAGAATTCAAAACAAGGAAAGTGCCCTACCTGATACAGAATAGCAAAAATTGCTCAAATAGCCAGAAGAAATGCTACCAGTCCAACAGTGAAATAAGCGTCATAAGCATGCATTTTGGCACTAAGAGCAGAAAAGTAAAATACGAGAAAAGGCCTGAGACAGGTGACAAGGCAGGTTATAAAGGGTGTGGCTGGGCTGGGTGTGGTGGCTCACACCTGTAATCCCAGCACTTTGGGAGGCCGAGGCGGGCGGATCACGAGGTCAGGAGATCGAGACCATCCTGGCTAACACGGTGAAACCCTATCTCTATTAAAAATACAAAAAATTAGCCGGGCATGATGGTGGGCGCCTGTAGTCCCAGCTACTTGGGAGGCTGAGACAGGAGAATCGCTTGAACCCGGGAGGCGGAGGTTGCAGTGAGCCGAGATCGCGCCAGTGCATTCCAGCCTGGGCGACAGAGCGAGACTGTCTCAAAAAAAAAAAAAAAGAAAAAAGAAAAAAAAAAAAAAAAGAAAAGGAAAAAAGAAAAGAAAAAGAAAGGAGCTCTTTCTCAGTGAACGGGTCCTGCACTCAGGCGCAGACGGGGAAGCGGAGCCAACATGCCAGTGGCCCGGAGCTGGGTTTGTCACAAAACTTATGTGACCCCGCGGAGACCCTTCGAGAAATCTCGTCTCGACCAAGAGCTGAAGCTGATCGGCGAGTATGGGTTCCGGAACAAACGTGAGGTCTAGAGGGTCAAATTTACCTTGGCCAACATCCGCAAGGCCGCCCGGGAACTGCTGACGCTTGATGAGAAGGACCCACGGCGTCTGTTTGAAGGCAACGTCCTGCTGCGGCGGCTGCTCCGCATTGGGGTGCTGGATGAGGGCAAGACGAAGCTGGATTACATCCTGGGCCTGAAGATAGAGGATTTCTTAGAGAGACGCCTACAGACCCAGGTCTTCAAGCTGGGCTTGGCCAAGTCCATCCACCACGCTGGCGTACTGATCCGCCAGCGCCGTGTCAGGGTCCGCAATCAGGTGGCGAACATCCCGTCCTTCATTGTCCGCCTGGATTCCCAGAAGCGCATCGACTTGTCTCTGCGCTCTCCCTATGGGGTGGCCGCCCCGGCCGCGTGAAGAGGAAGAACGCCAAGAAGGGCCAGGGTGAGGGTGGGGCTGGAGACGACGAGGAGGAGGATTAAGTCCACCTGTCCCTCCTGGGCTGCTGGATTGTCTCGTTTTCCTGCCAAATAAACAGGATCAGCACTTTACAATTGGAAAAAAAAAGAAAGAAAGGAAAGTAAGAGTAGCAACCTCATAGGCAGAGTAGCTCTGAGGATCGTTGGTTGGTTATTTTAATGGTTAGTTGTTGAATATATGCTAAATAAAAGGTGAATTACACATGGGTTTTCTAGATAAGAGGCAGGGAGTTCCCAGAACCTGGGCTTTCACCCCGTCCAGACCACACAGGGTAACTTTTCAGCATGGCCATGGCATTTGTAAACTGTCATGGTGCTGGTGGCAGTGTTTTTAGCATGTTAATGCATTACAATTAGCATATAATGAGCAGTGAAAGTAACCAGACGTCACTTCCTTTTTAGTTGTTGTTGTTTTTTGAGATGGAGTTTGGCTCTTGTTGCCCAGGCTGGAGTGCAATGGCGCGATCTTGGCTCACCACAACCTCTGCCTCCCGGGTTCAAGAAATTCTCCTGCCTCAGCCTCCCAGGTAGCTGGGATTACAGGCAGGCACCACCACGCCGGGCTAATTTTGTATTTTGAGTAGAGACAGGGTTTCTCCGTGTTGGTCAGGCTGGTCTCGAACTCCTGACCTCAGGTAATTCACCCGCCTCGGCCTCCCTAGGTGCAGGGATTACAGGCATGAGGCACCGGGCCCGGCCCCAGAGGTCCCTTTCATTGTCCTCTTGGTTCTAGCTGGTTTTAGCCAGTTTCTTTTGCTGTTTTCTGTCTTATGAGTGAGGTCTTGTGTCCTGTTGTCTTGGAAACCAGTCTTGCCAAATTCCTATCTCACTAGGGTATGAAAAACAAAGACAAAGGTTAGAGTTATTAAAAACTATACATTTGGATCAGGAGCCAGTGGACATAAAACTGAGCCTCTGGGCTGGGCCCAGTGGCTCACGCCTGTAATTCCAGCACTTTGGGAGGCCAAGGCGGGTGGATCACCTGAGGTTGGGAGTTCAAGACCAGCATGGCCAACACGGGGAAAACCTGTCTCTACTAAAAATACAAAAATTAGCTGGGCGTGGTTACGCACGTCTGCAATCCATTACTCGGGAGGCTGAGGCAAGAGAATCACTTGAACCCGCGAGATGGAGTTTGCAGTGAGCCAAGATCACGCCATTGCACTCCAGCCTGGGCTACAGAGTGAGACTCTGTCTCAAAAAAAAAAAAAAACTGAGGCTCTGAAGAGGAGGCACTGCTCAGATGGTGCTGGTGTTTCTGAGCTCAGAGGAGGATCACTAGAGACTGGAATTTTCTTTCTTTTTTTTTTTTTTTTGAGACGGAGTCTCGCTCTGTCACCCAGTCTAGAGTGCAGTGGCGTGATCTTGGCTCATTACAAGCTCAGCCTCCCGGGTTCATGCCATTGCCCTGCCTCAGCCTCCCGAGTAGCTGGGACTACAGGTGCCCGCCACTATGCCCGGCTTATTTTTTGTATTTTTAGTAGGGACAGGATTTCACCGTGTTAGCCAGGATGGCCTCGATCTTCTGACCTCGTGATTGACCCGCCTCAGCCTCCCAAAGAGCTGGAATTACAGGCGTGAGCTACCGCACCCGGCCCGAGACTGGAATTTTCTCAGGCAGGGGTGCTGGTCTGGCATCCCCAAATGGTCTGGCATCTCTGAGGATGTGCAAGTTTGGAAAAACTGCAAATTGGATTTAGCTGCTGCTACAGGAAAGAACTGCCTTGGACAGGGTGAAGAAGCTTTGCTGACGCAGATGAGAACAGGAAACCAACGGGAAGTAAGCAGAGAGCAAACAGGAAGGAGCAAGAACCCTTTTCCTCCTTCAGGCTCTACGGTCAGTCTGGCACCCCCTATTGGCAGAGGCTAACACACCACTTGGCAAAGTGAAAGTGGGGTTTTCAGAGTCCCATTCCCAGTTACCCAAAGCCCAGTGCTGGGAAATAGATTTGAAGCCAAGAGATAATAGCTTAAGAAGTGGTACACATAATAATAGTATGTGCCAAGGACCAGCAATTATGATTAATCCAATTCTGTACCCCTGAGGACCAAATATATTTTTGAAAGACTACTTGCAAAAAAAAAAAGTCGTGGCCGGGCGCGGTGGCTCACGCCTGTAATCCCAGCACTTTAGGAGGCTGAGGCGGGTGGATCACGAGGTCAGGAGATCGAGACCATCCTGGCTAACATGGTGAAACCCCGTCTCTACTAAAAATACAAAAAAATTAGCCGGGTGTAGTGGCGGGCGCCTGTAGTCCCAGCTACTCGGGAGGCTGAGGCAGGAGAATGGCGTGAACCCGGGAGGCGGAGCTTGCAGTGAGCCGAGATTGCGCCAGGCAGTATTCCAACCAAAAATAAATTTCTTGGTCAGGTGCAGTGGCTCACGCCTGTAATCCCAGCTACTCGGGAGACTGAGGCACAAGAATCATTTGGGCCTGGGAAGAGGAGGTTGCAGTGAGCCGAGATTGCACCACTGCACTCCAGCCTGGGTGACAGAGTGAAACTCGGTCTCAAACAGGCGGGGCACGGTGGCTCAAGCCTGTAATCCCAGCACTTTGGGAGGCCGAGGCGGGCAGATCACATGAGGTCAGGAGTTCTAGACCAGCCCGACCAACATGGAGAAACCCCGTCTCTACTAAAAATACAAAATTAACCGGGCATGGTGGTGCCTGCCTGTAATCCTAGCTAACTTGAGAGGCTGAGGCAGGAAAATCTCTTGAACCGGGGTAGGTGGAGCTTGTGGTGAGCCGAGACTGTGCAATTGCACTCCAGCCTGGGCAACGAGAACAAAACTCCGTCTCAAAAAAATAAATAAAAATAAAAGCAAATTTCAAAAAAGAATATGAGGGTTGAGGCTGAGGTGTTTGCAGTTTGTATTCTTTATTCCTGTGTAAAAAAAAAAGTTACCCCAAAGTATAGCAACTTGAATTAACAAACATTTATTATCTCACATAGTTGTTAAAAGTCAGGAAATCAAAAGTAGCTTAGCTAAGGTGGTTCTGGCTCCGTGTCCCTCATGAAGTTGTGGTTAAGCTGTCAGCCGGGTGACAGTCATCTGAAGGCTTGACTGGGACTGGAGGATCTGCTTCCAAGATGGCTCACTCATGTGTGCCTCACTGGCTGTTGGCAGGAGGTCTCAGTTCTTTACCACGTGGGCCTCTTCATGGGCAGCTTGAGTGTCCTCATGACATGGTGGCTGGCTTCCCCCAGAGCAAGTGATTGAGAAACAGAGCAAGAAGGAAGCCACAATGTCTTGTGTTGTTTTGTTTTGTTTTTTGTTTTGTTTTGAGACACAGCCTTGTTCTGTTGCCAGGCTGGAATGCACTGGTGCAATCTCAGCTCACTGCAACCTCCGCATCCCGGGTTCAAGCGATTCTCCTGCCTCAGCCTCCTGAGTAGCTGGGACTACAGGCACATGCCACCACACCCAGCTAATTTTTGCATTTTTAGTAGATACAGGGTTTCACCATGTTGGTCAGGATGGTCTCGATCTCTTGACTTCGTGATCAGCTCGCCTCAGCCTCCTAAAGTGCTGGGATTACAGGTGTGAGCCACCATGCCCGGCCAAAAGAAAGCCACAATGTCTTTTGTGACCTAATCACTATTTTTTTTTTTTTTTTGAGACGGGGTTTCACTCTTGTTGCCCAGGCTGGAGTGCAATGGCGCGATCCCGGCTCACCACAACCTCTGCCTCCCGGGTTCAAGCAGTTCTCCTGCCTCAGCCTCCTGAGTAGCTGGGATTACAGGCATGCACCACCATGCCCAGCTAATTTTGTATTTTTAGTAGAGATGTGGTTTCTCCATGTTGGTCAGACTGATCTCAAACTCCTGACCTCAGGTGATCCACCCGCCTCCGCCTCCCAAAGTGCTGGAATTACAGGCATGAGCCACCGTGCCCAGCCCCCACTTGTGGACATTTTTTAAACCATCACAGAGTTGGCAGTCTGGCTGGGGTGGTTGGGCTGGTAGAGGTTGAGCCATTTAGAATTTTGATTTTGTTGTTGGGTTGTATTATTGTTTGACTCAGAAGCAGTGAGGGTTAGATTGATGGCGCGTTGGAACCGTGGTATTGGTGGGGTGGGTGATTGGGTTTGGTGTTGATGGCTGTAGTTGGGCTGGTGGAGATTGTAATGGTGGGGGTGGTGGAGCACAGTGAAGGTGTGCTCGGGGATGATGGTGTTTAAAGTCATCACTGGCCGGGCGCGGTGGCTCACGCCTGTAATCCCAGCACTTTGGGAGGCCGAGGCAGGCGGATCACGAGGTCAGGAGATCGAGACCATCCTGACTAACACAGTGAAACCCCGTCTCTACTGAAAATACAAAAAAATTAGCTGGGCGTGGTGGCGGGCACCTGTAGTCCCAGCTACTCGGGAGGCTGAGGTAGGAGAATGGCATGAACCCGGAAGGCAGAGCTTGCAGTGAGCTGAGATCACGCCGCTGCACTCCAGCCTGGGCGACGGAGCAAGACTCCGTCTTAAAATATAAATAAATAAATAAATAAAAATAAAGTCATCACTATGGGTCAAGGTAAAGTGTGGGTTATGGTGGAAATGAGAAGGGATATTTGGTGGGGATGGTGGAGCTTGGAGTTGGACGTTGTGTTGGTTGTGTGGTTCGAACTGTAGTTGAGTTGTTGTGTATAGTGGGGTGTGGCATCATGGAGTTGCTGATTGCTGGAATGATGGCAGCGTTAGGGTGGTGTGCACTGGGCAGTGCATTTCCTAGTTATGGGAGCTGAATCCGTCATTGAGGAAGAGGTTGAAATGGCTGGAGTAGGCCAGGCACAGTGGCTCATGCCCATAATCCCAGCACTTTGGGAGGCCAAGGTGGGTGGATCATTTGAGGTCAGGAGTTCGAGACCAGCCTGACCAACATGATGAAACCCCAAAACCCGTCTCCACTAAAAATACAAAAAAAAATTAGCCGGTCATGGTGGCGGATGCCTGTAGTCCCAGCTACTCGGGAGGCTGAGGCAGGAGAATTGCTTGAACCCAGGAGGCAGAGATTGCAGTGAGCCAAGATTGCACCACTGCACTCCAGCCTGGGTGACAGAACAAGACTCTCTCTCAAAAAAAGAAAAAGAAAAAGAAATGGCTGGAGTTGGGGTTGGGTAATAAAAATTTTCGTGGGTTCGTTTGGGGATTGTCAATTGGGGTGGCTGGATCTTTAGGTTTGGAGATGGATTTTTTTTTTTTTTTTGAGACAGAGTCTTGCTGTGTCCCCCAGGCTGGGGTGCAATGGCACGATTTCTTCTCACTGCAAGCTCCGCCTCCCGGGTTCATGCCATTCTCCTGCCTCAGCCTCCCGAGTAGCTGGGACTACAGGTGCTCGCCACCATGCCCGGCTAATTTTTTTGTATTTTTAATAGAGACGGGGTTTCACAGTGTTCGCCAGGAAGGTCTTGATCTCCTGACCTCATGATCCGCCCACCTTGGCCTCCCAAAGTTCTGGGATTACAGACATGAGCCACCGCGCCCGGCCTGGAGATGGATTTGAGGTGGACAGTGGTGTTGGGGCAGCAGGAATTAGGCTCAGGAGAACTTGTGAGGTTGTGTTTGATTGGCACTGGCCTTGGAGGGTTGGGTTTGGTATGAGTGAAGCTGGAAATGAAGTACACTGGGCAGGTGTTGCGGGCTGTGGTTGAAGCTGTGACTGCAACTGGGAATCCCTGGCTGGGCCTGGGAATGGATGGGAGCTTCTGTCCTCCTCCACCCTGGTCCTTACCTCTTCTACCCCTGCCCTGCCCAAGAGCATAGCAGACACCACACACCCAGCTCACACATCTTTATTGGCCTGGATGTGGGGTTGCCAAACCAGTTGCCCCTGTCCTGTGTCAGCCAGCTGTGGCAATTTCACCCTTATTCCTTGGAGAGGCCAGCTGCCTGCTGGAAGGAGTCAGAAGTCGGTGGATGTCATTGAGGCCTTGGAGGCCCCAGTCTGGCGGGAGAGAAATCCACACCTGTGCCTGGAGTTCTCCTTCCCTGACCCTCTGAACCGGCGCTTAAAATGCTGTCCCGCCTGGAACAGGGAGGCCACATCCAGCAGTGCGTCCTCAATGTGCTGCCCCAGCCTGTGGGAATCCTGGAAGGAGAACAGGTCAGAGCCAGGGGAAGCTGGGAGATGGGATCCTGGAGGCTGAGAAACAAGAGGGCTAAGGGCCTGGATTCCTGAGTCTGAGGGAGGAGGAGCTGGGGCCTGGACTCCCGAGTCTGAGGGAGGAGGGGCTGGGGGCCTGGACTCCCGGGTCTGAGGGAGGAGGGGCTGGGGGCCTGGACTCCCGGGTCTGAGGGAGGAGGGGCTGGGGGCCTGGACTCCTGGGTCTGAGGGAGGAGGGGCTGGGGCCTGGAATCCTGGGTCTGAGGGAGGAGGGGCTGGGGGCCCAGACTCCTGGTTCCTGAGGAAAGAGGGAGTTGGTGGGTATACACGTTTGTCTCACCGTTTTTGTGCTTGATTTTTTGCTGGAGATGTGGAAGGTGATCATGCCATCCCCCATGAAGATATAAGAAACACCATAACCATGGTCATCAGCCTGGAGACGGAAAGAGTGAAGGGAAGAAAATAGCTCCGGTCCCCTCCACCCCCACTATGCAGGAGTGCAGGCCCCCCAGCCCCCTCTTTCCTCTGGGGGCCAGCGCGCCCAGCTCCACTCACAGGCCCGAATCCACCGCCTGAGGAAACATAGTCCGGGTAATTGTGGACGTCAAACAGATGCATTTGCTGAACAGGGATCTGGCTGGTGGACAGCTGCCACTGCTCCGAATGGACCTGAGGACAGGAGCCCATCACATGTGCAGGACAGAGATCTGCAGTTCCGGCCCTTGGCTCCACTTCACTCCCTGCATCCCTGGCTTTTTTTTTACCCGTAAATCCGGGCCTCCTTCTCCCTAACCACGCCCTTCTCCTGACCACGCCCTATCTGGCCACGCCCCTCACTCGTCTCACCACCCACACCCACGTCCCTCTCCTCTTCTCCCTCGGACCACGCCCCTCCTCTGACCACGCCCTTTCCTCTTATCCCCACCCCACTGACCCTCTCCCCTTTTGTCTGCTCCCGTTGTCCCGTTGCCTCTCCGCCTTCTGCCTTGCCGCCCCCCCACAACTGACTTCTCTGCTGACGCATCCTTTCTCAACATCACCCTCCTTTTTTTTTTTTTTTTGAGACAGAGTCTTGCTCTGTCGTCCAGGCTGGAGTGCAGTGGTGCGATCTCAGCTCACTACAGCCTCCGCCTCCCGGGTTCAAGGGATTCTATTGCCTCAGCCCTCCCAAGTAGCTGGGATTACAGGTGCCTGTCACCATACCCAGCTAATTTTTGTATTTTTAGTAGAGACAGGGTTTCGCCAAGTTGGCCAGGCTGGTCTCGAACTCTTGACCTCAAGTGATCCGCCTGCCTCGGCTTCCCAAACTGCTGGGATTACAGGCGTGAGCCACCGTGCCCGGCCTTGATGGGTCCTTTTTCAACATCACCCTCCTTCCCTGAAACCTCTCCCTTCTTCCATGGTCTCCCACTTCCCTCTCTAACCCTTTCCCTGTGCCCCAACCTGGGTCAGGAAGGGCGACTGCAGGTGGAGGAATCGGGACACGATGTACAGCGCAAACAGGTGGCGGTCAACTCCCTGCCCGCTCATGGCTGCCTTCAGCAGAGCCTGGTGCTTGTCCACTGCCACGCGGAACAGGGCGAGGCACTGTGGGTCCTGCAGTCCCCAGGGAGGTCACAGGTCATGGAAAGACAGGAAGTCGACTTAGGGCTGGGCCTGCGGCACATCTGGCCTCAACTGAGTTTGCCACATCCCTGCAAGGTGGGAATATCAACCCCATTTTACAGATGGGGAACTGAGGCTTAGAGAGGGGAAATCATTTGGCCAGGTTCACACAGCCAGGGAGAGCCAGGCGGGTTCCTAGGTGTGTCTGGCCCCAGAGTCCAAACTCCTTCCATGGAACCACAATACCTTGTAGGTGCGGGGCTAGGTGTAGGGCAAGGGAGAAGAGGTGCAGGGCAGGTGGGATCTGGGCAGAGAGGGTACAGGGGTGCAAAGGAAGGTCACAAGTCACAAAGAGGTTAAATGGGCAGAGTTACGTTGTAAAAATGGAGTTCCAGCCAGGTGCATTGGCTCACGCCTGTAATCCCAGCACTTTGGGAGGCCGAGGCAGGGAGATCACCTGAGGTCAGGAGTTCGAGACCAGCCTGGCCAACATGGTGAAACCCCGTCTCTACTAAAAATACAAAAAAAAAAAAAAAAAATTAGCTGGGCATGGTGGCGGGTGCCTATAATTCCAGCTACTCAGGAGGCTGAGGCATGAGAATCGCTTGAACCTGAGAGGCAGAGGTTGCAGTAAGCCGAGATTGTGCCACTGCACTCCAGCCTGGGCAACAGAGCAAGACTCCATCTCAAAAAAAAAGAAATGGGGTTCCTTCTTGGGTGCACCCCCAGTGCCCTGTGAGACCACCATGAAAGCAGATATCACACTATGCTGGGCTGTCTCCCCCCATCAGTGAGCTCTTTGAAGTCAGAGGCCAGGTCCGATTCATCCCTTGTCCCTTGTGCTCCTCGTGGAGGCTGGCTTCAGTAGGTCCCATCAACGTTTGCAAGTGGATGAGTGAGTACACAGAAATAACTGAAGCCTCAAGCGAGGGCTGCACCCACCGTCTTCTCTTTGTCCTCCATGGCCCTGACAAAGTTGCAGGCCTCCCTCGTGCAAGACCGCACCGTCTCCGTCCGGCCTTCCAGGAATAAGCGAGTCATGGCCGACTCATAAGTCAGGCAGAATTGACCCCTGTCCTGGGGGACAGGGAGGAGAAGAGGAGTCTGTCAGCTGGGCTCAGGAGATCTTACAGACTTGACCTATCTCTGTCCAGACCTCCAGCCTCCTCCAGCCAGCCCAAGAATGGTTGGAAGAGAGAATTCAAGATGGCCGACCCACAATGGCAGCGACCACAAGGAACCGTGGAGGGGCAGGTCTTGGGGGCTCAGGTGGACTGAGACCCTGCGGGGGCTGTGGATGGGGAACCCAACTGACCCGGAAGTGGGCCAGTTGCAAGGCGATCTGGATGAAGCTGTCTGAAGAGAGGTGGCAGCGTCGGATGAAGCTCTTGCCAAATAGGGAGAATGGAACGACATGGCAGTCGACATTTTCAGACAAGATCTTGGCTCCCCTCAGGGCTAGAGAGATGGAGGAGTGGATCTGCCAGAGGAGGAGGGAAGAGGAGTAGTTGGGGTTACAGATGGGGGTAGGGTGAAAGCCAGGAATAAGGCTGGAAGCGGAGGTGGATGTGGAGTTAAGGTTGCGGCAGAATATGGAAATGGGGACAAAGAAGAGAAGAGAATTGAAGGATGAGACTAAAGATGGGGATAGGGGCTGGGCGTGGTGGCGCACGCCTGTAATCCCAGCACTTTGGGAGGCCGAGGCGGGCGGATCACCTGAGGTCGGGAGTTTGAGACCAGCCTGACCAACATGATGAAACCTCGTCTCTACTAAAAATACAAAAAACTAGCTGGCCGTGGTGGCACGTGCCTGTAGTCCCAGCTACTTGGGAGGCTGAGGCAGGAGAATCGCTTGAACCCAGGAGGCAGAGGTTGCAGTGAGCTGAGATCGCACCACTGCACTCCAGCCTGGGTACAGAGCAAGACTCCGTCTCAAAAAAAAAATGCCGGGCGCGGTGGCTCACGCCTGTAATCCCAACACTTTGGGAGACTGAGGTGGCTGGATCACCTGAGGTCAGGAGTTTGAGACCAGCCTGGCCAACATGGAAAAACCTCATCTCTATTAAAAATAAAAAAATTTAGCCGGGTGTGGTAGTGGGCACCTGTAATCCCAGCTCCTCAGGAGGCTGAGGCAAGAGAATCGCTTGAACCTGGGAGATGGAGGTTGCAGTGAACTGAGATCGTGTCATTGCACTCCAGCCTGGGTGACAGAGCGGGACTCCATCTCAAAAAAAAAAAAAAAAATGGGGATAGGGATGGCATGTGTAGACTGGAACAAGATTGGGGTTGGGCCACAGTTGAAGCTGGGGTTGGGGATGGGGATGGAGGAGGGACTGAGAGTGGTTTGGGAATAGAACGGGGAAGGGGTTGGGTATGGGAAGTGAATTCGAGTTGGGCATGGGTTGTGGTTGGAGGTGGGGTTGTGGCTGAGTACGGGATGGGGTTGGTGTGGGGTATGGGGTTGAGGTTGGGTATGGGATGAGTTGGGCATGGGTTGTCATTGGAAGTGGGGTCGTGGCTGAGTACAGGATGGGGTTGGGGTTGGGTATGGGGTTAGGGTTTGGTATGGGGTGGAGTTAGGATGAACATGGGAATGAATTCAGGTGGTGTTGGGATGGGATTGGGTATGGAGATGGATTTGGAAGGAAAATGGAGTAGGGGTTGGTGCTGGGGTTGGACAGTGGTGGTTTTTGAGTCTGAAACAGGTAGAGATGGGGTTGGGGTTGAGGATGGGATTGGCAGTGGGAGGACGGTTGGAGTTGGGGCTGGAGATGAGGTTCGTGTTGGGGTTTGAGGTTGTGGATGCATATGGCCTGATTTGGGGGTGGGGGAAGCATGGGTTTCGGGTTGGGGGTAGGAATGGGGTTGATTTTCACGTTCAGATTAGGGGTGGGGATGAGTTTGAAGTCAAGGCTAGGAATCTTGGGACTTGGAGGAGAGGCCCAGAAACCCAGCCTCACCTGGTCTGGAAGGTCCCATTGCAGCCGCTGGGGCTGGGGTAGTGTGGGGTCCGGGTGCCCCTTGCAGTGGCCGTCTGTTGAGTAGCCCAGCTGAAAGCATTCTGTAGCCAGAGTGAACTGTGGGCAAACAGAGGCTGTTAGAGTCCCTTCCTCCCTGTGGACTGAGGCCATCTAACCCGGGACCTCTTTTCATGCAGCCCTTTTTCGGGTAGGGGGCAGTCCCTGAGAAACAGAAACCTCTGATATTCACAGATGCGGTCTCAGGTTCATGTTCATCAAGAACAGGACTAACACCAATACTCAACTGGTGTTTACTGTCCTTATTTTCTTTTCCTTTTTTGACAGGGTCTTGCTCTGTCATCCAGGCTGGTGTGCAGTGGTGAAATTATAACTCACTGCAGCCTCAAACTCCTGGGCTCAAGCCATCCTCCTGCCTTAGCCTCCGGAGTAGCTGGGGCCACAGGCATGTACCACCATGACTGGCTGGTTTTGTTTTTTTTGTTTTTTTTTAACGTTTTTTGTAGACAGGTTCTCATTATGTTGCCCAGGCTAGTCTCAAACTCCTGGGCTCAATTGATCTTCCTGCCTTGACCTCCCAAAGTGCTGGGATTACAGGCATGAGCCACTGCACCCAGCCTGGAGTCATCTTCTTGCTCTGTAACTCCTCGCTGTGTGACTCTGGGAAAATCACTTCCCTTCTTTGAGCCCCAGTTACCAACTCATCAAAGGAAGGTCCTCATCCCAGTCCCCTTTCTTTGCCAGGTGACCCTGGGCCAGCCTCTGCCTCTCCCTGAGCCTCAGTTTTTCTTTTCTTTTTTTTTTTTTTTTTTTTTTTTTGAGATGTATTCTTGCTCTGTCGCCCAGGCTGAAGTACAGTGGCACAATGTCAGCTCACTGCAACCTCCACCTCCCGGGTTCATGCGATTCTCATGCCTCAGCCTCCCGAGTAGCAGGGATTACAGGCACACACCACCATGCCTGGCTAATTTTTTTGTATTTTTAGTAGAGGCAGGGTTTCACTATGTTGGCCAGGCTGGTCTCGAACTCCTGACCTCATGATCCGCCCACCTCGGCCTCCCAAAATGCTGGGATTACAGGCATGAACCACCGTGCCCGGCCAAGCCTCAGTTTTTCTTCTGACACTAAGGCGCTGGAGAGGACGGTCTTTGGAGATGGGGCAGGGGTCCCCAGAACCAGGGAGGGCTGGCCGCCCTACCTCCCACATGTGTCCTGAGATGGGGCAGTCGGCCCAGGAGTGCTCCACGCTGAGGCCCAGCTTCCCGTTAGAGAAGACGATTAGGGTGAAGGATTTGTCAAACCAGCTGTCAGGGAGAGTTCAGATGGGTCACCAAGAGCGAGGGGCACGGGGACCTCAGAGTGCTTTCTGTGGGACTTGAGGGGGTTTTCTAGATGGGAAGATGTGGGAATCCATTGGGGTGCTGGTATGGGGATCTCTAGGACCATTGGGGGTCCCCAGTAGTGGCCCTGGAGGTCTCCAAGACATGTCTGGGATTTAGAGTTTGGAGATTGTTTTTTTGTTTGTTTGTTTGTTTTGAGATGGAGTTTCACTCTTGTCGCCCAGGCTGGAGTGCAGTGGCGCGATCTCGGCTCACTGCAACCTCCGCCTCCCAAGTAGCTGAGGGTTCAAGTGATTCTCCCGCCTCAGCCTCCCAAGTAGCTGGGATCACAAGCATGCACCACCATGCCCAGCTAATTTTTGCATTTTTAGTGGAGATGAGGTTTCACCATATTGGCCAGGCTGGTCTCAAACTCCTGATCTCAGGTGATCCGCCCCTCTCAGCCTCCCAAAGTGCTGAGACTACAGGCATGAGCCACCATGCCCAGTCTGGAGTTTGGAGATTTTTAGGAAACTTGCCGAGGAAGGTTCAAGGCTTTTGGGGGTGCTGGGAGGTCAGCGGGACCCCCCTGGGGCCTAGGAATTCAGTGATGCCTGCCAGGCCTGAGAATCTCTAGGTCTGGAAGTCTGGGTCTAGGGCCATGGATTTGGGGTGCCTGCATTAAGGCCTGAGGATTGAATGGTTCAAGTTCTGAGGCTGAGGTTGCCAAGTCTGGGGTCCCTGGGCCTAGGGGTCCTGGGTTTGGTGGTCCTCAGATCTGGGGTCTCTGGGTCTGTGATGCTGAGTTCTCTGGGTCGGAGGGTCCAGCTCAGGGGTTTGGGAGTCTCAGATTTGGGGGTCACTGGGTCTGGTTTATAGGTCTTGGGTCCCAGGTTGAGGGGTTCCCCAGGTCAGAGGTCTCCAGGTCCCAAAGCACTGGGTCTGGGGTCCTCAGCTCTATGCAGCCCCTGGTCTACAGACTCTGCAGGTGTGGGCTCCAGGGTCTGGCTGTCTACTGTCAGGGGTCCTAGGTCTGATACTGGATTCTCGGGTGCCACATCTGGGGGCCCCATCCCAAGACTCACTCACCGATCATGGCCCCGGCCGGCCAGCAGAGCATGGGCGTAGGCATCCAACGACGCTGCCGGGTCCTCCCTGGTGAGCCCCGCGGGCTCAGCATCCAGTGACACAAAGAAAGCGGCCCCTTCCACCGCCTCCAGGGCCTCCGCTGCCTGGGTCTTCAGGGATGTCCGCACCTGGGCCCACGTGCCCCTGGAGGGCCCGGGATGTGCCTGAGTCCATCCTGCCCAGCCGCCACCTGGCCCCACCCTGCCCTTCCACAGTCTCAGGACACTGGCGGCCTCTGAGAGCCCCTGACCCCTGACCCCTGACCCTTACCTGGGAGCAGCTGTCAGAGCTGCCAGATGTTCCTCGTGGGGGCAGGCCGGTGAGGGATCATCCAGGATTCTCTGAAACTGCTGCTCCAGGGCTCTCGGGGAAAGCAGGCTGTTTCGGGAGTGGGTCCCCATGCGGAAGAATCGGCCCCGGTGGAAGACAGCCACGTGTTGGCTGTCATGGAGGTGGCGGATGTAGTCTAGGGGTGGCGTTGGCAGAAGCATGGGGGCAGGAAGGCCAGACACATAAAAATAGTGACCATTTATTATATACTTCTTAGGTGTCGTCAGTTGTTCAAAGTACCCTAGTAATCATCAGCACCCTAGGACTTTTATTTACTTAGTATTTGGAGACAAGGTCTCGCTCTGTCGCCAGGCTGGAGTGCAGTGGTGAGATCTCAGCTCACTGCAGCCTCAACCTCCGGGGCTCAGGTGATCCTTCCACTTCAGGCTCCCGATTAACTGGGGCCACAGGTGCATATCACCATGCCTGGCTAATTTTTAAATTTTGTATATAGACCGGATCTCACTACGTTGCCCTAGGCTGGTCTCGAACTCCTGGCCTAAGCAATTGTCCACCTCGGCCCCACAAAGTGCTGGGATTACAGGCATCAGTCACTGCGCCCAGCCCCTAGGTACAATTATTATCCCACTTTAGTGGAAGCTGAGGCTCAGAGAGGGTAATAACGTGCAGAAGGTCACACAGCAAGGAAGCAATGGTTCCCAGCTCAGTCAGGCGGACTCCAGAAAACATGCTCTTAGCCACTATATTGTTCTGCCTCCATCAGTGGGGACAGGAGAGGGTCTCACCTTTTTGGACCCCTGGAATCCGCGTGGTGTTGAAGATCTTCTCGTACTGGGCAGAGCATAAGGGGCGCATTCCCATCAGCAAAGTCTGCAGGAAACCGTGGGCTGTGAGCTGCCTTCCAGGACCCACGTGGCCCAAAGGCCACAGGACCACACCTCCATCCCTAACCCACTGGGGCCCTCTCACCGGGGGTATCTCCTGGCGGTTCAGGCGGTGGCGGTACAGGAGGAGGGCATGGACGGCATTCCCAGCGCGAGCTGCCTGCAGAGGCGTGGGTGTGACATACAGGAAGTCCTGGGGACCAGGAGAGGGGATGGCAAAACACCCAGGGTCAGGTTTGCCCCCGATGGAGCCACTGACCCAAATACAGGTCCTGACCCCAAAAGAGGGTGGAATGATGAATCCCAGATGGCGCGTCTAGATCCAGGTCACTGAGCATGACCGTCACATTCCGCCCAGGTACCCCCCAACCCTAGACCTGGGGCCTATGAACCTCACCCCTCCCCTTCTCACCATCATGTAATAGTTGCTGTTCACCATCAGCGGATTTCGGGAGCGCAGGTACACAAATTCCTCCCACCAGTCACTGACCTGGGAGCGGGGTGGGGAGACACACAGTGAGGGGCTGGGGCCTGTTGGGGGAGGGACAGTAGGACAGGGAAGGCCCCAGATGCTCCTGCGTCAGGCAGGGAGGATAGAGCCAAAGAAGTCAGCCATCGTAGTCAGTAACTAGCGATCACCTAGAAATCCATCCATGGGGGATCAGTTAGCTAAACCCTGTTATACTCCGGCAGTGGAATATTACATAGCTGGTGGAAATAACAAGGTACAGCTGGGCACGGTGGCTCCCGCCTGTAATCCCAGCACTTTGGGAGGCTAAGCGGGTGGATCACCTGAGGTCAGGTGTTCAAGACCAGCCTGGCCAACATGATGAAACCCTGTCTCTACTAAAAATACAAACATTAGCCACACGTGGTGGTGCACGCCTGTAATCCCGGCTACTCGGTAGCCTGAGGCAGGAGAATCGCTTGAGTCGGGGAGGCAGAGGTTGCAAGGAGCTGAGATCGCACCATTGCACTCCAGCCTGGGCAACAAGAGTGAAACTCCGTCCCCCCCAAAAAAGAAAAACAGAACATAAATGTAAAATTTATAAAACAATAAATATGTGAAATAATATACATATGTGTAAATACATGAAAATTGTGGCCTTGCCAATACCATGATAAAATTCAAACAATGAAAAACACAAAAGAAAGCACTGTGTCACGGTTTAGCTGCTCTTGTAGGGTTTTTTGTTGTTGTTGTTGTACATAAAAAAATGGTGCGTGTGTCACTGGCAGTTGGCTTGGAGGTACAATAAAATATACAGGCTGGGCGCAGTGGCTCACACCTCTTATCTCAGCATTTTGGGAGGCTGAGGTGGGAGGATAGCTTGAGCCTCGGAGTTTGAGACCAGTCTGTGCAACATAGCAAGACCCCATGTCTACAAAAAATTTAAAAATTAGCCAGGCTTAGGGGCACATGCCTGTAGTCCCAGCTACTCAGGAGGCTGAGATGGGAGGATGGCTTGAGTCTGGGAGGTCAAGGCTGCAGTGAGCTTTGATCACGCCACTGCACTACAGCCTGGGTGACAGAGTGAGACCCCTTCCAAGAAAGAAAAAGGAAAGAGAGAGAAAGAGAGAAGGAAGGAAGGAAGGAAGGAAGGGAGGGAGGGAGGGAGGGAGGGAGGGAGGGAGGAGAGAGAGACAGAAAGGGAGGGAGGGGGAGAGAGAGAAAGATAGAGAAAGAAAGAAAGAAAGAGGCCGGGCATGGTGGCTCACGCCTGTAAATCCCAACACTTTGGGAGGCCGAGGCAGGCGGATCACGAGGTCAGGAGGTCGAGACCATCCTGGCTAACACGGTGAAACCCCATCTCTACTAAAAATACAAAAATACAAAAAAAAAAAAAAAGAAATTAGCCAGGTATGGGAGGCTGAGGCAGGAGAATGGCGTGAACCTGGGAGGTAGAGCTTGCAGTGAGCTGAGACGGTGCCAGTGCACTACAGCCTGGGCGACAGAGTGAGACTCCATCTCAAAGAAAAAAAGGAAGGAAGGAGACAGAAAAAAAGGAAGGAAAGAGAGAGAGAAGGCAGGCAGGCAGGCAGGAAAGAAGGTAGGAAAGGAGGGAGGGAGGGAGGGAAGGAAGGGAAGAAAGAAATGAGTGTGTGTGTGTGTGTGTGTGTGTGTGTGTAAACAGAATCTTGTCCAAAAGTGTGAAGAAAAAAATATTTAACCAGAAAAGCAAGGCCTGCATTCCCTTTTACTTCTCCAGATATTTCGTCCCCTTCGCTGGGTTTGACCAACTGAGGCTTCCACATAGCTGCCTCGTGGGGCTCTGCCGGGGACCCTCTTCCCTTCCCCTCTCACTCTTGCTGCAGCTTTTCTCATCCCAGCCCAGTGTCTCAATGACCTACAATGGTAGGTCTCACGGTAGCTTCCTCTGCAGCCTCCCGCCCTCCAGTCTTTCCCCCACACCAAAGCTGACCCTGCCCCTTCCCTGCTCCAAACCCTCCCATGGCTCCCTAGTACCCCCAGGAAAGAGTCCAGGATCCTCAGTCTGGAGTTCAGGCCTCTCCCACCACTCCTCACCATTCAACTCCTTTGGTTTTGTCTTTTTTTTTTTCTTTTCTTTTTTTTTTTTTGAGACAGAGTCTTGCTCTGTGGCCCAGGCCGAAGTGCAGTGGCGCGATCTCAGTTCAGTGCCACCTCTGCCTCCTGGGTTCAAGCAATCCTCCCGCCTCAGCCTCCCGAGTAGCTGGGATTATAGGCGTGTGCGCCACCAGACCTGTTTAATTTTTGTATTTTTAGTAGAGACGGGGTTTCACCATGTTGGCCAGGCTGGTCTTGAACTCTTGACCTCACGTGATCCGCCTGCCTTGGCCTCGCAACCTGCTGGCATTACAGGCGTGAGACATTGCACCAGGGCTAAGTCCTGGAATTCTGGTTCAAACTTTGGAAGATCAAGGGTGAAGCTCAGAATACTGGAGCATCTATACCCCAAACTTCAACATTAAATATATAGAGAGAGCATATATATGTTATGAGCATATATATATAAATAAATATATAAGCCTATATATAAATAAATATATATTTATTTATAATTTATAAATAAATATATATTTATTTATAATTTATAAATAAATAAATATATATTTATAATTTATAAATAAATATATATTTATAATTTATAAATAAATATATATTTATAATTTATAAATAAATATATATTTATAATTTATAAATAAATATATTTAATATATTTATAATATTTATATATTTATTTATAAATTTATATATAAATATATTTATATATAAATTTATAAATATTAATATTTGTATATAAATATAAATATATATATTTATAAATAAATATATATATTTATATATACACTATATATTTATATATAAATAAATATATATACATATATATTTTTATATATATATAAATGTGGAGGTTAGGATATAGATGTATGTGAGCGGGGCTCAGGGTATTGACCCTTGGGGGCTGGGGGCGTGTGGGTTGTGGGCGTGTCGTGGGGCAGGGCGTATAACTCGCAAGTTTAGCAGGCGAGCTCACAACCTTAGCCCTTCAGGTGGGGCGTTGGTGGCGGTGGCGGGACTCACATAATTGGACGCCCACCAGGACTTGAGCCGCAGGTACCACTGCAGCAGCGACGCCTGCAGCCTCAGGAATTCCTGCGCCAGGACCGCGGTCCAGTCGAAGTCCTCGTCGGAGAGGATGGGCCGGACCGACTCCAGGTACTAAAGGGGAGAAGAGGGCAGGTCACGCCCCCGGCCCGCCCCGGCCGCCCCAGCCCGTCTGCGCGCTCCCAGGCCCACCTTGCGCACGGTGTCCTGCACAGAGGGCACGGGCTGGCGTGGCAGGGAGCGCTGGTAACTGAACAGCATCGGGTGGCGGCCAGAGAAGATGCGGACCAGGGCCTGGGGAGGAGGAGTTACCGGGTCATTAACCCCTCACCGGAGCCAGGGAGTTGACGGGGCAGGGGTCGACAGTGGGACAGAAACCCAAAGAGAAGGACACAGAGACTTAAGAGCATCGGAGACCCCAAGAGAGAAAGGAACAGAGACCCAGAGACAGGGGACAGAGACCCAGAGAGAGGGGGACAGAGACCCAGAGAGAGAGGGGGGCAGAGACCCAGAGAGAGTCGGGGGTAGAGACCCAGAGGGGGGGACGGAGACACAGAGAGAGAGGGGGACAGAGACCCAGAGAGAGGGGGACAGAGACCCAGGGACAGAGGAGGACAGAGACCCAGAAAGAGAGGGGGAAGAGACCCAGAGAGAGAGGGACAGAGACCCAGAGAGAGGGGGACAGAGACCCAGAGAGAGGGGAATAGATAAGCGGGTCCCAGGAGAGCCTGAGCAGGGCTATGCCCCTCCCATACCAGCCAGGTCTTGGTGGGGGAGGACATGGCTCCGTGGGGCTCAAGAAGCCAGCCGTGGTAGGACAGAAGCAGCCTCAGGGCCACGTGCAGTGTGAAGATCAGGGCTCCCCACAAACACGAGGCAAACAGCGCGGCTGCCAGGACCCCCCGGAGCCCGTGGTGTTGTCCACCCCTGCGGGGAGAGAAACAGAGGCTGGGCCTGGGTCTCCTGGCCTCAGAACCTCCCTCCCTTCCAGCCCCCTCCAGCCCCTGCGCTGATCTTTTGGCTGTCAGACAGAGAAACCCATTTTTGTCATTTTAGTAGGTGTGAGCTCTGTCACCCCCTCCAGCCCCCTCCCATTGTGGCAGCACCAAGCTTCCAAAGTCACTTTCCATGGAAGTTGGTAGGTGTTTAATAAATGACAGCCATTATTTCTATTGAGGGGACACTTTTTCCTTCCAGCTATCACTACTCTAAGGCAATAGTTCTGAAACTGTGGCTCCTGGGAGCACTGCCTGGGAGCTTGTTCGAAATGCATATTCCTGGGCGCCTTTAAGACCTAACAAGCCAGAATCTCTCAGGGTGGGGTCCAGCAATCAGCGTTTTTTTTTTTGTTTTGTTTTGTTTTTGGGATGGAGTCTCGCTCTGTCGCCCAGGCTGGAGTGCTGTGGTGCTATCTCGGCTCACTGCAAGCTCCGCCTCCTGGGTTCACGCCATTCTCCTGCCTCAGCCTCCGGAGTAGCTGGGAATACAGGTGCCCACCACCACGCCCGGCTATTTGTTGTTATTTTTAGTAGAGATGAGGTTTCACCGTGTTAGCCATGATGGTCTTGATCTCCTGACCTCGTGATCCGCCTGCCTTGGCATCCCAAAGTGCTGGGATTACAGGCGTGAGCCACCACGCCCGGCATGTTTTGTTTTTGAGATGGAGTTTCACTCTGTCGCCCAGGCTGGAGTGCAGTGGCACTATCTCGGCTCACTGCAACCTCCATCTCCTGGGTTCAAGCAATTCTCCTACCTCAGCCTCCCGAGTAGCTGGGACTGCAGGCGCCCGCCACCACGCCCAGCTAATTTTTTGCATTTTTAGTAGAGAGGGTTTCACCACATTGGCCAGGCGGCTCTCGAACTCCTGACCTTAGGTGATCCACCCACTTGGGCCTCCCAAAGTGCTGGGATAACAGGTGTGAGCCACAGCACCTGGCCATAGTCAGCGGTTTAACAACCCATCCAGGTGATTCCAATACAAGCTTAAATTTAGGAAAAGCTGGTCTAAAGCTACATTAAATCAACATGTTTGTTTGCAAAGTTTGCAAATGTCACCTGGAGGACTTGGGTCAAATCACTTTCCCTCTGTAGACTGGGGGTAAATCTAGCGTTCCAGGAATTTTTTTTTTTTTTTTTTTTTTTTTTTTTTTTTTAGAGACAGGGGTCTCTATGTTGCCCAGGCTGGTCTCCAACTCCTGAGCTCAAGCCTCCTGCCTCAGCCCTCCGAAGTGCTGGGATTACAAGTGTGAGCCACTGTGCCCGGCCTCCGTCTTGGAATTGTCTACATCTGATCCTGGGTCTGTTCTTTGGGGCCATCTGCACAAAATGTGGACCTTCCTCCCCGGGAGGACTCATCCGAGAACTAGACCTGACATCTCACCTGCACCCAGTTTTCAGACCCTTCCTGAAGATCACAATAACTCAATAAAAATAATGCAGCCACTCCCATGAGGACCTCCTGGCACTCTACTGACTATATGACAGGCATGATTTTTTTTTCTTTTAATTGAGACGGAGTCTCTCTCTGTCGCCCAGGCTGGAGTGCAGTGGCGTGATCTCGCCTCACTGCAAGCTCCGCCTCCCAGGTTCAAACAATTCTCCTGCCTCAGCCTCCCAAGTAGCTGGGATTACAAGCACCTGCCACCACACTCGGCTAATTTTTGTATTTTTAGTAGAGACAGAGTTTCACCATGTTGGCCAGACTGGTCTCAAGCTCCTGACCTCAGGTGATCCACCCGCCTCAGCCTCCCAAAGTGCTGGGATTACAGGTGTGAGTCACCACATCCCGCCGACAGGCAGGATTTTGATTAATTCTTCCAAGCACACTAAGAAGCAATTATTCATACCTCATTTTACAGATGAAGGCCTTGACAATCAACAACGATGAGATCCTTGCCTAAGACTACATGACTAGAGACGGGCAAAGCTCATACTTTTTTTTTTTTTTTGAGACAGAGTCTCGCTCTGTCACCAAGGCTGAAGTGCAGTGGCACAATTTCGACTCACCGCAACCTCCGCCTCCCGGGTTCAAGTGATTATCCTGCCTTAGCCTCCTGAGTAGCTGGGACTACAGGCGCGCACCACCACACCCGGCTAATTTTTGTATTTTTAGTAGAGACGGGGTTTCACTATGTTGTCCAGGCTGGTCTCAAACTCCTGACCTCAGGTGATCTGGCCACCTCGGCCTCCCAAAGTGCTGGGATTACAGGTGTAAACCACCATGCTTGGCTATTTTTCTTTTTTCTTGAGACAGGGTGTCACTCTGTTGCCCAGGCTGCAATGCAGTGGCATGATCTCAGCTCACTGCAGCCTCGACCTCCTGAGCTCAGGTGATCTCCACCTCAGCCTCCTGGGTAGCTGGGACCACAGGTAAGTGACACCACACTTGGCTAATTTTTTGTTATTTTTAGTAGAGACGGGGTTTCACCATGTTGCTTAGGTTGGTCTCAAACTCCTGGGCTCAAGTGATCCTCCTGCCTTGGCCTCCAAAAGTGCTGGGATTACAGGCATGAGCCACTGTGCCCAGCAAAGCTCACACCTTTTTTTTTTTTTTTTTTTTTTGAGATGGAGTTTCGCTCTTGTCACCCAAGCTGGAGTGCAATGGCGCAATCTCGGCTCACTGCAACCTCCACCTCCCGGGTTCAAGCGATTCTCCTGCCTCAGCCTCCCTAGTAGCTGGAATTACAGGCTCCTGCCACCACGCCCAGCTAATTTTTTGTATTTTTAGTAGAGACAGGGTTTCACCCTGTTGGCCAGGCTGGTCTTGAACTCCTGATCTCAGTTGATCCACGTGCCTCAGCCTTCCAAAGTGCTGGGATTACAGGCATGAGCCACCATGCCTGGCCTAATTTTTGTATTTTTAGTAGAGACAAGGTTTCACCATGTTGGCCAGGCTGGTCTCGAACTCCTGACCTCAAGCGATACACCCACCTCAGCCTCCCAATGCCCAATGTGCTGGGATTACAGGGGTGAGCCACTGTGCCCGGCCTCACCTCCTTTTTCTTCATGCCATGCCTTTATTAATCTGACCCAATGTAAGTCTCAGAGGTTACTTTTCTTTAGCAGGTACACCACAATGACAGAGGAACTTACTGGGTGAAGGGAGAGTGATTGGGGGTTACTGGGCTGGAGTGGGGGGACCTCACCAGTCAGGCAGCAACTCTTTGATCTTCTCCATCAGTCCTAAGGAAGGATCCAGCTGGAGGAACCAGGCAAGCTGGATGGCACTGAAGAGGAAAAGCCAACTGAGGGGGCTGGCAGGAAACACACCGGTGAGAAAGTCATTCTGTGGGGAGGAAAGGGCATCCATTGAATCATCTGCCCTCTCCTCTGAGCCCCTGTTCTGTGCCATCCCCAGACATTACTGAGCACCCAGTGCGGAGCCCTGAGCTGGAGGCTCAAGATCTAGTAGGGAACAGAGAGATCCAGGTCCTGCCCTCAGCGAGGTCAGACCAGAATGAAGTAAGTATTAATTGCTATAGGGCAAGAAATAGGAGGAGCCCTGTGCTGCCAAGTTACAGTTCGAGGGCATCAGGGAGGGCTCCCTGGAGGAGGATATTCTGAGGCAGGACCTGGAAGGGGAGGCTGTCAAAGGCAGAACAGTCCGGATGTGGTGGCTCACTCCTGTAAACTCAGCACTTTGGGAGGTCAAGGAGGAGAATCCCTTGAGCCCAGGAGTTCAAGACCAGCGGTGGCTCACGCCTGTAATCCCAACACTTTGGGAGGCTGAGGCAGGCGGATCACTTGAGGCCAGGAGTTCAAGACTGGCCTGGCCAACATGGTGAAATCCGTCTCTAGTAAAAATACAAAAATTAGCCGGGCATGGTGGCAGGCACCTGTAATCCCAACTACTTGGGAGACTGAGGCACGAGAATCGCTGGAGCCCGGGAGGCTGAGGTTGCAGTGATCCAAGATCACGCTACTGCACTCCAGCCTGGGTGACAGAGCAAGACAAGGTCTCCAAAAAAAAAAAAAGAAAGAAAAAAAAATTAGGCGCAGTGGCACACACCTTAGTCCCAGCTACTTGGAAGGCTGAAGCAGGAGGATCGCTTGAGCCCAGGAGTTCAGGGATGAAGTGAGCTGTGATGGTGACACTGCACTCCAGCCTGGGTAACAAAGTAAGTAAGACCCTGTCTCAAAAAAAAAAAAAAAAAAGAAAAGAAAAGAAAAAGAAAAATGATCCCTATTCAGAGCAGGGTCTGGAGCTCAGTAAGGCCTTCTAGAAGTACCAGGGCATGGAATGAATGAGGAACGACCAACAGCACTGCGTTACTAACTAAACTCCTTTGGAAGCCTCAGAGAGATAACTAACGTTTAATGAGCACTTACTACATTCCAGGTGCCATTTACAAGGATTAACAATTTAAATCCTCCCCAAACCATGTGAAATAAGTACTAAGATGATCTCATTTTACAAATGAAAACACTGGGGTTTGGCCGGGCGCAGTAGCTCATGCCTGTAATCCCAGCACTTTGGGAGGCCTAGGCGGGTGGATCACCTGAGGTCAGGCATTCCAGACCAGCCTGGCCAACATGGCAAAACCCCATCTCTACTAAAAATACAAAAATTAGCCAGGCGTGGTGGTGGGAACCTATAATCCCAGCTACTCAGGAGGCTAAGGCAGAAAAATTGCTTAAACCCAGGAGATGGAGGTTGCAGTGAGCCAAGATCCTGCTATTGCACTCCAGCCTGGGCAACAGCAACAGAGTGAGACGCTGTCTCAAAAAAAAGGCCAGGGGCAATGGCTTATGCGTGTAATCCCAGTGCTTTGGGAGGCCAAGGTGGGCGGATCACGAGGTCAAGAGATCGAGACCATCCTGGCCAACATGGTGAAACCCCGTCTCTACTAAAAATACAAAATTAGCTTGGCGTGGTGGCACACGCCTGTAGTCCTAGCTACTTGGAGGCTGAGGCAGGAGAATCACTTGAACCCAGGAGGCAGAGGTTGCAGTAAGTCGAGATCACGCCACTGCACTCCAGCCTGGCAACAGACTGACTCCATGTCAAAAAAAAAAAAAAAAAAAAAGGCCAGGTGCAGTGGATCATGCCTGTAGTCCCAGCACTCTGAGAGGCCAAGGCGGGTGGATCACCTGAGATCAGGAGTTCGAGATCATCCTGGCCAACATGGTGAAACCCTGTCTATACTAAAAATACAAAAAATTAGCCGGGCCTGGTGGCAGGCACCTGTAATCTCAGCTACTTGGGAAGCTGAGGAAGGAGAATAGCTTGAACCCATGAGGCGGAAATTGGAGTGAGCCAAGATCATGCCATTGCAATCCAGCCTGGGCAACAAGAACAAAACTCCGTCTCAAAAAAAAAAAAAAAAAAAAAATTGTGCATTTTTCTCCATGTAATGTTATCATATATATGTGTGTGCATGTATATATTTATAGGTCTATAAATATGTATGTATCTATGTATGTATGTATTTAAACACACGAAAAGGATGGCCACATGTTTGTTTTTTTTTGAGACGGAGTCTCGCTTTGTTGCCCAGGCTGGAGTGCAGTGGCACGATCTCGGCTCACTGCAAGCTCCGCCTCCTGGGTTCACGCCATTCTCCTGCCTCAGCCTCCCAAGTAGCTGGGACTACAGGTGACTGCCACCACGCCCAGCTAATTTTTTTGTATGTTTAGTAGAGACGGAGTTTCACTGTGTTAGCTAGGATGGTCTTGATCTCCTGACCTCGTGATCTGCCCGCCTCGGCCTCCCAAAGTGCTGGGATTAGAGGCGTGAGCCACCATGCCTGGCCAAGGATGGTCACATGTTAACACTTTAGTTGGTAGACTGGCCTGAGGCCCAAGGAGTCCCAGGGTAAGGGCGGGAGAGGGATTCGGAGTTCAAGGCAGTGGCTGTTTGCCAACTGGAACAGATTATACAACCAACAAGACCACAGAGGTTCAGTTTAGCCTGCTGAAGCATCCCAGCTTCAGGAGATCCTCCTGGCCGCCGGCTCCCACCCCCTTTTTTTTTTTTTTTTTTGAAACGGAGTCTTGCTCTGTCACCCAGGCTGGAGTGCAGTGGCGCAATCTTGGCTCACTGCAATCTCTGCCTCCTGGATTCAAGTGATTCTTCTGCCTCAGCCTCCCAGGTAGCTGTGATTACAGGTGCCTGCCACCACACCCGGCTAATTTTTGTATTTTTAGTAGAGATGGGGTTTCACTATATTGGCCAGGCTGGTCTTGAACTCCTGACTTCGTGATCTGTCTGCCTTGGCTTCCCAAAGTGCTGGGATTACAGGCGTGAGCCACCGCACCTGGCCTGCCACCCCCTTATTTAACTGCAACACCCCCACATCACTCTTCTCTACCCGATTTATCATTCACCATAGCATGTGTCACCATCAATATCAGATGACACTATAGAATGTCACCATACCCTATATTTTGCTCATCTGTTTTATTGCCTTCTGTTTTGCTCATCTGTTTTATTGCCTTCTCCCCCAACTCGAATGAGAACTCTATAAAAGCAGGATTCTGTCTTTATTATTTATTTATTTATTTATTTATTTATTTATTTATTTTTTATTTTATTTTATTTTTTTTTGAGACGGAGTCTCGCTCTGTCGCCCAGGCTGGAGTGCAGTGGCGCCATCTTGGCTCACTGCAAGCTCCGCCTCCCGGATTCACGCCATTCTCCTGCCTCAGCCTCCTGAGTAATTGGAACTACAGGCACCCACTACCACACCAGGCTAATTTGTGTGTGTGTGTATTTTTAGTAGAAACGGGGTTTCACCGTGTTAGCCAGAAGGGTCTCGATCTCCTGACCTCATGATCCGTCCGTCTCAGCCTCCCAAAGTGTTGGGATTACAGGCATGAGCCACCGTGCCCGACCTGTCTTTATTTTTTTAATAGAGATGGGGTCTCCCTATGTTGTCCAGGCTGGTGTCCAAGTCCTGGGCTCAAGTGATCCTCCTGCCTCAGCCTCCCAAAGTGCTGGGATTAAAGCCGTGAGCCCGCAGTGCCCAGGCGTGATTCTGTCTGTTGATATCTGCTGTGTTCTCCATGCTAAAGAGGGCCAGGCCCTTACCGGATGCCCCATAAATATATGGTGAATGAATGAAGAACAATATCAGAAGCTAACACTCAGACCTCGCCATGGGCCAGGACATAGAAGAATTAATTTAGTCTTCAAGGCTATCCTGTGAGGGAGGTGCTGTCAACACCCATGTTTTCCACGAGGGGAAACTGCGACTCCAAGAGAGGTGCTTGCCCAAGATGACACAGCTACTAAGCGGTGGAGTCAGGATTCAAACTCAATCATGACCCCACAGGTGTTCCAGACCCCAGTTCACACACAGAGGATGTGACAAGCAGGGAGTCCCTGTATGGAGACAGTGCAAGAGTTCTAGAACCAGAAACCCTGGGACAGACATGGGTGCTGGTTACACATTGGGCATGCGCATTCCAGAACAGGGACAGAGCAGGAGTTTGGGCCGGGCGCGGTGGCTCATTCCTGTAACCCAAGCGCTTTGGGAGGCAGATCACTTGAGGTCAGGAGATCGAGATTAGCCTGGCCAACATGTTGAAACCCCGTCTCTACTAAAAATACAAAAATTAGCTGGGCGTATAATCCATGCCTGTAATCCCAGCTACTCGGGAGGCTGAGGCAGGAGAATCGCTTGAACCTGGGAGGTGGTTGCAGTGAGCCAAGATCACCCCACTGCATTCCAGTCTGGGCAACAGAGTGAGACTCTGTCTCATAAATAAATAAATAAATAAGCCAGGCATGGTGGCGTGCGCCAATAATCCCGGCTACCTGGGAGGCTGAGGCAGGGAATTGCTTGAACCCAGGAGGCGGAGGTTGCAGTGAGCTGAGATCCCGCCACTGCACTCCAGCCTGGGCGACAGAGTGAGACTGTGTCTCAGAAACAACAACTACAAAAGAAGCTGGAGATGAAAGGAAGAAATGATAATTTCACCATAAGGGAAGGATATGGAGTTCTAGAAACTGGAAGTGGGTAGTTTTTGGGGGGCCCAGTTCCCCTCTTGGGTGAAAGAAGTGAGCAGAGGTTCTCAGCAGGTGGGGCTGTGGATCCCAGAAGTGAGCCACGGAGAAATTGCTAAAGGGGTCCTGGGAGCAGACATCAAAATTCTAAGAAAAAGGGGTGATAGTCTCCCAGAAATGAACCAGCTGAAATGCCGGAAGTGAGCCTCAGACATCCCGGAAGCAGAAACCTGGATCCCCGGAAGGAAACCGACCAGCACCGCTCCTCACCCAGAAACGTGAGAGATGCCTTTTCCAGGAGCGCAGGCCAGAGAGGTAGATCTCCTGCAGCACAGGGGCACTGAGTTCCACTTCAGCCCCGTCCGAGGTCAGCGAGGGTCGGAAGCCCACGGCCTGGTGCGCTTCAGCCATGTCACGCTGGAGCCCTGAGTCGGGCAGAGTCATACTTCAGGACCCCAGCCCCTCCGCCCTCAGACTCAGGAGTCCAGGCCCCCAGCCCCTCCTCCTCCTTCATACCCAGGAGTCCAGGCCCCAGTCCCTCCTCTCTCAGATCCAGGAGTCCAGGCCCCCAGCCCCTCCTCCCTCAGACCCAGAAGCCCAGGCCCCAGCCCCTCCTCTCTCAGATCCAGGAGTCCAGGCCCCCAGCCCCTCCTCCCTCAGACCCAGAAGCCCAGGCCCCAGCCCCTCCTCCCTCAGACCCGGGATCTCACGCTTTCAGCTGCCTTTTTGCGCCGACCCAGGACTACATAACCTAGCTCATCCTTCTCTAAGCACCTGAAGGGTCTTGAGGGTCCTGGTTTGTAGACCCGGAGGTTTTGAGGGAAGGACGTCAATTCGGGACCTCTGGGAACGCATAGAGAGGCCAGAGGGATAGCTCGCGTTAACCCCTTTACCTGCTCTCCCAAGAACATGGTGCGGGGGCAGTGCCCTCCCCCCAGTACAGGATTCTCAAGATTCGGGGGTGGGTGGAGGAGGGAAACTGGTCCAGGCTGAGTTGCGGGGTCTTGAGAAAAGCATTAGTTTTAGACCCATATGAAACAAACACCTGTTAGACATTGACGCTGTCCACCCCATTGCCGCTTTTCATGCCAAGGCGAGGGGGATGGTGTCTATAAATTCATCCGCTCAGCGTCCCCTCCCCCCGCCCGTGCTGGAGGGAATGGGGAAGGAAGCACCCACTGCGCATGCCTCGCAGCCTGGGATGCTGAGGCTGTGAGCGGAGGCGAGCGTCGAGGACAAGTGATGGAGAGGCTTGCACGCCCAACCCTAGACACAGGACTCCAGGCCCCGCCGGAGCCCGAGCCCCTGGGGTCCAGTACTTACCACGTTGAATCAAGGGTCCGCTGATCGGATCCTGGGGTCCAAACCCGAGTCCACCCCCGCCCCCCGATTTTGAGCGCCGGCCCCAAATCTCCCGCTTGCATATGTCCAATCCCAGTGCAAGGAGTCCACCACCGGGTCGACGGGCCTTTGGAGTCCTGCCCACCCCGAGATCACCGTCACCCAGAAACCCCGATTCCTCTCTCTCGTGTCCCTAGCCGGGTATTCAGGTCCCGGGTTTTATCCCCGCCTCCTTCCAATCCCCGCGTTCTATCCCCGCCCCCTTCGAGCCACGGCGTCCAATCCCCTACATCCGTTCGATCCCCAGTCCTCCGTCTCCTTTTACCCGGCCAGATTCTCCACCATTTGGCCGCTCGCATTCTACGCAGCTGTTCGGAACCCGGGTTCCTGGGCTCCTCACTCAGCTCATTGTCTCTTAGTCTCCTGTCTCTTCGAGGAACAAGGCTCAGCTGGGAGGTCGCAGCCCACCCCAGGTGCATTATAACGTCAGGCGCGTAGGGTGCCGGAGCAAATCTCAGCCCTTTCACGCCAGGGAGGGAGGAGGGATGTTTGGGGGTCAGGACGGCCCGCCAAAACCACCCACGGAAGGTGCATGGATTGAGTTGGCAAGAAAGGCGCCACAGCGGGTTGGATTCAAGGTAGACAGTGGGACTTCCGTGAGGGAGAAGCAGCATGGCTAATAGAGAAAGGTATATTAGAGACCCAGCCTCGACTGAGAGGTCGAAATAGGTACAGAGAAGCAGAGACTGAAACACGGAACTCTTGTTTATTCGGCTCTGGGCGTCAGTGTTCTTCGCCCAGCCTGGTCCCGTGTGCTTCTAGGTCCAACCTAGTCGCAGCCCGGGGAGGGACTGGGGAAGACGGTTTCAGGGGCTGGAGTTAGGGGAGAAGAAATGTGGAGTAGAAGCTCCAACATACAGATAGGCAAACTGAAGCCGAGGAGGGGACGAGCCGTGCCCGAGGTCACCCAGCGAGCTGGGCACTGCGCTAGCCCCCTCGCTGCAGGCCGGAATCCTGGGAACCGAGCCGGGCTTCCGCCTCGCGCCACCGGCGGCGCCCATAGCTGTAGGGGTCCTGGGGCTCGTGGCTGGCCTTCCCCGAGGGCTCCTTGGTGGAGACAGCGAATCCAGTATATGATCTCCGCCAGGCGGTGGGTCCGGCATACGCCCAGGTAGCAGACGTGCCCGCGGTGCTGGGGGACCTGGTGCTGGCCTCGCCTGGAGAGGGAGCGTGGGAGAAAACCGGGTTCAAACCGAATTGAGAGATGGAGCGTGATGGAGGTGGGCACCCAAGCACTCCAAGACCAGCGGGGAGGCTTACAGATCACCTGCCCGTTCCGCGGCCGGGAGAGGGCGCTCGCCCTTTACGGTCTCCCTCCCGCCCTGTCCCTGCTGCCACCCGGGTTTCTCACCTGGCTGCAGTGTCCAGGTCCCCTTGGGCGGAGAAGGCGAGGAGCAACAGCAGGATGAGGATGTGGATAGTCATCGTGGGCAGGGCGGGTCAGGATCCGTGGCCCGTAGTTGCGGCCACCCCGCCCCGTTCCCGCACCGGGCTGATCGCCTCTGGGTGCAGCTCTGGAGCCAGGTACCAGGGCCAGTCCCCACTTCCCAGGCGGGGAACACTGAGGCCAAAAGTCTGTGGGAAGAGGCCGCACCACACCAGAGGGGCAGGATTCAAACCCGGGTCCCCGCTTCCCGCACCGCGGCTCCAGAGACCTCACTGGGTGTGTGGGGTCACACCAGCTGCTGTCTATCCCCCTAGGAGGTCTGTGGAGACTCGCCCCCTTCAAAGCGTGGGGAAATGGGGCGGGGCCAATGACACCCGCAGGTAGCTAAGCAGCGGGATTCCAAGAAAAGGGGTGGCGGCGGGGAAGCGCTGGCTCTGGTTGTAGATGCGACCTCACCCTCACCCTGTCGGGAAGCCGGTTAGTAGACAGTTGGGACCCTGGAACCTCGGGGGCCAGGCAATGCAGGGCAAGTGCACATGCGGCCCCCTGGAGGGCGTGGAGCGAGGGAGACCCCAAACACACTGAGGAGCGCCCCTCCGGAAGAGAAAAGGCCGAGGTGTCAGGCACTCGCCGGTGAGGGCTCCAGTTGCACTGAAGCAGGTGTAGCCAGGGCTGTTCAACGAGGAGGGTGTCCTGGGTCAACCAGGTCGAGTGCACAGTATTGTGGGGGACCCAGGACCCCGTGGCCAGGCCCTGAGGGTGGAAGGGTGGGTGCAGACGCCATGTCTGCAGCAGAGGCAGAGGGACCTCGTCTTCACCTCTGTAAGATGGGTAGGCCCTGCCACCTTACAGCTGCAACTCCCACTGACCTCCATGGAGGGCAAGTCCCCAGCCCTAAGCCCCAAGCCATTCTAGGGGAGGAAGCAGGGCCACTCCCCCATGAGAAATTCTATCCTTGCAAACATACACCCCCAACCCACTCAGTGTCCCCAGCTGCAGAGGGCTGGGCACAGTTGGGCCTTGAAGGGACCCGAACAGGAAAAAACAGCCAGAGAGGAACAATGTCGAGTGTTGGGGGGAGGTGGGGAGACTGTTCTGGGAAACTTGAGGGCTGGCTGTGCTGGAAAGCCACCCCCATCCCCTACTAGGCAGGACACGGGTACCGCAGAGGGGAGGGGCGCAGACCCAGGAGAGGGATGAAAAGAGTTGGACAAAGACCCTGAGAGACAGCTGTGGAGGACAGGGACCCCGAGAAGGAACCAAGGAAGGGGAGCAAGAGGCCTAGAGACGGGGGACGGGAGACGCAGATCCACAGAATGGCAGCCACCAGCAGGTGCCAAGGCCGGTCCCCCCACTGCTGAGGCTGGCACTGCAGTACCTGCGAAAGGAACCCCAAACCTCCTTTGCCCCCAGGAAACAAAGCCAGACCCCAGCTGAGGATTTATTGGCGTAAATGCAACCATATAAAAACATAAGTTATGAAAAACACAGTCACGATGTGCCCTCCCCATCCCCCCAGCCCAGGCCCCTAAAACCCCCTTCTGCGGGAGGGAGGGAGAGGAAGGGGGAGCCCCGAAACCGCCTAGGAACGCTCAGCCCCTGGGCTCGTGCAGGGCGGGAGAGCCGGGCCTCAGCGCATCCGGTAGTCGGTGGAGCAGGACAGCTCGCACAGCTGGCCCTTGAAGTCCAGGTCGATGGTGAAGTCCAGGTCCCGCTGCAGGGAGAGGTGGGGCATGAGGGCGGAACCCACCAGGAGGTGGTGGCGGGGGGCGGGTGCAGGCAGGCTATGCGACGATGAGCCGGGCTCCAGCTTCCTGCCCATCTCCACGCTGCAGACCCCAACTGCTGGTCCCACCCTAGCAGCTGCCCTGACCCTGCCAAGGGACAGCACCACATGGACACCCCCAAGCCCACTAGACTCACTCAGGAGTAGAGCCCAGCTGCTGTCCCTTGCCCTTGGATTTCTCCATCAGGATGATTCCCATCAGCAATGCAGTGATTGCTTCTTTCATAAAAAAGAAAACCTCTCCCAAGCCCACTTCCTCCTCAGGCAAACGTTCCAGTGAAACACAATGGTCCAGCCTGCTGTCTCCACTTCCTCTCCTCCCCCCATACCCTCCAGCACATGAAGATGAGACAAAGTCACCAACGCCCGAGGACTCCTCCTCCCTCTCCAGTATCCGTTTCCCAGCTAGTGCCGTGGTCCCGGGGGCTGCATGAGTCTTTGTAGGGGGTGGTCCTGTGGCTGCAGGACATTTACCAGCCCCCTGGCCCCTACCTACCAGATGCCAGGACCACCCCTTCTCCGGAGTGACAACCACAAATGTTTCCACAGACGGTGGCAAACGTCCTGGGGGGGGGCGGGGAGCGGAGGGGGCAGTAAAACTGCCCAGTTGACAACTGCTGCTGTCACAGGCTCGTGGGTGTCCCAGGGTCCACATTCCATGACTACCCTGAGTGCCACCCACCCTCGCACCCATCGGCCGGGACCCACTTTTCCAACCCAGACCACTCCCGGCGACTCCAGGCTCCAAGCCTTCCATCCTCCTGCCTGCTCAGACCCACCACACTGGATCTCTGCCCAGACCCTGTCTCCGAGAAGCCCCCCCAGCTCCCCCGGAAGCCCCCTGATCTCAGGTGATGGCAGCTCCTGCCAAGTGCTCAGGAGGAAAAAGAAAGGGGAGCAGAAAACAAAAAGCTGCCTTTCTCCTCTCATGCCTCCCAGCTGGGCTAGAAAACCCCGTGCACTCTACTGGGGGCTGCCTCTTGCCCTGGAGCCCACCTACACCAACACCTGTCTGCCCTGCTCCCAGCCTGACAGAGGTCACCTCCAACTGGCATCACCATGTCACTGACCCCCTTGTCTAGAGTGGAAGCACCAGGAGGGCAGGGTTTCAGCCTGGGTCCCCAGGCCCATAACTTCCGGTGAATGCTCAAGCAATCCTGCTGTGTAGACAGGCATGGGGCTGAGGGGCTTGGGGACCCGGGAATAGGCAGAGGTGCTCGCCCCCGCCAGCTGCCCCCATCCCCCACCCCGGCTGCCCCCATCCCCTACCCCCGCTGCCACCATTCCTCCCCCACCACTCCCCCCCCAATCTACACTCCCCGCCCTAGCTGCCACCCTCCCACCCAGCTGCCCGGAGCCTCACGTTGTTCTTGGCGTTGGGCCGCATGCCGATGGTGCCGAAGATCTCCTCGCCCGTCTTCACGGTCAGGTAGTCCTCCATGTAGAACACCGTCTGCTTCCAGTGCGTGTACGGGGACTCGGGGCCTGGGGGCGCGGGCGGGTCAGCCGGCCTCGGCCTGCTGCCCCCCCCAACCCCACCCTTGCGTTCCCTCTGTCGGAATGCCCACCCCCATGACAGCTGATGGGACTGCTATCCGCGAGTCACCTCCCTGTCATTGAGCTTTGGAGACAGGGACCGTGTCAGCCTTTTGTGGATGAGGAAACTGAGGCACTGCACACTCAGGTCACTTGCCCAAGGCCACGTGACTGCTACATGGCAGAGCTCACACTGGAACACGCGTGTCCCCATGGTTCCTTCTGCCCGTTTCTGTCACCCCCTCCACTACGTGGGTGCGCCTCCGCCCTGGCTCGGGAACGGCCCCCAGCCCTGTGGGCCCCGCCTCACTGGTGGAGAAGCCGGTCCTCTTGTGGCAGCGTGTGAACTCGATGTTGAAGTAGGCCACCAGGGCGTGCACGTAGTCATTCCGCTTCACTTGCAGGCAGAACGGGGAGGTGAAGGTCAGGTCTTCCACCTTGACGGTATAGATGTCCACCTCCTGCAGGACATGAGAGGGCGAGCTCCGGGATGCGTCCCCACCTCGCTTCATCCCCTCCTCCCTCCCTTAAGCTCCCAGAGGGCCTGTGACCTCGCTGTCCCCTTCCTGCTAGCCCTCCCTCACTGGCACCCAGCCTCGGCTCCTCCTTCACTCTGCATCCTGCCTATCCGGCTCCCAATAAACCATGTGGGTTCGAGCCCAGATTCCTTGCTCCCTCCTCTCCAACACCCAAACCTGGCAGTGCCACCCTAACTCTGTCCAGACCTCCTAGAATGCAGGCGCCCCACTCCACTGTCTCCCCAACCCCTTGACAAGTCCAACAACATGATGGCTTCAAACGGCAACACAAATGCCAACCTAAACCCTGCGCCAGTTCCCCTGGCTCTCAGGAGGGTGGCCCGAGTGGGGTCCCTGCCCCTGTAGTCTCCTCTCCTCCCCCACTCAACAACTTACTCCTCCCCGACAGGATCCCCCGGTCAGCCACCCAGCTTCACCCGGCTCACACATCCCAGCTCAACAAATACTCATCGCCGTATTTTTTTTTTTTAAACAGGGTCTCAGAAGTAAAAAAAAACAAAAGGAAAAAACAAAACAAAACATTGTCACCAAAGCTGGAGTGCAGTGATGTGATCACAGCTCACTGCAGCCTTGAACTCCCAGGCCCAAGTGATCCTCCCGAGTAGCTGGGACCTCAGGCACATCTCGGAGCCCAGCCTGGCCCCGTGCTCTTCTGCAGTGGCCCGCGTGCATGTGCATCCGCTCATCGCCCTGGGGTCCTGCCTTTCCGTGCATGGGCTGTGGGCTTTAGCTGCCAGCTTTGGGTGTTTCCTCCGCCAGAAGCCAAGTGCCAAGCATGGTTCTCACACAGCAGCGCTCACAAAGATATTTAAAGGACGAAGTGTCTTTCCTGGGCCTCTAGCACCACCTCTGGCTGGCAGATCAGGCTCTGAGACCTCAGGCCAACATTCTGGGCCCCAAAGTCCCATGCCAGGGCCAGGTGATGGCCTCTCTTTGGTTTCAACCCAGGGGGCACCTGGCCATGCCCACCCCCTCACCTTTATGAGGCAGGCGTTGGTGACCAGCTGTTTGGGGTCCACGACATCCACTAGGGGCTCCTTAATGGCCACATCTTTGATGCAAGACATGTCGAAGCCATACACGTTCTCCCACCCTGGGGAGGCAGGCAGGGAGGGGGTGAGCCCGCAGCAGCCCACCCGAGGCCCCGCCCGCCAGCTCCCGGGCCGCGCTCACAGTGGATCTTGTAGTCTTTGTACTGCCGGTCCTCGATGGCCGTCACATACAGCGTGGCCCGGTCTGGGAAGATGAGGCCATCGGGCGCCTACAGAGGGGCAGGGCGAGGCATGAAGGGTGGGGCCTGGCAACACTACCCTGAGTCTTGCCTCCAAGATGTGGCCTCCTGCCCTGGTCTGGGCCACCCTCATGTCGCAGCGGCACTCACCCCTCGCCCCCTGGTCTATTTCCCACACGGCCGCCAGAGGGCACCCAGGGGCACCCCAGTCAGCTCCCGGCCCTTGGAGGTTCTGGGGATCCTCAGACCCTCCCTAGCTGCTCTGAGAGGAAAAGCACGGGGTCCCATAAGCCTCCACAAAATCTGCACACGCCCTGTCACCCCTCACCTCCACTCCTCCTCCTGCTGCCGTTCTAGACCCTCCTTCCACACGGGCCTCCCTGCTGTTCCACACGCAGCAAGGGCACACCTGCCCTGGCTGCCCCTCCGTATGCTTCATCCACCTCTCCGTCACCTCACCTCTCCCGGGGAGGCCTGCTGGGGCCTAAGGACCTGGGCTATTGCGCCGCTACGGATTTCCTGTTCCTACGACCTCCCCCACATCGCACCATCTCCCTCCAGGGTCTGTCACACCTGGCTTGGGCTGTGGCTTTCTAACACCTTGCAGCTAAGCCCCCACAGTAAGTCCCGTCTGTGGGAAAAATTGAGCGTGGTTTTCGTCTTCTACCTGGACCCCAGCCCACGCGAGCTGCACCCGTCCCGCTGGGGCCTCACCAGCCACTTGTCCCGGGCATAGAGCACGGTGTTGAGCATGGACTCGTAGAAGAGGCAGTAGCCCATCCACTCGCTGATGATGATGTCCACCTTCTCCACTGGGAGCTCCACCTCCTCCACCTTCCCCTTGATGATGGTCACCACTGCGGGCGGACAAGGGTGGCCACGTCAGCCCCCGGGAGGCCTGCCCCTCACCTCACCTCCCCCGGGGGCTAGAGCCTGGGGACCCCACTTCAGTTCAGAGAACTGCGTGAGCAGAAGCCATGAACCCTTCTAACAGTTTTAAAATTCATACATCGTTCTGGACATTTTTGAGGCAGGAGCAGAAATTTTATGTGGACTGGGTATCAGGTGATGTTACTTTTTTTTTTTTTTTTTTTTTGAGACGGAGTCTTGCTCTGTCACCCAGGCTGGAGTGCAGTGGCGTGATCTCAGCTCACTGCAACCTCCGCCTCCCGGGTTCACGCCATTCTCCTGCTTCAGCCTCCCGAGTAGCTGGGACTACAGGTGCCAGCCACCAAGTCCGGCTAATTTTTTGTATTTTTAGTAGAGACAGGGTGTCACCGTGTTGGCCAGGATGGTCTTGATCTCCTGACCTCACGATCCGCCCGCCTCGGCCTCCCAAAATGTTGGGATTACAGGCGTGAGCCACTGTGCCCGGCCGCGATTTTGTTTTTAACTGGGTGGTTTTGATATAATAAGTAACAGCATGATCACATTCTCAAAACAGCCTTTATCTATTAGATAAGACACAAGCAGACGCATTTACCGGGAAAATTACATCACAGTGGGAATTTGCTTCAAATGGACTCGTGCGTTCATTATAATAATCTCTTTTTAAAAATCACTTCAGGATGGCACGGTGGCTCACGCCTGTAATCTCAGCACTTTGGGAGGCCAAAGTGGATGGATCACCTGAGGTCAGGAGTTCAAGACCAGCCTGGCCAACATGGTGAAACCATGTCTCAACTAAAAAAATACAAAAAAAAAAAAAGTTCACACCTGTAATCCCAGCACTTTGGGAGGCCAAGGCAAGCAGGCAGATCACGAGGTCAGGAGATCGAGACCATCCTGGCTAACACGGTGAAACCCCGTCTCTACTAAAAAAACAAAAAAATTAGCCGGGCGTGGTGGCTGGCGCCTGTAATCCCAGCTAATTGGGAGGCTGAGGCAGGAGAATCACTTGAACCCAGGAGGCGGAGCTTGCAGTGAGCTGAGATCGTGCCACTGCCCTCCAGCCTGGCAAAAGAGTGAGACTCCATCTCAAAAAAAAAAAAAAAAAAAAAAAAATGCTGGGGATGTACCTATGATGGTGGTCATGCAAAAGAGCGGATGCCGCAACATCCTGGAAAGTGTTAAACGACATGACAAGCAGGTGTAAGAAGCCAAGGGCAAGAGGCTGGTATGAAATGCTACTGGCGTGAAAATTATGCACGAGAATGTAAATGCATTTACGTATGTATGTGTTTGTAGGTCCAGACTTCTCTGGAAGTTAGTGTTGGTTAAACTCAGAGGAGGGCAGCTGGGAAACAGGGAAGGCTTCTCACTGTGGGCCTTCCGTGGCCAACCACGTGACTCTATTACTCATTCAAGAAACTAGAGAGTGCTTCTTGCCCTAATTTTAAGACTGCGGTGCTAAGCCTGTGATTTTGACACTCAGATTCTCAGGCGGCCGGCAGCCCAAAAGACCATGGGTTGGGAGCTGCTGAATCTGTGGTCATCTGTAGACCCCACTGCTCTTCAGAGGGCCCTGGGGAAGCAGGGCATCACCCCCTCCACTCCCACAAACCCATCCTCTTTCTGGGCTCACCGTGGTCTAACTTGTTGGCTTTGACGATCTTCACCGCATAATCAGAGATACTGGAACACTCGATCTGAGGGCCCAGGAAGAAGGGAGGGTGAGACCCATCCCCTGCCCCCATCACCTCCATCCAATCCCTGAGCCCTGATGGGCTCCCCTCCATCCCTCAGGCCCGGCCCCGCCTGGCCACCCTGGAGACTCACCCCGATGACCTTGCGGGCCCCGGCCTTGGCAGCAAACATGCAGAGGATGCCGGTGCCCGAGCCGACGTCCAGCACCACCTTGTCCTTGAAGAGGTGCCGGTTATGAAACATGGAGTTGCGGTAAGTGAGGGTGCGCACCTCGTCCTTCAGCATCTCCTAGGGCAAGAATGGCACAGAGACGCCGTGAGGGGCCCCATATCCCCAGCTGGAGAACAGCGTGTCCTGAGAGCTCGGAGGGCCAGAGCTCGGCCCTCTCGCTTTCTTCCATGCACCTCAGTTTCCCTTTTATATTTATTCATTTATTTATTTTTATTTTATTTTATTTTTTGAGATGGAATCTCACTCTGTTGCCCAGGCTGGAGTGCAATGGTGCAATCTCAGCTCACTGCAACCTCCGCCTCCTGGGTTCAAGTGATTCTCCTGCCTCAGCCTCCCAAGTAGCTGAGATTATAGGTGCACACCACCATGCCCGGCTAATTTTTGTATTTTTCATACAGATGGGGTTTCACCATATTGCCCAGGTTGGTCTTCAACTCCTGACCTCAGGTGATCCACCCACCTCAGCCCCCTAAAGTGCTGGGATTACAGGCGTGAACCACTGCGCCCAGCCAGTTTCCCTTTTTAAAAAATCAGATTAGATGGTCTAAACTCCAATCTTGGCCGGACTTCACCACTGCTACCTAAGAACCAGTGAACCCTGGCTTTTAAAAGTCCTCAGGCTGGGAGCGGTGGCTCACGCCTGTAATCCCAGCACCTCAGGAGGCCAAAGCCGGAGGATCACTTGATCCCAAGAGTTTGAGACCAGCCTGGGCAACAAGGCAAGATTATCTCTACAGAAAAATAAGAACATCAGCTGGGCGTGGTGGCGCGCGCCTGTGGTCCCAGCTACTCCGAAAGTGGAAGTGGGGGGATCACCTGAGCCGGGGAGGTCGAGGCTGCAGTGAGCCATGATTGCACCAATGCACTCTAGCCTGGGCGACAGAGCGAGACCGTCTCTAAAAATAAAAAATGGCAATTTTATGCATATTTTGCCACAATTTTATGAAAAAGGCCTCAGGGGGAAAAGAAAATTCCTTAGAATGCCACCCCAGCTTCGTTCTGGGATTTCAGTGTCTTCAGTCAGATCTGAAGTGTGCAGAAGCTGTTAGGGCGGGAGCAGCCGGGGCGCAGTCCCACCGCCGGTCACTAGAGGGCGGCAGAGACCAGTGGGCCCTGCCCGACCTCTGGCTAAGGCCCCAGGCACGCATGCGCTCTCCCACCCCAGCCTTCGGCGCGAGGCCCCTGCAGAGATTCAGGCTAACCTCGGTCTCCAAGGCAACGGCTTGGCGAGGCGACCCTAGGAAGTGCGCAGCAGAGGGGCAGGGGGGCGGCCTGCGGCCAGGGGAAGCAGTGCGCATGCGTGGGAAAACAGGTTCCACCCCTTCCCCAACATTTAAGCCCCCCTAAGATTGGGGCCTTGGGGACTGTCCCCACTGACCTCGTGGATGCCAAAGTGTGCGTAGGAGTCAAAGTAGTAATCTTTGGATGTCATGTCCTCAGCGTTGGGCTTCTCACTGCTTTCCGCCTGGCCACAGGACACCTGGGAGGGGGCCGATGGGATCATGGGTCAGATCTGGGGGCTCCCCACAGCCTCTTAAACCTCCAGCGCCCTACTTTTCCCTGAAGAGTAGTATAGAACCCCCAAAATCATACCATGACAACCCTACAGCCCCCGCCTGCCATCTTGCCCCCCCAGGAACCCCAAAACCTAACAACCCCATTTTCCACTTCCAGGACCCCCCCAGAGCACCATCCAGGGGAGCACCCCGATACCTCAGCCACGCCTACCATCTCTCCAGTCTCTCTGACCCCGTCTCTAGCTCAGCCCACAGCTGGGGAGGGGAGGGGAAGGAAAATGGGGGCAGACACAGGGAAGGGCAAAGGGGGGTTGGAGGTGGAGTTAAGGAAGTAGCGGCGATACTGGGGGAGGCCAGCGGGGGCTGTGAACCTGGAGGGGTTGCTACTAAGTGTCTGGGGGCCTGGGGTAAACTGGTTTGAAGCAAGAGGGGTATGGTTAGACCTCAAGAAAGGGCCAGATGTGTGGCAAGATATATTGATGTGGAGGTCAGGGTGGGGAGGGGTCTCACAAAAGGATATTTACTTCTTCAAGAGGCGGCTGGAGGCTCATCCCATTAGCCAAGGTGGCTACAAAATTCTAGGAGAGAGTAACAGGGAAAAAGGATTAGCTACTGGGAGTGGCTGTGGGAGGGCTGGGTGGCGGAACCTGGGCTCTGGCCGGGGGGTGGGTTTCCAGCAATTCTCCTTCTTGGTGGGGAGTGGTGGCGAAGGGGGCAAGTAATGAGGTGGGGTGTTTAAGAAAGGGTGGGAAAAGTGAGGGGAGAAGAAAGGGGGGTCTCCTATCCCAGCTGTGGCTGGAGAGATGGTGGCCCACCCCCACGCTGCCCCTCTCTGGCCAGGCAGCTGACCACACACCTCCCCCATCCAGGCCAGGGGAATTGGCACCCACCACCGCCAGCTGTCGCTCCCTCTCATCACCTAATCTCCTCCAGATTAGGTGACACTTCCTGACACACACACCCCTATCCTAGGGTGCCATGAATAGCAGAAGGGAGCGGGGCTGGCAGGATATGCCCACAGGGCATCTGCCACCTCTGCAAACCAGTCTCATGTCTGAGAGGATTCCAGAATAGAGGTGTGGCACACGGGTACTTCCCCAGAGCTAGTACCCCAGACCCCAGCTCCTGCCTTGGACTCAGGAGCCCCAAACAAAACCAGCTGGAACCAACCCCCTCCCTTATGACCCTCTGCCCACGAAGGTAGGGTCCCAGGGAAGATGGGCAGCTCCTGGACCCTCTAAGAATGAGAGGACTCCAGAAAGTGGCTTGGGGGCACGGTGGCTCACACCTGCAATCCCGGCACTTTGGGAGGCCGAGGCAGGTGGGTCACCTGAGGTCAGGAGTTTGAGACCAGCCTGACCAACATGGTGAAACCCTATCTCTACTAAAAATACAAAAATTAGCTGGGCCTGGTGGCGGGTGCCTGTAATCCCAGCTACTCAGGAGGCTGAAGCAGGAGAATCGCTTGAACCCGGGAGGCGGAGGTTGCAATGAGCCGAGATCAAGCCATTGCACTCCAGCCTGGGTGACAGAGTAAGACTCCGTCTCAAAAAAAAAAAAAAAAAAAGTGGCTTGGGGAGTCAGGCCATCGCCCCCATTCAGACACCCATCCCAGGCCCTGAAGACTTCCAGGTGCGGCCAAGCCTGAGGCCACCTCTGGGAAAGTTATTTCCTCCATCCATAGAGCCCCAGGTGCAGGAGACAGCCAAGAGGGTGGGAAGTCATTACAGTGACCCCTGGGAGCTGCATCCTGACAGCTGAGAGCTGACCTGCCCCTCCAGCCAATGCCATAGGTAAGGGGTGGAAGGACAGAGGCCCCATCAGATTACATCTCTTCCAGATGTGACCACTATCCAAGTCTCCAAGAAGGGCCACGTCACAGGCCATGACCTACTAGGCTCCAAGCACCCTCCCTCCAGCTCTCCCAAGCTAGCGGGGATGCCTATAAGAAGAAAGGTGCTGAGGGGGTTTCCCACTCGGGCCTATTTCTCAATACCACTGAAAACTACCGCCAGACAACCCCAGCCCCAGAGGGCTTGAAACGCAAGACTGAAACCTCCCCCACATGGCTGCACGAGAACCAAACCTCACTCGAAACCATTTCAGGCACCCACTCTCAGGACCCCAGGGCTCAGGACCCTGCACAGGGCTTCAGGAAGAAGGAGGTCATCTCGCACCCTCACAAAGACCCGGGGGAGATAAACGGCTCCAGTAGGGTAAAGCTCTCAGCCTACATATTTCCCACAACTCCTTCCCAGCGGACATACCCTCCTCCCTCCGCCCGCCAGGAAGAAATCCGAGGGGAGGTGGGCTTCAGGACACGCCCCATGAAAAAGATGTCCCTCCCACACACCCAGAAATGGCCACAAGGGGGTGCACGGCGCCTATTAATGGGAAAATCTCTATCTAGATGCCCCACCACCACCCAGAGGGAGGTCACAGGGGCATGCCCCATCCCCCAACTCCTAAAGCCCTGGGCGAGGGGGAGAATTCTGGGAGGGGAAACGGGGTCGGCGGGGGACCCCATTCTTGGTTTTCCTCCAGTCCCTAACCCAGAACGCACAAAACCGGGTCCGATATCCCAACAGATGCCCCCGGAGCTCGGAAGGAGGTTGGTAAAGGGCTGAGAAGCACTGCTCCTCCCAAGAGACTCCCCACATCGTGGAGGGCCCCAGGTCGATCACACCCCACGGCGTGTGCCCAGGTCCCCGGGGAGGAGGGCTGGGGGCGTCAGGAGGGTCGGACCCCCTCCCCGCCCCCCTGGGCGCCCCTCCCCGGCCGGGGGCGGGGCCTTTGTCCCGCACGTGGAGCCCGCCGGGCCACTGGACTCGGCACACCCCCTCCCCACCCACCGCGCAGCGGCCACGTGGGGGCCTGGCCGGAAGCGCCCCCAGCCCTCCTCCACGTGGGAGGGGGGATAAGACCCTCCGCTAGGCCGGATGCCGAAGGCCCTTGGAAGCTAGGGAGCCGTCACCTCAAACGATATCCCCGGATGTGGAACGTGCGGCGCCCCCGTGTGCGGCGGGGGACCTCCAACCCCATATCGCCAACTTAGAGCCCTTTCCCCACCACAGAGGCGTGAAACACCGACCCAAAGCCGCCTCCCGCCCACGGCGGCGCTCCAAGCGCTCACCTCCATGATGCAGTTCGCGGCCTCGGCTGCCGCCATCTTCACCCGCACCTACTCCTCCTCCGGCCGCCAAGACCCCCCCTTTCTCCTCACTCCCCCGGGACCGCCTTATACCAGAGGGTCCACGGCCCGCCTACCGCGACCCCGCTGGAAGATTTCATTGGCAATGGAGGCGGCCCGTCTGAGAATACCGTCTAGTAATTGGCTAGAGAATACGTCCATCATAGGTCAGGGGTTTGCCAACTCTGGCGTCCAGAATCCCGCCCCCTCAAGTCGACCCGGGATGGGGAAAACTGCCCGTCTATTGCAAGAAGCGCGACTGGTGATTGGGCAAAATCCACCAGGAATGCCCTCCCCTTTACACCCAGCACCGCCTCAAAGCTTCCCGGGGAGCCCCGCGCTAAAGGGGCGTCTTGAAACACCTGTCCATCACCAAAACGACCCGCCTCCTAATCGCTGCCATTGGTTTATCCGGAAGCGACGTCACGCAGCCTTTGGCCCACCCTCGCCAAGCGGCCGGCCTCAAGGAGAACACGGCAATTGGCCCACGGGTAGGGAAGAAGGCGGGGCTTCAGGCACCAACGATTGGCTCAAAGGAATTATCACTCCTCGTCCACTCGGTGGATCCTCCCAACCCGGGGGGAGTCTGGAGGAAAAAGGGAGCTTGTGCTCATTACCTGGGGGAAAAACGGAATCGGTGAGAGGCCCAGAGAGAGGAAGGGCATAGCTGGGGTCCCGAAGCAAGTGAGGAATAGGAGTCCGTCGTCAACACATTAAATCCCTAGCCCTTGACATAATCATTCCAAGTTTTTTAAAACCATCAACCCCTCTCAAGCCACTTGGTTTTTGCCAAGTCCCTCCCCCTGCCAGGAACGCCCACCTCTCTTTGTCTGGTCAGCTTCTAAACGTGAATCAGAGCACAGCTTAGGCACCACTTCCTCCGGGAAGCTTTCCTTGATTTGCAGAAAAAGTTCCTAGTTGAATGAAGCTGAATGCAAAGGGCCGAATGCGTGGGTCCTGCCCCTCCTCTCCCCGATCCCTCTACTTCCCTCTGCTCACACTTCTCTCCAATCCCGGAATGAGCTCGCTCTTTGGTTTCTGGGCCTCCGCGCAGGCTATACTCTCTGGCGTGCCGCTGGCAAACGCCTGAGACTTAAAATTTACAATAGGGTTCGGGCGCGATGGCTCACGGGTGTAATTCCAGCACTTTAGGAGGCGGAGGCAGGCGGATCACTTGACATCAGGAGTTCGAGACCAGTCTGGGCAACATGGTGAAACCCCCATTTCTATTAAAAATACAAAAATTACGCCAGGCGGCCGGGCGCGGTGGCTCACGCCTGTAATCCCAGCATTTTGGGAGACCGAGGCGGGCGGATCACAAGGTCAGGAGGTCGAGACCATCCTGGCTAACATGGTGAAACCCCCGTCTCTACTAAAAATACAAAAAATTAGCCGGGCGTGGAGGCTTAGGCAGGAGGATGGCGTGAACCCGGGAGGCGGAGCTTGCAGTGAGCTGAGATCGCGCCACTGCACTCCAGCCTGGGTGACAGAGCGAGACTCTTGTCTCAAAAAAAAAAAAAAAAAAAATTTGGCCGGGCGCGGTGACTCACGCCTGTAATCCCAGCATTTTGGAAGGCTGAGGTGGGCGGATCACAAGCTCAGGAGTTCGAGACCAGCCTAGCCAATATGGTGAAACCCCCGTCTCTACTAAAAAAACAAAAATTAGCCGGGTGTGGTGGTGGGCGCCTGTAGTCCCAGCTGCTCCAGAGGCTGAGGCAGGAGAATCACGTGAACCCGGGAGGCAGAGGTTGCAGTGAGCTGAGATGGTGCCACTGCACTCCAGCCTAGGCGACACAGCGAGACTCCATCTCAAAAAATAATAAAATAAATAAAAATAAAAATAAAAAAATTAGCCAGGACTGGTGGCACACGCCTGTAATCCCAGCTACTTGGGAGGCTGAGGCAGGAGAATCGCTTGAGCTCAGGAGGTGGAGGTTGCAGTGAGCCAGGATGAAGCCATTGCACTCCAGCTCGAGCGACAGACCGAGACTCTAACTTTAAAAAAAAAAAAAAAAATTGAAAAGCATGGCACTAAACAAACCAAGAAAAGGACATTTGTTTCCAGTGTTTGAGCTGAAGCAAGAGGAGCCCAGCTGCAAATATGCACATCAGGTCTTTAGCTTGTTGCAGCTCTGTGCATAAGCATTGCCCTCCAAAACACCACAAAAGCACTGCCTTAATTTTTGGGGTATGAATACATTGTAGCAAGGATGCAAATTTGCAAATAATCTACAAATACTGAGGATCAACTGTAATTGGTTCGGTTTGTAATCCTGTACATTTCACTTATTAATTTACAAACATTACTCTGTGAAGGGGGATATGGCCCTATAAAGGAGACAAACCGCCCAGGCACAGTGACTCATGCCTGTGATCCCAGGACTTTGGGATGCCAAGGTAGGAGGATCACTTGAGCCCAGGAGGTGGAGACCAGCCTGGGCAACATAAGGGAGACCCCATTTCTACAATTTTTTTTTTTTTGAGACGGAGTCTCGCTCTGTTGCCCAGGCTGGAGTGCAGTGGCGTGATCTCAACTCACTGCAACCTCTTGCCTCCCGGGTTCAAGCGAGTCTCGTGCCTCAGCCACCCAAGTAGCTGGGATTACAGGCACCCACCACCATGCCCGGCTAATTTTTGTATTTTTAGTAGAGATGGGGTTTCACCATGTTGGCCTGGCTGGTCTTGAACTCCTGACCTCAAGTGATCCACCTGCCTTGGCCTCCCATAAAAATTCTTTTTTAAAAATTAGCTAGGCGTCGTGTCGCATGCCTTTAGTTCCAGCTACTAGAGAGGCTGAAGTGGGAGGATCACTTGAGCCCAGGAGGTTGAGGCTGCAGTGAGCCATGATAGTGCCACTGTATCTATATAACAGTGCAAGTATAGGCAACAGAGCAAGACCCTATCTCCAAAAAAAAAGGGAGAGTGGGGGGTGTGTGTGAGACAAACCACTGGTCTGTAGGTAGATGAGAAACCAGCAAGAGAGACTTGAAAGGAGCAATGGGAGGAGAAAAACAAGAAGAGGGTGGTGTCCTAGACACAGGTGAAGTTAGACTGTACCTTTCTGTGGAATTCACTGGAAAGACTCCATGACCATCATACAGCATTAGCTAGAATAACCAGATCGTGCAATAGGAAAAAAAAATGCAAGTTGCTGGAATATTTACAGGTATTCTCTCAAATATGTTACATGTCCAGGAGACAGGCTCTTGTAGGTGCTGCAAATAAATATTTCTAGAATGAATGAACTGGTTCTTTCCTCAATTTGCGTAAGCCACAGAAATCTCTGAACCAAATCTCCTCTCCTTAAAACTTTAGTTCCCAAGTGTAAGAACAGACAATTGAATACTTTGTAACGTTTTTAATAAGAAAAGTTTTAAACAATTTATTTTTGGCAAAAACAGGTAGGGCAACCACCACCCCACAGCCCTGAGTGGAATAGGAAGACTTGGAAAAGCACACGAAGAGGGCAGGGACATGAGGTGTCATCTTGTAGCAGCTTCTGAGAAAGAGCTCAGTCCAATGGCAAGTTCAAGTCCACGGGTGAAACAGCCAGGATGCCCTCCTGGAAGGGAAAAGTGGCAGAGCCCTGTGAGCAGGGCAGGTGTTCCCCCCATACAGCAGCGTCCACATCAGCCCTGTGAGATTAGAGACGGGAAGGCGAGGAACCAGAGAGCGGAGGGTGACAGACACCCAGACAAGGGGACAGAGACCCAGACAGAAGGGCACAGGGATGAGGGGGCAGGGTCCTAGCAGGAGGAGGAAAGGTTGAGCTCGAGGAGGGTCAGGACACTGGAGTGGGATTAGACAGAGATCCAGAGAGAGTGAAGAGTTGGGGGACAGAGTCAGAGATGGGGAAGAGAGTCTTGGGATTTGAACAATTCAGAGTCGTGGCTTTGTGTACAAATCCAGATTCCAACACTCTGCATGCTGGGGACTTTTCCTCTCTGCCCCCACAAGACGAGGACAATAAGAGCCCCATGAGGTTGTAGTGGGTTTAAATGGGATCATTCCATTGAAATCCCTAGCAGAGGACCTGGCCCACCGAGAAAACTCATCTGCTATCAATCCTACTTTAAAAAAATTTTTTAAGAAATTGTCCAGGCGTGGTAGCTCAGCCTGTAATTCCAGCACTTTGGGAGGCCGAGGTGGGTGGATCACTTGAGGCCAAGAGTTCGAGACCAGCCTGGCCAACAGGGCAAAACCCCGTCTCTGCTAAAACTACAAAATTAGCCGGACATGGTGGTGTGCGCCTGTAACCCCAGCTACTCAGGAGGCTGAGGCAGGGAATCGCTTGAACCCAGGAGGTGGAGGTTGCAGTGAGCCAAGGTCGTGCCACTGCACTCCAGTCTGGGCAATAGAGTGAGACTCCATCTGAAAAATTAAAATAAAATAAAATAAACGAGCTTCTTTGCTGAGCCCAACACTTATATCCATTCCCCTCAACATGTGCTATGAGTTCTGATCTTACTGTAGACCGGACCACCTCCAGTCCTGCTCCCCACCCCCATCGCCCCCATCCCCACACCTTCCCCATCTCGGGGAACTTAAGATGTCGCCCTGCAGCTGCTCGGGCCAGCATCCTTTAGTCTGTCCCCACATCTGGCCCATTAGCCAAATCTGTCAGCTTCACCGCTAAGTTAAATCCAGCATTCTCCACCGCCCCCGACTTGGGTGAGATCCACTCACCTCCTCCCTGTGCCCCTACTTCTGCCCTCGCCCCCAGCAGTCTGTCCCCAGGCAGCCGCCAGAGGGCGCCCATTAGCGCCTAAATCAGCGCCTGTCCCTCCGCTGCTCAGAGACCTTGGCTTACCCAGAGTCAAAGTCCGAGTTGTCACTCACCGTGACCACAGGGTCCTGGCTGGCCCGGCGCCTCTCCTCCTCTCATCTGTCGCCCGCTCACCCTACTGTAGCCCTACTGGCCTCCTCCTCCCTGCTCCTCAAACACACTTGACCAGCTCCTGCCAGGGAAACCGGTTCCATCCAGAGCCTGGCTTGTGTCCCTCTCTCAGTGAATACCCACAGCGACCCCCCAAGGCAGGTAAATGAGACGGTGCTCACTGGACCAGTGGGGAGAGTGCCGCTCAGGGAGACTGCGACAGTCGCCAAGCCACAGGGCCAGCACGCTGGAGCCCAATCCAACTCTGAAACCGGCACTGGAGATAAAGTAAGAAAAGGAGAGGGGAAGACTTCTGGGTCTCCTGAAGCTGATGTGTTAGAGGTGGGAGACACCAACAAAGAAAAATAAACCAGAAGACAAGTAAAACAAGTCAATTCCACCATCTGTTGGAAGGCCCAAAGTGCTATGGAAGGAAAAGTAAAGCAGGAAGGGGGAAGGAGGGCGGTGGGAGGGTGTGCAGGTGGCTGTGATTGTCAATGGGGACCTGGGAAGGCCTCGTTGGGGGTGAAACCAGAGCCCACCAGAAGGAGCAGGACGGAGGCAGGGGGTTCCCCGGGAGGGCATCCTGGCAGGCACTGTTGGAAAGGCAGCAGGTAGCCATATAACCTCACCAACAAAATGCCTGCATGCCAGGCAGTGCACAGAGGGCTTACCACATTGACCCCATTTTAACCCTCAGAGCGACCCTTTGAGGTAGCACTACTACTCTCACTATTTTATTTTTTGAGACAGGGTCCCACTCTGTCACCCACACTGGAGTACAGTGGCGCAATCATAGCTCACCACAGCCTTGAACTCCTGGGCTCAAGTGATCCTCCCGGCTCCTCTGCCTCCTGAGTAGCTGGGAGTAAACGTGTGAGCTACCATGCTTTGCTAATTATTATTAATTTTAAAAATTTTTATTTATTTATTTTTTGAGACAGAGCCCCGCTCTTGTTGCCCAGGCTGGAGTGCAGTGGTGCAATCTCGGCTCACTACAACCTCTGCCTCCCAGGTTCAAGCAATTCTCTTGCCTCAGCCTCCCTAGCTGGGATTACAGGCATGCCGGGCTAATTTTGTATTTTTAGTAGAGACTGAATGTCACCATGGTCAGGCTGGTCTCAAACTCCTGACCTCAAGTGATCCACCCACCTCAGTCTCCCAAAGTGCTGGGATTACAGGTGTGAGCCACCGCACCAGGTTTTTATTATATTATTTTGTTGAGACACAGTCTCACTCTGTCGCCCAGGCTGGAGTGCAGTGGCATGATCTCAGCTCACTGCAATCTCTGCCTCCCAGGTTCAAGCGATTCTCATGCCTCAGTCTCCTCGGTAGCTGGGATTACAGGCACCTGCCACCGCGCCCGGCTAATTTATGTATTTTTTTTAGTAGACACAGGGTTTCACCACGTTGGCCAGCTGGTCTCAAACTCCTGACCTCAGGTGATCCACCTGCCTCGGCCTCCCAAAGTGCTGGGATTACAGGTGTGAGCCACCGCACCCGACCCTGGCTAGTTATTTTCAATTTTTGTAGAGATGGGGTCTTACTATGTTGTCCAGGCTGGTCTTGAACTCCTGGCCTCAAATAATTCTCCTGCCTTGGCCTCCAAAAGTGCTGGGATTACAGGCATGAGCTACCCCGTCCGGCCTCTCCCTGAGTAACCTCAGTCACTGGTTTCACGCTCACAGTATTAGCGTACCCAGTCGTTGACGCCAGGCATAGTGTCTGCACTCATCGCTGCAGTCCTGGCATACAGCAAGGGCTCAACAGAACGAACGCAGTGGAGCTGGGAGAATACCTGAGGTCTGAGAGGAACCTAAGAAGTCCCCGCCCCTCCTCTATCACATGACAGTTAGGTAAAGTGAGGCCCGGAGAGAGAGGCTTCAGCGGCTCACCCAGCCCCCGTGGGCCTGGATCCAGGGCGTGAAGCTGTGCACGTGCTCCACGCTGAGTCCGGCCAGGGTGCCCCCCAGCCCGGCCACGCGCCGGCTCAGCTCCATGGCTAGGGCCAGGCGGGCCAGGGGCTCCGGGGAAGGAGGCGGGGGCCCGGGGCATGCTCGGCTTGGGCGAGAGCTGTCATCCCGGCTACAGAACAGCTCCACCAGGCGGGCGAAAGAGTCGGAGGACAGGCGGACCAGCTTGCTGCGCAGGGCGGGGTCCGAGGCCAGCTGTAGGGTGGAAGAGGCAGGGTCCGCGTCAGCAGCGCCCCCGGGGCCAGCCAATAGAGGGCCGGGAGGCGTGGCTTCCCGGTTCAGGATCGTTCTAGATGCTAAGGTTCTAGGCCACCCCTCATCCATATTAGCCAATCAAGCCAGACTCCAGGGTCTCTGCCAAACTACCCCCGGGATAGTGGCCTGGAACGTGAGTCCCTAAGCCATGCCAGGCCCTTGCCTCAACAGCCAATCAGGGCCAATCTCTACTGTAACTGAGTTAATCTAGCCATGCCCCTGGTGACCTTTCCCAGGGGCCAACCTAGTGTCTACAACAATCTTGCCCTCTACCATTCAATTAATATTAAAGGACGATGTACCTTGTCCAAGCTCCGAAGCCAATCAGATTCCAGGACACAGCCACAAGCCACACCTCCTCTGGTAGTACATTTTCCCCTACATTCTAAGCCAGGTCCCTTCTATGCTCAGTAAGATTTTAGCCACTCCCCCCACCCCCACATTCATTCACTTACTTCCCCAGCTTGGCCAGTCTCTTGTGGATAATGTTTCTGATGGCCACACCCTCTGCATTTAGGCCATGCCCCTCTAAACAATCAATTAAAACAACTAATTTACGGTACAGTACTACCCTAACCATACCCCTGTCATTCAACTATTCTTTTTTTTTTTTTTTTTTAAAGACAGAGTCTCACTCTGTCACCCAGGCTGGAGTGCAGTGGCGCAATCTTGGCTCACTGCAACCTCCACCTCCTGGGCTCAAGCGATTCTCCTGCCTCAGCCTTCTGAGTAGCTGGGATTACAGAAGCGCACCACCACACCTGTCCGATTTTTGTATTTTTAGTAGAGATGGGGTTTCACCATGTTGGCCAGGCTGGTCTCGAACTCCTGACCTCAAGTCATCCACCCAACTCGGCCTCCCAAAGTGCTGGGATTACAGGCGTGAGCCACCACACCCGGCCTCAACCCTTCATTGAAACCTTGTCCCAGCCTCTTTCCACCTGACCATCCAAAGAAAATACAGATCCAGCTTCTGATCCCAGTGCCCCACCATTCCGCAACTCCTGTCCTTGCCAAGGAGTGGGACAGATGCCCATCACCTTCTGGTTAATGACTTCTGCCTCCTCCTCCAGCAGGGCCACCAGCCTCCGCAGTATGGCTTCCTTCTCTGTCGATGGGGGACCCTGTAATTCTGGAGGCAGAAGAGAATTTGGCTGGGGGCAGAACCCTGACTATCCTCCCACCGCCATCCTTCTCTGGGGCTCCTCTGTGCCTCACCTGGGCTGGGCGGAGATTTCAGCTGCTCTTGGACCAGCTGTTCCAGCCGCTGGGCCACCAAAGCATAGAAGTCTGGAGTAGCTGGGCCTGGGGTGAAAAGAGTTAATGACAGGTTTCCAGGACATTGGAAACTTACGGATTCTCTCCTTCCCCCAACTACCTTGGCAGGTGGCAATGATTCCCATTTTATTTATTATTTATTTATGTATTGATTTTGGGAAACGGAGTCTCGCAATTCTCCTGCCTCAGCCTCATGAGTAGCTGGGACTACAGGCGCACGCCGCCATACCTGGCTAATTTTTTGTATTTTAGTAGAAATGGGGTTTCACCGTGTTGCCCAGGCTGACCTCAGGCAATCCACCCACCTCAGCCTCCCAAAGTGCTAGGATTACAGGCGTGAGCAACCAAGCCTGGCCATGATTCCCATTTTATAATGGGGTAAACTGAGGCCCAGTGAGAAAACTTGGTTAAAAATGCCAAAACCCTTGTACTTTTCACTTTATGAGATCCTCAGACTGGACTTAGAATGTCAGAGCTGGGGCCAGGCGCAGTGGCTCACGCCTGTAATCCCATCACTTTGGGAGGCTGAGGCAGGCAGATCACCTGAGGTTGGGAGTTCGAGAGCAGCCTGACCAACATGGAGAAACCCCATCTCTACTAAAAATACAAAAAAAATTAGCCGGGCATGGTGGCGCATGCCTATAATCCCAGCTACTTGGGAGGCTGAGGCAGGAGAATTACTTGAACCCGGGAGGTAGAGGTTGTGGTGAGCCGAGATCGGGCCATTGCACTCCAGCCTGGGCAACAAGGGCGAAACTCCGTCTCAAAAAAAAAAAAAAAAAAAAGAATGTCAGAGCTGACAGGGTGCGGTGGCTCACGTCTGCAATCTCAACATTTTGGGAGGCCGACGTGGGAGGGTCACTTGAGGCCAGGAGTTTGAGGCCAGCCTGGCCAACGTGGCGAAACCCCGTGTCTACTAAAAGTATAAAAATCAGCTAGTATGCTGGCGTGCACCTGTAATCCCAGTCACTCGGGAGGCTGAGGCACGAGAATCGCTTGAACCCAGGAGGTGGGGATTGCAGTGAGTCGAGATTGCACCCCTGCACTCCAGCCTGGGTGACAGAGCAACAATCTGTCTCCAAAAGACTGTCAGAGCTCAACTAGACCTTGAAGATGATCTCATCCAAGGAAGGCAAACACAAGACATTACTGTTAGTATCCCCTTCCCTCACTCACTACAGACATCACCAATTGATCACAGCACTTCCTCTCCCAAGCTGTGAACCCCTTTTCAAGCTAGCACTCCCAGCAGCCATTACTAGTCTGTCCAGGTTCACACCTATGAGGAAACTTGTGGGTCACCTTGATCAAGTCCAGTGACCTCCTCCCCAATTCCTACTCTGCTATTGGAAAAACAGGGGAGCAGGGAAGAGAAAGCATTTTCCCCAGAGTCACGCAACTAAAACAGCCAGGGAGATGTGATTGAAAACCAGCCCTTCTGCCCCTCTATCAGGGGTATTCCTGGCTACAAAAGTCCTAGGGGCAGGGAAGTAGTTATGGAAGGAAAGAGACAACAACCAGATTGACCAAATGCTCTCTGAAAGCCAACCCACAGAATTGACAGAAATCTAACTGGGGAGGGGAGAGGACAGGACGGTTCTGTCCTGAAGGCTGGTGCTAGAGACTCCACACAGCCACCCCCTAGCTGAGTGATCTTAAACTAGCACCTTATCCCGTGTTCTGCCGGCTTCATAGATGATCATGGAAATCTCTTACCAGGCTCTAAACCATAGCAGGGGCGGATGGGCAGAGAGCAAGGCCGAGGGGACTCAGAGGGGGCTGCTCCTCGCCCCAGGGAGCAGGGAAGACATCTTCGAAGGCGGCTCAGGAAGTCTGTTGGCTCTTCTTGGGCAGGGCTTCTGGAGAGGAGGACTTCAGAGACTGACCCCACCAGAGATCCCCTGCAAGCAGTCTCTTTCCCCAACTCCCTCCCTCCCCCGCTGAGGACCTCTCTCCAAAACCCCAAAGACAGAGAATAGAGCCAGATATAAAGAGAGGAGACAGACTGAGACCAGGAGCAAGAGTTAGGAGGGAGCCTCAAATGCTGGCCCCTGGGGGAGAAGGGCCACTCCTCTTACCTAGGTGGAGTTGGAACAGGAGACCCGGCAGCCTCACCACGCCTAAGGAAGGCAGCTAGGACCCTCAGCGTGTCTTCCCGGAGCCCCAGCTCTTCAGAGCCTGCCATGGAGGCACCTGTGAGAGAGAGGGTTAGGGACTGGACTCCAAGGGTTTAGCAAGAAGTGGAGGCTTGGGGACCAGGACTTGTGAGTCCCAAGGAAGGTGCTGAGGGCCTGGACTCCTGGGTCCTTTGGAGAGTGTGGGTCTGGGGGCCTAGACTCTTGAGTCCTCAGACGAAAAAGCGATCAGGAAAAAGACTCTTCGATCCAAGGAAAGGTGGTGGGGCTGGGTGCCCAGATTCGTGGGTCTAAAGGAGGAGGGAGCTGGGGTCCTGGACTTCTGAGTCTTAGAGAAAAAGGAACTGGAGCCCCAGACCCTTAGGTCTCCCAGGAAGAAGAGGCTTAGCGCCCCAACTCCTGGATTCTATAAGAGGCATATGCCAAACTCCTGAAACCCTTAAAGCATCGGGAACTACCAATCCCAAGAGGTTTCAGGGCAAATCTTCCCCTAGGTCCGCGCTTCTTCGCCGCGCAGCCTGCTGTGAGGTGTAGTTCCAAATCTCCGACCCCTGCTGGAATCTAGAGGACCCTGGACCCTTGGATATCAGAGAAGCGGGACTGGGGTGCCCACCACTGGATCCCGGCCCCCTCCTCTTCCCTCCTCACCCCACCCCTCGTCAACACCCCGCTGACCTGGTCCGGGGCCCCACCGCCGCCTCCTCCACTCAACTTGCGGTCTCCTCCACTGAACTCGTACAAACTTTATTAGTTCAACTTTCCCGCGCCTGCGCACTGGGCCGGGTCGATAACCGGCCCAGCGTAGAAAGGGCGGAACGCTGGGTGCACGCTCAATTTGCATGTGACGCTCCCAGCATGCCTCTGGCCGGAAACCCAAAAAAGGGCATAGGGGCGGGAACAGCCCAGCGGGCCGTCCCATCGGCTTTTGGGTCTGTTACCCAAAGAATGATAAAGTTGGTTTTATTTCAAGAAGTCGATCAAAAAGAAAGCCCCAGCGCTCTAGAGCTCAGCTGACGGGAAAGGGGGTGCGCAGCCTCGAGTTTGAGAGCTACCCGGAGCTCCAAGACAGGGGTGGGTTCCAGCTGCCCGCACGCCCCGACCTTCCATCGTAGGTAACGCGGAAGAGCCCGGGAGAGCGTTGGTGGCGTCCGAGAGCGAGGAGCGGGAAAGAGGATGGGTCTGCACGGAGAGTGGAAAGGCAGGCTGTGTACTCTGGGGAAAGTGGAGCAAGGAAGGAGCTACAGTGGCCGACGCTGGAGGTCGGCTGCAGAAAAACTAGAAAAAGTAGGGAGGAAAGAGGAAAAGAGGAGGCGTCTACACTGAGGGGGTTCTAGAGAGGGAGGGGTGGACTCCGTAGATGGGGGTAGTTCAGTCTCGAAACCTGGGGCGTGCTCTGTCCTGGAGGAGGGAGGCGGGCAGTCGGAGGGGAATTGAATGGAAGTTCTGTGTTGGAAATGTTTTGGGAGATCTTCTGTAGGGGGACTGTGGAAGGGGGTCTACATTGGGGTAAGTGCAGGAGGTAGAGGCTTACACGTGAATCGATTCTGCACTGAAATAACTAGGGAAAGAGGATGCTACCCTGAAAGTGGGGATACTTACTTTCGATGATGTGGGGGAGGGAGGAGGTCTATACTGGCGGAATTGAGGGAGTGGAGGGTCTGCACTGAAGACGCTGGGGAAGGATGTGCCATGGATATGGGAAGGAACCCTAGCTGATTAGAGAGCCTCTCGGGAGGATGGGAGGATGGGAAGAGGAGGTTTCCTGTTTGTACCCCCGAAAATATGGGTGAAGGACCTGTGCCGTGGCCCGTGAGAAGGAGGTCTGGGTGCGGAAACTCCAGGCCAGGTGGGTCCGGGGGAGGCCGGTCGCGCCCAGGAAATGCCCTATACGCGCAGGCCGGACCATGGGAACCCCAAAGCCACGGATCCTGCCCTGGCTGGTGTCGCAGCTGGACCTGGGGCAACTGGAGGGCGTGGCCTGGGTGAACAAGAGCCGCACGCGCTTCCGCATCCCTTGGAAGCACGGCCTACGGCAGGATGCACAGCAGGAGGATTTCGGAATCTTCCAGGTGCGTGCGACGACCTGGGACGCTGGAAACCCGGAGCTGCGCGCTGGGCGGAAAGGACTCCTAGTGGGCCCGGCTGAGAAGGCGGAGGTGGCGCGCGAGGGGCGGGCTCGTGCCAACGCTGGTGGGTGGGGCTAGAACGGGAGGGGCGGGGCTAGCCGGATCCGCTGACTGATGGTGGGGCGCAAGCAGGGTTGGAGCTGCAGGGTTACGGGAATAAAACCGGGAAAGCCGGTTAGTACGCAAAGGAAATGCATCCTGGGGGTTTGGGGCTTTCTAGAGGCCGGGGCTCTTGGTTGTAGGATAGATACTGGGGGATGGTTCTTGAAACATCAGAGGTGAGGCCTGGAGCCCCAAATCTGAGGTTCCTAACTACCGAATTAGTATATGCCAGAGGTGGTAAACAGTGTGAGGGGCGGGGTTATCACAGAGGGTGTCGCGGGGCAGGTGGTGCACGGGATTAGACACCAAGTTGGACTTGGAAGCCTGGCTTAGAAAGAAAAGGTTTTTGGGCCGGGGGCGGTGGTTCACACCTGTAATCCTAGCACTTTGCAAGGCCAAGGCGGGAGGATCGCTTGAGCCCAGGAGTTTGAGGCCAGCTTGGGCAACATAGGCTCCATCTCTTTAAAAACAAAAGCGAAACAAAACAAAAACCAAAGAGGTTTCAAAGGCTTTTGAAGAGGCCGAGCACAGTAGCTCATGCCTGTAATCCCAGCACTTTGGGAGGCCGAGGAGGACGGATCACCTGAGGTCAGGAGTTCAAGACCAGCCTGGCCAACATGGTGAAACCCCATCTCTACTAAAAATACAAAAATTAGCCAGGTGTAGTGGTGCCCACCTGTAATCCCAGCTACTCAGGAGGCTGAGACAGGAGAATCGCTTGAACCGGGGAGGCGGAAGTTGCAGTGAGCTGAGATTGCACCATTGCATTCCAGCCTGGGTGACAGGAGTGAAACTCCATCTCAAAAAGAAAAAAAGCCTTTTGAAAACTAGAGGTGGGGGATGGAGGTAGGTGGGACGGGGGGATTTGGGGATGGACCTTGCAGAGTTAGAACTTGCCAGGGAAAGAGGGTGGTGTTAGGACTCGGGAGACAGGGTTAGGGCCCCAGGAGCAGGATCTAAGTCGTCCTCCCCCACCATCCTGACACCACTGTTGCCCCAGGCCTGGGCCGAGGCCACTGGTGCATATGTTCCCGGGAGGGATAAGCCAGACCTGCCAACCTGGAAGAGGAATTTCCGCTCTGCCCTCAACCGCAAAGAAGGGTTGCGTTTAGCAGAGGACCGGAGCAAGGACCCTCACGACCCACATAAAATCTACGAGTTTGTGAACTCAGGTCTGCCAGCTTGGGGTTCGTGTGGGAGGCTGGGGCCCCAAGGGTTCCTGGCACTCCTACTCCCCTCACCACTTTTCTCAACAGGAGTTGGGGACTTTTCCCAGCCAGACACCTCTCCGGACACCAATGGTGGAGGCAGTACTTCTGATACCCAGGTGAGAATGTGCCCAACTTTCATGCCCCTCAGTCTCCGACCTGTCTCCATGGGCCTTGTCCTCTCCCTCTAGACGATCCCCCCACTCCCCTGCCTCCAGCCTGCCCCTCACCTGAGCCAGTGCTGACCCTGTCTGTCCCTGCCCCGGTCTCCTCAGGAGAAAATTCCAAGTCTTCACCCAGCATTCAAGGCCCGAGCACACCTTCCCGGGATTTCATGGATTTCGATTCGCAGGGGGCTGTCAGCCTCTTGGGAACTGAAAAACTCCCTCACCTTGATCCTGCTGAGGCCCAAGCTGGGGGAGCATCCCCTCTGAAATTCTACCCAGCCTGCTTTGCCCAGGTCTTACCTGCATAGAGCCAGATCCTTGGGTTGGAATGGTAGCACCTGGCGTTCATTAGTGTTTGTTTGGCTGTTGATGCCATGGCTGGCTCTGTCCCCAGGCTGGAAGCCCCTTGAAGGCAGAGCTCAAGCCTGACCTCCCTGCGTTGCTGAGAACAGACCTGGTCCATATGAAGTCTCCAGAAAAGGATATGGAAATGCCTGATTCTCTTTTTTTGTTTCCCTCCAGGAAGACATTCTGGATGAGTTACTGGGTAACATGGTGTTGGCCCCACTCCCAGATCCGGGACCCCCAAGCCTGGCTGTAGCCCCTGAGCCCTGCCCTCAGCCCCTGCGGAGCCCCAGCTTGGACAATCCCACTCCCTTCCCAAACCTGGGGCCCTCTGAGAACCCACTGAAGCGGCTGTTGGTGCCGGGGGAAGGTGAGTGTCAGCTGCAGGCTGGGAGGGCTGAGGTCTGGGCGGCAGCCCCTGATTCTCAACCCCTCTCCCCTTCATGCCGCTGCTGCCGCTGCTCAGAGTGGGAGTTCGAGGTGACAGCCTTCTACCGGGGCCGCCAAGTCTTCCAGCAGACCATCTCCTGCCCGGAGGGCCTGCGGCTGGTGGGGTCCGAAGTGGGAGACAGGACGCTGCCTGGATGGCCAGTCACACTGCCAGACCCTGGCATGTCCCTGACAGACAGGGGAGTGATGAGCTACGTGAGGCATGTGCTGAGCTGCCTGGGTGGGGGACTGGCTCTCTGGCGGGCCGGGCAGTGGCTCTGGGCCCAGCGGCTGGGGCACTGCCACACATACTGGGCAGTGAGCGAGGAGCTGCTCCCCAACAGCGGGCATGGGCCTGATGGCGAGGTCCCCAAGGACAAGGAAGGAGGCGTGTTTGACCTGGGGCCCTTCATTGTAGGTGAGTGAGACAGGGGCTTCGACCTGGCCAGTACAAAGCAGCCTGCACAGTGGTTAACAACTCAGGATTGGCCGGGCACGGTGGCTCACGCCTGTAGTCCCAGCACTTTGGGAGGCTGAGGTGGGCAGATGACAAGTTCAGGAGTTCGAGACCAGCCTGGTCAACATAGTGAAACCCCATCTCTACTAAAGATACAAAAAAATAGTCGGGCGTGGTGGCACGTGCCTGTAATCCCAGCTACTCGGGAGGCTGAGGCAGGAGAATTGCTTGAACCCAGGAGGCGGAGATTGCAGTGAGCTGAGATCGCACCACTGCACTCTAGCCTGGTGACAGAGTAAGACTCCATCTCGAACAACAAAAAAAAAAGAACTCATGATTAGGACTGAATTCAGACGCTGGCTGCCCTTGGCCCGCTGTATAACCGAGGCAAAGGACTTTGCCCTGAGCCCGTGGAATCCAAGGATGGTCTCCTCTCTCTACCTGCCTGCCAGCGCTGGGGTGAGACACAGGCCCAGTACACAGAGCCTGCTCAGGGAATTAGCTGCCACTGTCATCATCATCGTAACTAATGATGGTGAACAGACCAATAGCAGGAAAGCTACATCCCTTAGGGTTTCGCTGTGCAGTGGCACTTTCTGCCATGATGGAAATGACAGTCACCTGCACTGTCCGGTGCAGCAGCCACTAGCCACAGGGGCCAAGCACTCAGGTGAGGCGAGTGCAACCAGGACGTGATTCGTTTTAATTGGTTACAATTTAAACTGAAATAACCTTACATGACTAATGGCTGCAATTGGACAATGCAGCCTCAGACAGGACTGAATGCCAACCAGCTTCTCCAGATTCACTGAGCATCCTTGGGAGCATGGGCCCCCTACTCTGGGCCTGTTATGAATGCTGAGGCTTGGGGGCTTGGGGGTGTGGCCTTCCAACAACCCCACCCTGATGGGAGGGAGGGAGGGAGGGAAGGAGGGGACTTTCCCCAAACAAGCAGTCCCCTGGTCGAGGCAGCAGAGGGCCTTAGGTCAGGGGAGGTGGTGGGGGTTATCATTCAAGTTTACGGGGAAGGGTGGGTAGAGGGTCCTCTTCTCATCCCTGACTAGGCTCCTGGGCCCCCAGATCTGATTACCTTCACGGAAGGAAGCGGACGCTCACCACGCTATGCCCTCTGGTTCTGTGTGGGGGAGTCATGGCCCCAGGACCAGCCGTGGACCAAGAGGCTCGTGATGGTCAAGGTGCCTGCAGACCTGAGTCCCTGGGGCTGAAAGGGGTGGCCTTACAGAGGGAAGAGGTTGCTCCCAGGAACTCCAACTCCCAGAGGGCCCTCTAAAAAACTGCAACTTCCAAGATCTCTGCAATAACCAGTTTTTCATCCCCGGGAGCTCCTTCCCATGGCCTCACCTGCAGAACCTGTTTTGAACTCTCTAAACCAGTGGCCCCCAAACTATTTGGCACCAGGGACCAGTCTCATGGAAGATAATATTTCCACGGACAGGGAGGTGTGGTTTCGGGATGAAACTGCTCCACTGCAGATCATCAGGCATTAGATTCTCTTAAGGAGCAGCCGATCCCTCACGTGCGCAGTTCGATAGAGTTTGTGCTCCTCTGAGAATCTAATGCTGCCGCTGATCTCACAGAAGGCAGAGCTCAGGCAGTAATATTCCCCCACCCGCTGCTCACATCCTGCTGTGCAACCTGGTCCCTAACAAGCCGTAGGGGGGTTGGGGACCCCTGCTCTAAACCATGTAGAAGCTGGTGGACTCAAGTTTTAGCTGCCATTGTGAGGCCATGGCTGTGGCTCCCAGGAGTCAAGATCACAGACTGCTCAGCCCTGACGTGTGTGTGTGTGTGTGTTTGTGTGTGTGTGTAAAACTACAACTCCCAGCAGCCCTAGGCCTATGGTTCAGTTACAGCAGGGGGTGTGTGTGTGTGTGTGTGTGTGTGTGTGTGTGTGTGTGTGTGTAAAACTACAACTCCCAGCAGCCCTAGGCCTATGGTTCATCCTAGGTTACAGCAGGGGCTGCAGGGAGTTGTAGTCCTCCAAGCCCTGACTCCTACCTTGGTGGACAGTGGCTGGGTGTTTTCCCTGACTCCTGTCCCCACTTCCCCTGCAGGTTGTGCCCACGTGCCTCAGGGCCTTGGTAGAAATGGCCCGGGTAGGGGGTGCCTCCTCCCTGGAGAATACTGTGGACCTGCACATTTCCAACAGCCACCCACTCTCCCTCACCTCCGACCAGTACAAGGCCTACCTGCAGGACTTGGTGGAGGGCATGGATTTCCAGGGCCCTGGGGAGAGCTGAGCCCTCGCTCCTCATGGTGTGCCTCCAACCCCCCTGTTCCCCACCACCTCAACCAATAAACTGGTTCCTGCTATGATCACTTGTGCGTGTCTGGTGTTGGGTGCCCTCTGACCCAATATGGTTGTTATTCCCGCTCAGGGTCTCAGTTTACCCATCTGTGCAGCTATATACAACTCAGGTGCTCAATGCATGAAGACCAAGCACTGCAGGGGGCAGCTGACACCTCCTCACTTCTGCCCAGGGACCTGGTGGGTGATGGCTGTCCCCGTGTTGTAGACCAAGACACAGGCTGGGAGAGGCGCAAAGGTCACAGAGTAGGAAACACAAAGACTAGCCAGAACCCAGGCCCCCTGCCTTGCCTATGAACAGTTTGGGCAAGTGGTCCTTCTCCTTCCAGGCCTCAGGCTCCCCTCCACGTGGGGCTGGAGGGGTCTTGGTAAAGGGGCTCTGCGGCCACCCTGGAGCCTGCAAAGCCTGCCTGCCTGGTGACCCTGGGCACTGTCACCTCTCCTGGTTGGGCCGCAGTTCTGGGTGATGAAACTGGCAGAAGCCAGCGCAGCCCTGACTCACCCTTCGGCCCTTGCTGCTCTGTGCCTCAGTTTCCCTCTCAGGACAGTTGATGAGATCACCCCAGCTTCACGGGGCTGCTGAAAAGAGAAGCCAACTCAATGGGGAACACAGATCCTGCTCTGGGAGCAATTCCAAGGCAGGCACATGGCACCCAGGAGCCGAGCTGGGAAGATGCTGATCAGGTGGGGTCCGGCCCCTGCCTCCCTGTGAGCAGCTCGCTCCCAGCCAGAGACTGTGCTAAGTGCTCCACCTGTGTCTTGTTCAATCATCACAACACCCACTACACAGATAAGAAAACTGAGGCCCAGGGGAGGCAGCTGCCCCAAGTCACAGTCTGGTCTCTGTCTCCCATCCTCAGCCTCCTGGGGGTCCCTCCCCAACCCTCTGGCAAATTTGTCTCCGAAAACAAAGGGTTAGAACCATGGGGCTCAGGGGTAATGTTTCATGAAATCTTTAATGAAATTGGGGAGAGGGGCACAAACAGAAGGGAGGGGCACTGGGGACAGGCTTGGGGGCAAGGGAGGTGGACACGGGGCAGGGCAGGGCAGGGGGCTCTCCTCTTCCCTGCAGCAACCCTCCCCCAGTCATCCCACTGACGGGGGAGGGAGGTGGGGAGGTGGAGCCATAAATACGTCCAGAGTTTCAAAGAGGTGAGGGGCGAAGAGCTGGCCAGGGCTCTCAGAGAGGGGGCAGGGGCAGGCCCGGGCCACCCTTGTCTGGGGGCCCTGGCTCCTTGGGCGGCCGTGGGGGCCCTGGGGGGTCCCCTGGCTTGCGACCGTGCTTGCGGAAGTAGCGGTAGCGCTGGACGTAGGCCCGCACCAGGTTGCTCACCTTCACTGGGTTGATTTCCCCACTTTTGCTGTGGCAGATCTGGGGGGCCGGGGACAGTTGGAGTCACCACCAGGCTCCCGGGGCCCCATCCACCCAGGACTGTTGGGCGCAGCTTGGAACTGCGGTAGGAGGAGCTTCCCCAATAACCAGGCCAAAGTCCCTCTGTCCCCCTAGACGATGGGTGCCCCAGGGCCAGCGGAACAGGCCCAGGTGGCCTTGAGAAAATCCTGTCACCCTCCTCACCTCCCAGACTGACCTCCTCCCCGTCTCCCATCCGCGTCCATCTGTCTGCACACATCTGTCCCTCCAGCTCGTTCTCTCCCCGGCCTGTGTCTGCCCCTCTCTCCGGGTGCCCACCTTGTGGACGGCCTTCCTCAGGATGTCCTTGTACTCCTCCTTGGTGATGTCCTTCTTCTGATAGTATGGCTTGATGGCCAGCTTCACCTCCTCCACCGCCCGCTCCTGCGTGTGCAGCTTCTTCAGATACTGGTGGGGTGGCGACAGCGGGGGAAGACACAGCAAGGGCCAGTGAGTACCTGCGGAACCTCCACCTCCACTCGCCTCTGCTGCCAGCCTAACCTCTCTGGCCGTCCAGCTGCTCTCAGGCTGGAAGTCCTGCTGAGGGTCTGTCCCATGCGCCCTCTGCTGCAGGTGCCCGGGACCAAAGGCCAGGCCTGGGCCTCTGCATGTCACTGAACATCTCCTCCAGGCCGAACCCTGGGCTGCTCCAGGCCTGGCCGGGACCAGGACATGTGTGTCGCCTGCCCTCACAAAGTTCAGTCTGATGAGAAGACAGGCATTGGCCAAGAAATTGCAGCTGGTTTTGAATCAGACTCTAGAGGCGGGGCTGTAGAAAACTGCACAGGGCTTTTCACCGCGGGAGCGGGGAGGACTCAGTTTAGGTTTTTACAGTACTGCTCTGGTCACCCAGGGGATGGAGGGGGTGGCTAGGGGTGAGGGGCACTGGGGAGTGGGGGTGGGGACTGACCTTGAGCCCATTTGTATCAGAAGCCTGGTCTGCCACTCCCTGTCTCTGACCCCTGGGATGCTCAGCCAAACCTTTTTGTGGCTCCTTTTTTGTTTCTTTGTTTTTGAGACAGGGTCTCTCATTGTCATGCAGGCTGGAGTGCAGTGGCACAATCACTGCTCACTGTACCCCTGGTCTCCTGGGCTAAAGCGATCTTCCCACCTCAGCCTCCTGAATAGCTGGGACTAGATGTGCCACCCCCACGCCTGGCTAATTCTTGTACTTTTTGTGGCGACTAGGTCTCACTATGTTGCCCAAGCTGATCTTGAACTCCTGGGCTCAAGCGATTCACCCGCCTCGGCCTTGCGAAGTGTTGGAATTACAGGCATGAGCCACCGTGCCTGGCCACCTTTGTGGCTCATTTGTAAAACGGGGACAGCACCTATGGGCAGTACTACAGCGACACACATGGAGGACATGGCACAGGCTGGGTACAGAGCAAAGACTCAATCCAGGGGAGCTGTGCCTGTTCCAAGGGGGATGGCCATGGGATGAAAAGGGGAGGACGCAACAGGGACAGGGCAGAGAGCCTCCGAGGCAAGGCTCTTCCCGCCTGTGGCCAGCAAGCTAGGAGATCCCGCAGCCGCAGGCTCGGGGCAGCAGCTGCAGCCCTGGCCTCAGGCAGAATCCTTGCAAAAGCAGACAGGAAACCTCTAGCCAGAGAGCCACGTGGGACCAGAGAAGAACAGGCCTTCTGCAGGCACAAGGGACAGTCCCTTGGCACCACCCTTGGAGAAGCTGCCCTCCCAAGCCAGGTGACTATCAAAGTAGGGGCAGGTAAACTGAGTCCTGGGAAGGGCAGGGCACAATGGCTAGCCGACTCCAGGAGCAACATCAGTGACACTGTCTGACGAGCTACTGAGCTGTTAGGGAACTCTGTGGCCAGAAGAGACACAGGCTGCCCTGGAGGGACTTCTCAGGCTTGCCTGGCCCCACAGGATGTGGGTCTCTAGAGAGACGCTGCTCCCCAACACCCATCTCGGATGGGCAAAGCGGGGCAAAGGGCAGAGCACAGACCAGGGCAGAGCAAGGGCCACTGTAGACCAGGGGGTCCTCACCGTCCGAGTCCTGCAGCGCAAGGCACAAGCTACGGACAAGTGACCGACTAAACTGCAGCCCCGCCTCTGCGGCTCACACAGGATGTTTAATGGGGTTTATACAGCTTTATCTGGCACGGTACACAGCTGTGTAAGGGTGGCCAACGTCACCGTCTGGCTATGGGCTACTAGACTGTAAGAAAACACATCTAGGCTGGGTGCAGTGGCTCATGCCTATAATCCCAGCACTTTGGGAGGCTGAGGTGGGAGAATCACTTGAGCTCAGGAATTTGAGACCAGCCTGGGCAACATAGTGAGACCCCAACTCTACAAAAAATTAAGAAATGAGCTGGGCATGGTGGCGCGTGCCTGTAGTCCTAGCTACACAGGATGCTGACGTAGGAGGATCCCTTGAGCCCGAGAGATCAAGGCTGAGGCTACAGTGAGCTGTGACTGTGCCACTGCATGCCAGCTTGGGTGACAAAGCGAGACCCTGTCTCAAAAACCAACCAACCAAGGCCGGGCACGGTGGCTCACACCTGTAATCCCTGCACTTTGGGAGGCCGAGGCTGGCAGATCACCTGAGGTCAGGAGTCAAGACCAGCCTGGCCAACGTGGTGAAATGCCGTCTCTACTAAAAATACAAAAATTAGCTGGGTGTGGTGGCGGGTGCCTGTCATCCCAGCTACTCGGGAGGCTGAGGTAGGAGAATCACTTGAACCCTGGAGGCGGAGGCTGCAGTGAGCCGAGATGGCACCATTGCACTCCAGACCAGGTGACAGAGCAAGACTCCATCTCAAAGAAAAACAAAAACAAAAACCCACATCTAGACCTGACCAAGAGAGAAACAGCTCCAGAGCCCAGGAGTAGGAGCCGGCCAGAGCAGCTGAGTAAGAACCTACATTACTGTCTGCCTGGCACCCATTCTCCCCTGCTTCATCTACAAACAGGTTCTTGAGTTTTCATTCGGAAACCACCCTCCCCCACTCACAGAGACGGAGACAGCGCGAGCAACAGATAATCAAGGGGTGGGCTGCAGCGCGGGGCATCTCTTCCAGGGTGTGTATATGTGGTGTGTACGCACACAGCCCCACACACGCACAGACGCGATTTTCCTTTGGACACGCCTAACGCATTTCCTGCTCACCCATTCCAGCAAAGTGGAGTTCCTTATGGTTCCATGACTTTGGTCTCTACGGCCCTGTCTCCCTGCCTCAGTCTCCCTTTCTCCTTGGGCCCCCGCGTCTCAGTTCCTGTCCATATTCTCTACAGAACTGTCAGCACCGCCCCACCTCTCCCCAGGCCAGCTCACCTTATCTGTGTCCCCACGGCCCTCAGAGCTGCTGCTGCCCTCTCTCTTGTCAGACGTGGCAGCCAGCCCGGTGGGGGTGGGGGGGGTCGAACCGCAGCCCCCCAGAGGGAGGCTGCCAGGAAGCAGGTAGCTGGAGGGGCCAGGGGGCAGACCCAAAGAGGTGGGCACAGGAGCTGGGGTCATCCCCAGACTTGAGGGTGGCTTTCTGTGGCTGAGGATCTGTGGGACGAGGACAGAGGGGTGATGAGTAAAGGGAGGTGGAGGGGAAGAGGGGACGTGCACCCCACTGTTCCCACGCTGACTTCCCCACAGCTGAGGCAACAGGCTCCTCTTCAGGCCGATACCTTGCCCCAGAGCTGCCAGGCCCGCGGTTCCTCTCCTAACCCGAGGCAATGGACAAAAGAAGGGGCGGCAGGGACTCTCCCCCAGGGGAGCCCACCTGGTTGGTGGCCTGGATCAGCTCCTGGGCCTTCGCTCGGCTCGCCAGGTTGGCTTCTTCCATCTTGAAGAGAAGTGCAGTCACTGCAGGAGGCAGAGAGGTGACAACATGAAGATGGGAGAGGTGACAGGACAGGAGCTGGTGAACCTCACCTGGACACCTGCTGTCATCTCCTGCCCTTGGCCCCAGAACAGCCACAAAGCCTCACGCTCAGAACTGGGAAAAGGGGGCCTTGGCCAATGAGAGAACAGCCCATACCACGAATGTTCTTGGGACTCCAGGTGTGTGGGTGCGGGGTTGGCCAGGGTCATGCAGTGATGAGACAGTGGCAGGAGTGAGATTCTGCCTCCTGACCCGCTGTGGCCAGTCCCAACCTCTCTCCCCACCTCTGCAGTCTGGTAGAGGCAACCGCCATCCGTAAGGAATACGATGCCCTGCTCAAGCCATTCTTTCTGGTCCCTCTCTCCTACTCCCCGTCTAGGGGAATCCCAGAACCCAGCCCACCACTCCAGTCTGTGCTGGCCACCACCTGCTCTCACCGGCCCCTCTCTCCCAGTACACCCAGGCACCTAGAGCCTGGCTGGCCTTTACTCACCCCCACCCTCCCAGTCTATGTCCCTATAAACCTCTCCCTGCCAGGGCACCCCACTGCCTCTAAGTCTGTACCCTCCAGTCCCCATCCTGTCTCACCTGCCCCAGCACCACCCTCCCCCAGGGGACACTCACAGGCCAGGACGCCGCTGGTGGTGCAGTCCACACCAGCTGGCAGATTCCAGGGCATGGGCGGGGGCAACGTGGGCAGCTGGGAGACACGGGAAGCTGGCCCGTCCTCCGCCCCCGAGTCACCGGCTGTGGACCCCGCGCTGGGGGCAGTGCTTGGGGCGGCTGCAGCAGTGCTGGTGGCCGTGGTGGTAGCAGGCTGCTGCTCCTCCTCCTCTTCCTCTTCCTCCTCCTCTTCTTCTTCCTCCTCCTCCTCCTCCGCCCCACCTCGGACCCCAGCCTCCTCAGTGGCCTCCTCGGGCAGGAAGGAGACCTCAGGTGTCTTGCAGCTGCTGTCCACGGTCTGCGAGTCCGGAGTGAGGGCAGGGGGTGGTGGGGCTGCCTTGGGGGGCGGGGTGCTAGGAACCTTGGCTGCCCGCTCCTCCCCGGACCAGGAAGTCTCCTCCGCCCCCTTGGTGCCTGCCGCCTGGCTGCAGCTATCCGCCTTGGACTTCTTCAGCGACACCTGGCCACCACTGCCCCCGCTGCCACCTCCACTGCGGACCTTTTTCCTGGTCTTGGATGGCTTGGTCTTTCCCTTGGTCCCCTTGGTTTTCTTGGCCCCTGCCTTGGCCTTGACCTTGGTCTTTTTGGGCTTGGTGCTGCCCGGAGCTGCTTTGGCCATCTCAGTGGGGGCCCGCTCGTCAGGTTTGAGGAAGGGGGAGCGACTCTCGCGGTCACGGCTGAATTTGACGCCAATGGAGCCCAGGCCGGCTGACGCGGCATCCTTGGCCGGGGTGGTGCTGCTGACACCCTCGCGGATCAGCACCGCCACCTTGGACTGCAGCTTCACCTTCCGGGAAGAACAGGAGGACGACGAGGATGAAGAGCCTGAGCCGCTGCTGACTGGTGGCTTTGGCGGGGGCCCTGAGGAAGGCGCCGACTCCTTGGGGGGCCGGGCCTTCTTGGATGACCTGTCCCTGTCCCTATCTCTGTCCCTGTCCCGATCCCGGTCACCCCCGTCCAGCGCCTTCCGACGAGACCCCTTCTCCCGGGAAGAGGAGGAGGAGGAGGCGGCCCCCGAGCGGCGCCGATCCTTCTGGCTGCTCTTGCCGCCCCGCTCCTCGCCGCTCAGTCCCTCGGAGTCGTACAGGACCTCCCGCTTAGGTGAGGAGGCCGGAGCAGGAGAGGGTCCTCGGGGGTCGGACTTGTCAAGCCGGCCCACCGTGATGGTCCGCTTGATGGCGAAGAGGTCGTGGTCCGTGAGGTCCTGGATGGAGGGTGGCACGGCCCCCCGGCGGCGGCTGTCGCGGTCACCACACGAGGTGGAGCCAGAGGGCGGCGGGGCGGGCGCCGGGGCCTTCTCGCTGCCATCCCCAGACCGCTTCTCACCCCGGGACCGCGACCGCTTCTTCTTCTTCTTGCTGCCGCCACCGTCCCGGTGTTTCCCGCGGTGCCGCTCGCGCCTCGAGGACGACGATGAGGAAGTGGCCGGGGGCGGGGAGGCGGAGCGCCGCCGCCGTCGCCGCTTCTCCCGGGACCGCGACCTGCGGCTGCCCCCGCGGCGGCGGTCGGTGCTGCGCGAGCGGCGGCGGGTGGAGCGGGAGCGGGAGCGGGAGCGGGAGCGGCGGCGGGCGGACGACGAGGCGTGGGAGCCGGGCTTGCGGTCCCGCGAGCGGTGCTTCTTGGAGTCCCAGGGCGAGGCCGGGGCGGGCGGCGCTGGCTGGGTGCCCGACGAGGACGAGGCGGCCTCCTTGGCCTCGCCGCTGCGCTTGCGTTCCCGCCTGGACTTCTTGCGCGTGGGCGGACCAGCAGCGGCGGCCGGGGCGGGCGCGGGCGCCGGGGAGGGCGAGCGCTGGCGGTAGCGCTCCCGCCGTTGGGTCAGGATCTTGCGGCGCAGGTCCAGGCCGCCCCAGCGCGAGTCGGCGGCGGGCGGCGCGGGAGCCGGCTCCCCTAGGTCCACCTGCAGGGCGCCCTCGCCGTCCGACTCCGCATGCAGGGACAAGAAGTCGTCCCCCTCGGGGGCCCGCGGAGCGGGAGGCTGAGGAAGGGGCTGGGCCGTGGGGGTGGCCGAGGCGGCCGGTGTAGGCCGGGCGGCCCGGCCGCCGGGGCGGAAGAGGGACAGCGCCAGCCTGGGCTCCTCCTCCGGCTGGACGATCTCCCCTTCCTCGATCTCCGAGTCGCCGGGCGGCAGCAGGGGCGGCGGGAGGGCGGCTCCACCAGCGGTCACCACCTCCACCGAGACCTTGCCTTCCCGACAAGCCTCTGCCTCGGTCCCCACCACGAAGACCCGCCGGCGCATGGCTCCATCAGCCCGGGTGGAGTCCACCTGGGGCGGCGTTCCAGGGGCGGGAGTCGGCTGTGTGGGCTGCGCGTCCGGGCGGGGGCTCTCGTCACCTGGGAAGTCCTGGCTCAGGCTGTTGTCATCGTAGATGCCCGCCAGGGTCTCCGAGATGCGGCTGATGCTCTGGGACAGGCCTTCCTCCTCCTCCTCGTCTTCCTCTTCCTCTTCTTCTTCCTCTTCCTCCTCCTCTTCCTCCTCAGGTGAGGGGGTCCCCGCTGATGAGCTGGGGTTGGAGCCGGTGGGCTCAAAAGGGTCGTACTTTTGCTCCGGAGCAGGCGGTGGAGAGTAGGCCTCGTCGGTGGGGTGGAAGGGGTCATAGATATCGAATCGGGGGGCAGGTGGGGCTGGGGGTGCAGGGGGCGGTGGGGGTGGGGGAGGGGAAGGGGAGGAAGATGAGGGAGAAGGGGAAGGGGAGGAGGATGCAGAGGAGGGGGCAGGGGGTGGGGCAGGGCCCCCGTCTCCCGTGCCCAAGGTGAGGTGACGGGCACAGGTGGGCCTAGAGGAGTTCGACTGTGGAGAAACTGCAAAGGAACAGGGAGAGAGAGGCGGTCAGGGCCTTTGCCTCCCTCCTGGTGCCTGCTTGCTGGCCCAGCCGTGGACACTCCCTGGGCCACCAGGTCCTGCCCAGGAAGCCCCAAGTGCTTCACAGGAGCCAGCCGTAGGATGCTCCCAACAACTGCACACCATGGTTCTTAACCCAAAGGTCACAGGAGGAAACTGAGGCAGAGGGCTGCAGTATCCTCCCCAAGGGCACACAGAGAGAAGGCAGCAGTCAGGGTGTAAACTCAGTCAGTGCGGCCCCGAACCTGCACTCCCATATCCTGAGACAGCACTGGCCTGACCCTGGGCAATGTACCCTGGCCTTGAAACTAGGAACTATCTTGACCAGTGCCGGCGACCCATCCCAGGAGGAGGTGGAGGCTGCAGTGAGCTATGACCACAACACCACACTCCATCCTGGGGGGAGAAGAAACAGGAAAACAGGCTGCAGGGGGAGAGCTGGGATTCAAACCTAAGTCCCCCTCCAAGACAAAAACAAGCTCTGGCCTGCTGCGCCAGCTGCCTCTCGTGGGAGTTTCTCCCGTTTGGTAGAGGGTGAGATTCCAGTGCAGAGCCAGGAAATGGCAGAGCTGGGGAGCCCAGGAAGGCTGGTCTTCACCCCAAGCTCTTCACTCTGTGCTGAGTCCCCACCCAAGGAATTACATCTGCTCAGGACTCAAAGACACCACTGACCAGTGACAGTGGCAATGACAAAGGTTTGCCTCTTCCTCCAAACCAGGCATGGTGCTTCGTATGTCACCTCATTCGCCCCCAAAGAGCCCGCTGCACTGTGCTAAGTACTACAGTCATGATGCCACAGTCACACGATGGAGATGGCTGACAGAGGCCACACCACAGGCAAGGATGCCAGCAGAGTGGTGTGAGGACAGTGCCAGGGAAGGAGAGGGGTCAAGAGGGCAGCACCAGAGCCACCCCTTGATCCAGGGGCTGGCCCTCACCAGCCACATGACCACAGGCAAGTGGATCAATGTGTCTTACTTCAGTTTCCTCATCTATAAAATGGGGGTATGTTCATTCATCCAACACCCTTTATGGCCGGGTGGGGTGGCTCATGCCTGTAATCCCAGAACTTTGGGAGGCCGAGGTGGATGGATCACCTGAGGTTGGGAGTTCGAGACCAGCCTGACCAACATGGAGAAAGCCCATCTCTACTAAAAATACCAAATTAGCCGGGTGTGGTGGCACATGCCTGTAATCCCAACTACTCGGGAGGCTGAGGCAGAAGAATCACTCGAAACCAGGAGGCAGAGGTTGCAGTGAGCCGAGATCGTACCACTGCACTCCAACCTGGGCAACAAGACCAAAACTTCATCTCAAAAACAAACAAAAAAAATATCAATGAGTGGAGTGTACGGTCCCTCAGCTGCCAAGGGCTTAGGGGAAGATGAAACAGGGGTGATGATGACAGCATTTACTTCCCAGGATAAGCGGAGGAATAGATGAGTGCGCAGAAAGAGCCAGGCTGCACCTGCTGCTGGGTGAGGACAGTCTGAGCCTCAGCTTTTCCTAGCCTCATTGCTATTCCCAGCACCTTAAGCACAAAATACTCTCCACAGACTAGAGCGCTCTGCAAACACGCGAGATCCACAGCTTTATATAAATTTCTGTATGGGACAGGATTATGGGTGAACTTTCTTTTCTTTTTAAAGCTACCTGGAATAAGCAAAGAAAACATAACCTCAGAGTCCCCCTGAAAACAACTACTATTAGCTTCCGGATACACCCTTATCACTCTTAAGGCCCAGGGGTCAAATCCAGCATACCACCTGTTTTCCTAAATCAAGTTTTAGAGGAACGTTGCCTGACCCATTTGTTTACTTATCCTCTGCAGCTTCTGATTTTTTTTTTTTTTTTTTTTGAGAGGGAGTCTCACTCTGTTACCCAGGCTGGAGTGCAGTGGCACGATCTCAGCTCACTGCAACCTCCATCTCCTGGTTCAAGCAATTCTCCTGCCTCAGCCTCCCGAGTAGCTGGGACTAGAGGCGTGTGCCACCATGCCCAGCTAATTTTTGTATTTTTAATGGAGACAGGGTTTCACCATGTTGGCCAGGATGGTCTCAATCTCTTGACCTCATGATCCGCTCACATTGGCCTCCCAAAGTGCTGGGATTACAGGCGTGAGCCACCGTGCCCAGCCCTACAGCTTCTGATTTTAAAGAAATTGAAACACTTTTGTGGGCCCCTAAGAATGTCATAAGTCCTAGGCACCATATCACTGTACTTAATGGATAAATCATTTCCAGCTGTTAAAAAAAAAGGGGGGGGGGTGTGGCAGGCATGGTGGCTCATGCCTGTGATCTCAGCAGTTTGAGAGGCCAAGGCAGGAGGATTGCTTGAGCTCTGGAGTTTAAGACCAGCCTGCGCAACATATCAAGACCTCATCTCTATTAAAAATTTTAAAAAAATAAAAAATAAAGGCTGGGCGTGGTGGCTCACGCCCATAATCCCAGCAGTTTGGGAGGTTGAGGCAGGCGGATCACTTCAGGTCAGGAGTTTGAGACCAGCCTGGCCAACACAGTGAAACCCTACCTCTACTAAAAATACAAAAATTAGCTCAATGTGGTGGCATGCGCACCTATAATCCCTGCTACTCAGGAGGCTGAGGCAGGAGAGAATCACTTGAACCCGGGAGACGGAGGTTGCAGAGAGACTAGACCCCACTACTGCACTCCGGCCTAGGTGACACAGTAAGACTCCATCTCAAAAAAAGAAAAAAGAAAAAAAAAAACTAGCCAGGCATGGTGGCATGCACCTGTAGTCCCAGCTACTCCAGAGACTGAGACAACAGGATAACTTGAACCGGGGAATTTGAGGCTGCAGTGAGCTGTGACTGTGCCACTGCACTCTAGCCTGGGGGACGCAGTGAGACCCTGTCTCAAAAAAAACAAACAAGGTAGCAGGGCACAGTGGCTCACGCCTGTAATCCCAGCACTGTGGGAGGCTGAGGCGGGCGGATCACTTGAGGTCAAGAGATCAAGGCCATCCTGGCCAGCATGGTGAAACCCCATCTCTACTAAAACTACGAAAATTAGCTGGGTGTGGTGGCATGCACCTTGTAGTCCCAGCTACTCAGGAGGCTGAGGCAGGAGAATCGCTTGTACTCGGGAAGTGGAGGTTGCAGTGAGCTGAGATTATGCCACTGCACTCCAGCCTGGGCGACACAGCGAAACAAGGTAAACAAGGTAAACATGACCTGGCACAGAGTGGTGTGCCTGCTCTACCACAGAACTGGTGCTCACGGCTCACAGCTGGTGCCCATAGCTGACTGCACCTTCTTCTCCTCTCCCTCCAACCCCTCCTCCAAATACAGATGTTCACGTAGAAGGAAGGCCTAAACCCAGGGTTCTCAACAGAGTCCAGGGCTCAGCAGCATGTATTGTTTAAAATGAAAATTCCCAGGTCCCACCCCAGACCTGCAGAATCAGAACTCTTGGGAGTGGGCCCAGTGATGTGCATAGTAACAAGTCCTCCTTGCAACTGAGATGTGCGTTCGCGTTTGGTCTAAAGGGCTCACAGGGTTACCGTTGTGTGTGGGGTTGGAGGAAGAGATTCCTCCTTGGGCAGCGCACATCTCAGACATCAAAAACTTGGGCTTCAGACTCAGACACACCAGGGCTCAAGGCCCAGGCACCCCACGGAGCATCTGGCTGTGCGCCCTTGGGCAAGTGCCTGCCCTTTTTCAGGCTGTCTGCTTCTCTGAAGATAGAGATTCGAAGAGTCCCCCTCCTGGGGAGATGAACGCCCAGTGCAGTGACACTAATACTTAGCGTGCCGAAACCAGTTGTCACACACGCTGACCACTCCCACATAGCCCCAGCACATCAGTTTTTACTTTATGTACATCTGTATGCGCCTACAGCCTTAATCACGTCTAATACGAAGAGAAGGGAAAGGTTTTGTCTAAATAACATGATCACCGCTACCATCACTACCAAAAACAGCCGATCCCCACACAACTCCACGACCACCTGCCCAGCTCCGCCCTGGCCCCACATACCCGTTTTGCCCGTCCTCCAGGCCCTGAGACGGGGCAGCAGGCTGGGCACAGGCAGAGGGATGGGATCTCTGTCCCCGATTCGGACCTCAGCCACCAGCTCCAGCATGTCCTCACTTCTGCAAGGCGGAAGGGGTGGGTGAGCCTCAGGGGTGCTTCTGGCTCTCACGCTGAGGCCTCTCCCACTCCAGCTGCCCAGCTACTCACTCGCCAGGCCGCAGGTCCAGGCGGCTGGGAACCCAGGTATCCGGGGGATCCAGGACACTCACCAGCCCTGCGAGGAAGCTGTCCGTGGCCATGTCCAACACCTGGAAGAGGCCAGAGAGGCTCTACGCCGTCCCTGGTCACATGAAGACTGGCAAATCCTGCTTCCCCACTCCCTAACCTCTCAGGAACCCAGACATCTAAGATCCCCAAGAAAACTGAGGATCTAATTCCTATAGCCTGACTGCCATCAACACTCAAAGCTCAGGCCCACAGATCAGGCCCCCAGACTCTCCAACATTGCCCCTGGTCAGCATCGCAGAGCCAGGAGTCCAGGTCCCCAAACCCCATTCCCCCAGACTCAGGCCCCCATCCCTTCCTCCCTGATACCCGTGAGCCAGGCCCCCAGCCCCCTCTTCTTACTCACAGTAGCCGTGTCAGTGCCCCCTGATTCCTGGGAACGGGGCTCTGACCGTGGACTCCGGCAGCGCCGCCATCGAAGGCCATGACACCGAGAGCCATCTGGTGAGAGATTTGCATGGGGGATTGGACACAGGGGACTTGCTGCAGAGACTTGCGGGGTAGAGGAAAGAGGAGCTTGATCTAGTTCCTGACAGCGGAACCAGCCTCCCGCATGCTCTCCAGGCCTCCATGCGCCACCTCCCAGGAGGACTTCCCAGCACCCACTTCAGAGGCTGCGACGCTCAGCCATTCGTCCTCCTGTCTGCCCTCAGACACCTCAACCTGGCATTCAGGCCTTGCTGGGATCCAGTCCCCACAGACCTCTCCTGCCTCCCCCAACCCCACTCACACCCTCCTGCATGCCAGCCCCAAGGAAGCCCAGCGCAGCCCCTCGCCGCTGCACCCGTGCTGTAGGCCTGCTGCAGCTGATCAGGCTTCCCTCTAATCCTAGGTCCTTAGACTCTTCTAGGTCCTTAGAGAGCCGTTCACTGTCCCTGCTCGGGGAAGGTGCCCTGACCCGTCTCCCACCATGCTAGCTCAAGTGGGCCTCCTGCCCTCTCCCAGCACTGTGCCTGTCTCCCTTCCACTGCACACTAGGCCCTTCCAAGGCAGCTACAGGGTGTCTGCCCATTTTTGGCTCCCCATGCCAGCACAAGGGTGGCACCCAGGAGGCTTCAGAAAAGCTTGTATGAATGACATTAGGATAAAGAATGCAGAGAGGGGGCAGGGGCTAAAAGGAACCGGAAGCCGCCATACCTTTATCATTGGGCAGGTCCCCCTGCAGGGAGCTTCCCACAGCCTGCTGGATGGCTCGCTGGGGAAGGGGGGAAGAACCAAGCGTCAGAGGACCCAGGCAGATGCTTTGCAACCTCTGCCCCTTGGGAGACAGACATCCCAGACACTGACAGCTAGACTCAAGTGCTTCAAGGGAGCCAAGAGTCCAGCGCCCCTGCCTCAGGCCCTGGAGTCAGGCCCCTGGAGTGTGGATGCCCAGCTCCTCCATCCCTCAGTGCCAGGAGCCCAGCAGCCTCACCAGGATAAAGGCAGAAGGAGAAAGCGTGGGGTCTCTGTCTGGCGGACCATCGCCCCGATCCTCCCCCGACTCCTCTGTCTTCCCTCGAGACTCATCTTCTTCCTCCATGGTCACCTGGGGGTCCAGGGGGGAGAGTTTGGAGTGGAGGTCCCGGGAGAAAGGATGGAAGTAGAGGATAGACATGAAGACCTCAAGGGCCCCACACTATCTCCCTCAGCATCCCCTCTGGCACCCCTCCTCTCCTCCACCTCCTCCCACTCCACCCTGTGCTTGGGTGGGCGCTGGACCCAGCACAGACACCCCAGGGACTAGGAGCAATTCTCTTCCTTTTTTCTGGGTCTCAGGTGCCTCTTATGTCAAAGGGAGGCCTCCCTGGCCTCCGCTTTTAACATCTCACTCCTCAATTCCCGCAGCTTCCCCAACAACCTATCCAAACTTCAAGACCTCATTCCCTGGCCTCCTAAGAGGCAAAGCCAACACCAAGGTTTTTTGTGTGTGCTGCACTGTGATTTCAAAGGGTGTGTTCCACAGTCCTATAAACCCACCTTTCCCAAGGCCAATGTGCTGGGCAATATTCAACACCATGCCTTAAACACCACACGGCTTCCTAGAGCATCAACTGTCCTCGATGGTGAGGACCACCCCCAAATTGTATTTATACACCTAAGTTGGAAACTTCATTGAGTGATCTGCAAAACCAGTATGCCATTTTTAAAATGAAAACGCTAAACTTCAGAAAGACATGCCGAAGGAAAACTTCACAGGAGGCATTTACCTATCGCCATCTGCACAAAGCCTTTGCAATGTCATGGAAATTCTTTGATATGATTCCCCAGTCAGGCAGTTGAAAGATCATCCATCAAACAGGTGGATGTCTTGATTAGGGCTTCAGAAAAATATGAATATTTCAGCTGTAAGCTTCCCCATGACTGTCAAATCTGCTACTCATAAGACAATATCCAATCTCAAAATTCCTAGAAAGCTTCAAAATCCCTAACCCACAACTCAGTATGCTTAATTGTAAATGCACGAAATAGGAGCATCTATCTCAGAGAATGGCTGTGAATACTCAAAGCCTGACTTCTGCCACACATTTAGAGCACCTCAAGTGCTCAATACGGATGAAGAGGAATGACACTATTAGCCCTTAACGCCCAGGTTTCCCCTACATCTGTCTCCTCGCTTCCCCCACAGCATGCCTGCAAAGACAAGGCCCTGGTCCTGTTCTAGATCCCATATAGATTTTCAAACCATGCCAAGCCTCCATATTCAGCCTCCCAGCTCCACCTAATTCCTAACTTCCTAAGACACACCCAACCCTGATAGTCTATTACATCCCAGCCTCTTTCACCAATACTCAATAAGCTCAGCCCCAGTTCCTGGCCCTGGAACTGCTCTCCAGCACCTCCCGGGGAAGCACATGCTACCTACAACAGTGACTGTCACATATCAGAAGCTTAATCAACATCTGCTGACTACAGGCTGAGGGATCCCCAAACCCTCTGCAGTATACAAAGATGCTTGCTTGCTCATTTAGAAAGCACCAGGCTTCGCAGACACACCCTCAGCTACTGAGATCTTCTGAACAGAAGAATGCTCTGCAGATACTGCTAGGTCCTATCTGGATCAGTGGTTTCCCCAACAACAGGGTCATATACCAGTTTAGTGCTTCACAAATAGCTTGTTTTAAAAAGTAAATAGAACAAAATAGTTCTTCACAGCACAGCACAAGTAGTAAGTGGAAATGTCAATTCGTGGAAGGTGAGTTAATGTTAATACATTATGTTATATAATGTTAAATACATTATGACTGTCTGTACCAGGTCTCAATGAAAAAATGTATCTTAATGCAGATCACGGTCAACATGGCCCAGGTTTCCCCTTGAAAAGCACTGTAATAGTGGGTCTAGATGACCCTCCAGACTCTTCCAGACTAATGTAGATTAATTCTAACTCTCTCAATAACCCCCAGGGTAATGCAGAATCTTAAAACATTTTTCATTTGAATTACTGTCTGAAGGGCAAGTATATCTAAGCTGGGCAAAATTTCCTCATTCTCTTTCCGTATTATTATTCGCCACAAGCTGCTCTGACCCCAAAGGCATTCGAATTTGCTCCAGGCATCAAAACTGCATTCCTGCAGTCACATTAAAGCCATCTAGATGGTTCCAGGTCCTTCTAACTGCCCCCAGCCTCCTGTCACCCATTATTAGACACTACCCATACCTTGGAGACCCCAGACCCTCAGTACATCTCAATATTTGGCGCCCTTCCCTGGTGGGCATAACCCAACCCCCTAGGGGGCCCTAAATGACTTCTTAGCCCTTGAACACTCCTTCTAGGCCTGATAAATGGCCCCAGACTTATGCAGACCAGTTGCATCCTCAGGCCAGCCCATGCAGACACTTTCCAGCCCTAAAAGACATACCCCAGGCCTCTAGATGGCTCTGAAGATACTCTTCAGGTCTTGCAGACCCTCCTTCACCCCTGGGACATATCTCAAGATCTCAAGATGGCCCCAGAACCCTCTAACCAGACCCTAGCCTCCGGTCAGCCCAAAAAGACAATCTACAGTGTCTACAGACACGATCCAGGCCAGCTGTGTGATGGAGGGCAGGCCTTAGGCTCGGTCTAGGCCCAGAGACGCCCCAAGTCCTCTCGGAGACGCCCCATAGACGCCCCCAGGAACCCACGGATGCGTCCCGGGGCCCTGAGAAGGCCCCCCTCTCGGCGCCAGGTTTCGCCGCAGCTGCCGGGCCCGAGACCGCCCCGAGAAGCCCTCTAGGACCCGTGGCTTGTGGGGAGGACCCCGGGACAACTAGCGACCCAACTCCGCCCCGCCCACCCCAATAGGCCCGAGCCCCGCGGCCCGGACTGCCGCCGCCATCTTACCCCGCCGCTCGGGCTGCGGCTCCGGCCCCGGCGCGGGGCGGGGCGGGCTGGGGCGGGGTTCGTGAGCAAAGGAGGAGAGAGGCGGAGCTAAAGCGCCGCCGAGCTTGCCGGGATTTCAAGTACCGAGCACGGCGACGTGAAGGCCGGCGGGAAGGCAACCGCACTCGGTTTCCCAGAAGCCAATGGGACACATGGGGCGGGGTCCGCGCGATGCACGCCGGGAGGCGTAGTCCGCGCACCGCCTCTGTCGCGCGGGGACAGCTAATGGGGTGAGAGGTGAAGTGGGCGGGGCCGCGGTAGCCCGCGATGACGCCCCACAGTGCCCTGCGCGCGCGCGGAAAGGGTGGCGGAACAGGAGGTGACGTAAGAGGCGCCAGGCAGAACAGACGCAAGGGAATTGTAGTCCGGCGGAGTGAGCACGACTTGCTGGATGTTGTGCTGCCCACATTCTGGGGCTCTCAGAATCCAGATCCTCTAGGCCCCCCTAAATTTAGAACCAGACGGGATGCAGTGGCGCACACCGTAGTCCCACTCGGGAGACTGAGGCGGAAGGATGGCTTGAGCCTAGAAGTTAGAAGCCAGCCTAGGCAATATAGGGAGACCCCGCCTCTAAAAAAATAAAAATAGGCCAGGCGCGGTGGCTCACGTCTGTAATCCCAGCACTTTGGGAGGCCGAAGCAGGCGGATCATCTGATATCAGGAGTTCAAGACCAGCCTGACCAACATGGTGAAACCCAGTCTCTACTAAAAATACAAAAATTAGCCTGGCGTGGTGGCTAACGCCTGTAATCCCAGCTACTCGGGAGGCTGAGGTAGGAGAATCGCTTGAACCCGGGAAGCGGAGGTTGCAGTGGGCCAAGATCGCGCCATTGCACTCCAGCATGGGCTACAAGACGGAAACTCCGTCTCAAAAATAAACAAATAAAAATAAACTTAGAACCTAGAAGCCCGACCCCATAGCCGCCTCGTTCAGTACAGAGAAGTCTGAATTCCGAATCCTCTCACTCAGAGCAGTGTCCAGACTCCTATTTCCCTCCTCCCTCCGACTCAGGAGTCTGATTCTTCCTTCCTCGGATCCAAGAGTCGGTCTCCCAGACTAGTCCTGGTCTCAAGCTCTCACATACGAATTCGGGTCCCCCCAAGCCAGTGCCCTCGCTCGGATCCAGAATCCTGGGTCCCCAGCCTCTCCAATTCCTGGACCTAAGAGTCCAGGCCCCCGGCTCCCTCCTTTACCGAACCTAGTACGAAGGAACCTGTCTACCTTCCTCCCTGACACCCTCCTCCCCAGGACCCAGGAGTCCACATCTCCAGCCCCATTTTCTCCTAAGGACCCAGGAGTCTGGGCCCTCTGCTTCCTTCTCCTTCAAGACCCAGAAATCCTGGCCCCAGGCTCTTCATGACCCAGGCATCCCTACTTGGGCGAGCTGGCTCATGGATTAGGAATGCAGTGATCTCACGGCCCCTCCCTGCCCCGTTACCCTGCTGTCCCCCTCTAGGGCCCCACTCTCCTCCCAGTCTGTCTTCCGCTTGGCTGGGACAGCGGGAACCGGAAGCCTGGGTCCCTTAGCGGGCGGAGACTCTAGCTTCTAACCCAGACGCCGGGGTCGAAAGCTTGGCTAGGATCCCAGGAGGGAGGTGGAGCTACTCCTCAAAACCTGCTGCTTCCTCGGAGCGCCCTATATACGGCCGCGCGCGCGAGTCGACGAGCTCCGCCTACCATACTAAGGCCTCGGAGACGATGCCCCAAGCAGCAGTGTCACAGGGGTCCTTATTTGCATAGCCCCTCCCCTGAGGAACTTTCCGCCCCGTCTGCTGAAAGAATAAATTCTTATTAGCATAGCCACGCCCACAGACCGCCCTCCCGCTGAGAGCGCGTGGCGCCGCTCAGGGCAAAGCACAGGTCTCTCATTAGCATAGCCCCGCCTCATTCGGAATTCCCCTTCGCAGCGAACGCCGTTCCCTTTCCCTTATTAACATAGCTCCTCCCTTTCTTTGGCCCGTCCCCCTCCTTAAGTGTCCGGAGACGCGAGCCCTCCTTGCCAGAGCTCATGATTATGCAGTAGCCTCATTAGCGTAGCCCGCCCCCCCGGGTCCCGCCCGGCTCCCCCGCAGGCGGTAGCGAAGGCAGCAGCAGCGGTGGCGACATGAGCAGCGGGGCGGCGTCCGGGACAGGGCGGGGGCGGCCCCGGGGCGGGGGACCTGGGCCCGGGGACCCCCCGCCCAGCGAGACACACAAGCTGGTGGTCGTGGGCGGCGGCGGCGTGGGCAAGAGCGCGCTGACCATCCAGTTCATCCAGGTAGTGGGCCCTCACCCGGGAGGGTGTCCCCCGGGACCCAGAACTGAGCCCTTGGGGGGATCCCCGAGACCCCTTTTCCCCCTTGACCCATCACTGAGACCCTCCTATAAGGCCCTCTAATCTTAAAAGATCCCCACAGATTGTAACCTAAACTCTTGGAGAGCCTCCATCCCCTGCACGGGGGACCCTTCCTTCTGCACTCGCATCCCGAGACCCACTATTCCCTCTCCCAGTGCCTAAGACCCCGCTTACCTGCTGACCTGGCTTTGAGCACCTCCTGGGAGCATGCTAAATACAAAATACTCACCCCATTCGGACCCTAAGCACTCCCAGGACCCCCACCACGCCCTTGGTGCCACCTTCCACCACCCTGAGCCCTATCTCCCCCAAATCCCAGTCCCCAACTTCCCCTCTAAGCCATTGAGAGCCTTCCTGGGAGAATGCCAGTGCCCAGCACCTTTGAGATTCCACCACGTTCGATTCTTTTTTTTCTTTTTTTTTTTTTTTGAGACAGAGTCTCACTCACTCTGTCACCCAGGCTGGAGTGCGGTGGAGTGCAGTGGTGCGATGTTGGCTCACTGCAACCTCTGCCTCCTGGATTCAAGCAATTCTCCTGCCTCAGCCTCCCAAGTAGCTGAGACTACAGGCGAGTGCCACCATGCCTGGCTAATTTTTGTATTTTTTAGTAGAGACGGGGTTTCACCATATTGGACTGGTCTCGAACTCCTGACCTCGTGATCGGCCTGCCTTGGACTCCCAAAGTGCTGGGATTACAGGCATGAGCCACCGTGCCCGGCCCCACGTTTGATTCTTAGCCCCTTCCATGACTGCCCCCAGAATCTAGAAATTCTACCCAGACCCTGGCCCTGAGACTCTTCTGGGACTACCCAGTCCTAAGAGAGTCCTGCTCTCCGACCCGAGATTTAAAAAGACATCCTGCCCCTTGGCCATTCCAGAAATCTCCAAGACCCCAAGTCCTGACAATCCCCCATTCCCGGAGGCCCAAACCTCCACTCTCCCACCCCACCCCCAAGGAAAACCAGCCCCTCCTCCATCCCATGCTTTCTCCGCTGCAACTCCCTGAGCCCCTCTCAGAAACCCTGAATAGCTCTCAAATCATCTCCATGGAAGAAGCCCCCAGATTCTTGGCACCCCCAGAAAGATCTATTCCTTGGGAGTTTCTCTGACCCCATAAATGAACTCAATGTTTCTAAGACTGTATATACTATAACCTCCCAAAACCCCTGAGCCACCTCCGGGCTGGCTCCCAGTTCTCAGCCCTGAGCTTCTCACGCTGTGCTCTGAGGTCACGCCCCTAACTACCCCCAGAGCCACAATCCCTCCCAGGGCTTGATCCTTACAGCCTCCCTCCAGGACAAGCCCCTCACCAAGCACCCCTCTAACCGACAGATGCAGCCTTCAGACCCCTAGCCTCCACATCACCCCCTTTCCTGAAATTCCACCCCAGCCCAGGAAACCTCCTCCCCATTCCTGAGGGAGGTCCTCCCAGCTTCAAAGAAATCCTAGAAAAGTGTCTTGGCCTGACATGCTACCGCAGAGGCCCCGGGGCCCCAGGACACCCCCCTCACCCCCACCAAGAGACCCCTTCAAGGGCCTGGGAGGAAGCCCTGCTTGTGTAGAGAAAGGCCCCAGCCCTGGGCCCCTTGCACCCAGAGGCAGTCCCAGAGCTGGCCAAAGGCTTGGCTGGCAGCGGGCAGGACCCAGGCAGGAAGGGAGGGGCTGGGGCCCGAGGGTGGGGCAGCCTCTCCGCAGCCGGATTGGAACCGGGACCTTCCCCTGGGAGGAGACGCTGGAGGCCGCCTGAGCAGGAGAAGGAGACGGGGGAGGAGGAGACGGGGGAGGAGGAAGAGAGGGAGGAAGCAGAAGAGGAGGGAGAGATATAAACAGGCAGTCTGGACAACAACGCCTCCGATAACTGATACATTCAATATTTAATGGGGTTTTGCTCCGAATCTTGCCAGTGCTGGATGGAGTGTAGTGCTGTTCTTAGCCTCCTTTTTCAAATGAGGAAACTGAGGCTCAGAGAGGGGAAGTGATTTGTTCAGTGTCACACAGCTAGGATGTAATCACGATGTGGGACATGTACCTTATACCAGAAAGAGAGGACCAGGAGTGACTCAGAGAGAAGAAGACTGGTAGGAGGGGTGGGGGGCAGGGAAAGGGGGGCAGGGGAGCAGCTACCCAAAGAGAAGGGGACAGAGACCCAGAGAGAGAGAGTAATAGAGACTCAGAGAGACAGAGGGGACAGAGACCCAGAGAAAAGGGGGCAGAGACCCAGCAACAAGGACAGACATCTGGAGAGAGAGAGAAGGACAGGGCAGGGCGCAGTGGCTCACATCTGTAATCCCAGCACTTTGGGAGACCCAGGCGGGCGGATCACCTGAGGTCAGGAGTTCGAGACCAGCCTGACCAACACAGCCTGACCAACACATCTCTACTAAAAATACAAAATTAGCCAGGTGTGGTGGCGCATGCCTGTAATCCCAGCTACTTGGGAGGCTGAGGCAGGAGAATCTCTTGAACCCAGGAGGCGGAGGTTGCAGTGAGCCGAGATCTCGCCATTGCACTCCAGCCTGTGCAACAAGAGCGAAACTCCGTCTCAAAAAAAAAAAAAAAAAAAAAAGACTCAGAGAGACAGACGGGACAGAGACCCAGAGAAAAGGGGGCAGAGACCCAGCAACAGGGACAGACATTTAGAGAGAGAGGGACAGAGACTGAGAGAGGCATCCCAAGGGCAGGGCTTCGTCCTGTCTGCCGGGGCACTGCAGTAACTATCCTCTCCCCACCCCGCCAGTCCTACTTCGTGTCTGACTACGACCCCACTATTGAGGACTCCTACACGAAGATCTGCAGTGTGGATGGCATCCCAGCCCGGCTGGACAGTGAGGGCGGCAAGGATGGATGATGGATGGGGGTGGTGTCAGTGGGGGCTGAGGGCTCTTGGGGGTGACTGCGGGGAGCCTGGTCCCCACGATGGCCCCTCTCCCTGTCTCTGCAGTCCTGGACACCGCGGGCCAGGAAGAGTTCGGGGCCATGAGAGAGCAGTACATGCGTGCTGGCCACGGCTTCCTGCTGGTGTTCGCCATTAACGACCGGCAGAGGTGACAGGGGTTGCTGGTGGCGGAGCAGTGGGTGGGTGTGGGGAGGACCTGGGCTCTGCAGCTGGCTGGACCTCATGCCTCCGGCTTCACTCGCAGTTTCAACGAGGTGGGCAAGCTCTTCACGCAGATTCTGCGGGTCAAGGACCGCGACGACTTCCCCGTTGTGTTGGTCGGGAACAAGGCAGATCTGGAGTCACAGCGCCAGGTTCGGGACACCCCTCTTTCTGGGGACCCCATCTCAGTCTGGGAGGCTCCTTCCAGCACACCTGTCCCCCATCAGCATCCTCCTCTGTTCCTGCAGTGCTGCGACTGCCACTGTCACACAGCTCACCTAGATGGGTTACCCCCAAACTGGACCTTCAGGGTCCCCGGCATCACCGAGCAGAGGGCCTAGCATGCAAGTGTCCTCAGGAGAGGCTGCTGGACGGAACAAAGGACATTCACCCCCCGTCCGCCAGCTCTCTTTGCCCCTTCCTCGCATTCCTCCCTTCCAGCCAACCTCCCACCAGCCCCAGCACCTCCCCTGCTCATGGCCGGCCCCCTCCATGGCTCCCCAGTTCCTCCCCAGGTGCCAGATGCCCCGCACAGTTGCGCCCCTCCTTTCCCTGCTCCCATCACTTCCCCCACAACGATTTCCACACAGAACTCATCCATCTGGCAAAGGCTCTGGGGATTTCCAGGCTTTGGGGTTCCGCCTGCCTCTGCCGGGAACACCCTGACTTCCCTGCCTGCCCACTCCTGGTTATCTAAGGCATAGCAGGGCAAGTGCCCACGAAGCCTGCCCCCATCCCTTACTTAGAAGACACCAAGCCCCTGCGGCATCTCCCTCCATAATCTCTCAGGAGCTCTTCCTCTTTGAGTTCTCACAGTGGGTCACCTCTCCTAGAGTATCCAGCCTGCCTGTCTGTCTCTCTGGCTGCGGTCACCCTGAGTGCAGGGACCTGACTCCCCCGTGTCCCCCCTACCCCCAGGTCCCCCGATCAGAAGCCTCTGCCTTCGGCGCCTCCCACCACGTGGCCTACTTTGAGGCCTCGGCCAAACTGCGTCTCAACGTGGACGAGGCTTTTGAGCAGCTGGTGCGGGCTGTCCGGTGAGCCAAGTCCCCTTCCTGTCGTCCTTGTCCCCAGCCCTTCCACTCCAAACTCACTGGCGTTTTCCCACAGGAAATACCAGGAACAAGAGCTCCCACCGAGCCCTCCCAGTGCCCCCAGGAAGAAGGGCGGGGGCTGCCCCTGCGTCCTCCTGTAGCCCAGGCAAGAGAGAAGCAACCACCACAAGCTCTCGGGACTAGCTGCCTTCGCACCTTGCTGTGTGACCTGAGGCCCTCACTGAGCCTCAATTTCCTCATCTGGGTCTCCCAGGACACATCACATACCCACCCTTACTTCCTGGCCTCTTCTGGGCTACTGCCACTGTGTGCCTTCTGCCAACGCCTCCTGTCCCCACCTAAGCCTGGTGGGGGTGAGGGGCTCCGGGTCACTGCTGTATATAACTCCCCTCCCCCAGAAAAATAAATGTCACTGCCAACGTCAGGAGGTGCTTTCTAAAAAGGTAATGAGGGTCGGGCACTGTGGCTCACTCCTGTAATCGCAGCATTTTGGGAGGCCAATGCGGGAGGACCGCTTGAGTCCAGGAGTTTTTGACCAGCCTGGGCAGCATAGCGAGACCCCCATCTCTTAAAAAAAAAGGGTGGGGGAATGAACTCTGGGAAGGTGAACGAATTCAGGGCACACATGTTCTAAGGCCTCCCTCCACCTAGAACCCTCGCATCTAGAACCTATTGCTTGGGGAGGAGCAGAAGAAGTTTATAAAGCATAACCAAGTGCCTAGACCCCCCACTTTCCCTTCAACAGGGCGATTCTACCCTTTTCTGTTTGTGTGTGTGTGTGTGTGTGTGTTTTTCTGAGATGGAGTCTCACTCTGTAGCCAGGCTAGAGTGCAGTGGTGTGATCTCAGCTCACTGCAACCTCCGCCTCTTGGGTTCATGCCATTCTCCTGCCTCAGCCTCCCGAGTAGCTGGGACTACAGGCGCATGCCACCACGCCCCCAGCTAATTTATTTTTTGTATTTTTAGTAGAGGCGGGGTTTTACCATGTTAGCCAGGATGGTCTCAATCTCTTGACCTTATGGGTATTTTCTTGGGATAAACTTTGAACATCTGATGAAGGAATTTTTTTTCCTAGAAAGTTATAGAATGCGCTCTTCAATATGGTAGGCAGAAGCTACATGTGGCTATTTAAATTAAAATTAAATAAAATTTGGCTGGATGCAGTGGGTTATGCCTGTAATCCCAGCATTTTGGGAGGCTGAGGTGGGCAGATCGCTTAATCTCAGGAGTTCGAGACCAGCCTGGGCAATAAAGTGAGACCCCCCCCCGCCCCCATCTCTACCAAAAATACAAAAATTAGCTGGGTGTGGTGGCACATGCCTGTAGTCCCAGCTACTCAGGAGGCTGAGGTAGGAGGATCGCTTGAGCCTGGGAGACAGAAATTGCAGTGAGCCAAGGTGATGCCACTGTACTCCAGCCTGGGCGACAGCAAGACTGTCTCAAAAAATAAATAAATAAAAAATAAAAAAAATAAAAATAAAGGCCAGGCGCGATGGCTCACGCCTGTAATCCCAGCACTTTGGGAGGCCCACGCGGATGGATCACCTGAGGTCGGGAGTTCAAGACCAACCTGACCAACATGGTGAAACCCTGTCTCTATTAAAAATACGAAAATTAGCCGGGCGCATTGGTGGGCGCCTGTAATCCCAGCTTCTCAGGAGGCTGAGACATGAGAATAGCTTGAACCCGGGAGGTGGAGTTTGCAGAGAGCCGAGATTGTGCCATTGCACTCTAGCCTGTGCAACAGAGCGAGACTCCGTCTCAAATACAACAACAACAACAAAATAAAAAATATTTTAATAAAACTTAGTTCCTCAGTCAAATCAACATTTCAAGACCTCAGTTGTCACATGTGGCTAGTGACTTTTTTTTTTTTTAGACAAGAGTCTCGCTCTGTCACCCAGGCTGGAGTGCAGTGGCAGGATCTCCAGTTGCTGCAACCTCTGTTTCCTGGGCTCAAGTGATTCTCCTGCCTCAACCTCCTGAGTACCTGGGACTACAGGCGCATGCCACCATGCCCGGCTAATTTTTGTATTTTTGGTAGAGACGGGGTTTCGCCACGTTGGCCAGACTGGTCTGGAACTCCTGGCCTCAAGTGATCTGCCCACCTCGGCCTCCCAAAGGGCTGGGATTACAGGCGTGAGCCACCGCACCCAGCCTCTAGTGGCTATCTTAATAGATAGGGCAGATAGACAACATTCCTATCATTGCTGAGTGGGCTATTGGATAGTGCTTTCTAGAACATTCCAATAGAACGTTCTAGGACATTGGAGACAGGCAGCAACTCAGCTGGGTGTGGTAGCTCACGCTTGTAAGCCCAGTACTTTGGGAGACCGAAATGGGTGGATCACTTGAGGCCAGGAGTTTGAGACCAGCCTGGGCAAGAGCTAGACTCTGTCTACAAAAATAGAGACAGGGAGCAACTGCTACAAACCCTGCCTGTCCCACTCTCACCTTCAATGTATATCGAGAAGGGACAGGTGGGTGGAATGGTGTCCAAGCAGCCGTCTGGCAAGTCCTCATTTTCAGAAAGTTCCCAGTAGCACTGAAATCTGAATCTAAACACTTAATCCAATTTGGGGTCAGTGTGGACATCCCCCATCCAACCCCCTATTCTGTCCTGGGAGAAGCAGAAGTGTTGGGTGTCTTAAGGCCACAGTGGGTAAATGGATGACACACTTCAGTCTGGATACCCAAAGCCCATCTGTGTCCTAGGAACACTTCGTTTTTTACATTTTATTTATTTATTTGAGACAGGGTGTCACTGTGTTGCCCAGGCTGGAGTGCAGTCGCGTGATCACAACTCTGTAGCCTCAACCTCCTGGGCTCAAGCAATCCTCCTGCCTCAGCCTCCCAAGTAGCTGGGACTACGAGTGCACACTTGGCTAATTTTTCATTTTGTTGTAGAGATGGGGTCTCGCTATGTGGCCCAGGCTGGTCTTGAACTCCTCCCTTTAAGCAATCCTCCTGCCTCGGCCTCCCAAAGCTCTGGGATTTACAGGCATGATCCACCATGCCCAGCCTGGGGACACTTAGGACTCTCCCACATCCAACCTAAGCTCTGGTTGGGGGAGGAGCAGTCCTGCCCACTATTTGCTACCCTGGAAGGCTGAAGCCAACTGGAGACCACTGTCCACCCACCTCCCAAGCCTGTGTGACCGGCCATCTTTAAAGCCCCAAATCTACCCAACACACCAGGCTAAAAACCTCAACCGGCCGGGCGCGGTGGCTCATGCTTGTAATCCCAGCACTTTGGGAGGCTGAGGCGGGTGGATCACAAGGTCAGGAGATCGAGACCATCCTGGCTAACACAGTGAAACCCCGTCTCTACTAAAAATACAAAAAATTAGCTGGGCATGGTGGCAGGCGCCTATAGTCCCAGCTACTCAGGAGACTGAGGCAGAAGAATGGTGTGAACCCAGGAGGTGGAGTTGCAGTGAGCCGAGATTGCGCCACTGCACTCTAGCCTGGACGACAGAGCGAGAGTCCATCTCAAAAAAAACAAAAACAAAACAAAACACCTCAACCGAGATGTCCCGATGCCCTGAACTTGAGGCTCCACCTGAAACCTATCAGCAGTCAAACATCTGCTCCCTATACCCAGGCCCCTGATCCCTGAATGCTCTACTCGCACCCACCCTGGAACCTGCTTCCTAGTCCTAGGGTGGAGCATGGCCTTTGCGTGACCGGGATGCCTGAATTCAAATCCAGCTCTGCCACCTCAGTCTCATCTGTAAAATGGGGGTAAGTACAAAGCTACTTCACAGGGTGAGCACGAGACTAAAGGAGACGATTGCAGAGGAGGAATGAGCCCGGCGCATACTAAGTGCTCACCATCAATGACTGTGGCTGACATGTCTCCATTCTGCCCCAGAACCATGAATGTCCCTCTGTATCCCGGATTAGAACACGGATTAGCAGGCTGGGCGCAGTGGCTCACGCCTGTAATCCCAGCACTTTGGTAGGGCAAGGCGGGCGAATCACCTAAGGTCAGGAATTCGAGAGCAGCCTTGCCAACATGGTGAAACCCCCCTCTCTACTAAAACTACAAAAATTAGCCGGGTGTGGTGGCGGGCGCCTGTAATCCCAGCTACTTGGGAGGGTGAGGCATGAGAATCGCTTGAACTCGGGAGGCAGAGGTTGCAGTGAGCTGAGATCGTGCCGTTGCACTCCAGCCTGGGCAACAAGAGCGACACTCTGTCTCAAAAAAAAAAAAAAAAAAAAAAAAACTGATTAGCTAAATATCCCTTTCCGGGTTCTATTATCACAGAATCTTTGGCCTGTTCTCAACCTTCTGCCCTGGGAAAAAGTACAGCTCGGATGTACTGTCACATGTTGGCTCTCTTCCCTGCTAGGAACTCTGCACACCAGGGGTCCACCCCTGCTGGATGGGGAGTGGTGGGGCAAGAGGGTGGGCAATGTTTTGATCAGTTTCCAAACAAGCTCTGACACTTCCACCTAAGCCCCAGCTGCGGGTACTGAGCCCCCAACAGGAAGGAGTCCTGTGCCAACATCTCTCTTCCCAGATCTCACCATCCACATGCCCCCTGCAGAGGATCAGAGTCTTTCCTGCACTGCCCGATGGGGCCAACTTCTTGGCTGGGGCACCCTGCTTCTAGTAGGACCAAGATGCACTTTGAGAAGGTGATTAAAGTTACCGCTTGCCCCCCAAATGCTCAAGACAACTGGCAGACCATTTTTGGAAGGTTTACAGCCACCAGTGTCCCAAAGATCAACACACAACAGCAAAAAGGCTGGCATCTCCCTAGGTACTGTTAGTGCCAGAAATTATGTATTCGGTTCCTCCCCTCCCCTGAGCTCTGGCAGGCCCTAGCAACGATTCTAAAGCTTTCCAGGTTTTGATGTCCCCATCTTTTTTTTTTTTTTTCAAGACGGAGTCTCACTCTGCCGCTCAGGCTGGAGTGCAGTGGCGTGATCTTGGCTCACTGCAACTTCCATCTCCCAGACTCAAGCAATTCTTCTGCCTCAGCCTCCCAAGTAGCTGGGATGACAGGCACCGGCAAGCATGCCCGACTAAATTTTTTTTTTTTTTTTTTTTTGAGACAGTGTTTCACTCTTGTTGCCCAGGCTGCAGTGCAATGGCGCGATCTCGGCTCACCGCAACCTCCGCCTCCCGGGTTCAAGCGATTCTCCTGCCTCAGCCTCCTGAGTAGCTGGGATTACAGGCATGCGCACCACCCCGGCTGATTTTGTATTTTCAGTAGAGACGGGGTTTCTCCATGTTGGTCAGGCTGGTCTTGAACTTCCGACCTCAGATGATCGTCCCACCTTGGCCTCCCAATTTGCTGGGATTACAGGCATAAGCCACTGTGCCCGGCCATACCCGACAAATTTTTGTATTTTTAGTAGAGGCAGGGTTTCACCATGCTGGCCAGGCTGGTCTCGAAATCCTGACCTCAGGTGATCCATCCACGTTGGCCTCCCAAAGTGCTGGGATTACAGGTGTGAGCCACCACGCCCGGCCAATGTCCCCATCTTTATCTTTCTCTGTGTCTCTTTGTTTTCTGTCATGTTGTGGACCTCTGTTAAGCTTCTCTAGATCTCCTGCTACAGGTCACAGGAGCTGCAGGCCAGGTGCTCCAAACCGGTTGTCTTCCTTCATTTTGACAAAAGCCCATTTAATGGATGGCAAAGGTGAAGATGGGGTCTGTTACCCAATCTGCCTGGTTAGTGCTGCAGCTGGGATTCTAATCTGGGCAGCTGGATGCCAAAGGCCAACCACAAGGTGATTCTGTCCCTAAAGGGATGATTCCTGACCTCACTGTCCACGCTCACAACACTCCACTCCCGGCCGAGCGCGGTGGCTCATACCTCTAATCAATCCCAGCACTTTGGGAGGCCAGGGCGGGTGGAGTACCTGAGATCAGGAGTTAGAGACCATCCTGGCCAACATGGTGAAATCCCGTCACTACTAAAAACACAAAAATTAATTGGACCTGGTGGCACGTGCCTGTAGTCCCAGTTACTCAGGAAGCTTGAGGCAGAAGAATGGCTTGAACCCAGGAGGCGGAGGTTGCAGTGAGCCAAGATCATGCCACTGCACCCAAGCTTGGGTAACAAAGCGAGACTCTGTCTCAAAAAGAAAAAAGAAAAAGAATACTCCACCCGTTTTCCATCCTGGAACTCTGACCTGGGACAATGCCAATCCTTTGGCCTCAATTTTAGCTTTTTTTTTTTTCTGGAGACATGAGGATCTCGCCATGTTGCCCAGGCTGGACTCAAGCAATCCTCCTGCCTTGGCCTCCCAGAGTGCTGGGATTATAGGCATGAGCCACTGTCACCTGGCATTTGGCCTCAGTTTGACAGTCTAGTCCAGGACCTTGAATGTATGGCTTTCCATCAAAGGCTGCACCCCCACATGCTATAGGCCACAGTTCAAGCACAATAATGGTTTGTACTCAGCCCTCTTAACTCAATGATTCTAGAAAGTTCATGATCCTTTTTAAAATTTTTTGAGATGGAGTCTCACTCTGTTGCCCAGGCTGGAGTGCAGTGGCGCGATCTGGGCTCACTGCAACCTCAGCCTCCCGGGTTCAAGCGAGTCTCCTGCCTCAGCCTCCTGAGTAGCAGGCACAAGCCACTATGCCTGGCTAATTTCTGTAATTTTAAGAGAGATAGGGTTGGCTGGGCACAGTGGCTCATGCCTGTAATCCCAGCACTTTGGGAGGCCAAGAAGGGCAGATCATGAGGTCAGGAGTTCGAGACCAGCCTGATCAACATGGTGAAACCCTGTCTCTACTAAAAATACAAAAATTAGCCGGGAGTGGTGGCATGCACCTGTTATCCCAGCTACTCACAAGGCAGAGGCAGGACAATCGCTTGAACTTGGGAGGCGGAGGTTGCAGTGAGTCAAGATAGTGCCACTGCACTCCAGCCTGGGAAACAGAGGGAGACTCCGTCTCAAAAAAAAAAAAAAGAAGGTTTTTACCATGCTGGCCAGGCCGGTCTCAAACTCCTGACCTCAGGTGATCCGCTCATCTCCACCTCCCAAAGTGCTGGGATTACAACCGTGAGCCACCACGCCTGGCTTCATGGTCTATTGTTGACTCACCCATTATGGTTCTCAAATGCTACTATCCATCCTCTAGTCTGAAACCAGGATCTAAAATCTGTAACATGTGGCCAGGCACGATGGCTCTTGCCTGTAATCCCAGCACTTTGGGAGGCCGAGGCAGGCGGATCACGAGGTCAGGAGATTGAGACCATCCTGGCTAACACAGTGAAACCCCATCTCTACTAAAAATACAAAAAAAAAAAAATTAGTCGGGCATGGTGGTGGGCGCCTGTAGTCCCAGCTACTTGGGAGGCTGAGGCAGGAGAATGGCAGGAACCCTGGACGCGGAGCTTGCAGTGAGCCGAGATTGCGCCACTGCACTCCAGCCTGGGCAACAGATCGAGATTCCGTCAAAAAAAAAAAAAAAAAAAAAAAAATCTGTAACATGTGATGGTCTAGAGTCCAGATTTGTCCAACCCACCTTATTTTGTTGTTGTTCTGTTTTGTTTTAGGCTTTTAGCAGCCTGAAGCCATGGTTTTTAGTTTCTGTCTCTAGTAATAAACAAAAAAGAGGGATGAGGAAGGGGCTTTACTGGTACAACAGAAACTAAGAACCCATGACTGTATTCTCTCCTTGGACACCCCTGGAACAATACTCAAGGTTCTAGAACGATGAGGGTTCTCCCTGAATCTCACCTAAAAGGGCATCTGGAATGCTGATGTTCCACCCTCAAATCTCACACTGGGTCCCTACCCACGGACTAAGCCAGGGTTCTGGAACACCAGTGGTCCATCCATCCAGGCTCTAGAATGACAACAGCCTGTTCACTGCTTCATAGACTGGGTTCTAAAATATTGCCAGTTGACCTCCACATTTTTTATTTTTTGAGATGGAGTCTCGCTCTGTCAGCCAGGCTGGAGTGGTGCAATGGCACGATCTCAACTCACTGCAACCTCCGCCCCCTGGATTCAAGCGATTCTCCTGCCTCAGCCTCAGCCTCCCATGTAGCTGGGATTATAGACGCACGCCACCACGCCTGGCTGATTTTTGTATTTTTAGTAGAGACGGGGTTTCACCATGTTGGTCAGGCCGGTCTCGAACTCCTGACCTCAAGTGATCCCCCCGCCCCGGCCTCCCACAGTGCTGGGATTATAGCCGTGAGCCACCGTGCCCAGCCAACCTGCACATTTTTAACATTCTTGTTCTAGAACACGGTTCTTCAAACTTGAATGTGCTTGAGAATCCTCTCGGCATTTTACTAAAAAGTGGGTTCTGATCAAGTAGACCAGAGCAACAGCCTGAGATTCTACATCTTTTCCTTTAAGGGTGGGAGGAGGAGAAACAGCCCTATTCAACCTGCCCTCTCCTCGTCTGCTGCCTGTGCCGATTCTACATTTATACAAGTGCTTGGGGAACTCCAAGAGTGCTGTACCATGGACCACTCACTTGGATTCAAGAATACAGGACTTGAGGCCGGGCGCAGTGGCTCACACCTGTAATCTCTTTGGAAGGCTGAGGCTGGCGGATCACTTGAGGTCAGGAGTTCGAGACCAGCCTGGCCGACATGGTGAAACCTGGTTTCTACTAAAAATACAAAAATTTGCTGGATGTAGTGGTAGGCCCCTGTAATCCCAGCTACTTGGGAGGCTGAGGCAGGAGAATCGCTTGAACCGGGGAGGCTGAGGTTGCATGAGCCAAGATCGAACCACTGCACTCCAGGCTGGGTGACAGAGCGAGACTCTGTCTCAAAAAAAAAAACCAAAACAAAACACTACAGGATTTGAACTGGGTGTAGTGGCATGCACCCGTAATGCCAACTACTTGAGACTGGGGCAGGAGGATCTTTTAAGCCCAGAAGTTCAAGGCCAGCCTGGGTAACATAAAGAACACAGGGCCAGGCACAGTGGCACTTGCCTGTAATCCCGTCACTTTGGGAGGCTGAGGCAGGAGGATCGCTTGAGCCAGGGAGTTGGAGGCTGCAGTGAGCTATGATCATGCCACTGCACTCCAGCCTAGGTGACAGAGCGAGACCCTGTCTTTAGCTAAAAAACAAAAGAAACCCCCCAGTGATAAATATTTGTTGTCTGAAGTCATTAAATTTCAGGGTGGGATACTCTGCTGTGCGGGGACACAGAACATATGCCAGCCTCAGGCCCCCCACTGCCCAGGGCTCTGGGAAAGTCCCGTTCCAGAACCTCTGCCCCTGCTACCACTGCCACCCACTCCAGCGCCGCAGGACAGAGGCACTCCAGCCTGCCGGTAAAGTGTTTGCCGTTGGGTTTTCGTTTGGCTGGTTGTGTGTACACAGTGTATACAAGTTGAGTTGTACAGAAGCCCAAGAAAGAGCAAGAGACAAAGGGTAGTGGGAGCAGGGGGTGGGGCGGGGGCGAGAACGGGGAGGAGGGGAAAGGAGACCGATAAAAAATAGAACCACATCCAGACAACAATGGGGGATGGGCAGTGGGTGGGGGCCAGACACAGACAAATCGCCGTAGAAAAGGAGTGGGAGGGGCAGAGAGAGGGGACCCTTCTCCCCCCTCCACCTCCCCAAGCCCCTGCCCCAGGTATGTACAATAAATAAGATTAAAAATAATTAACAAGATGCGTTTTCCCCTCCCACCCGACGCCAAATGCCCTGCGGAGGGAATGGCCTTTAGCAAAGATCTTGGCCTGCAGGGGGGACTTGGGGGGAAGGGGTCCCCCAGCTCTCTGAAGCCACCCCACCCCCCCCAGCCATACATAGACTTTTCCTATACATTATGTACAAGGTGGAGGGGGCGGGGGCTGTGGCTGTGGAGGGGGGGTCGGGGCAAGGGGAGAGGGAAACCGTTACTAAATAGACATTTATACATATATATAAATAATTTCTCTGTACACCGAACAGTGGGAGGAATGGGGAGGGAGTGGAGGGGGCTTGGGAGAGGGGGGGAGTCGGACTTTGAACCCTGCCCTGGAGGGGGCAGCACAGACACACCCTGACCCATGACCCCCTTTCCCCGGCGATGGAGCCCAGGTGTTAGCTCCTGAGGACACGGTTCTGTCCCAATTCTCGGTTCATGGAGGAGGCGCCCCCCTCACAAGCTGGGGCGGGGTCACCCGCAGCGGCTGTGGGCCTGTGCTTGGGCCAGCAGGTCACTGAAGGAGTCAAAGAGCTGTTCCAGCCACGGCTGGTTCCGCATGCACTGCTGGACCACCTCCTCCTGGCCCAGGTCCTCGGCGCCGCCCTCGATGGCCAGGGTCTGCAGGGGTCAAACATGGCACTGGGGAGGGTGGCACACCGGCCTCTGGGGAGGGAAGGGGCTGGGGCATGGGGCCTGGGGTGTCAGATGTCAGTGTCCCAGGGAGACCAGGGCTGGGGGCTGCATTCTTAAGTCCAAGACAGAAGGACCTGAACTCTTGGGTCTGAGGCAGGATGGGGCTGGGCTTGGACCCTCAGATCCCAAGAGGAAGTCAGAAAGGTTGGAATCCCAGGGCGATGGGTGCTGTGGGTGGGGCTCACCTGGTCCCGGCAGCGCAGGAAGGTGTGGTATTTATAGTGGTGGAGCGAATGGTAGAGTGTATAGTATCCCGACTTTTCCAGCTCAACCTTGAACTCCTGGGTAGGAGTGGAGATGCCTCAGCCCCTCCAGCCCGGCACTTGGCAGCCCCTCTCCTCCCTTCCCACATACCGCCAGCACTCCCCACTCCCAGCCCCAGCCCCAGTGCCCACCTGGGCTCTGACCACGCTCCTCTTGAGCTTGCTGAGCGTCTTGCGGTTGTAGGGTTCCCCAGCAGGCCGCAGCCGCACAGCCCCCTCTTCCGGAGAGCCCTCCCCACTCTGCTCCACTTGCAGCTGTGGGAACGTGTGCAGAGCATCCTGCGGGAAGCCAATGGGTCAGCTGGATGCTGCCCTGGATCCATAAACCCCAAACCCAACAGCCAGGTCTCAGATCTGTGCCTCAGTTTCCCCCAGGCTGCAGATCAGGAGAGACAACTAGAGTCTCCTCAAAGGACAGAGGAGGCTGGGCCTGACCAGTGATGCTTCCACTGTGCCTTCTGGCCTGGCTCAGATTCTCAATGTCACCCAAAATTCTACCCCAGAATTCCCAGCCCCATCCTAACCATCTACCCCAGAATTCCCAGCCCCATCCTAACCATCTATCCCAGAATTCCCAGCCCCATCCTAACCATCTATCCCAGAATTCTCAGCCCCATCCTAACCACCTACCCCAGAATTCCCAGCCCCATCCTAACCACCTACCCCAAAATTTTCAGCACCATCCTAACCACCTACCCCAGAATTCTCAGCCCCATCCTAACTATCTATCCCAGAATTCTCAGCCCCATCCTAACCACCTATCCCAGAATTCTCAGCACCATCCTAACCACCTACCCCAGAATTCTCAGCACCATCCTAACCACCTACCCCAGAATTCTCAGCCCCATCCTAACCACCTATCCCTGAATGCTCGGCCCCATCCTAACCACCTACCCCAGAATTCTCAGTCTCATCCTAACCACCTATCCTATCCCAGAATTCTCAGCCCCATCGTAACCACCTACCCCAGAATTCTCGGTCCCATCCTAACCACCTACCCCAGAATTCTCGGTCCCATCCTAACCACCTACCCCAGAATTCTTGGCCCCATCCTAACCACCTACCTCAGAATTCTCAGTCCCATCCTAACCACCTACCCCAGAATTCTCGGTCTCATCCTAACCACCCACCCCAGAATTCCTGGCCCCATCCTAACCACCCACCCCAGAATTCCCAGCCCCATCCTAACCACCTACCCCAGAATTCCCAGCCCCATCCTAACCAGCTATCCCAGAATTCCCAGCCCCATCCTAACCACCTACCCCAGAATTCCCAGCCCCATCCTAACCAGCTATCCCAGAATTCCCAGCCCCATCCTAACCATCTACCCCAGAATTCTCGGCCCCATCCTAACCACCTACCCCAGAATTCTCGGCCCCATCCTAACCATCTATCCCAGAATTATTGGCCCCATCCTAACCATCTATCCCAGAATTCTCAGCCCTATCCTAACCATCCCATCTACCCCAGAATTCTTTTTTTTTTTTTTTTAAGACAAAGTCTCGCTCTGTCGCCCAGGCTGGAGTGCAGTGGCGCGACCTTGGCTCACTGCAAGCTCCGCCTCCCGGGTTCACACCATTATTCTGCCTCAGCCTCGCGAGTAGCTGGGACTACAGGCACCCACCACCACACCCGGCTAATTTTTTGTGTATTTTTAGTAGAGACGGGGTTTCACCATGTTAGCCAGGATGGGTTGTTATTGGTCTCCTGACCTCGTGATCCACCTCCCTTAGCCTCCTAGAGTGCTGGGATTACCAACATGAGCCTCCGCGCCCAGCCATCTATCCCAGAATTCTAACTCCCGACTAATAACACATACTTCTCAGACCTACTCTAATATCCTACACTGGGATTATCTACCCTAGTGTAACATCTCACCCACAATCCTCAGTGCCAGCCTAACAATCCATCTCAGAATTTGTAGACTAGATTCATATCCTCCAGAGTTTTTATAACCTAATGCTACCCAGAATTTTCCAACCCACCCAGCACTCTACCCACGAATTTTCAGAGTCAGCATAACATTCCAGCTTAGATTTCTCCACACCAGTCTAAGAATCCATTCCAGAATTCTCGGTCATCCCAACGTCCCACCCATCATTCTGAGAAAACTACTATCTCACTCAAAATTCTCAGTCATATTAATATCTCTCTCTCTCTCTCTTTCTCTCTCTCTCTCTCTCTCTCTCTCTCTATATATATATATATATATATGTTTTTGTTTTTTTTTTGAGACAGAGTCTCGCTCTGTCGCCCAGGCTGGAGTGCAGTGGCACGATCTCGCCTCACTGCAAGCTCCGCCTCCCGGGTTCACGCCTTTCTCCTGCCTCAGCCTCCTGAGTAGCTGGGACTACAGGCGCCCGCCACCACGCCCAGCTAATTTTTTTGTATTTTCAGTAGAGACGGGGTTTCACTGTGTTAGTCAGGATGGTCTCGATCTCCTGACCTCGTGATCCATCCGTCTTGGCCTCCCAAACTGCTGGGATTACAGGCGTGAGCCACCGCGCCTGGCCTGTTTTTTTTTTCTTTTTTGGAGACAGTCTTGCTCTGTCGCCCAGGCTGGAGTGCAGTGGTACCATCTTGGCTCACTGCAAGCTCCACCTCCTGGGTTCAACTGATTCTCCTGCCTCAGCCTCCAGGGAAGCTAAGACTACAGGTGCCCACCACCACGCCCAGCTAATTTTTTATTTTGAGTAGAGACGGGGTTTCACTTTTTTTTATTTTGAGAGAGCCAGGGTGGTCTCGAACTCTTGACCTCAGGCCATCTACCGGCCTTGGCTTCCCAAAGTGCTAGGATCACAGGCGTGAGCCACTGTGCCCGGCCTTCCTGCGTATTTTCTAAGACTAACTTCCCACCAGCCATCTCAGCACCAGCCTAATAGCCTATCCCAGAATTCTTAGTACCAGCCTAGAATCCATCCCAGAATTCTCAGAATCACTGCAAGTCTTCCAGAATTCTCAAAGCCAGAATAACATTCGATTCCAGAAGTCTCAGTTACCCTAACATTCTATCCCGGAATTCTCAGTGCCACACTAACATCCCAACCAGAATCCTCAGAGCCAGTTTAACACTGGATTTCAGAGCCCTGATATTCCATCCCAGAATATCCCAGAAGGGAAATCATACAGATGACTTAACACTGAAGCCTGGGATCCTAATAGCCTGCATTGGACTCACAAAGAAGCCATCGGTCCAGTGCCCGCTTTGGGTGCAGGCCTAGTCTATGTTTGGCTGCACACTTGTTCTCCGAAACAACAGCCCAGCCTTTCACAACCACCCCTCTGCTGCCCCAAGGCCCACAGCTCCTCCCCACATGGGCTTCATGGCTGTTGAGAACCCAGAGATCTCCTGACAGTCCTGCCCTCAACTTTTCTCCCATCTGAGCCCAGAAGGACGATCTCCTTCCAAGGATCACCCCCGCCAACAGCGGCCGACACGTACATGTCTTCTCCATGTGGACCCTGGGCCCCAGACACCCCCTGCCCAGACCCCCAGGCACCTGCAGGGCTGGGCTTAGCGACAGCCGCTTCAGGACTTTCTTCTTGTGCTCATTCAGCAGGCCGTCTATCTTCCGCATGGGGGGCAGGTACAGCTCGTCTGATGGACGAGGACATGGTATCAGGAAGGCCACAGCCTCACAAAGCACTGGGGCCAAGGTGGGGTCATGGAGTCTGGGTCCCCAAATCCCCTTCCCACTCAGAGACAAAAGTACAGGCCCCAGCCCCCTCCTCCTTCGGACCCAGGAGTCCAGGCCCCAGCTCCCTCCTCCCTCAGACCCAGGAGTCCAGACCCCCAGCCGCTCCTCCCTCAGACCCAGGAGTCCAGACCCCCAGCCGCTCCTCCCTCAGACCCAGGAGTCCAGACCCCCAGCCCCTCCTCTCTCTGACCCAAGAGTCCAGACCCCCAGCCCCTCCTCCCTCAGACCCAGGAGTCCAGGCCCCAGCCCCTCCTCCCTCAGACCCAGGAGTCCAGACCCCCAGGCCCTCGACCCCCAGCCCCTCCTCCCTCAGACCCAGGAGTCCAGGCCCCAGTCCCTCCTCCCTCAGACCCAGGAGTCCAGGCCCCAGCCCCTCCTCCCTCAGACCCAGGAGTCCAGACCCCAGCCCCTCCTCCCTCAGACCCAGGAGTCCAGGCCCCAGTCCCTCCTCCCTCAGACCCAGGAGTCCAGGCCCCAGTCCCTCCTTCCTCAGACCCGGGAGTCCAGTCCCTCCTTCCTCAGACCTGGGAGTCCAGGTCCAGCCTCTCCTCCCTCAGAACCAGGAGTCTAGGCCCCCAGCGCCTCCTCCCTCAAACCCAGGAGTCCAGGCCCCCAGCCCCTCCTCCCTCAGACCCAGGAGTCCAGGCCCCCAGCCCTTCCTCCCTCAGACCCAGGAGTCCAGGCCCCCAGCCTCTTCTCCCTCAGACCCAGGAGTCCAGGCCCCCAGCCTCTTCTCCCTAGGACCCAGGGACCTCCTCCCTCAGACCCAGGACTCCAGGCCCCAGCCCCTCCTCTCTCAGACCCAGGTCCAGGCCTCAGCTCCTCTTCCCTCAGACTCAGGAGTCCCGACCCCAAACCTCTCCTCTCTCACATCACGTCCAAGCCCTCAGCACCTGCTCCCTCAGACCGAGTCAGCCCCCCCCCCTCCTCCCCAGGCCTCAGCTCACCATGCGTGTCCTCCAGGGCCTGGATCATGTCTGGGTCAAGTGCTGTGCTCACCAACATCTCCACGTAGCTCCGGTACATCTCCCGCATCGCCCTGGTTTTGAGCAGACGCCCAGGTACTGCCCGCTCTGCAGAAAAGACAGGACGCAGGCTCGTTATCCCAATTTCCTCTGAGACCACCTGTGTGGCAGACACTGTTCTCAACACTGGGGACCGGAAGAGAAATCCCTGCTTTTGGGAGGTCCAAGTCCGCTAGGGAAGATTGACAGGCAAGCGCCAGTGCCACGTGCTCTTGTGGCAGAATCACAGGGACTGCAAGAAGCTCAGAGAAGGCCAGGCACAGTGGCTCACGCCTGTCATCCCAGCACTTTGGGAGGCCGAGGCAGATCACCTAAGGTCAGGAGTTTGATACCAGCCTGGCCAGCGTGGCAAAACCCTGTCTCTACTAAAAATACAAAAATTATCCAGGCGTGGTGGCACACGCCTGTAATCCCAGCTACTCGGAAGGCTGAGGTAGGACGGCTTGAACCCAGGAGGCGGAGGTTGCAGTGAGCCAAGATTGTGCCATTGCACAGCCTGGGTGACAGAGTGAAACTCGTCTCCAAAAAAAAAAAAAAAAAAAAAAAAAGCCAGGCATTGTAGCCCATAAAGTGCTGTGGCCTGCAATCCCAGCACTTTGGGAGGCCGAGGCAGGCAGATCACCTGAGGTCGGGAATTGGAGACCAGCCTGACCAACATGGAGAAACCCCGTCTCTACTAAGAAATACAAAATTAGCCGGGCATGGTGGTGCATGCCTGTAATCCCAGCCACTCGGGAGGCTGAGGCAGGAGAATCCCTTGAACCTGGGAGGCGGAGGTTGCGGTGAGCCGAGATCGCACAATTGTACCCCAGCCTGGACAACAAGAGCGAAACTCCGTCTCAAAAAAAAAAAAAAAAAAAAAAAGGGCTGGGCATGGTGGCTCACACCTGTAATCCCACCACTTTGGGAGGCCAAGGCAAGTGGATCACCTGAGGTCGGGAGTTCGAGACCAGCCTGACCAACATGGAGAAACCCTGTCTCTACTAAAAATACAAAATTAGCCGGGTGTGGTGGTGCGTGCCTGTAATCACAGCGACTCGGGAGGCTGAGGCAGGAGAATCGCTTGAACCCGGGAGGCAGAGGTTGCGGTGAGCTGAGATCGCACAACTGCACTGGCAATAAGCCTGGGCAACGAGAGCAAGACTGTCTCAAAAAAAAAAAAAAAAAAAAAAAAACTCACAGGAGGCATCAGACTCACCCTTGTTCAAGATCAAACAAAGGCTGAGCCTTGAGTGATAGCTCAGAGCACTTAATTGTGGCTTCACGTAAGTCTAAAGCAGCAGCATTGTTGGTTTCCAAAAGAGGGTATCCAGGGAGGTCAGATCATAAAGGGGCAAGGCTGAGGGACGAGATGGGAGCTGGCATTGCACAGGTCAGTGCAGGCCAGACCACACTGGGCCTCCAACACCAGGCAGAAAGGGCAAGGGCTTTTTCTGGTGGGTACTAGGGAGCCATGAGAGAGCTGAGAGCAGGGAAGGGGTGAGTGTAAGCGTAGAAAGATCCCTCCTAAGCCAAGCAGGGGACAGACTGGAGGAGTGAGGCTGAAGTCCAGGCTGATGGACCAGGTAGGAACGAATGAAGGTGGGGCAGGGCTGGAAGCAGAGGACGAGGCTGAGCTGGGCAGGCCTGGGAAAGGGTGGAGGGGATGGGGGCGGACAGGGCTGGGAGCTGCCCAGCTGTGGGGGCGACAGGTAGAAAAAGAAAAGAGGAAGGCCGGGTGCAGTGGCTCATGCCTGTGATCCCAGCACTTTGTGAGACTGAGGCGAGAGGATCGCCTGAGGTCAGGAGTTCGAGACCATCCTGGGCCAACATGGTGAAACCTCATCTCTACTAAAAATACACAAATTAGCCGGGCATGGTGGCACACATCTATAGTCCCAGCTACTTGGGAGGCTGAAGAAGGAGGATCACTTGAACCCAGGAGGTGGAGGTTTCAGTGAACTGAAATTACACCACTTTGCACTTCAACCTGGGTGACAGAGTGAGGCTCTGTCTCAAAAAAAAAAGAAAAGAAAAGGAAAAGAGGTGAGGATGGCTCCTGGGAAGTCTGGTCAGGTGACTGTGTAGCCAGAGGTCCGGTCCCTAAGATGGGGAAGCCAGGACACAGAGCTTGATGGGATTTGGGGGTGTTGGGGAAGGTCTGTGGGGTGGCCAGGGGCAGAAACAGGGCTTGGGCTCACTGGAAAGGGGTCATGACCCCAGCAACAAGGCAAACAGCCGGTCAACAAGAGAGAAGGAAACTGGGACCCTGGACAACCCTGAAAAAGAGCCATTCATTCATTCGTTCGTTCATTCATTTATTGAGACCGAGTTTCCCTCTGTTGCCCAGGCTGGAATGCAATGGCGCAATCTCAGCTCACTGCAACCTCTGCCTCCCAGGTTCAAGTGATTCTCCTGGCTCCGCCTCCCGAGTCGCTGTGATTATAGGCATGCACCACCACACCCGGCTAATTTTTTTATTTTTAGTAGAGACGGGGTTTCTCCATGTTGACCAGGCTGGTCTCGAGCTCCTGACCTAAGGTGATTTGCCCGCTTCGGCCTCTCAAAGTGCTGGGCATCAGCCACTGTGCCCGGCCGCTTTTATTTTCTATACATCTCCCTGCTATATCAGGGCTTTGATGGAAAGACAATTCCGCCTTCCTCATTTGACTCGCTAATTCTAATCTCTGTTAAAACAGCTACCCCTGTACTGTGTGGCCCTGACCAGGTACCATCACCTCTTGGTGCCTCAGTTTCTTCATCTTTTATTTATTTAAGAAGTTATCCTTAGAGACAGGGTCTAATTCTGTCACCCTGGCTGGAAAGCAGTGGTGTAATCATACCTCACCATAGCCTTGAACTCATGGGCTCAAGTGATCCTTCTGCCTCAGCCTCCTGAGTAGCTGGGACTACAGGCATTCACCACCAAGCCCAGCTAATTTTTAAAAATTTGTTCGTAGAGACGGGGTCTCACTATGTTGCCCAGGCTCATCTCGAACTCTTGAGCTCAAGTGAGTCTACCACCTCAGCCTCCCAAAGTGAAGGGATTACCGGTGCGAGCCACCACACCCAGCCCCCATCTTTAAAATGAGGATAATTCTACCAAGCTATCTCACGGGGTTTATTAGGTAAAGGTCAAGTAAGCCTGTGTGCAAATGTTTAAAATGATTTCTGGTACATAGTAAACACTCAACAAAAATCAGCTGTTACCCTTACTGTACATATGTGAATATATATTTATTTTTGTTGTTGTTATTGTCATCACTAACCAGACTTTTTTTTTTTTTTTTGAGACGGAGTCTTGTTCTGTCATCTAGGCTGGAGTGCAGTGGCCTGATCTCAGCTCACCGTAACCTCTGCCTCCCGGGTTCAAGTGATTCTCCTGCCTCAGCCTCGTTGAGTAGCTGGGATTACAGGCACACGCCACCATGCTGGGCTAATTTTTGTATTTTTTAGTAAAGCCGGGATTTCACCATGTTGGTCAGGCTGGTCTTGAACTCCTGACCTCAGCTGATCCGCCCACCTTGGCCTCCCAAAGTGTTGGGATTACAGGCGCGAGCCACTGTGCCCGGCCTAACCAGACATCATCATAAGCACTGAGGATGTGGCAGTGTGCTGGGCAGACATGGAGTAGACAGGTAGTGTCTACTAAAGATTGGCACTCTCCTATGAGCTTCGTCTATTATGAACCCATTTTACAGGTGAGGTCACTAAGGCACAAGAGGTTATGCCTCTTTCTCAGGGTCACCCAGGGCCTCACAGGAAACCCCACCATCACAGAGCCTCCAGGACAGCTGCCTAGTCCCACATCTTCCTCAGCCCTCAAATCTTGCCTATTATGAGGCAGAACGCAGCACTGAAGAACAGAGTCCGAGGCACCCTGGGCTCAGTTGCAACTCTGCTGGGCACCCAACACAGACTGTGCTGCCCTCTCTTGGAGCCTCAGCTTCCTCATCTGTAGATGAGGATAACAGTATCTACCTACTAGGATGGGTGAAAATTACACAAGTTAACATCCATCAGCTTCTCAGGAGGCAGCCTGTCGTGTAGTGAGATGCCCCGTGACTGTGAGCTACTGCCATTATCTGTAACATACTGGTTCTTACTGTCCTGCCAAGGCTACCTGGAGCCCTCTGGACAGCCCTCACCTGTGTCCCTTCCCCACCCACCCCTGCAGCCCTGAGGCTGCCTAGGGCCTCACCGTCCTCGCTGGGGGCTCCAGGGGAGGACTCCGAGTCCGAGGAGCTGCCTGGTGGGCCCCCGCCTGCTGTAGCGTTGCCGCCTGCCTCCTTCAGCCATTTCTTCCTCTTCTTAGGGGGCGGTTCAGCCTTCACCTTGGTAGGCCGGGCTTTGGGCAGCCGGGATGTGGCAGGTTGTCCCGTGGCGAGACTCCGCTCTGGCCGTGTCTGCCGTCCGCTGGTGGCCCGCTCACCCCGCAATGGCCGCTCTCCACGTGTCACCTTCTCCTTCTCCTTTTCCTTCTCAACAGGCCGCAGGAGGGAGGGCTTCTCGGGGGCAGGGGGCTCAGGCATGGCCGTCTCAGGAGTCTGCTCTGGGGGCTTCTCAGATGTCGTCTTTTCAGGGGTCTCAGGCTTGGGAGGTGGTGCTGGGGCCTTAGGGGGAGGTGCAGAGCTACCCCCAGCAGATACGGGGTTCTTGGCCTGCCCAGAGCGTCTAGAAGGGAACAGAGAAGGGACTGTAGTCAGCAGCCCCCAATAATCCAAATTCTCCTCAGGGTCCCTGCTCAGTGCCCTAGGCACAGGAATAGCTTCTCTCATACTGTCCCCTCCTCTCTCTGGTCTCTGTTCCCCTCCCTCTCTGGGACTCTGACCCCCTCCCTCTCTGGGACTCTGACCCCCTCCCTCTCTGGGACTCTGACCCCCTCCCTCTCTGGGTCTCTGACCCCCTCCCTCTCTGGGTCTCTGACCCCCTCCCTCTCTGGGTCTCTATTCCCCTCCCTCTCTGGGTCTCTATCCCCCTCTTTCTGGGTCTCTGTCCACCCCAGGTCTCTGTAGCCTTCTGTGAGTCTCTGTCCCCTCCCGTCTCTGGGTCTCTGTCTCCCTGTCTCTGGATCTTTGTCCTCCCCCATCTCTGTCCCTCTTTTTCTCTGGGTCTCTGTCTCCTTCTGAGTCTCCGTCTCCCTCATGCGTCTGGTTCTCTGTTCTCCCATCTCTGGGTCTCTGTCCCCCCACCTCTGGGTCTCTGTTCCCCTCCTGTCTCTGGGTCTCTATCCCCCCTTCTCTGGGTCTCTGTCCCTATTTCTCTCCGGGTCTCTGTCCCCCTCTCTCTCTGGGCTCTGTCTCCTCTCTCTGTCCCCACCCCCCACTCTCCAGCCTTCTCTCTTGCATGCCGCATCCCCATGCCTGTCGGCGCTACATACTACCTGCCCCTGTGTCCCCCATGGTTGGTACCTGACTGGCACTGGGGGCCGATGCCAGGGTTTCCGAGCACAGACCCTCACGTAGTCCTTCTTATTGACATTTTCCAGGAACTTTACATAGAGGCGCTGGTACCGATTTTTTGCATCCCCAAAATACCCCAAATACTATGGGGAGAAAGAGGCACATGAGGAAATTCTTCACACTGCCCAGCCAGATGGCCAACACCCCCGTGCCCTGGGCCACCATGGCAGCTGCTTGGAGCCTGCCGGCAGCAGGGGGCCCCCTTCCAGATACACTGTGGAGTGAGTCACAGCCACACTAAGGGGAACCCCAGCTCCTAGATACCACGCCCCGGGGCCCCCAAGTCCTTGGTCCCCTTTGCAGGCTTACATTACTGGTGGCACAAAACTGCCTCTGGCCGTCCTTGATCTCCGGAGTGAATTTCTGCAGAAGGGCCTTCTGGACTCGCCAGATGGGTGGGGGTTCACGCCCCGTCTGCAACGCCAGCTGAGGAGGAGGGGTGTGGTGAGGCCAGCAGGGTCAGCCCTCATTCCTAGACCTACTGCCCCTACGCCCTGGCCCACTGGCTTCCCTCACCATCCCCTTAGAGAAAAGGCAGACACGTCAACAACAAATATCTTCTACCCCCATGATGTGTTCAGCTCTGTGTACAGCTTGAACTTGACCCTGTCGCCTCCTGCCCACCCAGTACCCTGGATTGGGCTGCTCGTTCTCAGGCTGTAGAGTTTGAGTCACTATTGCTTTACGGGGTGAAAGCCCAAAACTTCCTGTGTGACTCAGAGTAATGACAATCTTTGAACACCGCCTGCTATTTACTGTGCTGGACAGGAGAGTACGGTTGTGAGCAAGACGTCCTGTTGTGGTCTGACTGTCCCCCCACATAATTCTCTTTTTACTTTTTCTTTTTTTGAGACGGAGTTTTGCTCTTGTTGCCCAGGTTGGAGTGCAGTGGCGCAATCTCAGCTCACTGCGACCTCCGCCTCCCGGGTTCAAGCCGATTCTTCTGCCTCAGCCTCCTGAGACACTGGAATTACAGGCATGCGCCACCACACCCGACTAATTTTGTATTTTTAGTAGAGACGGGGTTTCTCCATGTTGGTCGGGCTGGTCTTGAACTCCCGACCTCAGGTGATCCACCCGGCTCGGCCTCCCAAAGTGCTAGGATTAGAGGCGTGATCCACCAAGCCCAGCCAAATCTCTGTTGCTTATAAGCCACCCAGTCTATGGTATTCTGGTATAGCAACCTGAGGAGTCTAAGACACTGAAAAAGCCTTCTCAGGTAATAACAGAGGTAATGAGACAGACAAGCAAATAAACAAAACAGGGTGAGTTTGTGGCCTGTGCCAAGAACAGGCAGGTGAGGTTACCTGAGACCATTTCACCAGCATGTCCACAGCAGGGAAGACAGAGCAACAGGAAGGCTCCCTATCTCTGCTCCCCCTGCCCCACAAACACCTGAACACCAACCACCACCACCCTGCAGTTTGTGTGTGCCCCAGCTGGGCGATGGCAACTGATGGACGTGAGTCACACTGAGCATGTGACCTTGAGGACTAAAAGGGCAGCAGAGGCGCGAAATATGGACACAAGAAATAATAGTACAAGTCATAAATGTCCTAATGCCAATTCCCTGGACACTACAGAAGCCTAGAGGAGGGGCCTCAGATTTTTTTTTTTTTTTTTTTTTTGAGATGGAGCCTCAGTCAGCCAGGCTAGAGTGCAGGGGCGCAATCTCGGCTCACTGCAACCTGCGCCTCCTGGGTTCAAATGACTCTCCTGCCTCAGCCTCCTTAGTAGCTGGGATTATAGGCACCTACGATACCAGGCTAATTTTTGTATTTTTAGTAGAGAAGGGGTTTTTGCCATGTTGGCCGGGCTGGTCTTGAACTCCTGACCTCAGGTGATCCACCTGCCTCGGCCTCCCAAAGTGCTGGGATTATAGGCATGAGCCACCGCGCTTGTCCTCAAATTTAAACTGAATCCAAGAATGCTTCCTGGAATAGGTGACGGATGCCAAAAAGAGTCCCTGGAAGGAACATGTCTTTAAAAGGGGGGCCAGGCTGAGTGCAGTGGCTCACACCTTTAATCCCAACATTTTGGGAGGCCGAGGTGGGATCACTTGAGGTCGGGAGTTTGAGACCAGCCCAGCCTACATGGTGAAACCCCACCTCTACTAAAATACAAAAATTAGCCAGGTGTGGTAGTGCGTGCCTGTACTCCCAGCTACTTGGGAGGCTAAGGAAGGAGAATCACTTGAACCCGGGAGGTGGAGGTTGCAGTGAGCTGAGATCACAGCACTGCACTCTGGCCTGGGCAACAGAGCAAGACCCTGTCTCAAAAAGAAAAAGCAGCAGCTTGAGGAAGCCATTGGAGCATCTTGTCAGCCCAAGGAGACCACCCCTACCTCTGCCCCCTCCCACTCCCGGTGTTGGTGACCTCTCAGGAAGCTGTTGACACTGTAGCTGGGATCAGACCCTCTGGCTAGCACATTCTCACTGGGCTTGGTACCTTCCATCAAACCACTTTTCCTCCCAGCATCCCCACCCCACACCCAGTCATCAGGCCTCACCCTGACTTCAGCCTTGCCCGTTCCCCAAACAGGGCCAGTCAATCCCCAAGCCCCACCCATCCTGCCTCTCATCATGTCACTCATATCACTGACCATGCCAACTGCCGATTACTAGAAAAGTGGCCTGGCCCACAGCCTCCTACTCAATGGTTCCATACCCACAGCTGATTGGAGACTTGACCTGGGGAGCTCACTAGCAAGCTTTTTTTTTTTTTTTTTTTGAGACAGAGTCTTGCTCTGTCGCCAGGCTGGAGTGCAGTGGCGCAATCTCGGCTCACTGCAACCTCCATCTCCTGAGTTCAAGTGATTTCCTGCCTCAGCCTCCCGAATAGCTGGGACTAGAGGCACATGCCACCACGCTCAGCTAATTTTTGTATTTTTAGTGGAGACGGGGTTTCACCATGTTGGCCAGGATGGTCTCGATCTCTTGACCTCATGATCCGCCCGCCTGGGCCTCCCAAAGTGCTGGGATTACAGGGGTGAGCCACTGTGCCCGGCCTGTTTTTTTTTTTTTTTTTTTTTTTTTTGAGACGGAGTCTCGCTCTGTCGCCCAGGCTGGAGTGCAGTGGCGCGACCTCGGCTCACTGCAAGCTCCGCCTCCCGGGTTCACGCCATTCTCCTGCCTCAGCCTCCCGAGTAGCCGGGACCACAGGCGCCCGCCACCACGCCCGGCTATTTTTTTGTATTTTTAGTAGAGGCGGGGTTTCACCGCGTTAGCCAGGATGGTCTCGATCTCCTGACCTCATGATCCGCCCGCCTCTGCCTCCCAAAGTGCTGGGATTACAGGCGTGAGCCACCGCGCCCGGCCTTTTTTTTTTTTTAGATAGAGTTTCGCCTAGGGTGGAGTACAGTGACGTGATTTCAGCTCACTGAAATCTCTGCCTCCTGGGTTCAAGTGATTGTCCTGCCTCAGCCTCCCAAGTAGCTGGGATTACAGGCACCTGCCACTAGGGCCAGCTAATCTTTTGTAGTTTTAGTAGAGGCAGGGTTTTACCAGGTTGGCAAGGCTGGTCTCAAACCGCTGACCTCAGGTGATCCACCTGCCTCGGCCTCCCAAAGTGCTGAGATTACAAGCGTGAGCCACTGTGCCTGGCCTTTTTTGTTTTGTTCTTTGTTTTTGTGAGACCCTCTCAGTCCGTTACCCAGGCTGGAGTGCAGTGGCACAACCATGACCATAGCTTACCTATGGCCTCCTAGGCTCAAGTGATCCTCCTGCCTCAGCCACCTACCCACCAAGTAGCTGGGACTACAGGTATGCGCCACCACTCCTGGATAATTTTTGTATTTTTTGTGGCAATGGGGTTTCATGGCCAGGCGCAGTGGCTCATGCCTGTAATCCCAACGCTTTGGAAGGCCGAGGCAGATGGATCACCTGAGGTCAGTAGTTCAAGACCAGCTTGGCCAACATGGTGAAACCCCGTCTCTACAAAAATACAAAAATTAGCCGGGCATGATGGTGCATGCCTGTAGTCCCAGCTACTCGGGAGGCTGAGGGGACAATCACTTGAACCTGGGAGGCAGAGGTTGCAGCGAGCCAAGATTGTGCCACTGCACTCCAGCCTGGGAGACAGAGTGAAACTCCGTCTCAAAAAACAAAACAAAAAAAAGGCCGGGCGCAGTGGCTCACATCTGTAATCCCAGCACTTTGGGAGGCCAAGGCGGGCGGATCACGAGGTCAGGAGATCGAGATCATCCTGGCTAACATGGTGAAACCCCGTCTCTACTAAAAATACACAAAAAATTAGACGGACGTGGTGGCGGGCGCCTGTGGTCCTAGCTACTTGAGAGGCTGAGGCAGGAGAATGGCGTGAACCCAGAGGCGGAGCTTGTAGTGAGCTGAGATCGCGCCACAGCACTCCAGCTTGGGCAACAGAGCGAGACTCCATCTCAAAAAAAAAAAAAATAGGAACAGGGTTTTACCATGGCATGCCCAACTCCCAGGTTCGTGCAAACCTCCCACCTCAGGCCGCAATGTGTTGGGATTACAGGCGTGGGCCACTGCACTCAGCCACTGACCTCATCTTGGCCCTATAGGCTGAGCAGAACCAATCAGATTTTCTTCTGAGAAACTGAACTGCGACAAGCTAAGACATGTGGTGTAAGCAGTGCGGATGTAAGCCACTGAGCTACAGACACTCAGACTCGATATTAATGAGAAAACTGCAGGGTCCCAGGCTGGGTGCGGGGTGGCTCGCATCTGTAATCCCAGCACTTTGGGAGGCCGAGGCAGGCGGATCACCTGAGGTCGGGAGTTCGAGACCAGCCTGGCCGACATGGTGAAACCTTGTCTCTACTAAAAATACAAAAATTAGCCAGGTGTGGTGGCAGGCGCCTGTAATCCCAGCTACTCGGGAGGCTGAGGCAGGAGAATCGCTTGAACCTGGGAGGCAGAAGTTGCAGTGAGCCGAGATCGCGCCATCGCACTCCAGTCTGGGGGACAAGAGCGAGACTTCGTCTCAAAAAAAAAAAAGAAAGAAAAAGAAAACTGCAGGGTCCCATTGACAGGGGAGTCCGTCCCAGGACAGAGGCTGTGGACAGAGTACTATCCAGGCTTGAACAACTCCCCAGTCACTTCCCTACTGGCCAGGGGCTCTAAACGGCACAGAGCCTAATGTCTTCATCAGCACCCATGGAACTCACCCCTGCACCCAAGTCCAACATGGCTGGGCCCAGCCCACCAGCCCAGCCTCAGCATTCACTGTCCAGCCATTCAACACCTTGCATCCCTGTACACCTCAAACACAGCGTGCTTTCCCTCACCACAGGGCCTTTGCACAGCTGTTTCCTCTGCCTGGACAACCCCAACACCATACTCTTCTCCATCCAACAAATTTTTTTTTTTTTTTTTTTTGAGACAGTCTCACTCTGTGGCCCAGGCTGGAGTGCAGCAGCATGATCTCGGCTCACTGAAACCTCCGCCTCCTGAATTCAAGTGATTCTCCTACCTCAGCCTCCTGAGTAGCTGGGATTACAGGGACCCGCCACCATGTCCGGCTAATTTTTGTATTCTTAGTAGAGACGGGATTGCACCATGTTGTCCAGGCTGATCTTAACCTCCTGACTTCAAGTGATCCACCCACCTTGACCTCCGAAAGTGCTGGGATTACAGATGCGAACCACCATGCCCAGACAACTTTTTCTTTTTTGAGACGGTCTCACTCCGGTTGCCCAGGTGGGAGTGCAATCGAGCAATCTTGGCTCACTGCAGCCTTGACCTCTCAAACTCCGGTGATCAGCCTCTAGGGTAGCTGGGAATATAGGCATGTGCCACCACACCTGGCTAATTTTTTGTATTTTTAGTACAGACAGGATTTCGCCATGTTGACTAGGCTGGTGTTGAACTCCTGAGCGCAAGCGATTCACCCACCTCAGCCTCCCAAAGTGCTGGGATTCCAGGCAGGAGCCACTGTGCCCAGTCTCCACCCAGTGAACTCTTACATGCTTGGAGTATACACGCTGCCCAGCCCTTATGACAACCCCAACAACAGTCCCAGTTGACAGACGGGGGAAGGAGAATGGGCTAGCCTGGCCCTGTCAATTCAGCAGCTCGTTCCCACAAGTGGTTCTTGAGCTTTTGAGATTGATTTGTTTTTTTTGTTTTTTTTTTTGAGACAGGGTCACATTCACTGTCACCCAGGCTGGAGTGCAGTGGTGTAATCATGGCTCACTACAACATCAACTTCCTGGGCTCAGGTGATTCTCCCACGTCAGCCTCTCCAGTAGCCGGGACTACAGGTGGGCACCACCATGTCTGGTTAAGTTTTTTTGAATTTTGTGTAGAGGCCGGGCGCGGTGGCTCACACCTGTAATCCCAGTACTTTGGGAGGCTAAGTCGGGCGGATCACGAGGTCAAGAGATCGAGACCACCCTGGCCAACATGGTGAAACCCCGTCTCTACTAAAAATACAGAAATTAGCTGGGTGTGGTGGCACTTGCCTGTAGTCTGCGCTACTCGGGAGGCTGAGGCAGGAGTCCCAGCTACTCGGGAGGCTAAGGAGAAGAATCGCTTGAACCCGGGAGGTGGAGGTGCAGTGAGCAGAGATCGCGTCATTGCACTCCAGCCTGGTGACAGAGCGAGACTCCATCTCAAAAAATAAAAAATTTTAAAAAAAAAGAATTTTGTGTAGAGACAGGGTCTCACTATGTTGCCCAGGCTGGTCTCAAACTCCTGGGCTCAAGTGATCTGCCGGCCTCAGCCTCCCGAAGTGCTGGGATTGCAGGTTTGAGCCACCATGACTGGGGTGACATGTCGGCTAGAGCACTTCAAATGTGGCTGGTCCAATGGATGTGTTCAACGAGTACAAAGTATTCACAGGATTTTGAAGTCTTGGTATGCAAAAAAGAATGTAAAACCTCTTAACTTTTCATTTTAGTAATACCCCATTTAATAATATTAAAACATCATTAACAGTTTTTCTTTTACTTTTTTTGAGCCTCAGTTTCACGCTTGTTGCCCAGGCTTGAGTGCAATGGCGTCATTTCGGCTCACTGCAACCTCCGCCTCCAAGGTTCAAGTGATTCTCCTGTCTCAGCCTCCTGAGTAGCTGGGATTACAGGTGCCCACCCCCACGCCCGGCTAATTTTTATATTTCTAGTAGAGATGGTGTTTCACTATGTTGACCAGGCTGGTCTTGAACTCCGGACCTCAGGTGACTCACCTGCTTTAGCCTCCCAAAGTGCTGCGATTACAGGCGTGAGCCACCACGCTTGGCCAACAGCTTTTCTTTTTTTTTTTTCTTTTTGAGACAGGGTCTCGCTCTGTCACCCAGATTGGAGTGCAGTGCTACGATCTCGGCTCACTGCAACCTCCACCTCCCAGGCTGAAGCGATTCTCCCACCTGAGCCTCTCAGGTAGCTGGGACAACAAGCACATGCCACTATATCCGGCTAATTTTTCTTATTTTTTTGTAGGGGGGGCGTTTTGCCATGTTGCCCAAGCTGGTCTTGAACTCCTGACCTCAAGCAATCCACCCACCTTGGACTCCCAAAGTGCTGAGATTACAGGCATGATCCACCACGCCTGGCAAAAACATCATTAATAGTTTTTATTAATTACAAGCTGAAACTCTGTGTGTGTGTGTGTGTGTGCACACGTACATGACAGAGGCTCACTCTGCTGCCCAGGCTGGAGTGCAGTGGTGCAATCATAGCTCACTGTAGCCTCGACATCCGGGCTCAAGTGATCCTCCCACCTCAACATCCCAAACTGCTGGGATTACAGGTGTGAGCCACCGCATGTAGCCGAAATAATACTTTCAATATGTTAGGTTAAATAAAATGCATTCCTATGGCTAATTTCTTTCTTTCTTTTTTTTTTCCTTAAAGGCGGGGGCTCACAATGTTGCCCAGCCTGGTCTGCAACTCCTGGGCTCAAACAATCCTGCCTCGTCCTCCCAAAGTGCTGAGATTACAGCACTTTGGCCACCTATGGCTAATTTCACCTATCTTTTTTATCTTTATAAACCAGGAATGAAAACATTTAAAATCACATATATGGCTCAGGTGATATTTATATTGGATTGCTGTTTTTCTGGAATAAACAATGGTCTATGGCTTGTTTTTGTAGGGGCTTTAAGAGTGGTTTCTACCAGCCTGACCAACATGGTGAAACCCCATCTCTACTAAAAATACAAAAATTAGCCAGGCATGGTGGCAGGTGCCTGTAATCCCAGCTACTCAGGAGGGTGAGGCAGGAGAATCACTTGAACCCAGGAGGTGGAGGTTGCAGTGAGCTGAGATTGTGCCACCGCACTCCAGCCTGGGAGACAAAGCGAGACTCCATCTCAAAAAAAAAAAAAAAAAAAGAGAGATGGTATAAAAGAAAAAAATGGGCTGGGCACAGTGGCTCATGCCTGTAATCCCAGCACTTTGGGAGGCCAAGGTTGGGGGGCGGGGGAGGCGGCGCAAATCACGAGGTCAGGAGTTCGAGACCAGCCTGACCAACACAGTGAAACTCCTAAAAATACAAAAATTAGCCTGACGTGGTGGCACGCGCCTGTAATCCCAGCTACTCAGGAGGCTGAGGCAGAAGAATCGCTTGAATGTGGGAGGCGAGGGTTGCAGTGAGCCAAGATTGCGCCACTGCACTCCACCCTGGGAGACAGACTGAGACTCTGTCTCAAAAAAAAAAAAAAGAAGAAAAAAAAGTCCAGACACAGTGGCTCACACCGGCAATCTCAGCACTTTGGGAGGCTGAGACGGGAGGACTGCTTGAGCCCAAGAGTTCAAGACCAGCCAGGACAACAGAGTGAGACCCCAGTCTCTACTTAAGGAATAAAAAAATTTGCCAGGCATGGTGTTGTATGCTTGTAGTCCTAGTTACTTGGGAGGCTGAGGTGGGAGGATCGCTTGAGCCCAGGAGTTTGAGGCCTCAGTGAGCCATGATCATGCCACTGTACACCAGCCTGGGTGATAAGAGTGAGGCCCTGTCTCAAAAACACACACAAAAAAAATAATAATAAGTGGCAGAGATTTGAGTCAGTCAGGTTAAACCAAAGCTGGGCTCTTAACTATGCCAGCAGCCTGCCCCATCTCTAGGCCCACAAATGAGTCCCCAAGGTCTGTACATTTGGCAAAGGCGTGGGGCTTTGCCCCCATTATAATGCACACTCAAGTTGTATTTTAAGCATCTGAGTCCTCGCCTGGCCCCCTCCCCTGCCCCGTGCCAGCTGGGAGGTGGTGTCAGGTGGCCCTGGCTCCAATCCCAGGTTGGCACTGGCCAGGCGACTGACTCCCTTTCTCTGAACGTGAACTTCCCCATCTGTAAAATGGGGATGGTCAAAGTCCCTGCCCCAGGGCCCTGTTCATTTGACCCAATGCTGGCTCAGCTGCGTTTGACTAGAACGTACACGGTGCATGGCTGAGTCGGGGATAAGAATATGGGTTCCTGGCTGGGCGCAGTGGCTCATGCCTATAATCCCAGCACTTTGGGAGGCTGAGGCAGGCAGATCACCTGAGGTCAGGAGTTCGAGAGCAGCCTGGCCAACATGGAGAAATCCCATCTCTACTAAAAATACAAAATTAGCCAGGCATGGTGGCACATGCCTGTAATCCCAGCTACTCGGGAGGCTGAGGCAGGAGAATCGCTTGAACCCGGGAGGTGGAGGTTGCGGTGAGCCGAGATCGCACCATTGTACTCCAGCCTGGGCAACAAGAGCGAAACACTATCTCAAACAAACAAAAAAAAGAATACGGATTCCTAGGGCCAGCAGGGCTGGGTGTGGATCCCAAGCTACAAAAGCCTGGGAAGGCTACTTTATCTCTCTGTGCCTTGGTTTCTTTCTCTATGAAATGAGAATAGGCCAGGCACAGTGGCTCATTCCTGTAATCCCAGCACTTTGGGAGGCCGAGGCGGGTGGATCACCCGAGGTCAGGAGTTTGAGACCAGCCTGGCCAACATGGTGAAACCCCATCTCTACTAAAAATACAAAATTTAGCCAACCATGGTGGGATCCTCTGTAGTCCCAGCTACTCGAGAGGCTGAGTTATGAGAATTGCTTGAACCAGGGAGGTAGAAGTTGCAGTGAGCTGAGATCACGTCACTGCATTCCAGCCTGGACAACAAGGGAGACCCTGTCTCAGAAAAAACGGGCATAGAAATCCCCAATCAGAAGGACTTTTTAACCTGTGTGAGCCTCAGTTTCCATCCCTGTAAAACGCTACTAGTAGTCTCTATAATCAAGTTTATTTTATATAAAAAGATAAAACTTGGAGATGGATGGTGGTGACGGTCATTTAACAATGTCAATATTCTTTTTTTCTTTATTTTTTTGAGACAGAGTTTTGTTCTTTTGGCCCAGGCTGGAGTGCAGTGGCGTGATGTTGGCTCTCTGCAACTTCCGCCTCCCAGGTTCAAGCAATTCTCCTGCCTCAACCTCCTGAGTAGCTGGGACTACAGGCGCCTGCCACCATGCCCGGCTAATTGTTGTATTTTTAGTAGAGATGGGCTTTCATCATGTTGGCCAGGCTGGTCTTGAACTCTTGACCTCAGGTGATCTGCCCGTCTTGGCCTCCCAAAGTGCTGCAATTACAGGTGTGAGCTACCGCACCTGGCCTACGATGTCAATATCCTTTTTTTTTTTTTTTTGAGACAGTCTCGCTCCCTTGTTTTTGGTAGATGTGAGGTCTTGCTATTTGCCTAGCTGGTCTCAAACTCCTGGCCTCAAGTGAGCCTCTCACCTCAGTCTCTCAAAGTTCTGGGATCACAGGTGTGAGCCACCACTCCCGGCCTGCTCTATTATTTACTTTTCCCACAATGAAATAGATTGAAATAACACAGGAAAAAATACATTTGAGTTTGCCTCAAAAAACACACTTAAGAAGAAAGTGTAAGGCCGGGCGCGGTGGTTCATGCCTGTAATCCCAGCACTTTGGGAGGCCGAGATGGGTGGATCACAAGGTAAGGAGTTCAAGAGCAGCCTGGCCAAGATGCTGAAACCCCTTCTCTACTAAAAATACAAAAATTAGCCAGGTGTGGTGGCACTTGCTGGTAATCCCAGCTACTCAGGAGGCTGAGGCAGGAGAATCGCTTGAACCCGGGCAGCAGAGGTTGCAGTAAGCCGAGATTGCGTCACTGCACTCCAGCCTGGGCGACTCCGTCTCAAAAAAAGAAAAGAAAAGAAAAGAAAAAAGTGTAATGATAGTTATTATCCTTATAATTAATAATTAATTCTTCCCATAATTTCTCCATGTCACATCGAAGATTAAATTAAAACAACATCCAGGACTAAATTATTATTATTATTATTTTTTCGAGATGGAGTCTTGCTCTGGTGCCCAGGTTGGAGTGCAGTGGCACAATCTCAGCTCACTGCAACCTCCCCCCTCCACCCCAGAGTTCAAGTGATCCTCCTTCCTCAGCCTCCCGAGTAGATGGGATCACAGGTGCGCCCTACCACGCCCAGTTAATTTTTTGTATTTTTAGTAAAGACGGGGTTTCACCATGTTGGCCAGGCTGGTCTCAAGCTCCTGACCTCAAGTGATCCACCTGCCTTGGCCTCCCGAAGTGCTGGGATTACAGGCGTGAACCGCCATGCCCCGCCAAGATTAAATGTCACACTGTACACGAAGGGCCAAACAATAATCCTGTATCATAATCAGTACAATCAATGACAATGATTGACATGGAGAATGGCCTTGGCGTCCATGCCACCATCAGGGTGAGAATGGGCTGACCTCCTGAGCACCTGCTCAGCCGCATGCCCTGTGCAGAGCACTCCATGGGCACCTGGTAACACCTACCCCTGTCAAGTGCCTTGCACATTAATCCTCTGATCCAACTCTATTTGTCCAGTGAACCCAGTACAGTAGAGGCCAGCAAACTTTATTCATGATGAGCCAGAGATATTTTTTGCCATTGAGGGCCAGCTAACTACCCAGCTCTCTGCCATATGGGAAAAACAGCCATAGACAACATGTAAATGAATGGGCATGGTTGTGTGCCAATAAAACTTTATTTGCAAAAACAAGCAGTGGGCTGGATTTGGCCTAGGGGCCATAGTTTTCAAGCTCCTGCGGTAGACAAACTGGAAGCAGTGAACAGGCTGTTGGTCTGCATTTACGTATTTAAGTATTTAAGGTAAATATTGAAGCTATGGCCAGCCAGGCACAGTGGCTCACACCTGTAATCCCAGCACTTTGGGAGGCCAAGGCAGGTGGGTCATCTGAGGTCAGGAGTTCGAGACCAGCCTGGCCAACACAGTGAAACCCCATTTCTACTAAAAACACAAAAATCAGCCGGGTGTGGTGGCCTGCGCCTGTAGTCCCAGATAGTTGGGAGGCCAAGTCAAGAGAATCGCTTGAACCTGGGAGGCAGAGGCTGCAGTGAGCCGAGATTGAGCCATCGCACTCCAGCCTGGACAAGAGCGAAACTCCATCTCAAAAAAACAAAAAGATATGGCCTGACACACAATAACCATTCCTAAATGATTCACTTTTTTTGTTTGTTTGAGAGAAAAGGTTTCATTATGTTGCCTAGGCTGGTCTCAAACTCCCAAAGTGCTGAGATTACAGGTGTAAGCTGCCGCGTCCGGCCCAATTCATGATTATATTTACAGGTTACATAAGTGTGTATCTGCAGGTAGTCTATGTCAATGACACATTTCCACCATTGTGCCATAAATGGCAAAGCAGCCCGCCTCTCTGGCTGGTTCCATTAAACTAGAAGCTCCCTAGGGCCAGAGCCTCATCTGCTTGTACAGTACTGGTCCTCTACCACCCACAGCAGGGTATCTGCATAAACATTAACAAGCGGTTCACCTTATATACAGGTAACGCACATATAGACACATACGCGTTAACAATCGCTTTACCTTATATACAGGTAATGCATGTACAGACACAAACGCAAATAACACCTCTGAGGCCCGCAGGTCCTCGACACCTCTATCAGCCCCATAGGACTGCAAATTCCAGGGCGGCCCGGCCACGACTGGATCTGCAGGTCTCAGCACAAGCCTGTCATCCAGCGGGCACTCAACAAACAGGTGACCAAACCCATCAGGCCCAGTTTCTGGAGAAGGCTGGGACTCACCTTGAGGGAAGGGATGTCCTCAGCACGGATGACGAACTCGTCCCGTTCCCGGAAGATGCCCTCTCCGCCACTCTCGCCGGCCTCCTCGTCCGTCTCCCCACACACTGCCGCCGTCTCCTGCTTTTTGGCCAGATGCAGGGGCCGGGTGTCCGGCAGCTCGGGGTCTTCGGGAGACGGGGCGGCGGGCTCCTCAGGAGGAGCAGCCAGTGGGGCAGCGGCTGGTGGGGGTGGTGGTGGAGGCGAGGGCATGGCTGGTGGAGGTGGCGGCGGCAGCGGCGGTGGCGGTGGTGAGCTGGGCGTGGGGGCCACCAGCGGGGGTGGCGAGGGCAGGGCTGGCTGTGGCGGCGGAGGGGGTGGCGGAGGCTGAGGCTGAGGAGTCGGGGCAGGAGGTGGAGTGGGTGGGGGTTTCTCCTCCAGCAGCGGGGGCTCTGGGGGAGACAGGGACATCAGGCCTGGATGTTATTCATCATTCCTGGCACCTTTCCTCTTGTCCTTTAAACACTGCTTTCTATACCAAAAGCCCCTCTGTAACTACCACTCAGCTCCCAGTGTCCCTTCTACCCTATCAGAGTCTCTCCAGAGACCTACTCTGGCTCCTGCGGCTGCAAAGGAGACCTGTCTCCTATCCCTAATCCCCTTCTCAGTCCTGGAATGTCTCTTTGTGGTCTTAAAGCCCTTGTCTGGTTCTTAACTCCTCTTCCTGAATGACCCTCCCAACTCCTAAATCATCACCTCCCTAACTCTACTTCCTCACCTCCTCTTCCTCCAAGGCCTCATCCTCCTCCCTCCAGGACCATCTTTGTCCTTTCCTTGGCCTGCTCACCAGTATGCAGACTGCTAACCTCTCCCCTGTCTGCCAGCTCCCTTCTTCAGGCTTTTTAAGAACCTCACAGAGGGCAGGCATGGTGGCTCATGCCTGTAATCCCAGCACTTTGGGAGGCTGAGGTGGGTGGATCACTTGAGGTCAGGAGTTCGAGACCAGTCTGGCCAACATGGTGAAACCCCGTCTCTACTAAAAATACAAAAATTAGCTGGGCATGGTGGTGCGCGCCTGTAGTCCCAGCTACTCGGGAGGCTGAGGCAGGAGAATCACTTGAACCTGGAAGGCAGAGGTTGCGGTGAGCGGAAGGCAGAGGTTGCAGTGAGCCAAGATCGCACCACTGCACTCCACACTCCAGCCTGGGTGACATAGAGAGACCCTGTCTCAAGAAAAAAAAAAAAGAACGTTATAGGGTCTTTTTGTTTTGTTTTTGGGGTTTTTTGTTTAAGACAGGGTCTTGCTCTGTCACCCAGGCTGGAGTACAGTGGCTCAATCATGGCTCACTGCAGCCTCAACCTCCTGGGCTCAAGCGATCCTCCTGTCTCAGCCTCCCAAAGTGTGCTAGGATTACAGGTGTGGTCCACCATGCCCGGCCTGTCATGGTTTTTTTTTTTTTTTGAACACTCCCCTCTGTGCCCTCCTGTAAGCTCCCACCTCTCATTTCCCAATGCCTCTGTTTCTGACATTACACTCCTTAAACTGTGTCCAAAACCAGAGCACAACCTAAACCCTTCCTATGCCCCTAGCCTTCCCTTCCACCGCCCACCCCCATCCCCAAGTCTTTCTCTGCCCCCAGACATCTTTCTGTACCTTCACACACAGTTGACTCAGAGCCCTCCTCAGTTCCCACACCTCCCACCATTCAGAACCTGAGTAGCCCCTGTCCTGTCCCTGTAACTTATCACCTGCCCTGTCTCCCTGCATTCTCCAGTGTCTGCCTTGGGGCCCCTCCTAGTCCACTTAGCACCTCTGAGTGAATTAGAAAAAGATAGACCTTCCTCAAAATGCTTGTGTAATCAGGAAAGTCCCTTCATAAACACGCAAGCTTACACCATGTATGTGAATGGTGTCTCTTAAACAGTGCGTAACCTGCACAACTGTTACCTAGTGATCATAATAACCTTTAAGCTCTACTCCCAGACCACCTGCCCAGAGCTCACCGGGAGTGCCATTGCTGTTGGCACTGGGGAGCCCCGGAAGAGGGGGTGGCCCTGGAACTGCAGCCGCGGGGGCCAAGGGCGGCCCATCTGGGGTGGAAGTGTCTTTTGGCCCAGCAAGGGGTGGGTCATCGAGGGCAGAGATGGCGGAGGAGATGCTCTCCTGCAGGTCTCGGTTCTTGGCGACAGAGTCTTCCTCATCCGAGGAGAAGGAGGGCAGCGTCTCGAGGTTCCGCTTCAGCTCCTCATCAAGCCGCTTGCAGGGTGAAGGGCAGCCAAGCCCCAGACCCTCACTCTCTGCAGCCTCCAGGGCGCCCCCAAGCCCAAAGGCTCCGGAAGGTGGGGGATGTGGCACAGCAGGGGTGGCAGGGGGCTGGGGCTGCAGGCCTCGGGCTGGCACAGAGGGTGGCACACTCTTGGGAGGGCTGAGCGGAGGCGTCAGGCCCGCCTGGTAGAGTGGTGGGTGGCGCTTGCCTGACTTGAGGAAGTCCAAGAAGGAGGCCATGAAACCCGACTTCATCTCCGGCTGCTTCTCCTCCACCTCCTTAATCTTGGCCTCGATCTTCTCCCGAGTCAGGCTCGAGTCCAGGCTGTTGTGGTCAGTGCCTGATATGGCATCACCCGATGAGGTTCCCAGACCCTCGCCAGCCTTGGGCACAGACAGCTTGATCTAGACATGGGAGTGGCGGGCCGTGAGGGCCCAGTAGCCTGGGCCCCCAGTCCCATCCTCCCTCAGCCCCCAAAAATCCAAATTTACAGGTGCTCAGCCTGTGAATTTATAGAATTCAAACCTGCAGACCCCTTGTCTTAGATTCTAGGAGGACAAGACTGGAGTTCCTCCCTCAGAAGACCAGGAACTTGGACTCACTGAGCCTCTTCACTTACAGCCCAGTTCAGGTCCCTAGACCCGCTTCCCATGAGACCCAGGAATGTAGGATCCCTGAATGCCCATCCTTTGGGATATAGAAACTAAAAGCAAGCAGACCGGGTGAGGTGGCTCGTGCCTGTAATCCCAGCACCTTGGGAGACTGAGGCAGGCAAATCACTTGAGGTCAGGAGTTTCAAACCAGCGTAAGCTCCAACCTCCTGCCTCTCTCCCTAAACCCAGAATTTCCTTTATCTCTTGAGACAGGGTCTCACTCTGTGGCCCAGGCCACAGTGATGCAATCATAGCTCCCTGCAGCCTTGAACTCCTGGGCTCAAGAGATCCTCCCACCTCAACCTCTTGAGTAGCTGGGACTGTAGGTACACGCAGCCACACCTGGCTAAATTTTTGTGTTTTTAATAGAGACCAGGGTCTCACTACGCTGACCAGGCTGGTCTCGAACATCTGGGTTCAAGAGATCCTCCCGCCTCAGTCTCCCAAAGCGCTGGGATTACAGGCATGAACCACACTGCCCAGCCTAGATTCAGAATTTCAATTCTTAGGTCTTTCTGTCAGTGAGACCCTGAAATTCCTCACGCTAACTTCCTCACAGATTTTAGAAATGTAAACCTTATTATCCCCCTGCCCCAAAAATGCCAAGGTGCGGCCATAAACCTGTCCTTTAAGACTCAAAACATCGGGAGGCCGGGCGCGGTGGCTCAGGTCTGTAATCCCAGCACTTTGGGAGGCCGAGGCGGGTGGATCACGAGGCCAGGAGATCGAGACCATCCTGACTAATACGGTGAAACCCCGTCTCTACTAAAAATACAAAAAAACTAGCCGGGCGTGGTGGCGGGCAACTGTAGTCCCAGCTACTCGGGAGGCTGAGGCAGGAGAATGGCGTGAACCCGGGAGGCGGAGCTTGCAGTGAACCGAGATCGTGCCACTGCACTCCAGCCTGGACGACAGAGCGAGACTCTGTCTCAAAAAAAAAAAAAAAAGACTCAAACATCGGACACAGCTCCTCCTCCCCTATCCCCTACAAGACCCCATTTCCCCTCACCTTAAGTGGCTTCAGGGGCTCCAACCGGGTGCCCCCTGCCTCCTCAGCCTTTCGACCCCGGCCTCGGCCCCGGCCCCGGGGTTTCTTGGCGCCATCGGTGGGCGTGGAGGCCGAGGCGGGCCCCGCAGTGGTCGGGACCTCCAGGGGGCGGATCCGGGGCCTCCCCCGTGGCCGGGGTGGCCCATCACGTTTCGCCTTCGTGGGCTTGCGGCCACGGCGCCGGGGGCCATCGGGTCCTGGGTTGGGTGGGCAGAAGTCGATGTCCCCCAGTGGCGAGAGGGCCGGACGGGAGCGGCAGCTGGAGACCAGGTCAGGCAAGCGCCGGGGGTTGAGGCGGATGTCGGCGGGAACATCGGCCTTGTCCTCGTCCGCCTCGAACTCGTACTCCTGGGCGTACAGCTTCTTGGGGGTCTGGAAGGGTGGGTCGCGGCGCCGCAGCAGGTGGAAGGAGGATGTCTTGAGCAGCTTCTTTGGCTTGGTAGAGCAGAAGATGGGCGAGGTGAGGCCACCCTTGGGTTCGGAGGCCGGCGCGGGAGGCGGCGGTGGCGGAGGCGGGGGTGGTGGCGCCGCCTGGTGGGGGCCACTCTGGATCAGGCCCAGCGGCTCGGCGTTGACCGTGGAGGGCAGTTCAGGCGGTTTGTTGGGGTCCAGGCCCAGGCCCGGTGTCTCGGGCCCGGCTCCCGACGCCCGGCCAGGACAGTAGGGCCCATAGGGATCATAAGCAGGGGGGCCGGGGGGTGGCCCAGCGCCAGCCTTGGGGTCCCCCTCGTCCTCAGGTGGCCCGGCCTTGCCGTAGTCGTCCGCGGCCCCTCCACCGAACATCTCCTCCATGGTGGGGAAGAAGCTGCGCTCCTCGTCTTGGAGCAAGGAGTCAGGGAAGCAGATGGAGGTGAGCGGCACGAAACGCGGCGCCTTGGTGCCTTGCGGGCTGGGGCTGCGGTAGGCGCCTGCGGGATCCTTGCCCTCCGAGTTTGGTGGGCCTACGCCAGTATCCCCAGGCGCCGGGGGCAGCGGCTCCAGAGCCCCGAGCAATTCCTGCATGGCGCCTGGCGGATCCAGGCTCTCCTCGGGTCGCAGGCGGGGGCTGGGGGCCGCGGGCTCCAGGCCATGGCTGCGGAGGTGGGCCTCGAGCTGCAGGGGCATGGGTGGTGGAGGCGGGGGTGGCGGTGGAGGTGGCTGGGGTGCCCCATCGCGGGTGGCTGGCTCAAGGAGGTGGACGCCGACTTTGGAGGCGCTGGGAGAGGGACTGGGGGCATGGCTGAGGACCGAGGGGAGCAGCTGGGGGGGAGGCGGAGGCAGCACCAGTGGGAGGTCAGGGCCCCCGGCCTCCAGAAGGAGGCCATGGGGAGTGGGCTGGGTAGACTGGGCCGTGGGAGGTGGGGGCGGAGGGCTCTTTTGCAAGAAGGCCCCCAGCTCCTTGGCGCCTGCCCCGTAGTGGACAACAGAGGTGGCCAGCCCCTCGGGGGTCTCGCCACCCCGCTCTGGCCCTTTCTTCTTCTCCTTCAGCCTCCCCAGGCCCAGCTCCAGTGCCGCAGTGGCACCCTCATCCAGGCTGGCACTGGTGCGGATGACACTCTGCAGGTGGTACCTCTGGGGGTCTTCCTTGGCCAACTCGTAGGGTGTACCCGGTGGTCCCCCGGCCCCGCCACTCCCCCCAAGTCCCTTAGAGGCATCTGCTGCCCCGTCCTCGCCCACCAAGCCGTCCGCCCCTGAGGTCCGAGGAGGGCTGGGCGCCTGCAAGAGGTGCTGGATAAGGAACTCCTCATCCTCTGTGCGCTCCGCAGGAGGCCCACCTGGGCCCGCCAGCAGCTCCGAGCCATCCCCCTTGCCCTTGTAGCCACCTGCTCCGGCTGCATAGCTGCCAGCTCCCGGAGGTGCCAGGAAAGGCGCTGAGGCCAAGACTGAGCTCAGGTATTTGCCAGGGGCTCCTGGAGAGCCGACTCCAGGTGGACGGCCGGTGGCAGGCGGTGACTGGAGCGGACGAATGATGTGAGATGGGCTGGCCTCACCGCCGCCTCCCAGGGAGCTGGGTCCCCAGCCACCCCCATGGCCCGAGAGCGCTGGGGAATGGCCGGTACTGTAGCTGAGCGAGGGGCTGGCTGTGGGCAGCCCCTGGGAGTGGGCGGCTGGCCCTGGGTATGGCTCGCCCTGCACCCCATACAGCTGCCCCTGCAGCTGGTCCGGGGAGTAGCTCTGACATGTGGCCAGGCCAGGAGGAGGGGGGCCGCTGGGGGGCTGTGGGGGGCCCCCTGAGTAGCTGGGGGCTTTGCTCAAGTCCTGTGCCTGCCCCCCTCCAAACCCTTGCCCGTAGGCCTGGGGTCCCAGAAGCCCTTGAGGCTGACCGGGGGAATAAGCCTGGCCCCCTGCCCCTCCAGCCCCAGAGGCCTTCCCAGTGGCATAGGCGGCTGCTGGCCCACCCAGGCTCTGACATTTGGGGGTGGCGGTCGAACGGGGTGGGGGGGGCCTGGTGGCACCCCCGGCAGCTGCTCCATAACCACCTTTGCCCGTCTTGTACCCAGGCGACTGAATGATGGGGCGGTAACCTCCACCACCACCCCCAGCCCCACCGCCCCCTGCTGCCTCAGGGCCCGTGGCCCGGCCAGATGCCCCAGCCGTGGCTCCGCTGGGACCAGCCTTGCTAGGCTCCCCAGCACCCGGGGAGGGCTCCCCACCACCCAGGGGGCTGCAGGCCAGGTTGGCCCGGTGGCCCATGGAGGGGTAGCTGCCTCCACAGCTCAGATAGTGCTGGAGCGCATGGGCTGGTGGCGGGGGTGGTGGGGGCTGGGCACTGGCTGGCCGCTGGTAGTGCTTGATGACCGTGTCCTGGCGTGGCAGGGCCCGCTCAGGCGGCGGTGGGCCCGGGGCAGCACCCGAGAAGTTATAGAGCTGTGGGGAGGACTGCTCGGCAGCGGCGGCGGCAGCGGAAGAGGAAGCCAGCAGGTTGAACTGAGTTGGGAGGTGGCGAGGAGGTGGTGGTGGGTCTGGGGGGCCAGGGCGGTAAGGGGGGGTCTGGGCTGGACCGAGACCAGCTGGCCCCAAGACACCGCCCCCTGCCAGGCGCTCGAAGCCCAGTGAAGAGGGCACCGTGGGTGCCTGCGAGGGCTTCAGGTGCAGCACGTCATGAGGGGACAGGAGCCCGTTAGCTGGAGGGCTGAATGGGGGGTCCTGGAGGCTGAGGGACGAGGGCACTGGGAAGGGGCGGCTGCCGAAGGAAGCCGGGTGTTGGTAAGCCGACAGGGCAGATGAGGACGGAAAGGTGCTGGAACCCGGCAGGGCACCCGAGATGAAGAGCTCCGTGGGGCCTGGCGTGTGCATGGCTGGAGATGAGGAAGACCGCGCGTCAGAGAGAACAGCGAGCCAGTCCCACCCTGGCCCTGCAGGGCCGGCGCTGGGCTTACCTGTTTGCCAGGAAGGACTGCGGAACTGGGAGAGGAGAGAGGAGGCGGAGGGGCCAGGCTGGGGGCCCCGGGATTCCAGGGCCGAGATAAGGTTCATGACGGAGGCGTCGGGCCCTGCTGAGCCCGCGTGGTGGAGGCCAGTGTCGAAGAGTCCAGAGAGGCCTGGCCGGGGACAGGGGTTATAGTCAGCCAGGTGGGGGTGGGTAGGATACAGTCAAGAGAGAAAGGGAAGAGGCCAAAAGCAAGTTGGATCAGGAAAAGGAGGGGATGGGAGAGAAAAGGGCAAATTCAAAAACAAGATGGATAGAACCAAGCTAATGAGACATGAATGAGGGGAGGGAAGGGGGAAAGGTGAGACAGTAAAGCAAGACAAGGGGCAATCCAGTCATAAGGACAGGGGGCCCAGGTAGGAAATGGTAGACAAAAGTGTAGAAAAATCTAGAAGCGAAAGAGCCAGGAGCAAAAGAACAGAGTCCTCAGTAAGGCTGGGAGGGAGACCAAATTTGGATATTTCCAGCAAGGAAGAGGAAAGGATGGGACAATGAAGTCTAAGAAAGACCAGAGAACGTGTCAGAAAGGATTGAGCTAAGTGGGAGGGTTCAGAAAAAAAGATGGGGAGGGAAAAAGGGAAGGAGCCAATCAGGAGGGTCAAGGGTCAAACTGGACAGCATCATGTCATTACCAGTACCCCTAGGAAGAGGGAACCAATCAGAAACCTTGGAGGCAAAGGCAAGGTGGGTAGAATAAGGCAATGGGGCAAAATAAGATAAAACAGGGCGGGCCAGAGAATTAGAGCCAATCAGGAAGAAAGGGAATCAGGAAGAAAGAATTCAGAGTTCCAAAGAGCCAAAAGAATAGGGCAAACCCAGAGGGAAAGAATTGGGGTGGGTTGGGGAGAGGCGGAAAAGCCTGGAAGAGAAGGTGGGATTTGGGGGCTGATGGTAACAGGGCCAATTGGAGCGAAAGGGGAGGGGCGAGGCAGGGGCGGACGAATCCGGCGAGAAATGAAGCAGCGACCAGCAGCCTCAAAGGCAACCAATCAGAGGAGACACAGCAAGGGGCGGGCCACGGCACGGGCCACGGCCAATTAGGAGGGGCGGAACTTTCAACAGCCAATCAGCTGCCTCGGGGGGAGGGGGAGGGCCAGCCCAAAGCGGGGCGGGATGGGGGCCGTACCTGCCGGGTGGTGGTTGGTGGCATAGCTTTGCAGTGGGTGGGGGGCCGCATAGGCCTGGCGGTGTAAGATGTCCGTCTCGGGGTGCGAGGTCCTGGAGCTGCCATAAACCAAGCTGGGGGGAAAGGGGAGACGTCAGGGGGTTCTTCCAAGCTGCCTTCTGAGAAGGAAGCTCAGAAAACCCCCCGGGGAGTTGGGGGGACCCTTCCAGCTGACCGGGGTGGGGGGTGTTAAGCTAAGGAACCGTAGGCCCTAAAGGGGAGAACACAAGGGAATCGGGGTGCTCAACTAAAGAGCCACAGAAATGGCCCCCACTCCAGAGCCCGAATAAAGAGAGCCCGGATAGTCTCACGTTTACAAACAGGCATGCTCAGAGACGAGACTAACACACAGAAGAGGGTCCAAGGCAGAGCAAGCGTCTTGATTTGCAAATGAGAGCCCTCCCCCGTCGACCCCACAAACCCCCCCCAGCCCCCGTTCCGGCGACACAGGCTATGGGGCCAACGCCAGAGGTCCACATGGACGCCTCCTCTTCCGTAGACACACGGGAACACATAGGCCCTGAACTTCATGGGGTGGTGCAGAACAAGTTGGGAGCAGGAGGAAGATCGGTTCCCAAGCGGCAACGGTTTGGGGGGTGGAGAGAAGAGGGAATAAGACCTGGGGAAAGTACCAGGTACAAGTGTGAACAAGAACACCGACCATCCCCGGGGGTTGAGGTTCAAATGCATGGGCCCATGCAATGCCAGGTATGTGTGCAAACGGGTATCCAACTCACCCGTGGGGAAGAAAAGATATAGACGGAGGAATCCCACACGGAAAATCCTGACACACTTGGGGTTATGCCCTGCTGGGAAATCCAGGTGTGTTGGGGGGGAGGTGCTGGGGATAGGTGAAGTGTGAGGGCGCCACACCAATAAGCAACAGGAAAGGGGCAGATTCACAGGTGAACACGCTGCCAGCCACGCACGCACAGGGCCCACGCTCAGACACACAAACACACACCCGGGAAACATCCGACTCTTCCCATGCAACGGCACCAGTCCGTGGCCAGACTCAAGAGGGCAAACGCTCCACTCCTTGCGATCAACTAGGATTCTCTGCCTTTGGGGGTGGGGGCATTAAAGGGGGCGTGTCCCAGACGCCTGACCCCCTCCCTTACACACACACAACCCCAGCTTAGGAAGGGGGCGGGGCCCCGTGCCCACTCTGCGCGCGGAATTCTTGGGGGGGCGCCTAGTGGCGCGGCCTCGCACAGTCCCGGAACAATAGGACCTGAGAGGGGGTTCGCGCCCCCCAGATCTGCGTTCTAATTCTTCTCTTCTTCCCACCTTTGCAAGAGCAGTGCCTGGGGCGCGGGGGGGAGGGGTCACCAAGCCGGGAATCCAAGGATGGGGGGAAGTCCAGGCCTTGCTTCGCCAGTCCCTCCCACCTTCCCAAGGCCTTCCCGTCCGAAATTGTTTTGCACCCCCATTTTCCCGCTGCAATTCTCCCTTTGCATGCCGGAGCTGGCTTTGGCGGAGTTTGCAATTTGCAAACTGGGGCGGCGGCGTTGTTACAAACCGAGGAAGGCCGCTCCCTTGCAAGCCGGAGGGGAGTTTGCGATGCACGCGTCGCCGGGCGGGCCCGGCCCGGCCCGGCCCGGCCCGGCTGGGCTCCCACCCCTTGGCCCCCTTCTCTAGGCCACCCTCAGCTCCTTACCTAGCTTTCGCTGACCTCTCGTAACTCCATCCCGCCCCGGCGCCGAGCGGGTCCCCGAAGCCGGCGCTGGGGTAGTTCCTGTCCATGAATTGGCCGCGGTGGAAATTGGGGGGAGGGGGAGGGAGGGAGGGAGGGAGGGGGCGCGCGCGCGCTCTCCTCCGCCGCCGCTCCCTCCGCTGCTGCTTTTTTTTCCCCCCTTTTCTCTCTCTCTTTTTTTCTTTGCAGCCGCCGAAGGCCCGGGAAGGCCCCGGGCGGGGGAGGGAGGGGGCAGGGGCGGAGGGGCGGGCAAGGGAGGGGGTGCAGTCGCTGAGCCAAGGAAGGGGGAAGGGGGGTTCCCCCTAGAGGAGGGAAGGGGGGAGGAGGGACCCCGCTGTCTCCGCCTTTGCCCCGGCGCTTGCGAGAGAAAAGGGGGGGCGCGCGCTCGGGAGGGGGCGTCCCGGGCGGCCCCGGGGTGGGTGCAGGCGCTGGGTGCTCGCTCTCTCGCCGCCGCCGCCGCCGCCTCCTCCTCCTCTGCGCTCACGGTGCAGCCATCTTTGCACAAGGCGGCTGGGGGAGGGGGGAGGGGAAGGGGGGGCGGGCGGCGGGGTGTCTGGCTGCGCTCCGCTTCCTCCCACAATCCCGTGCAAATGCAAAAAAAAAAAAAAAAAAAGGGAGAGTGAGAGAGAGACTGAGCGCGAGCAGGGCCTGGGGGTGTAGGGCGCGTTTGCACAGAAAACCAGTTCCGATGCGCCCGGGATCGCAGTTCATTTCATTATTATTTTTTGCATTATTTCTGCTTTTTTTGGTCTCCTTTCCGAAGGGTTTTTATTTAGGGGAACAGCTCAACTCCAGCTCCCTGGGTGCAATGCGAGCCTGCCCGCACCGAGCGCGCTTGCAAATATGCCCCCCGCCCTTTCCCTGGGTTACGAAGTGCCCCTGTACCGCACGGGGAGTGCACGAAGACACGCGTGTGCACAGGCGGGGCTCTGCGTGTGCGTACCCTGTGGCACTGGAGGGGGCTGTCAGGTCATATCTGCCCATACACAAGATGGCACAGCCGGGGCTGGGCTCCTGGGTCCGAATTTCCCCGCGCGTCTGCCTACCACGGGGGCGGAACTGACCAGTGCCCTCACGGTCAGGAGAGTGTGGGGGCCCGTGAGGGGCCAGGACACGGGAACACGTTGCCGAAAACATGTGTATATCCATACGCGGCGGAAACGCGTGTGCCAGGGCAGGCCTCGGGCCGGATGACCCCTACTCCCACCATTCCCCACTCCAAGTCCAGCTTCGGCGTCTATGAGGCCTAGCGGCTTCCGGAATCCGGTATGAATCAGGGGCACGGTTCGGAGAGCCGGGTCTCGAAAGCAGCTCTTCAGTGAGGCCTCCTGAGGCTGCAAGAGGAAAGGCACACTAGGGAGTCAAAGATCTGGCTGTTTTTCTCCCCCCTTCAACCAGGACCACTCCGACCGCCCTTGGCGTCTCAGCCAATCCAGGACCCTCTGGGCACAGGCCCCACCCTCCTATACGGCTCCACACATACAACGCTGGGCCACGCCCCTAGACCATTGCATGGGGCCCCGCCCCCGCACTCCAAGCCCCGCCCCAGGTAAGAAGGCCCAAATTCCAAGTCCCGCCCCTGAGCCCAGGTTCCTCCTCCAACGTGCCCACCCCTCTGCGCCCCGCCCCCGGGCAGAAGCCACGCCCCATACCTGGTGTAGGGGGGTGGAGGTGCGTCGTGTACCCCAGAGGCTGCCAGCGCCTGCTCATAGGTGGGGAGGCCTGGGGGTGGGGGTGGGGGTGGAGGCAGGGGCGTCGGTGGGCCCAGAGGGTTCAAAGGACTCAGAGGGCTAATGAGCCCGGCCCTGGGGACAGCAAAGGTACAGTTAGCAGAGGCAACTTACAGGATACCTAGACTAGGGAGGAAGAGAGGGGATCTAGGAGACGGAGACTCAGGGTGACACTGGGACAGAGCTGGAAGGGAGGTGGACTTCAGAAAAGGAGGGTCACCTTCAGCCTAGCCTTACACACAGAAAAGCGCCTCAAATGACAGGCAGCTGCACACAGACAGGTAGACACAGAAATCAGCAACCACAGAGACACACTCTTATTCAGACACACTCATGTGCACCAGATACAGGCAGAGCAATAGAGAAAAAGACAGCCCTGCCGGGTGCATGGCGCACACCTGTAGCTCTAGTTCCTCAGGAGGCTGAGGTGGGAGGATTTCTTGAGCCCAGGAAATTGAGGCTGCAGTGAACTGTGAACCGGCCACTGCACTCCAACATGGGCAACAGAGTGAGACTTTGTCTTTTTTTAAAAAAAAAAAAAAAAAAAAGGGCCAGGCGTGGTGGCTCACACCTGTAATCCCAGCACTTTGGGAGGCCAAGGCGGGCAGATCACCTGAGGTCAGGAGTTCGAAACCAGCCTGACCAACATAGAGAAACCCATCTCTACTAAAAATACAAAATTAGCTGGGCGTAGTGGAGTGCGCCTATAATCCCAGCTACACTGGAGGCTGAGGCAGGAGAATCACTTGAACCCGGGAGGCAGAGGTTGCAGTGAGCCAAGATCATGCCATTGCACTCCAGCCTGGGCAATGAGAGTGAAACTCCATCTCAAAAAAAAAAAAAAAAAAAAAGACAGCCCTGTAGAGAGGCAGGCCAACACACACCAAACAGACAGAACTCAGCCCATCCATATAGACAGGAACACAACACAGACGCACTCCTCACCAATTTCCCACACCCACTCAGGTGCTGCACCTGTTACCACTGAAACTGACATACCACAGACACCAAGACACCACAGGCTGCACCGTCGCAGCCTCACCAGATACAATATCCAGAGTCGTAATTCCACGGATACTGGTAATCTCAGTACCGCAAAGACAGGCTGGCAGCAAAAGTGGTCAGAGCTCCTACTGCGGGCCAGGTACTGAGGATCCAGACAGAGCGACAGTCGCCAAAACCAGACACAAGCCAGCTCACAGACTCACTCTCCAAATGACTGTGTCCTTAGGTCTTTCATCAGTGCCTGCCTGCCCCCAATCCTTAGCACATCCCTTTAGGTCAATGCTTCCTCCCTCCCCTGCTCTCCACCACCACCCCCTCCTCGCTGAAGCCCCCTTACTCTTGGGGACAGGGCTGCTGGCCTCGGTGCTGTCGCCAGCGCAGATACCAAAAGGCTCCCAGGCCGGCCAGGACAATGAGCAGGATGCCACCTGTCAGCCCCACAGCCAGGCTGGCCACATCCACTCGTCCACGCCCTGCAGGAAAGTAGGGAAGGGGAGACACTGTCTCGGGGACTGCCACCCACCCCAACATCAAAATTCCTTCCCACTGAGGGAAGAGAATGGACCCGGAAGCAGGCAGAGCTGGGGTCCCTTCCTAGCCCTGTGACCTCAGGAAATTCACCTCATTCCTTTCTCTGACCCTCCACTGCCAGTTCTGTAAAATGGGAACCATAACCCCTACCCCACTGTAAAAACCTAATGAGATTAGGCTGGATGTAGTGGCTCATGCCTGTAATCCCAGCACTTGGGAGGCCTAGGCAGGTGGATCGTTTGAGGTCAGGAGCTCAAGACCAGCCTGGCCAACATGGTGAAACCCTGTCTCTACTAAAAATACAAAAAAATTAGCCAGGCATGGTGGTATATGCCTGTAATCCCAGTTATCTGGGAGGCTGACACAGGAGAATCGCTTGAACTCAGGAGGTGGATGTTTTAGTGAGCCGAGATTGAGCCATTGCTCTCCAGCCAGGGCAACAAGAGTGAGACTTCATCTCAAAATAAAAAAAAACAAAACAAACAAACAAACAAAAACCAAAAAAACAAAACTATGTCCTGGCCAGGTGTGGTAGCTCATGCCTATAATCCCAGAACATTGGGAGGCTGAGGCAGGCAGATCACTTGAGGTCAGGAGTTTGAGACCAGCCCGGCCAATGTGGTGAAACCCCATCTCTACAAAAATTACAAAATTAGCCAGGCGCGGTGGCTCACGCCTGTAATCCCAGCACTTTGGGAGGCCGAGGTGGGTGGGTCACCTGAGGTCAGGAGTTCGAGACCAGCCTGGCCAACATGGAGAAACCCTGTCTCTACTAAAAATACAAAATTATCCAGGCACGGTGGCGCATGCCTATAATTCCAGCTACTTGGGAGGCTGAGGCAGGCGAATGACTTGAACCCAGGAGGCAGATGTTTTAGTGAGCCGAGATTGCGCTATTGCACTCCAGCCTGGGCAACAAGAGTGAAACTCTGTCTCAAAAAAAAAAAAAAAAAAAAAAATTAACCAGGCTTGGTGGTTCTTGCCTGTAGTCCCAGCTACTCGGAAGGATGAGGCAGGAGGATCGCTTGAGCCGGGGAGATTGTGCCACTCACTGCCCTCCAGGCTGGATGACAGAGAGAGACTCTGTCGCCCTCAAAAAAAAAAAAAAAAAAAAGGATGTCACATGTACTACTTGGAATACGCTTTTAAAATTATTCATTGTAGCTAGGCACAGTGGCTCACAGCTGTAATTTCAGAACTTTGGGAGGCTAAGGCAGGAAGATCACTTGAGCCCAGCCTGGGCAACATAGGGAGGCTCTACCAAAAAAAAAAAGAAAATTTTTTTTTTTTTGAGACAGGGTCTGACTCTGTATGGAGTGCAGTGGCACAATCGCGGCTTACTGCCACTTGGTCTCCAGGGTTCAGGCGATCCTCCCACCTCTGCCTCCTGAGTAGCTGGGACCACAGGTGTGTGCCACCATGCCTGGCTAATTTTTGTGTTTTTGTAATTTTTTGTATTTTTTGCCCAGGTTGGCCTCAAACTCCTAGGCTCAAGCAATCCACCAATCTCTACCTCCCAAAGTTCTGGGATTACAGGCATGAGCCATCACTGAGCCTGGGGAAAAAATGTTGGTTTTTTGTTTTGTTTTGAGACGGAGTCTTGCTCTGTCACCAGGCTGGCGTGCAGTGGCGCAATCTCGGCTCACCGCAACCTCCGCCTCCCAGGTTCAAGCAATTCTCCTGCCTCAGCCTCCCAAGTAGCTGGGACTACAGGTGTGCACCACCACATCCAGCTAATTTTTATATTTTTAGTAGAGACGGGGTTTCACTATGTTGGCCAGGATGATCTCGATCTCTTGACCTCGTGATCCACCCGCCTTGGCCTCCCAAAGTGCTGGGATTACAGGCGTGAGCCACCTCACCCAGCTGGAAAAAAATGTTTTTAATAGCTGGGTGTGGTGCTACAGGTACCTGTAGTCCCAGCTACTTGGGAGGCTGAGGAAGAAGAGTCACTTGACCCAAGGAGGTCAAGGCTACAGTGAGCCAGGATCACTCCACTATACTCCAGCCTGGGTGACTGGACCCTGTCTCTAAAAAAAAAAAAAAAAAAATGGCCGGGCTTGGTGGCTCACACTTGTAATTCCAGCACTTTGGAGGCCAAGGCAGGAGGATCACTGGAGCCTAGGAGGTCGAGAGCAGCGTAGACAACACAGCACAGTGAGACCCCCATCTCTACAAAAAAAATTTTAAGTATCTGGGCGTGGTGGTGCATGCCTGTAATCCCAGCTACTCAGGAGGCTTAGGTGGGAGGATCACTTGAGCCTAGGAGGTCGAGGCTGCAGTGAGTCGTCATCGTGCCACTGCACTCCAGCTTGGGTGACAAAATGACCCCATTTCCTTGTTTTTTTTTTTTTTTTTTTTTTTTTGGAGACACTCTGTTGCCCAGGCTGGAGAGCAGTGGTGTGATCTTGGCTCACTGCAACCTCCAGCTCCTGGGTTCAAACGATTCTCCTGCCTCAGCCTCCCCAATAGCTGGGATTACAGCCACGTGCCACCATGCCCAGCTAATTTCTGTATCTTTAGTAGAGATGGGGTTTCACCATGTTGACCAGACTGGTCTCAAACTCCTGAACTCAGGTGATCTGCTTGCCTCGGCCTCCCAAAGTGCTTGGATTACAGGTGTGAGCCACCGCGCCCAGCCATTTGTTTGTTTTTGAGACATCTCCCAGGCTGGAGTGCAATGGTGCGATCTCTGCTCACTGCAAACTCTGCCTCCCAGCTGCAGCGATTCTTGTGCCTCAGCCGCCTGAGTAGCTGGAATTATAGGCACACATCACCACACCTGGCTAATTTTTGTATTTTTAGTAGAGATGGGTTTCACCATGTTGGCCAGGCTGATCTCGAACTCCTGAACCTCAGGTGATCCGCCTGCCTTGGCCTCCCAAAGTGCTGAGATTACAGGCATGAGCCACCACATCTGACCACAGTAAACCCCCAGACTTTTGAGCCCCTTTAGCAAAAGGCGCAAGTGCAGCTTCAGAAGGCAGGTCCTCCTGAATTGGGCACCTTCAGGTAGATTCGAGGAGCCACTACGCCTCGCTAGGCCTGTCAGGAAAGAGTTACCTCCCCTAGCAACCAGGCTCCAATGTGAGACTCCAGCCCAGACCTAGGCCTGTTGCTAAGGTGCAGCTACCCCTAGCAACCGGGCCACAAGGGGGTGGGGCATCGGAGGCCCGGAGGGTGGTCCTCCAGTGGGCAGAAGGCCTTGGGTCCTGGAGCCTGGCTAGGTGTGGTTGCTAGGGAGAAGGCCTCCTTAGCAACCAGGCAGCTGCTGGGATGGGGCTGTGGGGGAGGGGAAATCAGCCAGGTACTGCTTCAGGCTTCTTCGTCTGGTCTGGCCTGGCCAGGCCCCGTTGCTAAGGAGCAGCCCCCCTTAGCAACAAGGCTGGCAACAAGATGGGAACAAGATGGCAACCCCTCAGAGAAGGGGTTCTTGGGGGCAAAATGGGCAGGTGAGGATGGGCAGGCTTCCTCCCTTGGTCGTGTTGCTAGAGGGCTGTGTCCCCAGCAATCAAGCTGCCGGAGGGGCTGGTCTTTCCACTTACTCTGGACACCAGGGAAGGGTTCAGGTGGGCCTGCCCCTCTGAGCCTAAGGCCTGACGGGCCCCACAGCTCTAACCTTTCCCTCCACTGACACTTTTCCCTTCCTAGGGACACAGGACTTGCGTCCAATAAGATGTGGTGGGGGGCCTGGCACCTATAATCTCAGCAGTCTGGGACACTGAAGCAGAAGGATTGCTTGAGGCCAGGCATTCAAGACCAGCCTGGGCCACATAGTGAGACCCCGTCTGTACAAAAACTACAAAAATTACCATGGTAATGTGTGCCTGGAGTCCCAATTACTCAGGAGGCTGAGGTGGGAAGATCGCTTGAGCCCGGGAGGTTGAGGCTGCAGTGAGCCAAGATTGTACCACAGCACTCCAGCCTGGGTGACACAGCGAGACCCTGTCTCAAAAATAAATAATTAAAGGCCTGGCGCGGTGGCTCACGCCTGTAATCCCAGCACTTTGGGAGGCCGAGGCGGGCAGATCACGATGCCAGGAGATCAACACCATCCTGGCTAACACGGTGAAACCCCGTCTCTACTAAAAATACAAAAAATTAGCCGGGTGTGGTGGTGGGTGCCTGTAGTCCCAGCTACTCGGGAGGCTGAGGCAGGAGAATGGCGTGAACCCGGGAGGCGGAGCTTGCAGTGAGCCGAGATCGCACCATTGCACTCCGGCCTGGGCAACAGAGCGAGACTCTGTCTCAAAAAAAAAAAAAAAGCAAAAATAAATATTTAAAAATAAAATAAGGTGTGGGGGGCTCCTCAGGCAAGCTGGGGTCTTAAGGGAGGGAACTCCTTTAGCAGCCAGCTTCAGAGAGCACAGAATTGGGGGGCAGACGATTCTTGTACCTAATTTGGGGTGGAGGACGTTGGTTTGGCCTCGCTGGGAAGGGACTACCTTAGCTGCACAGAACAAGATGGCTTCAGCCCCTCACTCACCTCCTTTGCCATTGTAGATGTAGCTCTCCCAAAAGCGCTCCTTGAGGGGGAAGGAGTGGAAAAGAAGGGGAAAAAGCAGGAATTCAGCTGGGAGGTTCACACCCCCAAACTAGCCCATCCTGATTTCTGAGACACCAAGGAGGAGGGAGCTGAAGGCCAGAACCTACCCCTGCAACCTCCCCACAGGTATAGAGAAGAGAGAGGGCCCGAAACTCCAGGGTCTCGAGGCCCTCACCGTGAGAGTGTTGTCCTCAAAATACTCCCTGGCCTCTTCCCAGGAACACCTCTCTTCCAGACACTCCCGTTCCAGGTTCCCTGGTGTGAGCAGCTCCAGGTCCCAGTGGTTGGCTCTTGGAATCCGGGTATGGCTACTCAGGAAGCTCTGGGCCTCTGGGGGACCCAGGAAGACTTCTGGACCCAAAGACATGAGGGACAGAAAAATGGAGGGTCCCTAGGGCTGGAGTCATAGGGGGATGGAAAGCAGTGGGGTCCTGGAGGAAGGAGCAGGGGCTGGGAATCCAGATTCCTGGGTCTGAAGGAGGAAGGGGCTGGGTCCTGGACTCCTGGAAGAGGAAGGACTAGAAACATTCCTGAGTCAGGGGGAGGCCAACGCCAAGTGTCTGGATGCCACTTCCCCCAAACACTCACCTTGGTCTGTCTCCTCACTGGGTGAAGTATCCAGGCAGGTGGTTAATGCCATATATAGCAGCAGCAGAGAGGGGTGGCCCCTCATATTTTCCAGACACCTAGAACCAGGTTTGTTACAGCTGACAAGGGCCTTAGTCCCTGGGTAATGAGGCAGTGCCTCTCTGACTGGCCTCTGTGGTCCACGAATGGCAATAATAGCAGCCACTTACACAGCCTGTATTCTGTGCCAGATACTGTTTACCTATATAAACTCATTTTACTTTTTTTTTTTTTTGACATGGAGTCTCGCTCTGTCAGCCAGGCTGGAGTGCAGTGGCACAGTCTCAGCTCACTGCAACCTCTGTGTCCTGGGTTCAAGCGATTCTCGTGCCTCAGCCTACCAAGTAGCTGGGATTACAGGCATGCGCCACCACACCCGCTAATTTTCTTTTTTTTTTGAGACAGAGTCTCGCTCTGTCACCCAGGCTAGAGTGCATTGGTGTGATCTCCGCTCACTGCACACTCCACCCCCCAGGTTCATGCCATTCTCCTGCCTCAGCCTCCCGAGTAGCTGGGACTACAGGTGCCGGCCACCATGCCCGGCTAATTTTTTTGTATTTTTAGTAGAGATGGGGTTTCACTGTGTTAGTCAGGATGGTCTCGATCTCCTGACCTCGTGATCTGCCCGCCTCAGCCTCCCAAAGTGAATTTTCATATTTTTAGTAGAGATGGGGTTTCACCATGTTGGCCAGGCTGGTCTTGAATTCCTGACCTCAAGTGATCTGCCTGCCTCAGCCTCCCAAAGTGCTGGTGCTGGGATTACAGGCGTGAGCCACTGTGCCCGGCCTCAACTCATTTTACTTTTCACAGGAGTCATACAAAAATTAGCCAGGCGTGGTTGTGGGCGCCTGTAATCCCAACTACTTGGGAGGCTGAGCCAGAATAATCACTTGAAAGGGGAGACAGAGGTTGCAGTGAGCCGAGACTGTGCCACTGCACTCCAGCCTGGGTGACAGAGCGAGATTCCATGTCAAAAACAAAACAAAACAAAACTTTTCACAGGAGTTTTTTTTTTTTTTTTTTTTTAGACAGAGTCTCGCTCTGTCACCCAGGCTGGAGTGCAGTGGCGCTATCTCAGCTCACTGTGACCTCTGCCTCCTGGGTTCAAGCGATTCTCCTGACTCAGCCTCCCGGGTAGTTGAGATTACAGGTGCGCACCACCACGCCTGGCTAATTTTTTGTATTTTTAGTAGAGATGGGGTTTCACCATGTTGGCCAGGCTGGTCTCAAACTCCTGACCTCAAGTGATCCACCCGCCTCGGCCTCCCAAAGTGCTGGGATTACAGGTGTGAGCCACTGCGCCCGACCAGGAGTCCTATTATTATCCCCAGTATAGAGAACAGGAAACTGAGGCACAGAGAGGTAATATAGCTTGCCGAAGGTCACACAGTGTGCAAGTGTGAGAGCCAGGATTTCAGTGAAGGCAGTGTCCGCCAGAGAAGAAAGCAAGGAGCAGGCAGCTTATCTTTCTTTCCCCACTGTGTCTACAGCACCTGACACAGATGCTTATAAACATGTCCACTGGTGATCTGGAGTCTTCCCTTCCTGGTAATTTCCACTTGTGCCTCTTTCTGTGCTCATTGTCACATCCACCCACAGACAACAAAGATTACGAGAGAGGCAGAGGCAGGGGATTAGTTATATTATTGGGTCTAGGGACCTAAGTGGGCAGGGGCCCTGGACTCCTGGGCCTAGGAGCCCCAAACTTCTGGGTCTCGGAGGGGCGGGGAGCCAGGATGCCTGGGTCCCCAAGCCAGGCTCTTCCTCCAGGGACATTCACTTACCTGCCCAGAAATGTGAGCACTGCCCCTTCCTCTTTAATCGAGAACTCCTTGGCCAGCTACAGCCAGCTGTGAAAGGGGACAGGGAAGAGGGGAGGGGATAAGGAGGAGGGGCGCCCCACTCCCGGTAACCAGGCCTGATCCCCGTTTCTGGCAGGTGGGCGGAACTTGCCATTACCTGCCCTGGGCGGGACTCAGGTAAGGGACAAAGTATTTAAAGGGACCTTGGGATAAAGGACTTAAAGGCCAGAGCTCCATGAGGAAGCCAAGGTGTCGAATACCATGGGATACCTGGGGGATTAGATTCGACCCTCCTCCTCCCTCCCGACCCCTACCCGCTCTGGCTCTCCCCTGGGAGTTCGTCTGTCCGAGCTAGAAAAATTAATATCTAGGTCTCTAGGTATCTAGAAACTAGCGGGAACGATATGCCTTAGTCCCTGGGACAGCTGGGCAGTGCCGCAGTAAATCCCTGTTTCCTGAGAGCGACTTGAACGGCTTTGATTTTCAATTTCCCAATGGCTCTGTCTGTAAAATGGGAGCGTAGTTGTCTCTTCTCAATTGTTTTAAGATGCAGCAAGAAAAGTGGATGATATATTTGGGAAAGTGGGCTTCCCGATCTCTAGGGGAAGTGATTAGTCCTTAAATTTGGGCTTGGAGAGACTCAAAACCTGGGAACCAAGCAGGAAAAAACGATCTCCCTGGGAAATGCCTCGTACATAGTAAGCGTTCCCCATATTCCCACCAGTTTCAATATCCGGAACTTTCGATTAGCTACTCACGTTTCCGGAGAGAGAAAGAGAAGAGAGGACTTGAGCAAGCCAGGCGAGGCACTTCCGCAACTAGGGGCAGCTCTACTTCCGGTGCCTTCTGCTGGGCGGAAGTGGGCGGAGCGGAGGGGGAAAATAGTGCTCCTTTCCGGTGTCGGGGCACAGTTGAAGAAGCGACCGAGGGACTGGGAGTCGTTAGTGAGGTGAGTTCGAGGCGGTGCAGGAAGAGTGTTGCTGGGATCGCTTTCCTGCGGGCTAGAGGCCTGGGGTCTTGAGGGAGACTGGGGCAAGATTTTGGATTCCCGATTCCCTGTCAATCATTATTAATACAGCTGTCCGGGCGCCCCAAGTTTGAAGCTGAACTACACTCTGCTGGAGGTGGCCAACCGTCCATCGGGCAGTTCTCTCTCTCTTTGTCTCTCTCTCTCACTATAAACTCAGTCAAGTGGTAGCTAGCATCGGCCAGTTCTCCTGAGAGTTACAGTTCTGCTGTAGATGATGGCTATTTGCTGGTGGTCCCAAGGGAAGGAGTGGACTGGGATTGCTGGGGGTCTAAGGAGTGGGAGTTGAGGAGGGAGAACTCCTTTCCTGGCCTCAGTTTCTCAGACTGTGGTGGGACGGCGGGCGATACTAGATTGTGCAGTCATCCATCGCCACCTTCTCTTCACCTTTTTGACAGCCCCTTCCCTTTCGGGGTTGGTGCAGGGATTCACGTTTTCTTGTGTGGAGCTTCGGGGTCAGGCAGTCATGGATTCCCATTCTGATTGTGCTGCTAATTCTGTGAACTTGGGGCTTGAACGGTCCTTGAGGCAGTTTGATGTTAATGTTTTCTTACGAAAATGTTCAAACTTATATAAAAGTGAGAGAAGAATACAGGAATTCCTGTCACCCAAATCACCAATGATTATTTTTGCCATACTTGCTGTATTTTTTTAAACTTAAAGAGATTAAAACAAATCGTAGGCATCATGACACTTAAGGATTGTCAAAAGACAAAATTGCAACACATTTAGTGAGAAGATCTTAATTGGCATTTATTCGTGAATCTACAATCAAACAACATCTAATTATGGAAAATAGCGTGAGTGTTCCGATGAGCTGAGCAGAGGTTGTTTTCAGAGACAAAGGGCTGAGAAAATCAGAAACGGAAAACAAAAAGCTAGTTGATTAAATTGATTAACTTGATTAAATTTCTAAGTTAAAGGTTAAAGTAGAGGGGACTTCCTTTATCAGGTGGGCTAAAACTGGGTTGTTTGGGGATTTGGCTATTATCTCTCTCCTGATATCTCAGAAGATCAGATATCAACTTAGTTTTGGCTTGGAAGCATGGAACTTTAGCATGAGTGTCTCCATTTTGGTTTGGTCTGTTGAACCTAGTGCAGGAGCTCAATCCAAACCAATGACCTTCTATAAATTTTATCTAACAGGGTGCGTGTGTAAAAACCAGAAACATTGCTGATATGACCACAATACCATCATCACACTTTAAAAGAACAACCGTAATTCTAGACTACTATCCATTACGTGGTGCAGAGTCAAGTCCAGTGTAACTGTGGGTTTGTTGGAATCAGGATATAGTTAAGTAATTGCTATCGTCTTTTACATCTCTCTTAATTTAGAACTGTTCCCCCTTCCACTCCACTTTGGTTATTTCTTGGTGTAATCGATTCATTGAAGAAACTAATTCTAGTTCAGTTGATCATCCCACCATCTGAATTTGTCCCGTTTGCTTTTTTGTGGTCTCATTTTACCTGCTTCTGTTTTCTTTCTTTTTTTTTTTAAGTATTTAAAAATAGGCCAGACACAGTGGCTCATGCCTGTAATCCCAGCACTTTGGGAGGCCAAGGCGGGCGGATCATGAGATCAGGAGATCAAGACCATCCTGGCTAACACGGTGAAACCCCTTAGCCGGGCATGATGGCAGGCACCTGTAGTCCCAGCTACTCAGGAGGCTGAGGCAGGAGAATTGCGTGAACCCGGGAGGCAGAGCTTGCAGTGAGCCGAGATCACGCCACTGCACTCTAGCCTGGGCGACAGAGTGAGACTCTGTCTCAAAAAAAAAAAAGAAAAAATAGATAGAGACAAGGTGTCACTATGTTGCCCAGGCTGGTCTCAAACTCCTGGGCTTAAGCGATCCTCCTGCCTTGGCCTCCCAAAGTGCTGTGCTTAGATTACAGGTGTGAGCCATTGAGCCCGGCCTCATTTTACTTGTTTCCTCATGCCAGGGATCAGCTAATTATGTTCTACAGACCAAACTCAAATCCTGCCAGCTACCTGTTTTAAAAATCCCCATTGGGCAGGCACAGTGGCTCATGCCTGTAATCCTTGCACTTTGGGAGGTGAAGGCAGGTGGATCATCTGAGGTCAGGAGTTCGAAACCAGCCTGGCCAACATGGTAAAACCTCATCTCTACTAAAAATACAAAAATTGGCTGGTCATGGTGGCTGGCACCTATAATCCCAGCTACTCAGGAGGCTGAGGCAGGAGAATTGCTTGAACCCTAGGGACAGAGGTTGCAGTGAGCTGAGATCATGCCACTTCACTCCAGCCTGGGCAAAAGAGCATAACTCCCTCTCAAAAAAAAAAAGCATTAGTGGGATATGATTTACCTAACATATAGTTCACCCATTGAAAATATACAATTCAGTGGTGTTTAGTACGTTGACAGAGTTGTGCAACCATCAACACTATCATTTTAAGAATATTTTCATCACCCAAAAAGAAACCCTGGTACTCATTAGCAGTCATTCCCTATTTCCTCCCAATCCTTCCCACCCCAGTCTTTGGCAGCCACTACTCTGCTATATCTGTGGATTTGCCTAATCTGGGTATTTTGCACAAATGAAACCATAAAATATTATTGTGACTGCCTTCCTTCTTTCATTTAGCATGTTTTCAAGGTTCACCTATGTTGTGGCATGTATCAATACTTCTTTTTTTTTTTTTTTTTCCCGAGACACGGCCTTGCTCTGTTACCCAGGCTGGAGTGCAGTGGTTCGATCATGGCTCACTGCAGCCTCAACCTCCTGGGTTCAAGTGATCCTCCTGCCTTGGCCTCCCAAAGTACTGGGATTACAGGTGTGAGCCATCGGCGCCCAGCCAGCTACTTTATTCTTTTTATGGCTGGATAATATTCCTTTACCCAAGATATACTTCTTTTCTTTTTTTTTCTTTTTTTGAGACAGAGTCTTGCTCTGTCACCCAGGCTGGAGTGCAGTGGCGTGATCTCGGCTCCCAGGTTTGAGCGACTCTCCTGCCTCAGCCTCCCGACTAGCTGGGGCTACAGGCATGCGCTACCACGCCTAGCTAATTTTTGTATTTTTAGTAGAGATGGGGTTTCGCCATGTTGGCCAGGATGGTCTCGATTTCTTGACCTCATGATCCGCCCGCTTTGGCCTCCCAAAGTGCTGGGATTACAGGCATGAGCCACCGCGCCCCGCCTGCATGGATGTATGTTTTTATTTCTATTGGCAGTGGAATTGCTGGGTCAAAAGGTGACTATTTAACCTTTTGAGAAACTGTGACTTTTCCAGAATGGCTGTACCATTTTACATTTCTACCACCAATGTATAAGGGTTCCAGTTTCTCCATATCCACACCAGCACTTATTATTTATCTTTTTGATTATAGTCATTCTAGGGGGTGTGAACTGGTGTCTTTTAACATGCTTATTGGCCATTTGTAGATCTTTGAAGAACTGTCTATTCCAATCCTTTACCCATTTTCAAATTGTGTTAGGTGTCCTTTCATTATTGAGTTGTAAGTTTTTAATATATTCTCACTGCAATTCCCTTATCAGATATCCTGATTTTTTTTTTTTTTTTTTTTTTTTTGAGACAGAGTTTCACTCTTGTTGCCTAGGCTGGAGTGCAATGGTGCGATCTTGGCTCATCACGACCTTCGCCTCCCAGGTTCAAGTGATTGTCCCATTTCAGCCTCCCGAGTAGCTGGGATTACAGGTATGCACCACCACGCCCAGCTAATTTTGTATTTTTAGTAGAGATGGGGTTTCTCCATGTTGGTCAGGCTGGTCTCGAATTCCCAACCTCAGGTGATCCGCCCACCTCGGCCTCCCAAAGTGCTGGGATTACAGGTGTGAGCCACCTCACCTGGCATTTTTTTTTTTTTCCCCAGAGACAAGGTCTCACTCTGTCACTCAGTCTGGAGTGCAGTGGTGCAGTGGCACGATCATAACTCACTGCAGCCTCAACCTCCTGGGATCAAGTGATCCTCCTGCCTCAGCCTCCCAAGTAGCTGGGACCACAGGCGCATGCCACTATGCCCGGCTAATTTTTTAAATTTTGTTTTGTGGAGATGGAGTCTTGCTATGTTGCCCATAGCAAGTTCAAGTCTGGTCTCAAAAACCATGCTGCTGCTGCTTTTTTTTGGTAGAGACAGGGTTTTGGCATGTTGCTCAGGCTGGTCTTGAACTCGTGAGTTCAAGTGATCCTCCTGCCTTTGCCTCCCAAAGCACCCTATCCAGGTATGAGCCACAACAGCCAGGAGATATCTGACTTTTGTAACTGCTACCTGTTTTTGTTCAGCCTGCAAACTAAAAATGGTTTTTAACATTTTTTTTTTATAAGATGGAGTCTCGCTCTGTCGCTCAGGCTGGAGTGCAGTGGCGTGATCTCCGCTCACTGCAAGCTCCACCTCCCGGGTTCATGCCATTCTCCTGCCTCAGCTTCCGGAGTAGCTGGGACTACAGGCGCCCGCCACCACGCCCGGCTAATTTTGTTTTTGTATTATTAGTAGAGACGGGGTTTCACCGTGTTAGTCAGGATGGTCTCAATCTCCTGACCTCACGATCTGCCCGCCTTGGCCTCCCAAAGTGCTGGGATTACAGGCGTGAGCCACTGCGCCTGGCCTGGTTTTTAACGTTTTTACATAACTGGAAAAAACCAAAAGAATGAATTTGGTGACCTATGACAATTATATGTGATTCCGTGTCAGAGTCTAAAAGTAAAGTTTTATTGGAACACAGCCATGCCCGTTTGTGTGTCTGTGGCTGCTTTTATGCTACAGGGGCTGAGTGGAGTACTTACAGGGGCTGTTTGGCCTGCAAAGTTCAAAACATTTACTCTCTGGCCCTTTTTTGTTATTCCCTGCTATATCCTCTGACTTCCTAGAATCAGGAAATTGAATGTAAAGACTTGATTAAATTTCCATTCAGCTGTCAGGTGATTACTTCAGAGCTGGTCGCTTCATGTTGCATACTGCCTGGGTGCCCCATTTTCAGGGGTAGTGAAATTCATTCAGGCTCAGGCAGCATTATAGACTGAATGTCCCCCCCAGATTCGTATATTGAAGCCCTAATTCCCCAAGGTGATTATATTTGGAGGTAGGGCCTTTGTGGAGATAATTAAGGTGAAAGAGTGGGGCCCTAATCTGATGGATTGGTGTCCTTATAATAGGAGGAGGCTGCGCATGGTGGCTCATGCCTATAATCCCAGCACTGTGGGAGGCCAAGGCAGGTGGATCACATGAGATCAGGAGTTCAAGACCAGCCTGGCCAACATGGTGAAACTCTGTCTCTACTAAAAATACAAAAATGAGGCCGGGCGCAGTGGCTCACGCCTGTAATCCCAGCACTTTGGGAGGCCGAGGTGGGCAGATCACGAAGTCAGGAGATAGAGACCATCCTGGCTAACGTGGTGAAACCCCCTCTCTACTAAAAATACAAAAAAATTAGCCGGGCATGGTGGCGGGCGCCTGTAGTCCCAGCTACTCGGGAGGCTGAGGCAGGAGAATGGCATGAACCCTGGAGGCAGAGCTTGCAGTGAGCCGAGATCACGCCACTGCACTCCAGCCTGGGTGACAGAGCGAAACTCCGTCTCAAAAAAAAAAAAAAAAAATTAGCCAGGCATGGTGGTGGACGCCTGTAATCCCAGCTACTTAGGAGGCTGAAGCAGGAGATTCACTTGGGCCTGGGAGGCGAGATCCGCCGCTGCACTCCAACCTAGGTGACAAAGTGAGACTCCTCCCAAAAAACAGAAGGAGACACCAGAGAGCTTTCTCTCTGCCACTGAAGATAGCCATCTGCAAACCAGGAAGAGGGTGTCACCAGAACCCCACAATGCTGGTAGCCTGAACTTAGACTTCCAGCCTCAGGAACTGGAGAAAATAGGTCTGTTGTTTAAGCCACCCAGAGTGGTGTTTTGTTATGGCAGCTGGAGCAGACTGAGACAGGTGGCAGCCATCGAAAACCGCATTGTAAAGCTACAACTGTGTATTTTCCAGTAGCAAGAATTAGCATCCTGTGACTATCCAGGCCCCATCAGCCTCTCCTTTAATGCCATCCATCAACAATCATTGCCTGAGTCAGCTATTTCACCAGAGGTTGCAAAATGGCAGTTTTCCTATTCTCCCATTTCTCTTACACTTAGTCTGAATAATTTGGTTTTTGTCTTGAGTCATGTCCAAGAAGCAGTTGAAGAGAGTGACTTAATCAAACTTCCATTCTGAAAAGCCCCCCTGAGGCTGGTTTGTCAAGGAATAGACTGAGGAAGAGGCCAATTTCTCCAAGCTTCAATTTTCCTACCTATTAAATGAGCAAGACTGGGCGCGGTAGCTCATGCCTGTAATCCCAGCACTTTGGGAGGCCGAGGTAGTAGATCACCTGAGGTCAGGAGTTCAAGACCCAGCCTGGCCAACATGGTGAAACCCCGTCTCTACTAAAAATACAAAAAAAGTATCTAGGCATGGTGGTGTGTGCTTGTAATCCCAGCTACTTGGGAGGCTGAGGCAGGAGAATCACTTGAACCTGGGAGGTGGAGGTTGCAGTGAGTCAAGATCGTGCCACTGCACTCCAGTCCGGGTGACAGAGTGAGACTCCGTCTCCAAAAAAAAAAAAAAAAAAATACTTCAGTCCTGGTGACAGTGAGACTGTCTCCAAAATAAATACATACATACATACATACATACATAAAATAAAATAAATGGGCAGAACGTGGGGAGGTTGTCATGAGGACCGAATGTGTTCACATGTGGAAAGTGCTTCCCACAAGGTCTGATTCTTAAGGGGTTGAAGGATGTGATGATTACTTCTGTTCTTCCAGTGCTTCTGTGATTCACATGTTACTAATGAATTATTAGTGTATTAATGGCATGATGTCATGGCTGCATGGTTAGTTCATTGCTAACCCACCTCCCCTGGCCCTAGGATTGGAGGTGGTTCATTGATTCTATCATGACATCTCTGAGACCTCCCAGGTGCCAGGCAATGCTGGGACCCAGGCTGAAGTTCAACCCAGGCCCCACCAACCAGGGCCCCTACTCTGGAGCCGAAATACCGAGGGACGGGCTGTAACGGAGGTAGCTCAGGGCACGGTCAAGTGCAAGGAGAACCTAACTGATCCCGGAGAGGCAGGCTTCTTGGAGGAGGCAAACCTTGGCAGTGCTCTGGAGGAGAAAGGAGACAGGATTTCAGGGGAGGACAAGACACACACTAGCTGTCTGATCCACTCCCAGAGTTCAGCACAGTGCCTGAGGCCGCCTGCAGCCAGCTGGCACAGTGGATGGTCAAAGCCACAGGTGCTTGGATCAAACACAGCTGTAGGACTCACTAGCTGCATAACCTAGGGCACCGCCTCTGTGCCTCTCTTCATTTATAGCAACTATTTGAGGTGCTGTGATATTCAGTGGAGTGTTGTGATATTCGACCGTTTGAGGTGTTATGATATTCAGTAAAATGCTTAGAGCCAGGGTCTGCTTCAGAGCCGGGCTTTTTTTTTTTTTTTTTTTTTGAGACACAGTCTTGATCTGTTGGCCAGGCTGGAGTGCAGTGGCCCGATCTTGGCTCACTGCAACCTCTGCCCCCAGGTTCAAGCGATTCTCCTGCCTCAGCCTCCCGAGTAGCTGGGACTACAGGCACCTGCCACCACACCCAGCCAATTTTTGCATTTTTAGTAGAGACAGGGTTTCGCCACATTGGCCAGGCTGGTCTTGAACTCCTGACCTCAGGTGATCTGCCCGCCTTGGGCTCCCAAAGTGCTGGGATTACAGGCGTGAGCCACTGCTCCCAGCCATATATATATATATATTTTAAAGTATCTCCAATGAAAATTTAGCATCTGATGGCCAGGCCAATGTGGTGAAACCCCATCTGTGCTAAAAATACAAATATAAAAATACAAAAATGAGCTGGGCATGGTGGCACACGCCTGGAATTCCAGTTACTTGGGAGGCTGAGGCAGGAGAATGGCTTGAGCCCTGGAGGTGGAGGTTGCAGTGAGCCAAGATTGCACTATTTTGCACTCCAGACTGGGCAACAGAGCGAGACTCTGTCTCAAAAAAAAAAAAAAAAAAAAAAGGCTGGGTGCAGTGACTCATGCTTGTAATCCTAGCACTTTGGGAGGCTGAGGCGGGTGGATCACCTGAGGTCAGGAGTTCGAGACCAGCCTGCCCAACATGGCGAAACCCCATCTCTACTAAAAATACAAAAAATTAGCCAGGCATGGTGGCGGGTGCCTGTAATCCCAGCTACCTGGAAGGCTGAGGCAGGAGAATCACTTGAATCGGGGAGGTGAAGGTTGCAGTGAGCCGAGATCACACCACTGCACTCCACCCTAGGTGATAAAAGCGAAACTCCATCTCAAAAAAAAAAGAAAAAAAAAAGAAAATTTAGCATCTGAATTACTGAAATTACTGAGATGTGCTGAAAGAGTAAAATACATTCTGGATTTCAAAGGCTACAAATAAAGGAATGGATTGGCTTTTTTTTTTTTTTTTTTTTGAGACAGAGTCTCACTCTGTCGCCAGGCTGAAGTGCAGTGGTGCGATCTGGGCTCACTGCAACCTCCACCTCCTGGGTTCAAGCGATTCTTCTGCCTCAGCCTCCCGAGCAGCTGGGACCACAGGCGCGCACCAACACACCCAGCTAATTTTTGTATTTTTAGTAGAGATGGGGTTTCACCATGTTGGCCTGGATGGTCTCAACATCTTGACCTTGTGATCCACCCGTCTCAGCCTCCCAGAGTGCTGGCATTACAGGTTTAAGCCACCGTGGCCAGCCTGATTGGCCTTTTTTCTGAGATTGTGACTTTCCTAGGAAAACTGACAGTTGTCACCTAGTTAAAAGGAATGGCTCCAGAGCCTGGCTGCCTGGGTCTGAGTCCCAGCTCTGCCATTTCCCAGCTGGGACATGCTGTGAGCCTGTTTCCTGTGCTGTGAGGTAGGGATTATGCTGACATCGGTCGCTCCTGCTCTTTGCCTGTTTCCTCTCTGAAATGCTGGTGACAGCAGATGGCAGCAGTCTGCTTTGTAGTTTGAAATTGGACCTACCAAAGAGACAATATAGTGTGGGGCAGGAGAGCTCAGCTTTCAGAGTTTGTAAATCCTGAAACTGGCTATTCTTCCACCCTTGGTTGGAGGCGCTCACGCTTTCTGGTCTCAGGATCTTAAAAATCACTGAGTTTTAAAAATCAAAGAGTTTGCCGGGTGCAGTGGTTCATGCCCGTAATCCTTGCACTTTGGGAGGCTGAGGTGGGCGGATCACTTGAGATCAGGAGTTCAGAACTAGCCTGGCCAACATGGTGAAACCCTGTCTCTACTAAAAAATACAAAAAAAAAAAAAAAAAAATTAGCTGGGCGTGGGCGCCTGTTATCTCAGCTACTTGGGAGTCTGAGGCAGGAGAATTGCTTGAACCCAGGAGGTGGAGGTTGCAGTGAGCCGAGATCACACCACTGCACTCCAGCTTCGGCAACAGAGCAAGACTCCATCTCAAAAAAAACAAATTAAATTAAAAAAAGTTTAAATGCTCCCTCTATAGGTGTTCCTCCTATTTTTGGAGGGAAAATGTCCCCATCTATGTAGAAACCTCAGTTCTTGGCCACAAAACAGCAAGCAAGCTCATCTCTGGGAAAGCCGAGGTGCCCAGAGCCAAATACTGCAGAGGGTCAAGGGAGTTGACAACTAAGAATAGAGTGGGGAATGTGTCCATGAAAAGGTCACCGTGACCTTCATGAGTGGCAGTTGTGGGGGCTGGGGAGCGGATGGCAGGTGAGGGGAGGCAACAGGTGTTGGACGTTCACTGAGAAGCTTGGGGGTCAGGGGGAAGTCGGAGGAGGAGCCTGGCATGTGGAGGGGACCCTGGGTCAAGTTGGGGTGTTTGATCAAGGTCGCCCTTCTGCAAGCAGCCCTGGCTGCCTCAGGGGGCACATTGATCGGGAAGGGGCGTGAGGGGGTATTTAGCGTGATAGGAAGGTTCTGTATCTCCATAGGGTCGTGGTCACAAGGGTGTATACATTTGTCAGATCGCATCCAACTGTAAAGGTCTTTGCTTTGATTCTGTGTAAATATACCTAAAACCCAAAGAGTGGCTTCTGAGAAGACGCCAGTAGGGGGAGAGAGAGCTCCATAGCTCCCAGAGGTTTGTGTTTCAAGTTTTGAATGGGAAAGGCAAGTTTTTCAAAGCAACCAGAAGGGGGCGATAGAGATGAAGTTGCTTTTTACATCGGTGGGACCCTTGGTTGTGCTCCCCACCCCAACTTCTGGATCCTACTTGCAGGCTACTTGAGAGCAGGAGACAATCTTTCCTGAATGCAACTAATATGTGTCATGTGGAGCCTTTTGTCTGCAAGAGTTCTTTATATTTTATTCTTTCTTTATTTTTTGAGATGAGTGTCTGTCACCCAGGCTGGAGTGCATTGGCACAGTCTCGGCTCACTGCAACCTCCGCCTCCTGGGTTCAAGCGATTCTTGTGCCTCAGCCTCCCAAGTAGCTGGGATTACAGGTGGCCACCACGACTGGCTCATTTTTGTATTTTTGGTAGAGACAGGGTTTTACCATGTTGACCAGGCTGGTCTTGAACTCCTGACCTCAGGTGATCTGCTCACCTCAGGCATGAGCCACCTCGCCCCACCTGCAAGTGTTCTTTTTTGTTGTTGTTGTTGTTGTTTTTGTTTTTTGAGACAAAGTCTCACTCTTGTCCCCCAGGCTGGAGTGCGATGGCGCGATCTTGGCTCACTGCAACCTCCACCTCCCGGGTTCAAGCAATTCTCTTGCCTCAGCCTCCTGAGTAGCTGAGATTACAGGCGCCTGCCACCTCGCCCGGCTAATTTTTGTATTTTTAGTAGAGACGTGGTTTCACCATGTTGGCCAGGCTGGTCTCAAAACTCCTGACCTCAAGTGATCCGCCCACCTCGGCCTCCTAAAGTGCTGGGATTACAGGTGTGAGCCACCGTGCCCGGCCAAATGTTCTTTAAAATGTATCATTGTAGGCCAGGCACGGTGGCTCACACCTGTAATCCCAGCACTTTGGAAGGCCGAGGCGGGCAGATCACGAGGTCAGGAGATCAAGACCATCCTGGCTAACATGGTGAAACCCCATCTCTACTAAAAAAAAAATAAAAAAAATTAGCTGGGTGTGGTGGCAGGTGCCTGTAGTCCCAGCTACTCAGGAGGCTGAGGCAGGAGAATGGTGTGAACCTGGGAGGTGGAGCTTGCAGTGAGATTGTGCCACTGCGCTCCAGCCTGGGTGAAAGAGCGAGATAACGTCTCAAAAAAAAAAAAAAAAAGTATCATTGTATGCACAGTAGATTTCCTGTGCCTACATGGTATTGAGCTCTTGTTTTACTCTTTTCTCACTAAGCATTATGATTTAAAGATCCTCCCAGGCCGGGCGCAGTGGGCTCACACCTGTAATCCCAGCACTCTGGGAGGCCAAGGCGGGCAGATCACGAGGTCAGGAGTTCGAGACCATCGTGACCAACGTGGTGAAAGCCCATCTCTGCTAAAAATACAAAAATTAGCCAGGCGTGGTGGTGCAGGCCTGTAGTCCCAGCTACTCAGGAGGCTGAGGCAGGAGAATCGCTTGAACCTGGGAGGCGGAGGTTGCAGTGAGCCGAGATTGCGCCACTGCACTCCAGCCTGGTGACAGAGCAAGACTCTGTCTCAAAAAAAAAAACAAACAAACAAACTATTTTTTTTTTTTTTTTAGAGATGGGGTCTAGCTATATTGCCCAGGCTGGTCTTGAACTCCTGGCCTTAAGCAATCTTCCTGCCTTGGTTTCCCAAAGTGTTGGGATTACAGGCATGAGCCACGGCACCCAGCCTCTTTTACTCATCTTTCTATTGGAGTGGCTGTAATTTTCTTCTTGATTTGCTGGAGTTTCATGTACCATCAGTTCTGCTATAATGCTTATTTTGAAAATGTGAATTTATTCCAATGCAGTTGATATATCAGGGAACAATTTGAGCATAACACCAATTTCACATTTGCTTATGTGCATCCAAGGTGAATCCAGGAAACTGCACTCTGCTATAAGTGTGTGTGTGGGAATACACAAAGCACACATACACGGCACTTCAAACAAATACCACCACCGCAGTTCCCCGGGTGTTAGGAGCCACACCCATCCACATCTGGTACTAGGACTTTCCATCAGATCTCAAATAACCCTCTTTCCACCACATCACAGTAATTCACAAGGCGCTCCCTCCACCCCACACCCATTGCCACAACAAACTTCAAGTCTTTGTCAAGGTCAACTGCCATATTTTTGGAGTATGTTGGTATGTCTTAACCACCTAGCCCGTGTGAAACTGTTCTCTCCTTTTGTATTCTGTTCTTATCTTTTTCTTTAAGCATCACCGACAAAGTTTACGAGGATTGTGACACAATCCTGTTTTCTCTGTAAGCCTTGTGGTTTTTGACTGCAGGATTTTGCATATTGCTGTGATTTCTATGAATGCATGCCTTATAGTAGAACTGACTATTCTACATATTAGTCCCTTGTTGGTTGGGTGTGGTGGCTCATGCCTGTAATCCCAGCACTTTGAGAAGCCAAGGTGGCCAGATTACCTGAGGTCAGGAGTTCGAGATCAGCCTGGCCAACGTGGTGAACCCTGTCTCTACTAAAAAAAAAATGCAAAAAAATTAGCCGGGCCTGGTGGCAGACACCTATCATCTCAGCTGCTGGGGAGGCTGAGGCAGGAGAATCGCTTGAACACAGGAGGCAGAGAGGTTGCAGTGAGCCGAGATCATGCTACTACACTCCAACCTGGGCGACAGAGCAAGATTCTGTCTCAAAATAAATAAAATAAAAATGAAAATGATATTAGTCCCTTGTTGATTGTAGGCATTACAAGTATCTTCTCCCAGTCTCTCACTGATGGCACATTTTCCACAGCATGGTGCAGGAGGTTCCTTGCTGACCCAGGCACAGCTCAGAGCCAGTCCCAGGAAGCCCTGGGGCAAAGTTGTGAGGAGTGGCTCTCTCATGTTGTTGGAGGTATATAGACCTGTGCAGTCTGTATGGAGAGCAACTAGTAAATTCTAACAAAAAAATTTTTGGGGCCGGGCACGGTGGCTCACGCCTGTAATCCCAGCACTTTGGGAGGCCGAGGCGGGCGGATCACGAGGTCAGGAGATCGAGACCATCCTGGCTAACACAGTGAAAACCCGTTTCCACTAAAAATACAAAAAATTATACGGTGTGGTGGCGGGTGCCTGTAGTCCCAGCTACTCGGGAGGCTGAGGCAGGAGAATGGCGTGAACCCGGGAGGTGGAGCTTGCAGTGAGCCGAGATCGCGCCACTGCACTCCAGCCTGGGAGACAGAGCGAGACTCCGTCTCAAAAAAAAAAAAAAAAAAGTTTTTTGGCTGGGCACGGTGGCTCATGCCTATAATCCCAGCACTTTGGGAGGCCGAGGCAGGTGGACCACCTGAGGTCAGGAGTTCAAGACCAGCCTGGCCAACATGGCGAAACCCCATCTCTACTAAAAATACAACAATTAGCTGGGCATGGTGGTGCGCGCCTGTAATCCCAGCTACTCAGGAGGCTGAGGCAGGAGAATTTGCTTGAACCTGGGAGGCAGAGGTTGCAGTGAGCCAAGATCATGCCGCTGCACTCCAGCCTGGGCGACAGCGAGACTCTGTCTCAAAAAAAAAAAAAAAATAGTATGTGTGTATATATATATATGTATGTATATGTATTTATATTTTTAAGGCTGGTCAAGTGAAGGAGTGGAAGTGGAAAGGAACAAAGAAATCTGTAGCTGGTTGTGATCAATTAGTTGTAAACATTGCTGCACTCAGCCCAGCCTCTAACCACATTTTAAATGCACACACCCTTTGAATCAGTTATTCCACTTTTAAAATTTATCTTAAAAGCAGGGTTGGGTGCAGTAGCTCATACCCTTCATCCTAGCACTTTGGGAGGCCAAAGCAGGAGGACCACTTGAGCCCAGGAGTTCAAGACCAACCTGGACAACATAGCAAGACCCTGCCTGGATAAAAAATTAGCTGGGCATGGTGGTGCATGCCTGTATTCCCAGCTACTTGGGAAGCTATGGTGGGAGGATCACTTGAGCCCAGGAGTTTGAGGCTGCAGCGAGCTATGATTGTACCACTGTATTCAGCCTAGATGACAGAGTGAGACCCTGTCTTAAAGAAAAGGCCGGGCGCAGTGGCTCACGCCTGTAATCCCAGCACTTTGGGAAGCCGAGGTGGGCGGATCACGAGGTCAGGAGATCGAGACCATCCTGGCTAACACGGTGAAACCCCGTTTTCACTAAAAAATACAAAAAATTAGCCAGGCGTGGTGGCGAGCGCCTGTAGTGCCAGCTACTCGGGAGGCTGAGGCAGGAGAATGGCGTGAACCCGGGTGGCAGAGGTTGCACTGAGCCGAGATTGCGCCACTGCACTCCAGCCTGGACGACAGAGCGAGACTGTCTCAAAAAAAAAAAAGAAGAAGAAAAGAAAGAAAGAAAAAAAGAATTTATCTGAAAAACATCCTTGGACACGTGCTAGACATTGGGTACCAAACTGCTTTGTCATAGTGGACAAGGATGTCTGTCCACAGGTGTCAAATCCAAGAGTTGTGTTCATTCAGGGATGAATCTGTAGCCACATAAAGACCAAGGACGTGCCTGGTGGGCTGATGGGGAATGATGTCCAAGATGGAGTGGGGGTTCCCCCGCCATTAATTTCTTTCTTTCTTTCTTTTTTTTTTCTTTTGAGACAGGTTCTCACTCTATTGCCCAGGCTGGAGAGCAGTGGCTCCATCTTGGCTCACTGCAGCCTTCACCTCCCAGGCTCAAGCAGTCCTCCTGCTTCAGCCTCCTGAGTAGCTGGGATTACAGGCGTGTGCCACCACACCCAGCAAATTTTTATATATATATATTTTTTTGTAGAGATGGGGTCTCAATATGTTGCCCAGACTAGTCTCAAACTCCTGAGCTCAAGTGATCTTCCAGCTTCAGCCTCCCGAAGTGCTGAGATTACAGGCGTGCACCATGGCACCCAGCCAATTTCTTTTTATAACATGTACAGAGAAGTACAGAAAGCATAACTGTCTAACCCAGCGACTTTCAGAGCAAACACACCCATGTAACCAGCACCCAGATCAAGAAACAACATTCCCAGCCTCCCAGATGCTACCTGTGCCCCTCCTAGTCACCCCCACCTTCTGCCTCCCAAAGGCACCTGACTTTTTTTTTTTTGAGACAGGGTCTCACTCTGACTCCCAGGCTGGAGTGCAGTGGCCCAATCATGGCTCACTGCAGCCTTGACCTCCCTGGGCTCAGGTGATCCATCTCAGACTCCCAAGTAGCTGCGACTACAGGCATGCACCACCATGCCCAGCTAATTTTTCTATGTTTTGTAGTGACAAGGTTTTGCTATGTTGCTCAGGCTGGTCTCAAACTCCTGGGCTCAAACAATCCTCCTGCCTTGGCCTCCCCAAGTGTTCATATTACAGGTGTGAGCCACCACACCCACCCACACATAACTTCTGGTGTAGTAATTACTTTGTGAGTTTTTGAACGTCACATGAATGGGATCATACAGTAAGTTTTCTTTTGCGTGTCTGGTGTCTCGCCTGCGTGGTGTCTGTGAGATTCAGCTATACTATGGGTATGACAGTAGGCTGTTGTGTCTCATTGCTGGGTGTTTCCATTATGTGATATGGCCCAGTTTCTTTATCTACTCTGTGCTGACAGGCATGGGGTAGTTTCCAGTTTATGAGCCATTGTGAATAGGGCAGTGTATGTGTCTTGTAAACAGGTGTACCCTTCTGTTAGGTGTATACGTGGGAGACGAATTGCTGGCTCATAGGACTGGCATATGCCTGGCTTCAGTAGATACTGACAGTTGCTTTCCAAAGTGGTTGTGCTGGTCTGCACTCCCCTGAGCAGTGCACGAGGGTTCTAGTAGCTCCATGTCCTCGCCTGCACCCCTCTGTCTAATTGCAACCCTTGTGGTGCGTGTGGGGAGGTATCTCAATGAAGTTTTATTTTGTTTTTTTTTTTTTTTTTTTTTTTGAGATGGAGTCTCGCTCTGTCCCCTAGGCTAGAGTGCCGTGGCGTGATCTTGGCTCACTGCAACCTCCGCCTCCCAGGTTCAAGCGATTCTCATGCCTCAGCCTCCCCAGTAGCTGGGATTACAGGCGCACACCACCACGACCAGCTAACTTTTTGTATTTTTAGTACAGATGGGGTTTTGCCATGTTGGCCAGGCTGGACTTGAACTCCTGACCTCAAGTGATCTGCCCGCTTCAGCCTCCAAAGTGCTGGGATTACAGGTGTAAGCCACGGTGCTCGGCCTTCAGTGAAGTTTTAATGTGCGTTTCCCTGGTGACTATATTAGTTTCCTATCATTGTTGTAACAAATTACTACTAATTTAGTGTTGCAGTGTCACACCTCATGGAGCCTCTGGTGTACTTGTGAGAGAATGAGAATCAGAAAGGCAAATAATGTCTTAGTATTATTAAGACAACAGTTTTGACCTTGCAGACTGTCTAGAAATGTGTTGGGGGACCACAGGGTCCTAGGACCCACACTTTGAGAACCACTGATCTAGAAGAGTATTGGACTCTTATAGCCTAGGAACAATGGGAAATGTTTAAAAGGATTTCCTATCCATATTTTTTATTTCTTGCAGAGACATATAACAGGGTGATCACTAAAGCAAGTATTTTCAGGCTGGGCACAGTGGCTCACACCTGTAATCCCAGCACTTTGGGAGGCCGAGGCGGGTGGATCACCTGAGGTCAGGAGTTCAAGGCCAGCCTAGCCAATATGGTAAAACCCTGTTTCTACTAAAAATACAAAAAATTAGCTGGGTATGGTGGCATGCACCTGTAATCCCAGCTACTTAGGAGGCTGAGGCAGGAGAATTGCTTGAACCCAAGAGGCGGAGGTTGTAGTGAGCTGAGATCGTGCCATTGCACTCCAGCTTGGGCAACAAGAGCAAAACTCGATCTCAAAAAAAAAAAAAAGAATTTTCAAGCACAAAAGATATGATGTGCCAGGTGCAGTGGCTCACACCTGTAATCCCAACACTTTGGGAGGCCAGGAGTTCACTTGAGTCCAGGAGTTCAAGGCCAACCTGGGCAACATGGCAAAACCCCATCTCTACTAAAAATATAAAAATTAGCTGGGCGTGGTGGCACATGCCTGTAGTCCCAGCTACTCGAGAGGCTGAGGCAGGAGAATCACTTGAGCCCAGGAGGTCAAGGCTGCAGTGAGCTGTGATTGTACCACTGCACTCCAGCCTGGACAACAGAGTGAGTCCCTGTCTCAAAAAAAAAAACAAAAAGAAAAAACGATGTTAGATTAAAAATGGGTGGCAGAGAGGGAAGTGGAACGGAAATACAAGTTCAAAGAGAAAAACAGGACATGTATAATTTTCTGCTGTTGAAACAGCTTTTTCTTGCATTTTTCAAATGGTCTCAAATTATTACAGTATTTAGATTCCATCAGCTACACATTTACGTTGCTGGAAATTGTATCCTTTGCAACTGTTTAAGCTTGGGAGAATTTTTAGGTGGCAACTTAGAGATGAGTGAGACAAGTATATAATGTTACTAGATCTTCTCTCTTCTCTTCTTTTTCTTTTGACAGAGTCTCTGTCTGTCACCAGGCTGGAGTGTAGTGGTGCAATCTCCACTCCCTGCAACCTGCACCTCCCAGGTTCAATGAGTCTCCTGTTTCAGCCTCCCGAGTAGCTGGGACTACAGGCATGTGCCATCACACCCAGCTAATTTTTGTATTTTTAGTAGAGACAGGGTTTCACCATGTTGGCCAGGATGGTCTCGATCTCTTGATCTCGTGATCCGCCCCCGCCTCGGCTTCCCAAAGTGCTGGGATTACAGGCATCAGCCACTGCACCTGGCCATCAACTTCTTTGTTTTTAAATTTAATAGAGATGGATCTTGCTGTGTTGCCTAGGCTCATCTCCATCTCCTGGGCTCAACAGTCCTCTTGCTTCAGCCTCCCAAAGTTTTGGGATTACAGGCGTGAGCCCTGAGCCTGGCTCTAAATCATTTTAAGGGATAAAAAAGCCTGCAGGGGCCAGGCACAGTGACTCACGCCTGTAATCCCAGCACTTTGGGAGGCTGAGGCAGGTGGATCACCTGAGGTCAGGAGCTCAAGACCAGCCTGGCCAACACGGTGAAACCCCGTCTCTACTAAAAATACAAAAAAATTAGCCAGGCGTGGTGGCAGGCACCTGTAATCCCTGCTATTTGGGAAGCTGAGGCAGGAGAATCGCTTTAACTTGGGAGGCAGAGGTTTCAGTGAGCCAAGATCATGCTATTGCATTCCAGTCTGGGCAACAAGAGTGAAACTCCGTCTCAAAAAACAAACAAACAAACAGGCATGCAGGCTGTTTACTGGCCAAGCAGTCTTGGTGAAAGCTGCCCAGCCTCTGTGGGTTCAGGGCTTCTCCTTTTACAAATGAACTCCAGAAAAGTAGGGGGCTCCCTTCCTCACACCATACACAAAAATTAACTCAAAAAGTAAAAGTTAAAATGATCAAACCCCTAGAAGAAAACATAGGAATAAATGTGCATTATCTTGGCTTAGGCAATGTCTTTTTTTTTTTTTTTTTAATTGTGACAGAGCCTTGCTCTGTCTAGGTTGGAGTGCAGTGGCATGATGTCGGCTCACTGCAACCCCTGCCTCCTGGGCTCAAGTGATTCTCAGTGCCTCAGCCTCCCGAGTAGTTGGGATTACTGGCGTGTGCCACCACGCCCAGCTAATTTTTGTATTTTTAGTAGAGACGGGGTTTCACCATGTTGGCCAGGCTGATCTTGAACTCCTGAACTCAAGTGATCCACCTGACTCAGCCTCCCAAAGTGCTGAGATTACAGGCGTGAGCCACTACACCTGGTCTGAAACCACTTTAAAAGGGTTAATTTTATGGTATGTGAATTGTGTCTCAATAAAGTCATTTAAAAGGGTGGGGGTTGCCCTTAAGTATGGGGAATGATCAAAGGTATCAAAGTAAGGTGGCAAAATGTTGACAGCTGCTGGACCGCAGGACATGGGTACATCATGGGGGTTCCTTATACTATTCTGGTTTTGTATGTGTTTGAAAACTTACAGAATAAAAAAAGCTTTGCTTTTTGAATTGAGCTCCAGGGTTCTGGGGTCTTCTCTTCCTCCTTTACCTGCAGTGGGAGTGGAGGTAGCTCTTCCCCTAGACACAGAGCCCTACTCTGACCTGCCCTCTGATCGGTCGATCTGAGACATAATCACAGCTGCTAGATCCAGTCGCTAGTGGACTGGCAGGCAGCGATTGGGTCAAGCCTTAGCTAAGTGTCAAGCCTTAGCTAAGTGCCCAGCCTTGAGCCAATCACTGGGCTGGTCCACGCCTTGGCCTCAGTCAGAGCTTACAGATATGAGAGGGGAAGGGAAGGTGGAGTGGATTCATCAACAATAGTGGCCCCCTTGGTGTCTTTTTTTTTCCCCTCCATTAAATGGCACAGCCACCACCCTAGCTAATCTGAAGTAGTGGCTAGAATTTGAACTCTGGTCTCTCACCCTCTTACCTCCAAACAAAGAGTTTTGTTGTTAAAGGTGCTATTTTCACATATAAATGAGTCTAGGTGAGTCTGGAAGGAGGACTTCCTGGAGGAGGCCTGGCGACCACATGCCCTCCCTCTCTTCCACCTCACCCCCCTTCTCCGCCTCCGCTTTCCCATCAAGGGGGGCAGATCAGCTCTGAGGGCTGCAGAGGTCTTCCCTGTGCTGCCTGCCTCCGGTAACCACAGTCCTGCCACTGTCCCTTCCTCCCTAGGATGACGCGGCATGGCAAGAACTGCACCGCAGGGGCCGTCTACACCTACCACGAGAAGAAGAAGGACACAGGTGCAGGGCTGGGGTGGGAAGAGGCGGGACATGGCTGTGTCTTGGAGTCACCCTCTCCCCTCGTGCCCCAGGTTTTGCTTCCTCTGTCCCTGTCTCTCTCCCGCCCCCGATATACACTGATGGCCATGACCATGTAAACAACAGCTGGGTGATCCCATGACCCCATGTGGCCCGGCACTGTGTTCTCTGCCTTCTGCGCATGAACTCACTCCTCCCAACAGAGTGTCAGGGAGGGTGCTCTTGTTACCCCATGTTCCAGAGGAAGAAACTGAGGCCCAAAGAGGGACAGGCACTTGAGCTTGGTCACAGTCAGAAGGGTGGAGGGGAGTCAGCCGTCAGCCCCTCCACCAAGCTGCCACTCAGTGACCAGGCCTGTCTGCCTCTCACCCTCCAGGGTTGACAACTCCCTGTGGGTTCAGCCCGTGGCCCCAGCACACAGGCAGCGGCTCCCAACTGCCTGTTTCTCTCTGAGTCCCCCACCCCCACCACCGCGTTGTCTCTGTGCCTCTCTCTGGGGCTTTGGAGACGGACATGTCTCCTGTTGCTCCGCCCCTCCATCACTCTGCCCATCTCTGTCCCCAGCGGCCTCGGGCTATGGGACCCAGAACATTCGACTGAGCCGGGATGCCGTGAAGGACTTCGACTGCTGTTGTCTCTCCCTGCAGCCTTGCCACGATCCTGTTGTCACGTGAGCTGGGAACAGGGATGGGTAGGTCTGGGTGGGGAGAGCAAGGGAACCGCCAGGAGGAGGCTGTGTGCGTGGGTCTGGCCACCTGCACAGCCAGGGAACCCTGGATGAGCAGTTTATCCTCAGAGCCTCTGTATTCTCACATGGGACATGGGCATGATCCTAGCATCTGTTTCATAGTGTGGAACATATGGAAAGGAACATACTTCTAATGGGGTGTAGGGCTCTCAGAGCATTGCCGAGGCCATCGGAGCAGCTCACCTTTGGACACTTCCCATGACCTACCTCTGATGGTAGGGCAAAGGCTTAACAGGTGCTGAGTCCAGGCACTAAATACGTGCTCAATTAGTGGTATATTTTGTAGAAGACAGTAATTAATGATCAGGGCCCCCAAGGCCACCTTCAGGTTTCTTTTTTTTTTTTGAGACAGAGTCTTCACTTTGTTGCCCAGGCTGGAGTGCAATGGGGACATCTTGGCTCACTGATATCCCAGGCTCAGGTGATCCTCCTGCCTCAGCCCCCACGAGTAGCTGGAACCACGGGTGTGCACTACCACACCTGGCGTTTTTGTTTGTTTTTTGTAGAGAGGGGAGCTCACTTTGTTGCCCAGGCTGGTCTCGAACTCGTGGCTGCAACAATATGTGGCACACATTGTTGCTGAGAGAATGAAGCACTTTCCCTGCAGCTCTATTGGGAGAGGACAGCTGGAAGCTCAAATCTAGTCTCTACTAGATTCTGCCCCATGTGCCTTTTTCCTTTGCTGATTTTAATCTGCATCCTTTCACTGCAGTAAACTATCACCATGAGTATAACAGCTTTGCTGAGTTCTGTGAATTCTAGCAAATAATTGAACTTGGGACTGATCATGATGACTTCTGCCTATAATCCCAGCACTTCGGGAGGCCGAGGCGGGAGGATCACTTTCTTTCTTTCTCATTGCACCCTGTCTTTGCAGCCCAGATGGCTACCTGTATGAGCGTGAGGCCATCCTGGAGTACATTCTGCACCAGAAGAAGGAGATTGCCCGGCAGATGAAGGTGATGGGGATGGGGAGGAGGCGGCACACGGAGGCAGGAGCTTTTGAGTCTGAGCTCACAGGCAGAGCCACTCAGAGCCCTCTGATCTCAGTTCCCTCTGCCTGGTACACCATTCCCCTCCCCTGCTTCCGGCCAAATCCTTCTCACCGATTTCAGCCCAGATGCTGCCTCCTCTGAGCTCCTGCCAGTCCCCAGGATCTGCCCCAGTCACCTCTTCTCTTAGCACTTAGCATAGTTGTAGCTGTACATGTGGCTGTCTGACACATGCCCACTTTCCCTTATGGACTTCGAGTTTTCCCACCCTGTAGCTTAGGTCCTTAGTAAAGATATGCTAAATGGGTCGGGGGTGGTGGCTCACACCTGTAATCCCAGGACTTTGGGAGGCCGAGGCAGGCGGATCACTTGAGGTCAACAGTTAGAGGCCAGCCTGGCCAACATGGTGAAACCCTGTCTGTACTAAAAATAAAAAAATAAAAAAAAAAATTGAGCCGGGCATGGCGGGCGCCTGTAATCCCAGCTACTCAGGAAGCTGAGGCAGGAGAATCGCTTGAACCCATGAGGTAGAGGTCGCAGTGAGCTGAGATGGCACCGCTGCACTTCAGCCTGGGTAACCGAGCGAGATTCTGTTTCAAAAAAAAAAAAAAAAAAAAAGATGTGCTACGTGAATTGACATCACCTCATTTTTTCTGGGCCTCAGTTTCATCGTCTGTAAAACGGGCTGACGGCCAAATCAGAGGACACAGCAGGGCACCTGGGAGGTACACGCAGATGAGCATTCTCAAGGCGTGTTACTGGGAACCCGGCCTGGCCTTCCATGGACAAAGCCATTTGATGGGTAGGAGGGGCCCTGTTTGAGGCACAGTGGGTCTGTCCCCCTCTTCCCCTGCCTGGTTGCTGGCGCTCAGGAAACACTACAGGTCACATGCTTATTGGGCTTTTTGTCCCAAGCAGGTGGCTCCCCCTGTGCCCATGTCCTCCACACAGCCTGGTGGTCATGTCGGAGGCCCTCATGAGCATCCATCACTGTCACTGTTACCTCCTCACTCAGCTGGGTGGCCCAGGGTGGTCTGGAACTGCAGCACCGCCCAGGCAACTGCTGTGCGCCAGGCAGGGCTGAGCTCAGGTCATGGCTTCACTTCTCCCGTCCTCACTCACTGTCCGTCCATAGACATGGGCTCCTCAGCATTCCCTTAGATCTGAAGTCTACATCCCCCGTCCCAAACACGGGCTGGGGCATGCACTGTATAGAAAACTTAATTGGCCAGCAGGTGACATTAATTAAATGCTTAGCTGAGTGCCAGGTGAGGCTCTCCATGCTGTAAACACTCACCTTATGTAACCCTTCAGTGAGCCGCTGAGGTGGGTAACCACTGTTAGGCTGTTTTACAGATGAAGAAACTGAGGCCAGGAGAGGTCATAGTGCTCACTTAGGCCACAGAGTGACAGAGATGGGCTTTGAGCCCTGGCAGTCTGGCTATACAACGCAGTAAGGTTCACACCCACCCAGGGTGGCAGTTACCACCCTCTGCCACATAGTGCCTCCATCAGAGGGTCCCCTTTGTGGGCCTCAGTTTACCTACCTGTGAAATGGGAGGAAGATACCCCCAGCCCCACGGGCAGATGCTCAGCCCACTTTCCCCGACGCAGGCCTACGAGAAGCAGCGGGGCACCCGGCGCGAGGAGCAGAAGGAGCTTCAGCGGGCGGCCTCGCAGGACCATGTGCGGGGCTTCCTGGAGAAGGAGTCGGCTATCGTGAGCCGGCCCCTCAACCCTTTCACAGCCAAGGCCCTCTCGGGCACCAGCCCAGGTGACTCAGGTTGGGCTTCTTGTGGGTTGGGGGGCGGGGCGCCGCGGGCTGGGCGGGCCCAGGGGGCGGCATCTGAGTCCCTTCCTTCCCCCACAGATGATGTCCAACCTGGGCCCAGTGTGGGTCCTCCAAGTAAGGACAAGGACAAAGTGCTGCCCAGCTTCTGGATCCCGTCGCTGACGCCCGAAGCCAAGGCCACCAAGCTGGAGAAGCCGGTGAGCCCCCACAGCGCCCCGGCACGCACGGTGCCAGGGCGCCAGGGTTCCCCACCGTCCTCCTCACGCACAGGGACCACGCGCTCTCCACCTGCGCCAGCCCTGCCTACTGAGCCCGCCTCTCTCTGCCCCTTGCAGTCCCGCACGGTGACCTGCCCCATGTCAGGGAAGCCCCTGCGCATGTCGGACCTGACGCCCGTGCACTTCACACCGCTAGACAGCTCCGTGGACCGCGTGGGGCTCATCACCCGCAGCGAGCGCTACGTGTGTGCCGTGACCCGCGACAGCCTGAGCAACGCCACCCCCTGCGCTGTGCTGCGGCCCTCGTGAGTCACCTGGGAGGGGAGGGAAGGGACCACTCGGGAACCTGCGGGGCGGTCCGGCTTTGGGGCCAGTAGGTCCCCAGGAAGGCCCCTGATCAGAGTCTCCCGCCTTCGGCCTCACCGTAGTGGGGCTGTGGTCACCCTCGAATGCGTGGAGAAGCTGATTCGGAAGGACATGGTGGACCCTGTGACTGGAGACAAACTCACAGACCGCGACATCATCGTGCTGCAGCGGGTAAGAGTCCCACCCCTCCCCTTCCCCCAGCACTCCAAGGCCCCGCCCCTCCCCTTCACCCCCTCCAAGGCTTCGTCCCCTCCCCTTCCCCCAACTCTCCAAGGCCCCGCCTTCTTCTCTGCTCTGTAAGGCCGCCCCCCCCCCCCGCTTTCTCCTGCAAGGCCCCGCCCTTCCCCCCCTCCGCTCTCCTAGGCCCCGCCTCCTCCTTCCTTTTCAAGGCCCCGCCCCTTCCCTGCCTCCAGCCCTCCACGGCTCCACCCCCTCCACACGCTCCCTCCCAAGGCTCCTCCCCTGCCACTCTCTACCCTCTTCTCTGCGCCCTGCGCCCTGTCCATCCGTACCCACTGCGGTCGCCTCGCCCCCTCCCCAACTCCTACTCCTTAGCCAGCAACCCGCTTCACCTTGACCCGCTTAGGAATCCCCACTACCACCTGGAGCCCCACTGGTCACCCCCGGGCCGGCCTCTACCTCGTCCTTCTCTCTACCTCCCCCAGGGCGGTACCGGCTTCGCGGGCTCCGGAGTGAAGCTGCAAGCGGAGAAATCACGGCCGGTGATGCAGGCCTGAGTGTGTGCGGGAGACCAAATAAACCGGCTTGGGTGCGCAACGACGTGGCGCCTTCATTCGCGGCGTGGGCGCCCCGGGGACAGGGCAGGCGAGGATGCAGGGCCGTGCAAACAGTGCTCCTACAGCGCACGCTGGAGTTTGAAAGAGCGGGCTAAGCATATTGAATGTGGTCTCACATTAAGAACAAAATCTGGCCAGGCACGGTGGCTCACGCCTGTAATCCCAGCACTTTCGGAGGCCGAGGCTAGCGTATCACTTGAGGTCAGGAGTTCGAGACCAGCCTGGCCAACATGGTGAAACCTTGTCTCTACTAAAAATACAAAAATTAGCCGGGCATGGTGGTGCGCACTTGTATTCCCAGCTACTCCAGAGGCTGAGGCAGGAGAATCGCTTGAACCCAGGAGGCGGAGGTTGCAGTGAGCCAAGATCGCACCATTGCACTTCAGCCTGGGCAACAGAGCGAGACTCCATCTCAAAGAAGAAAAAAAAAAAAAAACCTGAATAGAACGCAAATGCACAGCATTAAAATTGGTTGAGTGGCCGGAAGTCCAAGTCTAAGCCAAGACCGTGTGAGTGCGCCACTTTAATGAGCTACATAGAAATTTCTCGAGTTCTTTGTTAGGGTTCCCGGATTTTTGCCAGGTTTGAAGAACAGGAAATGCCCAGGAACGTGTCTTCCGGGCTGCAGTGTGATTAGACCCACAAAGGAAGTGCAGTTCTGTGAAAAAGTGCGCAGCACCCGGACTAGGAAAGGCGGTCAGGAGCATCACGCCCCCACCTGTGGCAGCCTGAGGGGGAAAGGAAGAGGAAACCGCGAGTGCAAAGGCCCAGAGGCAGCAACGCACTTTGCAGATTTAAGGAGCAGAGGGCGTACAGGGGAGAGTGAGGGAGCCAGGGCAGAGCGGGGACCAGGAACCAGCCCGGTGGCGTCAGACTTGACTGGGAATGTAGGGGCTGTCCTTAAGGCCTTGTGTTTAATAACCATTGAGTCACAAAAGCAGCTGCTGGGCAGTGTGAAAAACAGCACGGAGACAAGCAAAGATTAAAACAAGACAGGCCGGGTGCGGTGGCTCACGCCTGTAATCCCAGCACTTTGGGAATCTGAGGCGGGTGGATCACTTGAGGTCAGGAGTTCAAGACCAGCCTAGATAGCCGGGTGCGGTGGCTCACGCCTGTAATCCCAGCACTTTGGGAGGCCGAGGCGGGTGGATCACGAGGTCAGGAGTTCAAGACCAGCCTGGCCAACATGGTGAAACCCCCATCTCTACTAAAAATACAAAAATGAGCCGGGTGTGGTGGCCGGCGCCTGTAATCCTAGCTACTCGGGAGGCTGAGGCGGGAGAATTGCTTGAACCCGGGAGGCGGAGGTTGCAGTGAGCTGAGATCGTGCCACTGCACTCCAGCCTGGGCGACAAAGTGAGACTCTGTCTCAAAAAACAACAATAACAACACCAACAACAAAAAACACAGCATTCCTGCCTCGCAGAGCAATGCCACCTAGGTTCTGTCCTTCCTGTTCTTTATGTGAGTACACATGAGGTTTCAACCAAAGTGAATCACAGTGCATGCACCATCCTGTTCAGTGAGTAATACTTTTCCACTCCCCAGGCTGGAGTGCAATGGCATGATCGAGAAGGCACAACTTGAGCAAAGTCACACGTGCTCGAGGGAGTGACGGAAGCCAGGTTCCCCCAGGAGCCAGTTTCCTCTGAGACGCCCCCAGACTTTGTCCTGGACTTCCCCCATCCTTCATGTCCTCCCTCCCCTAGAGACCCACTGGCCTCTCCACCTCCACAAGCTCCCACCCCATCCCTCCATACCCAGAGTTCCATGTCATACCCTTTCCTTCCACATCCCTAATCCTTGTCCTCTTTCTCAAGACCTCTCAACCACCCGAGTCCTTCCAGCTTTCTCAGCCATCTAAGAACCCCAGTCTTGTTCATATGTTGAACAGATCACCGGTGCCCCCAGTAATAACCTGAAGGGTTTCTAATCTTGCACCTGTGTTTTCCCAAAGGAACTCAAACACCACTCTGTTCACAGACTCTTTGTGCAGTGCAGGGTGGGGAGGTCAAAGTCCTGGCTCCAATCTGTTCTGTCATTTTTTTTTTTGTTTTGAGATGGAGCCTTGCTCTATTGCCCAGGCTGGAGTGCACTTGCGTGATCCTGGCTCCTGCCTCAGCCTCCTGGGTAGCTGGGACTACAGGTGCTGCCAGCACAGCCAGCTGGTTTTTGTTTGTTTGTTTTGTATTTTTAGTATTTTAGTAGAGATGTAGTTTCGCCATGTTGGCCAGGCTGGGTTTTTTTTTTTTTTTTTTTTTTTTTTTGAGACGGAGTCTCGCTCTTTTGCCCAGGCTGGAGTGCAGTGGCGCTATCTCGGCTCACTGCAAGCTCTGCCTCCCGGGTTTACGCCATTCTCCTGCCTCAGCCTCCCGAGTAGTTGGGACTACAGGCGACCACCACCATGCCTGGCTAATTCTTTTTTGTATTTTTAGTGGAGACAGGGTTTCACCGTGTTAGCCAGGATGGTCTCGATCTCCCGACCTCGTGATCCGCCCGCCTCGGCCTCCCAAAGTGCTGGGATTACAGGCGTGAGCCACCGCACCCGGCTATCTAGGCTGGTCTTCAACTCCTGACCTCAAGTGATCCACCCGCCTCAGATTCCCAAAGTGCTGGGATTACACATTTGAGTCACCTCACCCTGTTCTGTCATTTAAGGTTCTAAAGTACTTGGAGAGGAAGCAAGAGCAGAACCACAGCTTCAGCCGTAGCAGAAGAAAGAGACGGGAAGTGAGACAAATCTTGTCTTTTTTGAGCAGAGTTTCCTTAGACACTGGTCTAAAGTTTAGAGCAAGACCTGGGCTTGGTGGCGCTGATGGCAGGCGTGCCTGCCGAGGGCTCCAGTTTCAAGAAGCTCACAGGCAGCGCGTCCAGAAAATTACAGTTACTTGTAAAGATTTAAAAACGGGCCAGGCGTGGTGGCTCACACCTATAATCCCAACACTTTGGGAGGCTGAGGCGGGCAGATCATGAGGTCAGGAGATTGAGACCATCCTGGCTAACAGGGTAAAACCCTGTCTTTACTGAAAATATAAAAAATTAGCCGGGCGTCGTGGCATGCGTCCGTAGTCCCAGCTACTCAGGAGGCTGAGGCAGGAGAATTGCTTGAACCTGAGGCAGACGTTGCAGTGAGCCAAGATCGCGCCACTGCACTCCAGCCTGGGCGACAGAGTGAGACTCTGTCCCAAAATAAAAATAAAAATAAAAATAAAAATAAAAAAATAAAAACGGGCCAGGCGCAGTGGCTCACACTTGTAATCCCAGCATTTTGGGAGGCCAAGGTGGGTGGATCACTTGAGGTCAGGTATTTGGGACCAGCCTGGCCAACACGGTGAAACCTCATCTCTACTAAAAAAAAATACAAACTTAATCGGGTGTGGTGGCACAGGCCTGTAATCCCAGCTACTTGGGAGGCTGAAGCAGGAGAATTGCTTGAACCCGGGAGATGGAGGTTGCAGTGAGCCGAGATCGCACCACTGCACTCCAGCCTGGGCAGCATGAGCAAAACTCCATCTCAAAAAAAAAATTAAAAACAGGAAGATGGCTGGGCCTGGTAGCTCACACCTGTAATCCCAGCACTTTGGGAGGCCAAAGCAGGTGGATTGCCTCAGGTCAGGAGTTGGAGACCAGCCTGGTCCACATGGTGAATCCCTGTCTCTACTAAAAATACAAAAATTAGCTGGGTGTGGTGGAGCACCCCTGTAATCCCAGCTACTCAGGAGGCTGAGGCAGGAGAATCGCTTGAACCCAGGAGGTGGAGGCTGCAGTGAGCTGCGATAGCACCACTGCACTCCAGTCTGAGCTACAGAGCGAGACCCCATATCAAAACAATAGAAAATAAAAACAGGAAGATTTATTCTGACACTGCAAAGGCAAAACTATACGAACCAGGAACAAAGCTTTCGTTGCCAGAGTAGGGGAAGGAGTTGACCCCAAAGTGGGGAGTAGCAAGAGAGATTCTGGGGGGGTGTGAAGGAACAGTTCCGGATTTTGACTGTGGTGGTTACATGACTCTGGTTTATCAGAATTCAGAACTGTTCACCAAAAGGAGTGGATTTTACTGTATGAAGTTTTCAAATGCAAAAAAGGAGCTGGGAGATTTCATGTGAAAAACTAGATTTCCATTTCTCTTTTTTTGTTTTTGAGACGGAGTCTCGCCCTGTCGCCCAGGCTGGAGTGCAGTGGCCTGATTTCGGCTCACTGCAACCTCTGCCTCCTGGGTTCAAGCAATTCTCCTGCCTCAGCCTCCCACGGAACTGAGACTACAGGCGCCCACCACCACGCCCGGCTAAATTTTTTTGTATTTTTAGTAGAGACGGGGTTTCACTTATGTTGGCCAGGCTGATCTTGAACTCTTGACCTCGTGATCCGCCCGCCTCGGCCTCCCAAAGTGCTGAGATTACAGGCGTGAGCCACTGTGCCTGGATAATTTTTGTATTTTTTAAGTAGGGAAGGGATCTCACCACATTGGCCAGGCTGGTCTTGAACTCCTGACCTCAAGTGATCCACCTGCCTCGGCCTCCCAAAGTGCTGGGATTACAGGCCCCATTTCTCTTTTTAAAGAGAAATGCATGGCCAGGTGCGGTGGCTCACGCCTGTAATCCCAGCACTTTGGGGGGCTGAGGCGGGAGCGGATCACTAGGTCAAGAGATAGAGACCATCCTGGCCAACATGGTGAAACCCCGTCTCTACTAAAAATACAAAAATTAACTGGACGTGGTGGCACAGCCTGTAGTCCCAGCTACTCGGGAGGCTGAGGCAGGAGAATCGCTTGAACCTGGGAGGTGGAGGTTGCAGTGAGCTGAGATCGTGCCACTGCATTGCAGCCTGGAGACAGAGCGAGACTCCATCTAAAAAAAAAAAATCAGCCCAAGCAAGGTGGTTCACGCCTGTAATCCCAACACTTTGGGAGGCCGAGTCAGGAGGATTGCTTGAACCCAGGAGTTGGCGACCAGCCTGGCCATTGTAGCAAGACCCCATCTCTACAAAAAAGAATACATTAGCTGGGCATGGTGGTGCCCACCTGTAGTCCCAGCTGCATGGGAGACCGAAGCCAGAAGATGGTGTGAGCCCAGGAGGTCCAGCTGTGATCCCACCTCTGTATTCCAGCCTGGGTGACAGAGTGAGACATGTATAAAAGGAAAAATCAGCTTCACAATTCCCCTCCTAGTTATCTACCCAAGAAACTGAAAACAGGTCCACACAAAAATATGTACGTGATCTGGGAGGCCGAGGTGGGCGGATCACGAGGTCATGAGTTCGAGACCAGCCTGGCCAGCATGGTGAAACCCTATCTCTACCAAAAATACAAAAATTAGCCAGGCGTGGTGGCAGACACCTTTAATCCCAGCTACTTGGGAGGCTGAGGCAAAACAAATGCACATGAATGACCCTAACAGCACCATTCACCATAGCCCAGAAGTGGAAACAACCCAAAAGCCCGTCAGCTGATGAGTGGAGACAAAATGTGGTCTAGCCCGTGCCATGGAATATTACTCAGCCCTAAAAAGGAATGACGTTGGGCCGGGCGCAGTGGCTCATGCCTGTAATCCCAGCACTTCGGGAGGCCGAGACGGGCAGATCATGAGGTCAGGAGATCGAGACCATCTTGGCTAACACGGTGAAACCCCATCTCTACTAAAAATACAAAAAATTAGCCGGGTGTGATGGTGGGCACCTGTAGTCCCAGCTACTCGGCAGGCTGAGGCAGGAGAATGGCATGAACCCGGGAAGTGGAGCTTGCAGTGAGCCGAGATCGCGCCACTGCACTCCAGCCTGGGCAACAGAGTGAGACTCCATCTCAAAAAAAAAAAAAAAAAAAAAAGCAATGACGTCCTGACACGGGCTACAGTGTGGATGGATCTGGAAAACATGCTGAAAGAAGCCCAGCACGAAAGGTCACACGTACGATTGCATTTATAATGAGATGCCCAGAATAGGCAAATCCATAGCAAAAGAAAGTAGTTAGTGGCTGTCCGGGGCTGGGAGTGCAGAGAGAGAGGGGATAGTGACTGCTGATGGGGTGTGGGTTTTTTTTTTTTTTTTTTTTTTTTTTGAGACAAAGTCTGGTTCTGTCACCCAGGCTGGAGTGCAGTGGCACGATCTTGGCTCACTGCAACCTCCGCCTCCCGGGTTCAATCGATTCTCTTGTCCCAGCCTCCTGAGTAGCTGGGATTACAGGCATGTGCCACCACGCCCGGCTAATTTTTGTATTTTTAATAGAGATAGAGTTTCGTCATGTTGTCCAGGCTGGTCTTGAACTCCTGGCCTCAAGTGATCTGCCCACCTTGGCCTCCTGAAGTGCTAGGATTACAGGCGTAGCCACCACGCCCGACCAAGGGTTAATTTTATGGCCTGTGAATTTTATCTCAGCTTTTAAAATATCAGAAGATCTGACTTCGTTAGAAGCTCCACCTGGCTCTTTGCTCCCAGCGTGTTGTCAACAGCATGGGGATTTGATCTGCTGATCTGCAAGTGGGGAGGTCACCAACGGAAGAACTAAAAGCAAAAACAGTTCAAAAGTTTATTCTAATAAGCGTTGGTCAGGATGTGGAGAAACTGGAACTTGTCTACAACGCTGGTGGGCACGTAAACTGGGGAAATGAATTGGCAATATCGATTAACGCTAAAAATGCGCCTAGCCGGTGCTCCACTACCTCACTCCTGTGTGTGTACCCCAAAGACATGCGACGATGCTCAGCAAAACACGAGCTAGAATGGCTGGGCGCAGTGGCTCCTGCCCATGATTTCAGCACTTTGTGGGACTGGGGTAGGAAGATTGCTTGAGCTTAGGAGTTTGAGACCAGCCTGGACAACATGGTGAAACTCCATCTCTATTAAAAATACAAAAATTAGCTGGGCGTGGTGTTACACGCCTGTAATCCCAGCTACTAGGGAGGCTGAAGCACGAGAATCGCTTGCAGCTGGCTGAGATCAGTGAGCTGAGATCAGTGGAGTGCAATGGCACAATGTTGGCTCTCTGCAACTGGAGTGCCACAGTACTCTGGCCTAGGTGGCAGAGCAAGATTATGTCTTAAAAAACGCAGGCCAGGGCCAGGCGTGGTGGCTCATACTTGTAATCCCAGCACTTTGGGAGGCTGAGGTGGGTGGATCACCTGAGGTCAGGAGTTCGAGACCAGCCTGGCGAACATGGTGAAACCCTGTCTCTACTAAAAACGCAAAAAGTAGCCAGCCACGGTGGCCGGCACCAGTAATCTCAACTACTAGGAAGACTGAGGCAGGAGAATCTCTTGAACCCAGGAGGCGGAAGTTGCAGTGAGCTGAGATTGAGCCGCTGCTCTCCAGCCTGGGCGACACAGCAAGACTCCATCTCAAAAAACAAAACAAAACAAAACAAAAAACACACACACAAAACAAACAAACCAAAAAACGCGGCCGGAAGCGGTGGGTGACACCTGTAATCCCAGCACTTTGGGGGGCTGAGGAGGGCAGATCTCGAGGTCAGGAGTTCAAGACCAGCCTGACCAACATGGTGAAACCCCCTCTCTGCTAAAAATACAAAAATTAGCAAGACATGGTGGTTCACGCCTGTAATCTCAGCACTTGGGAGGCCGAGGCAGCCGGATCACCTGAGATCAGGAGTTCGAGACCAGCCTGGCCAACATGGCGAAACTCCGTCTCTATTAAGAATACAAAAAATGGCTGGGCGCGGTGGCTCACCCCTCTAATCCCAGCACTTTGGGAGGCCGAGGTGGGGCGGATCACGAGGTCAGGAGATCGAGACCATCCTGGCTAACACAGTGAAACTCGTCTCTACTAAAAAACAAAAAAATTAGCCGGGCAGTGGTGGCGGGCGCTTGTAGTCCCAGCTACTTGGGAGGTTGAGGCAGGAGAATGGCGTGAACCCGGGAGGCGGAGCTTGCAGTGAGCCGATATCGCGCCACTGCACTCCAGCCTGGGCGACAGAGCGAGACTCCGTCTCAAAAAAAACAAAAAAACAAAAAAACACACAAAAAATTAGCTGGCATGGTGGCCCGTGCCCGTTATCCCAGTTACTCGGGAGGCTGAGGCAGGAGTATCGCTTGAACCTGGGAGGCGGAGGTTGCAGTGAGACAAGATTGCACCACTGCACTCCAGCCTGGGAGACAAATCGAGATTCGTCTTCCAAAAAAAAATAAAGACTATTTGTACATATTTGCTTAAATCTGTGTAGATTCTCCATGGTAGGAAACACTGGCTGTCTGTGAAGAGTTGAACTTAGTGGAAGGCGTTGTTTTTAGCTTGTAGCATCCTGTATATTTCGGGTTTTGTATCCTGTGAGAGTATGGCCATTATTTTAAAATAAAATATGCAAGAATATTTTAAAACTAAAAAAATTCTGGAGAGAAGCAGTAAGTGTGACAAGATGCTAGGCAGTTTTTCACCATAAACTGTTCTGTGCAAGTAATTTGTTGCTATGTGTGGGTATTGTTTTCGATAAACAATGTTTCCAAACATGCAGCCCTCAGAGATTTACCAATATGCCCTTCCTCCCACATAAACCAGTTCTCCACATCCAGCCACTAGAGGGCAGTATGTTATCATACGAAAACGCTTGGAGTCAGACGCGCTTGGATTCAAATTCCAGCCCTCCCACACAGACAACAGCTATAAACCCTGGAAAAAACGTGGAAAACAATTACCCAAAGGCAAGGCACTGGAAGGTAAACAAAAGCAGACAGAGCAACTGGAGGGAACTTGACACTCAGAAAAAAGAAAGGCGAGTTTCTTATTTGTACAGCTTTTACTTGGGGGTGAGTTCTAGTTCATACCATGACTGGCAGCTAAAACACCAGAGGGAAATCCAGTCTTCCTAGCTTGAAGAACTACAGCAAAAGGAAGGTGAGGAGATAAATCCTGGAAAAGAAAAGCTGGAGAGAGGGTACCTGGAATGGTTTCTATAAACTCTACTCAAGTATCTTTTTTTTTTTTTTTTTTTTTTTTTTTTTTGAGACGGAGTCTCCCTCTGTCGCCCAGGTTGGAGGGCAGTGGTGCAAACTCCGCCTACCGGGTTCACGCCATTCTCCTGCCTCAGCCTCCCGAGTAGCTGGGACTACAGGCCCCCAACACCACGCCCAGGCTAATTTTTTAAATATTTTTAGTAGAGACGGGGTTTCACCGTGTTAGCCAGGATGCTCTCGATCTCCTGACCTCATGATCCGCCTGCCTCGGCCTCCCAAAGTGTTGGGATTACAGGCGTGAGTCACCGCACACGGCCCAACTCTACTCAAATATCTAGCTGACCCTGAACCACACCTGGCTGCATGGGTACACTCCAAAAAGCCCAGGTAAACCTAAAAAAAAAAACCGAACTGGCCAGGCACGGTGGCTCATGCCTGTGATCCCAGAAATTTGGGAGGTCGGGGAGGGCGGATCACCTGAGGTCGGGAGTTCGAGACCAGCCTGGCCAACATGGTGAAACCCCGTCTCTAATAAAAATACAAAAATTAGCCGGGCGTGGTGGTCCATGCCAGTAATCCCAGCTACTCGGGAGGCTGAGACAGGAGAATCACTTCAGCCCGGGAGGTGGAGGTTGCAGTGAGTCAAGATCATGCCATTGCACTCCAGCCAGGATGACAAGAGCAAGACTCCATCTCAAAAAAAAAAAAAAAAAAAAAAAAAAAAAATAGCTATCGGCCAGGCACAATGGCTCAAGCCTGTAATCCCAGCACTTTGGGAGGCTGAGGCAGGTGGATCACCTGAGGTCAGGAGTTCGATACCAGCCTGACCAACATGGAGAAACCCTGTCTCTACTAAAAATACAAAATTAGCCAGGCGTGGTGGTGCATGCCTGTAATCCCAGCTACTCAGGAGGCTGAGGCAGGAGAATCGCTTGAACCTGGGAGGTGGAGGTTGCAGTGAGCCGAGATTGTGCCATTGCACTCCAGCCTGGGCAACAAGAGCAAAACTCTGTCTCAAAAAAAAAAAAAAAAAAAAAGTAAATTTTGAATTGAATTCTATCATGCATAAAAGGGCATACATCACATGTGGAGAACTGAATGAATTTTCATAATCTGACCACCCCTGGGAAGCAGTACCTAGATCAAGAATAGGCTATTTTCCAGCCTCCCTCTCCCGATAAGAAGCCCATGAGGTCCATTCTGGTCCCTCCCCCGCAAGGGTGAACAACATCCTGAGTTCTAACCCCCAGATTAGTTTTGCCTGTTCTTGAATTTCCTTTTTAAAAATTAATTAGTAAATTAATTTTTTTAGTAAGTTAATTTTTTTTTTTGAGACAGAGTCTCGCTCTGTCTCCCAGGCTGGAGTGCAGTGGCGCGATCTCGGCTCACTACAAGCTCCGCCTCCCGGGTTCAGGCCATTCTCCTGCCTCAGCCTCCCGAGTAGCTGGGACTACAGGCGCCCGCCACCATGCCTGGCTAATTTTTTGTATTTTTTAGTAGAGGCGGGGTTTCACCGTGTTAGCCAGGATGGTCTCGATCTACTGACCTCGTGATCTGCCTGCCTCGGCCTCTGAAAGAGCTGGGATTACAGGCGTGAACCACCGTGCCCGGCCATAAACTAATTTTTAAATAGAGATATGGTCTCTATAAATGGCGTGAGCCCGGGAGGTGGAGCTTGCAGTGAGGTGAGAGTGCGCCACTGCACTCCAGCCTGGGCGACAGAGCGAGACTCCGTCTCAAAAAAAAAGAAAGAAAAAAAAAAAGAGATGCCATCTTTATAAAAGATCATCCCAGACTGGTCTTGAACTCCTGGCCTCAAGCAATCCTTGATTAATCCTTGGGATTACAGGCGTGAACCACTGCGCCCAACCCGACTCTTAAATAACTCAAAGCAGTTTATAATCCCTCCTCTGCTCATGACACTCCAGCGACTCTCATGTCACTCAGAATAAATTCTGTGTCTCTCTGGGTCTCTATCCCCATTCTCTTTGGATCTCTGTCCCCCACTCTCTGGGTCTCTGTTTCCCTCTCTCTGAGTTTCTGTCTCCCTCTCTCTGGGTCTCTGTTCCCCTCTCTCTCTCTGGGTCTCTGTTCCCCTCTCTCTCTGGGTCTCTGTTCCCCTCTCTCTCTGGGTCTCTGTCCCTCTCTCTCTGGGTCTCTGTTCCCCTCTCTCTCTGGGTCTCTGTCCCTCTCTCTCTGACTCCCCACCCCTTCTCTCTGGGTCTCTGTCCATCCCTGTCTTGTGCCACCAAACAGGGACCACCATGACCTGCCTGCAGGGGCCTGCACAGTCTGGCCACTTGCCCCATCTGCTCTCAGCTCTGACCCTCTTCCACTGGCTCATTCCCTTCCAGCCACTCTAGCCTCCTTGCTGATGCTGCCACACCAGGCCCACTCCTGCCTCAGGGCCATTTTACTTGCTCTTCTCTCTCCCTGGAATGCTCTCCCTCCAGATCTCTCCGTGGCTCCCTCCTTCACTCCATTTACCATTGAGACCTTTCCCAGCCTCTCAGTCATCAGAACATTGCCACACTGCTACACGCTTCCCCTGCTTCACAGCATCTGTTGCGCCGTGCCATATTTTAGGTCGCTGTGTCTCTTCCTTACAGAACTGGAGCTCTGAGAGGGCAGGGCTTCCTGTCTGGTTTGTGCGCTGCAGAGTCCAGGCTTTTTTTCCCTTTTTTTTTTGAGACAGAGTCTCCCTCTGTCACCCAGGCTGGAGTGCAGTGGCGCCATTTCGGCTCACGACAACCTCCACCTCCCGGGTTCAAGCGATTCTGCTTCAGCCTCCAGAGTAGCTGGGATTATAGGTGCCCATCACCAGGCCTGGTTAATTTTTGTATTTCTAGTAGAGACGGGGTTTCACCATGTTGGCCAGGCTGGTCTAGGACCCCCGACCTCGTGATCTACCCGCCTCAGCCTCCCAAATTGCTGGGCTTACAGGCGTGAGCCACCGGGCCTGGCCCAATTTTTTTTGTTTGTTTGTTTTATACTGAGGAACGCCCTCCAATCCCTCCAACACCCAGCACCCCTCCTTCAAATGCCTGGTCCCCTATTGCATGTCTCAGCCCCCAACTCCCAGTCACAGCCCCCAAACCATCTCCAGGGCCCCCTTACCCTTCATAGAGACAGGCAGACAACAGACAGACACACAAGGTCCCGGCGCTGGCTTTTATTGCCTCCTGGCAGAGAGGAGGTGTCCCAGGCCAGGCCAGGCAGGAGAGGGCTGGGGCCAGGGGAGTTTCAGTCTATGTGGTGGAGGCTCAGATTTGGAGCTGGAGGGGTTGGGGCGGTTCTTAGAGCTGAGCTTGGGGCCAAGGGTCCCTGGGTCTGGGCTGGGAGACTCAGTCAGAAATAGGTATTGCTTATCCTCTGGGACTATGACAGCCCCTCCCTGGGGTTGGGGGTGTGACAGGGACAGAAGCCGACCCAGGGGGTCCCTGAGAGCCCAGGGGCAGGAGGATGCCTGGGACTGCATCTGCCTCCTGCGGGGCCTGGACAGGGAGGGGGCCAGACCACAGCGGCCCCTCCTCCGGTCATTGTGCGGGCCTCTGAGGCTGTGGCAGGTGCGCGGTGCTCACAGCTCATCGTGGTGCCGGGTCAGGTCCTCGCCATAGTTGGTGGCCTGACTGCCCACAAACATGTTCCAATTACCCAGGATTTCCGCTTTGCTCAGCCGCCCATCCTGGAGGGAGGGTCAGGGTTCAGAGGGGACAACACGGCCCTGCTTTCAAAAGCCCTCCCTGCATCCAAGCGTGTCCCGAAGTCTCTGGGACCCTTGTTCTCTGGGCCTCTGTCCCTTTCTCTCTGAATCTGTCCCCGTCTTGGTCCCTGTCCTTCTCTCTTTGGGTCTCTGGGTCTCTGTCCCCCTCTCTTTCTGGGGCTCCGTGCCCTCTCTTTTCCTCCCTCTCTCTGTCCCTCTTTTTTTATCCCACCTAAAAGGGACCCTGAGCTCCAGGCCCAGGTCTTGCTCCTTTCTGGAGTCTGGCCCGCAATGCCCACCCGCTCCTCGCTCCTGCCGAGGCCCCGTCACTGCACCTTGTCCGTGTCGCTCTCGTGCAGCAGGTGGTTGGCTTCCACCAGGGGCTGGTCCTGGGCAGGGGGCAGCACCCAGTGGCCCACCTCACTCCCATCCAGGTGCCCATCCTTGTTCAGATCCCGGAAGTCCCGGAACTGCTGCCTCTCCGTCTGCACCCACGCCGGCTCCTCCTCCCCAGGCTCGGCTGAGTACAGATCCGCTGGGGGCCGGGACAGAGGGGACAAGGTCAGGGGCAGCTCTGGGGGTCTAGTGGAGCTGGGGGCTGATCCTGGCTCTGATACTTCCTGAACCAGGCCCTTGAGCAACTCACTACCCTCTCTCTCGCCTCAGCGTCCTCTTCTGTTTCGATGGAATTAGTAACAAAACCTGACTTATAAGCAATCATTTGTGTTACAGGTGAAATTCATTTGATTGGTTGATTGCATGATTGATTGATTTCATTGACACACACGTGAAGTAGTGTGTGCAATGGGCAAGGCAGTGCCTGGCACATAGTAAGCAATGTCTATGCAGGAGGAACGTGCGAGGATGTTTCTGGCCAGTTAGCAGGTGACAGAGATGCCAGGTGCAGTGATGACTGTAATCCAACACTTTGGGAGACCCAGGCAGGAGGGTCATTTGAGGCCAAGATTCAAGACCAACCTGGGCAACATAGCAAGACCCTGTTTCTACAAATTTTTTTTTTTTTTTTTGAGATGGAGTCTCGCTGTGATTACCCCACTGCACTCCAGCCTGGGCAACAGGGCAAGACCCCACCCCCTTTTTTTTTTTAAGATGGAGTTTCGCTCTTGTTGCCCAGGCTGTAGTGCAATGGCGCAATCTCAGCTCACTGCAACCTCTGCCTCCCAGGTTCAAGCGATTCTCCTGCCTCAGCCTCCCAAGTAGCTGGGATTACAGGTGCGTGCCACCACACCCAGCTAATTTTTATATTTTTAGTAGAGGCGGGGTTTCACCATCTTGGCCAGGCTGCTCTCAAACTCCTGACCCCATGATCCACCTGCCTCAGTCTCCCAAAGTGCTGGGATTACAGGCTGGAGTGCAGTGACACAATCTCAGCTCACTGCAACCTGCACCTTCTGGGTTCAAGTGATTCTCCTGCCTCAGCCTCCCAAGTAGCTGGGATTACAGGTACCCGCCACCACGCCCAGCTAATTTTTCTAGTTTTAGTAGAGACAGGGTTTCATCATGTTGGCCAGGCTGGTCTTGAACTCTTGACCTCAAGTGATCCACCCACCTTGGCCTCCTAAAGTGCTGGGAATACAGGCGTGAGCCATGGCACCCACCCCAATTTTATACATTTTGATATGTTACTGGTTGGGGAGGAGTTAAGAAATAGGTGCCAGAGCCCAAACACCAAGGTTCAAATCCTAGCCCTGCCTCTTCCCATTGTCTTCAGCAGATCCCTTCAACCCCCCTGGGCCTCAGGTGTCATCTATATAATGGAGGATAGTGACAGTGTCTGCCTGGTAGAGCTGAGGAATGGAAGATGAAGTCTTAATGGGATGAAGTAATTGAGAAGATAGGCTGGGTGCGGTGGTTCGCGCCTGTAATCCCAGCACTTTGGGAGGCCGAGGCAGGTGGATAACCTGAGGTCAAGAGTTCAAGACCAGCCTGACCAAAATGGTGAAACCCCGTCTCTACTAAAAATACAAAATTAGCCAGGCGTGGTAGTGCACGCCCATAATCCCACCTACTCAGGAGGCTGAAACAAGAGAATTGCTTGAACCTGGGAGGCGGAGGTTGCAGTGAGCCGAGATCATGCCACTGCACTCCAGCCTGGGCGACAATAGCGAGACTCTGTCTCAAAAAAAAAAAAAAAGAGATGGGGACAGCTGCTGGCATCTGGGGCCTGTGACCTCCTTGTTGTCAGGGCCTGTCCTGTGCACCGGAGAATGCTAAGGAGCATCTCTGGGCTCTATCCAGGAGACGTCAGTAGCATCCTCACCCCTCTAGAAGTGACAACCAGAAGTATCTCCAGAGGCCGCACTGTGCCTGGAGTCTCAGCTACTTGGGAGGCTGAGGTGGGAGGATCCCTTGAGCCCAGGAGGTCAAGGCTGCAGTGAGCCAAGATCACCCCACTGCACTCCAGCCTGGGCGACAGGGCAAGACCCCATCTTTTTTTTTTTTTTTTAAGATGGAGTTTCGCTCTTGTTGCCCAGACTGAAGTGCAATGGCGCGATTACAGCTCACTGCAACCTTTGCCTCCCGGGTTCCAGAGATTCTCTTGCCTCAGTCCCCAGAGTAACTGGGATTACAGGCTCCTGCCAACAGGCCCGGCTAATTTTTGTATTTTTAGTACACCATCTTGGCCAGGCTGGTCTCGAACTCCTGACTTCATGATCCATCCATCTCAGCCTCCCAAAGTGCTGGGATTACAGGTATGAGCCACTGCGCCTGGCCCAACCCCATCTCTTAAGAAAAAAATATAAAAATGTTCTCTCAGCCAGGTGTGGTGATTCATGCCTGTAATCTCAGCTCTTTGGGAGGCCAAGGTGGGAAGATTGCTTGAGCCCAGGAGTTCTAGACCAGCCTGGACAATATAGTGAGAACCCATCTCTATTTAATAAAGAGAGAGACACACACACACACAGACAGACAGATAGAAAGAAAGAGTGACAGAAAGAAAGAAAGTGAGAGAAGGAAAGAAAGAAAAATGTTTTCTCATGTAGGATGTGGTCAGAAAAAAATAAAAGAATAAACAATGTTTTCAAACTTAAAAAAAAATTCCTGGCCGGGCGTGGTTGCTCACGCCTGTAATCCCACCACTTTGGGAGGCCAAGATGAGCAGATCACCTGAGGTTGGGAGTTCTAGACCAGCCTGGCCAACATGGTGAAATCCCATCTCCACTAAAAATACAAAAATTAGCCAGGCGTGGTGGCAGGCACCAGTAATCCCAGCTACTCAGGAGGCTGAGGCAGAAGAATCTCTTGAGCCCGGGAGGCGGAGGTTGCAGAGAGCCGATACCACGCCACCGCGCTCCAGCCTGAGCAACAGAAAAAAACTGTCTCAAAAAAAAAAAAAAAAAAAAAAAATTCCTTGTTAGCGTTCTCCTTGACTAAATTTTTTGCCCGCTAGGGGCAGGGACAGTGGCAGGGGCCCAGGGAGAACTCAGAACTCAGGGGGTATTGTGAGGATCCCCCAACATCCCATGTAACAGGAAACAGTGTTTGCTGTGCAGGCGCAGGTTCAAGACCAGCTTCCTGACCCCCATTCTCAACTAAACATAGCCCCTGAGCCTTGATTTTGTAGAAACTCCAGACCCCCAAGAAGGGATTTGTCTGTGTTATTGTCTGCTGTAGGCGCAACCACCCATATGCAGTAGGTGCTCAGTAAGTGTATCCTGGGCGTGACACACAGCAGGTGCTCAATAGATGCTTTTTGTGTCTGGTATAGAGTAGGTGCTCAATAAATGTTGGGTGGCTAAATGAACTCAAGCAGTGAGTGCCCCTGCCCCCATGTCTGAGGGCCACTGTTCTCTGATGATGGGTGATGTACCTCCGGCTACCCCCACCAACCCTGCCCATGCCTGAGAGAGGACAGGCATCCCAAGAAGAAATTGGGGCCCACTCACCGATGTACTCCTCCACCTGGACATAGCCATCTTTGTTTCTGTCCAGGTCCTCCAGGGTTTCCTGGAGGAGAAAGGGGCATTGAGGCTGGGGGCCGATGACCCTGGCTCCTGGGGGAGGCTGGACCCCTGGGGTAAGAGTGAGAGGTTCTCTTGGAAATTTAGCTCCGGGCAGCTGTGGGAGGCAGGCAGTAGAGCAGTCTCAACAGGTGGCATGTGGGAAATTTGCGGGCTTTCTGGGATGTTATCATCAAACAGGCACCACCTGCATTTACGGGGCCAGAGCCCAGAGGCCCTAATGTCCAGCAGTGCACAGGTTTGTTGCTCACAAGGGGAGCTGTCCTGGGTCCCTAATAACTTGCTCAAGCCCCAGCAAACACCCTCCAAGGGGAGAAGCTCCTTTATGTTTAGCAGAGCCTAGAACCTACCTCTGCTTTATGTGTGAACATGGTGCACTTTGGGGCTTCTTCTGACACACTGGACACCTCCGCTCCTTGTTTTTGTGCCCTTCTGGAGCAAAACGACTTTTGTTCCCCAATTTATATCCAAACTCATTCACTATAAGACTGTGGGCTGGGCACGGTGGCTCACACCTGTAATCCCAGCACTTTGGGAGGCCGAGGCGGGAGGATCGATTGAGCCCAGGATTTTGAGACTAGCCTGGGCAACATGGCGAGACCCTGTCTCTACACAAAATTTAAAAATTAGCCAGGCATGGCCGGGCGTGGTGGCTCACAACTGTAATCCCAGCACTTTGGAAGGCCGAGGTGGGTGGATCACGAGGTCAGGAGATCGAGACCATCCTGGCTAACACAGTGAAACCCCGTCTCTACTAAAAAAAAAAAAAAAAAAATTAGCCGGGCATGGCGGCATGCGCCTGTAGTCCCAGCCACTCGGGAGGCTGAGGCAGAAGAATGGAGTGAACCCGGGAGGCAGAGCTTGCAGTGAGCCGAGATCGCATCACTGCACTCCAGCATGGGCGACAGAGCGAGACTCCGTCTGAAAAAAAAAAAAAAAAAAACATTAGCCAGACATGGTGGCTTGTGCCTGGTGGCCTCAGCTTCTCAGAAGGCGGAGGTGGGAGGATTACTTGAGCCCAAGAGTTTGAGGTTGCAGTGAGCTGAGATTGAGCCACTGCCCTCCGGTCTGGGTAACAGAGTTAGGCCCTGTCTCAAAAACTAAAAAAAAAAAAGAGGAAGGAAAGAAAAAAAAAGCCTTCTTCTATAGAACAAAGCACATTTTGGGGCCAGGCACGGTGGCTCATGCCTGTAATCCCAGCACTTTGGGAGGCCAAGGTGGGCAGATCACCTGAGGTCCGGAGTTCAAGACCAGCCTGGCCAACATGGTGAAATCCCATCTCTACTAGAAAAAAAAATTAAAAATTGGCCGGGCACGGTGGCTCATGCCTATAATCCTAGCACTTTGGGAGGCTGAGGCGGGCGGATCACCTGAGGTCAAAAGTTTGAGACCAGCCTAACCAACATGAAGAAACCCTGTCTCTACTAAAAATTAGCCAGGTGTGGTGGTGCGCCCCTGTAATCCCAGCTACTCGGGACGCTGAGGCAGGAGAATTGCTTGAACCCGGGAGGCGGAGGTTGCAGTGAGCTGAGATCGCACCACTGCTTTCCAGCCTGGGCAACCGAGGGAGACTATGTCTCAAAAAAAAAAAAGAAAGAAAAGAAATTGTATAAGGTGGGGCACAGTGGCTGTCTGAGGGAAGGCTGGGGGCCTGGACCCCAAATGCGAGCACAGGGAGGGGAAGGCCAGACGAGGAGAGATCAGACCCCAGGGGACTGAGAGTGGAGGTGGGAAAGGTCACCGTCCTCTGACCTGTGTTTGCGGCCTGGCTTCCCCGGCAAGATGCTGGAGAACCAGGTGACTGCCTGCCCCCAGGTCGGTGCTGGGAAGCAGGACCTGAACCGGAAGCCTGGGTCCCCGGAAGGGTGTGGGGGACAGGGTTCCCCAGCCGCCACTCACAGCAATCACGATGTCCCGCATGTGAGGGAACTCCTCGGGGTGCAGGAAGGCTGTCAGCTCCTCTCGAGTGGCCATCGAGTCCCCATCCTGGTCGGCCACCCGGAAACGCCGCTCGTCCCGAGCCAGCATCTTTTTGTAGGTCTCTGCATCCTCCACGTCATGAAATTCTTCACCTGGGGAAGGACAGGTCTCAGTGAGATGAGCTTTAATGGAGGAAACGCCAAGCAGGTTAAAACAAAGACAAAGTAAATCCTACTGGGGTACAAAGATTTCTGTGGAGTTAATAAGTATATATCAGTAGGCTGGATGCAGTGGCTCACGCCTGTAATAGCAGCACTTTGGGAGGCTGAAGCTGGCAGATCACTTGAGGTCAGGAGTTTGAGACCAGCCTGGCCAACATGGCGAAACCCCATCTCTACCAAAAAAATACTTAGCCGGGCATGGTGGGGCACGCCTGTAATCCCAGCTACTCGGGAGTCTGAGGCACAAGAGTCGATTGAACCCAGGAAGCGGAGGTTGCCGTGAGCTGAGACTGCACCACTGCTTTCCAGCCTGGGCGACAGAGGGAGGCTATGTCTCAAAAAAAAAAAAAAAAAAATTTTAGAAGCCTGGCACAGTGGCTCACACCTGTAATCCCAGCACTTTGGGAGGCCGAGGTGGGTGGATCGCCTGAGGTCAGGAGTTCGAGACCAGCCTGGTCAACATGGTGAAACTCCTTCTCTACTAAAAATACAAAAATTTGCCTGGCATGGTGGTGGGCGCCTGTAGTCCTAGCTACTCGTGAGGCTGAGGCAGGAGAATTGCTTGAACCCAGGAGGATGAGGTTGTAGTAAGCCGAGACCTTGCCATTGCACTGCAGCCTGGCCAACAAGAGTGAAACTCCATTCCATCTCAAAAAAAAAAAAAAAAAAAAAAAAGTAGGCCGGGTGCGGTGGCTCAAACCTGTAATCACAGCACTTTGGGAGGCCGAGGTGGGCAGATCACCTGAGGTTGGGAGTTCGAGACCAGCCTGACCAACATGGAGAAACCCCATCTCTACTAAAAATACAAAATTAGCCAGGCGTGGTGGCGCATGCCTGTAATCCCAGCTACTTGGGAGGCTGAGGCAGGAAAATCGCTTGAACCCGGGAGGCGGAGGTTGCAGTGAGCCGAGACCACGCCACTGCACTCCAGCCTGGGCAACAAGAGCAAAACTCCCTCACAAAAAAAAAAAAGCATATATTGATACTTTATATATAATTTGTATATATATTTAAGTATATAATATGTTATATAACATATTATTAGTATGTGTGTGTATATCTATATCTATCTATCTATCTATCTATCTATATATATATATATTTTTTTTTTTTTGAGACAGAGTCTCACTCTGTCGCCAAGGCCAGAGTGCAGTGATGTGATCTCGGCTCACTGCAACTTCTGCCTCCTGGGTTCAAGTGATTCTCTTGCCTCACCCTCCAGAGTAGCTGTGATCACAGGTGCACACCATCACGCCCAGCTAAGTATTTTTTTGTGGTAAGACGGGGTTTTGCCACATTGGCCAGGCTGGTCTCTAACTTCTGATCTCACGTGATCCACCCACCTCGGCCTCCCAAAGTGCTGGGATTACAGGCGTGAGCCATGGCACCCAGGCTATGTAACATATTATATCCACCCAATAAATTAGCTAACTTGTGAGAGATTATATGCTAAGCTCTTTATGCACAATATTGCATTTAATCATCACAAAAAAGCACATACAGTGGGTTTTTCCATGTATTCTACTTTCTGAATGCAAAAATTGATTCTCAGAGAGAAGAAATAACTGATCCAAGCGTGTGGAGACAGGAATGGCCCACTATGAGTTGACAGTGGGCCTTTTGGCCCCAGACTAAGGCTGTGATGGGGTAGCTTACAGGGACTGAGATGGCTTGACTGAGAGGAGGGGACGGGCATTGTAACTGGAGGGAACAATATGGGCAGAAGGTAGAGGTTTGAAGAGTGTGGTGAGTTCAGGAAAACCACAGAAAATCCATTTGGTGCAGAAAATGCAGAAAAACAAAGCCACAGGAGGAAACGTCCCGGCTGGGGAGTGGGACCGTCTCCTGGGGGCCCAGGAGGGGGAGGGAGGGGCAGAGTCAGTGCTGGGCATGAAGAACCCCGCCCCCGGAGCCCTGTGGAGGACAGACTGGACGGGGAGGCTGGGGCCAGGGACAGAGAGGAGAGGAGGGAGAGAATGAGGGCTGTGTGTGTGGCAGGGTGTGGGGCACTGAGGCTGGGACTTGGGACAGAAAGGAGGGATCTGAGAGTCAGGGGCTGAGTAACTGGCTTTGGGGTTCTCAGGATGAGAGGTCACAGAAGTTAGGGGTCAGGATGACAAGGCATGGAAAGTAGGTGTCCTTGGCCAGGGATCTCAAGTACCCTAGTCATATTGTCACAGAGGTGGTGAGTCCCAGAATGAAAGCCCTGAAGGGAACCTGGGTAGCTTAGTTGGTAGAGCATTGGACTTTTAATTTGAGGGCCCAGGTTTCAAGTCCCTGTTTGGGTGCGTTCAGTGGCTTTTAGCACCTAATTGTGACTTCATGTTTGAAAAAAAGATCGTTTTTAGCATGCAGCTAAATACCAGAAAAATAAGCAGACGAAAAACAAAAAAGAGAAGCCAGAGGTGAGAAACTGAAGATCTCACAGTTATGGGCTCCTAAAAGTGGGTAGAGCCTGGTTAGGGGCCAGGGACTCCGGGTAAATGGGTTCAGGGTTCTCAGAATGAGGCGGTCCAGAAGGTCAGGGTCACGGTGTATGGGGAGCAGGGTCGGGGGCTCGCCGCGTACCGGGCGCGTAGTGGCCATAGGTGGCGTTGCGCAGCTCCTCCCAACCCACACGCCCGTCGCGGTCCGTGTCGTACGTGTCCCAGGCCGCGCTCACCGAGTCCCGTATGTGCCGCTGCTGCGTGTGCGCGATCCACGCGCGAAGCTCGGCCAGCGACACCCAGCCGTCGCCGTCCCCCGCGCGGTCCATGCGGTCCACGATCCGCCTAGAAGCCGGGGCGGGCACACGTCAGGCTCTGGTCCCGCCCCCAGGCCCCGCCCCTCGCACGGGCCACGCCCCCTGGGACACTTCGGATCCGGGGCTGAAAATACAGTCCACGGTCCGCGGGCTAACTGGGGAGGGGCGCGGGTCAATTTCGGGACCAAGCCCACCGGAGGACCCTACCCCTCAGCCTAGGGTCCACCCCCAGGTCGAGTCACGCCCTTCTCCAGAACGAGCGGGCCTGCTGGGAGCACTGCGGGGGAGGGACCTACTACGATGCAGGGCCACCCTCTCCGCGCCGGCCCCGCCCTCGGCCTGCACGTGCTGCACCTCTCGCTGGGCCGAGCTGGGGTGGTGAAGGGGAGCGCGGCGTCGCACTGTGACCCTTGCCAAGGGGGCCCTGTTGCAAGATTGACTCTGAACCCAGACAGCCACGGCCACACCCCCGATCCCCCGCTGTCTCAGGCCCCGACCCGCCCCATGCCCCTCCCCCTTACCAGGCTGCGCGTGTCAATTTCAGGCTCCTCTCCCTCCAGCCCTGCCCTGTGCTGAGCCCCGTGGCTTTCCCCTGCCTGCTCCCGGCTGAATCAGGCACTGCCTGAGGACCATCACCCGCAACCCCGGGGGCTCAGTCTCCCTCTGCCCCTCCCCATGCTCCTCCGGGCTCCTGTGCCCCTCCCTGTCGCATGTCAAGCCACTTTAGGTTCCATCTCTCCCCTTCTCTTGGGCCACGCCTATCAGCTCTCGGGCCCCTCTCCTCTCCCTTGGTGACGCCTTGCCAGGCCGGTCCTCTCCCAATCTCTAATTAACAGAGACTACCTGGAGCCCTCCTCCCTGTCACCGTCCCTAGGCCCCCGCGGCCCCCTCCCTAAAGTCGAAAATCCGAGACAGCAGAGCCCTCTCCAGGCCTGCCTGAGTCACCGCCCCACCTCCCGCACCAGGCGGTCTCTGCTCCAGTCTGTCTAGGGCCCCACTCTGTCCCCGGAATCACACCCTTCTCTGAGGTTCCTGGTGTTGTTAAGCGCTTGGGCTCCACAGCCAGACATTTTAGGTCCAAATCCAGCCACTTCCTCTTACTGGCTGTGTGACTGTGGGCAAGTGACTTAACCTCTCTGTGTCTCAGTTACCCCTCTGTAAAACGGAGGAAGAAAAAACGGTACCTACCCCAAAAGGGCGGTTGTGGGGAATAAATGAGTTAGGCCATGTAAAGCACTTAGGACAGGACAGGCGCGGTGGCTCACGCCTGTAATCCCAGCACTTTGGGAAGCCAAGACAGGCGAATCACTTGAGATCAGACGTTCCAGACCAGCCTGGTCCACATGGTGAAACCTTGTCTCTACTAAAAATACAAAAATTAGCAGGGCATGGTGGCACGCACCTGAAATCCCAGCTACTCTGGAGGCTGACGCGGGAGAATTGGTTGAATCTGGGAGGTGGAGGTTGCAGTGAGCCGAGATAGTACCACTGCACTCCAGCCTGGGCAACAGAGCGAGACTCCGTCTCAAATAATAATAACAATAATAGGCCGGGCACGGTGGCTCACGCCTGTAATCCCAGCACTTTGGGAGGCCGAAGTGGGCAGATCACCTGAGGTGAGGAGTTCCAGACCAGCCTGGCCAACATGGTGAAACCGTCTCTACTAAAAATACAAAAAGTAGCCGGGCACAGTGGTGGATGCCTGTAATATCCACTACTCGGGAGGCTGAGGCAGGAGAATTGCTTGAACCCAGGAGGCGTAGGTTGCAGTGAGCCGAGATCGTGCCACTGCACTCCAGCCTGGGCAACAGAGTAAGACCTTGTCTCAAAAACAAACAAACAAACAAAAAACACTTTGGAGGCCGAGGAGGGCGGATCACAAGGTCAGGAGATCGAGACCATCCTGGCTAACATGGTGAAACCCCGTCTCTACTAAAAATACAAAAAATTAGCCGGGCGTGGTGGCAGGTGCCTGTAGTCCCAGCTACTCGGGAGGCTGAGGCAGGAGAATGGCGTGAACCTGGGAGGCGCAGCTTGCAGTGAGCCGAGATCGCGCCGTTGCACTCCAGCCTGGATGACAGAGTGAGACTCTGTCTCAAAAAAAAAAAAAAAAAAAAAAAGGCCAGGCGCCATGGCTCACGCCTGTAATCCCAGTGCTTTGGGAGGCCGAGGTGGGTGGATCACGAGGTCAGCAGATCTAGACCATCCTGGCTAACACGGCGAAACCCCGTCTCTACTAAAAATACAAAAAAATTAGCTGGGCGTGGTGGTGGGCGCCTGTAGTCCCAGCTACTCGGGAGGCTGAGGCAGGAGAATGGCATGAACCCGGGAGGTGGAGCTTGCAGTGAGCCGAGATCACGCCACTGCACTCCAGACTGGGAGACAGAGCGAGACTGCGTCTCAAAATAATAATAATAATAACAATAATAAAGCACTTAGGACAATGCCTGGCATTGCCATTAGTGCTAAGCTAAATGTGCTAACCTGTCACTGCCCTTCTTCCTCCATTTCTCCTTCATGCATGCCCATCCAAGCACAATCTCCCAGCCAGCAGTCCTGGGGACCACTGCCACTGTCTCCACCCTGATCTGACCACCATCTTGTCTTGTCTTCCACCTGGACTATCGCAGTCGCTTCCTCACTGGGCTCCCTGCTTCTTGCTCCCTACAGTCTGTTCCCCACCTCGCAGCCAGCAGGATTCTCTCAAAACCTAAGTCAGCTCATGCCCTCCCTCAGTTCTACTCTCAATTGGAGAAAAGCCTAAATCTTCATCGTGGCCTAAAAGGCTTTGCATTGCATGATCTGACCCCCTTTGCATGGTCTCAGGCAATCCGCCCGCTTTGGACTCCCAAAGTGCTGGGATTGCAGGCGTGAGCCACTGCACCTGGCCCTCTCTCTTTTTGAGACAAAGTCTTGCTCTGTTGCTTAGGCTGGAGTGCAGCGGCATGATTTTGGCTCACTGCAGCCTTGACCTCCCAGGCCCAAGTGATCCTCCCTCCTCAGCCTCCCTAGTATCTGGGACTACAGGAGCACGCCACCATGCTGGGCTAATTTTTGTATTTGTTTTGTAGAGGCGGGGTATCACTATGTTGCCCAGGCTGGTCTTGAACTCCTGGGCTCAAGTGATCCCCCAGCCTTGGCCTCCCAAAGTGCTGGGATCACACACATGAACCACCATGCTGAACCCCTTTGCTCCTTCTCTGCCCTCACCTCCCACTCTCTCCCCTTTCTCACTGAGTTCCAGCCACACGGGCCTCAGAACTGTTGCTCTGACACTCCAAGCCCACTCCTGCCTCAGGGCCTTTGCACTTAACTGTTCTGTCTGCCTGGAATGCTATTCACTCCGATACCCACATGGCTCAAATACCACATACCACCTTCTCATGGAGGCCTTGTCCAAGTTCCCTGTTTAAAATTGCAGCTCCAGCCGGGTGCGGTGGCTCATGCCTATAATCCCAGCACTTCGGGAGGCCGAGGTGGGCAGATCACCTGAGGTCAGGAGGTCGATACCAGCCTGACCAACATGGAGAAACCCCATCTCTACTAAAAATACAAAATTAGCCGGGCATGGTGGTGCATGCCTGTAATCCCAGCTACTCGGAAGGCTGAGGCAGGAGAATCACTTGAACCCAGGAGGCGGAGGTTGTGGTGAGCCGAGATTGCGCCACTGCACTCCAGCCTGGGCAACAAGAGCAAAACTCCGTCTCAAAAAAAAAAAAAAAAGAAAAAAAAGAAAAATTACCTGGGCCTGGGCTGGGTGCTGTGGCTCACGCATTAATTCCAGCACTTTGGGAGGCCAAGGCGGGCGGATTGCCTGAGCTCAGGAGCTCGAGACCAGCCTGGGCAACACAGTGAAACCCCATCTCTACTAAAATACAAAAAAAAAAAAAAAAATTAGCTGGGCGTGTGGGCGTGCACCCATAGTCCCAGCTACTCGGAAGGCTGAGGCAGGAGAATTGCTTGAACCTGGGAGGCAGAGGTTGCATGAGCTGAGATCACGCCACTGCACTCTAGCCCGGGAGACAGAGTCTCACTCTGTCTCCAAAAAAAAAAAAGGAAAGAAAAAAAACTTTGCTGGATGTGGAGGCGTTCACTTGTAGCTAGGACTTGTAGCGTTCACTTGTAGCTAGGACTCTAGCTACTAGGGAGTACGAGGCAGAACAACTGGTTGAACCCGGGAGGCGGAGGTTCCACTGAGCCGAGATCACGTCACTGCACTCCAGCCTGGGTGACAGAGCGAGACTCCATCTCAAAAACAACAACAACAAAAATAAAAATAAAAAATAAAAATACAAAATTAGCTGGGCGTGGTGGCTAGCGCCTGTAATCCCAGCTACTTGGGAGGCTGAGACAGGACAATTGCTTGAGCCCAGGAGGTGGAGGTTGCAGTGAGCCGAGATCGCACCACTGCACTCCAGCCTGGGTGACAGAGCGAGACTCCATCTCAATAAGTAAATAAATAAATAAATAAATAAATAAAAATTGCAACTCCCCCCCACCAACAACCTCTCCCCTCCACACTTTCTGACTCTCTTGCTTTATCTTTCTTGGATGCATTTATCTCTATTTGATCCACTTTCTACTTATTGACTTCTTGCTGTTTCCCTCACCACAGTGTAAACTTCAGGAGGACAGATGTGTTAGCTGTTGTGACTTCAGCACCTAGAGCAGTGCCTGGCACATAGCAGGTGCTCGATAAACCTTTGCAGGCTCAATCAGTGTCAGGAGGATGCACAGAAGAAGGCGGCTGCTCCCATCGCGCCCCCCTGCGCTCAGGCCTGGACGGAGAGGGTGGACAGGGCTCCATTCCACCCAGCTCACCCTGAAACTCAGGGCTCTGCCACTCTCCTGCACTGGCCGGGCTCCTTAAAGGCCAAACCTCATTTTCCACACCAGTCCCTGCCATTTACAGAGCAGGAAACTGAGGCTTGGGGAGGGGAGATGTCTGGGACAAAAGAATAAGGAGCGCTTAGGGGGCAGAATCTAACCCAGATTTTGCTGCCCTCAAAGGTCCTCTTTTTTATTGTTGTTGTTGTTTTTTAGACGGAGTCTCACTTTGTCGCCCTGACTGGAGGGCAGTGGTGCAATTTTGGCTCACTGCAACCTCCACCTCCCAGGTTCAAGCGATTCTCCTGCCTCAGCCTCCCGAGTAGCTGGGATTACAGGTGCCCACCACCACGCCTGCCTAATTTTGTATTTTTAGTAGAGACGGGATTTCACCATGTTGGCCAGGCTGTTCTCGAACTCCTGACCTCAAGTGATCGGCCTGCCTTGGCCTCCCAAAGTGCTGGGATTACAGGCATGAGCCACCACGCCCGGTCTCAAAGGTCCTCTTTAGGCCTCAATTTTAACTTAATTTCTTTTTCCCAAGGATAGAAGGTAGAATTTCATTTCTCACAAAGAAATGAAGTTCAGTCCACGCCATTTCTCTGACCCCTGTCGATACCCCCGCGTCTCTCTCCTAAGCCCCACCTCTGGACACGCCCCAACCGAATGTCTCTCTTACCCCAGACGGGCCTGGCTTTCCTCTGGGGTGAGTTGGTCGAATTCCTTGGCCACTTCCCGTCCCAGGAAAGCCTCATGGTCGTACTGGAAGTTCCCGTGGGCGTCATCATGGGGAGCGTCGCTCAGGGGGGCCGCCTGGTGCACCCTCCCCTGGCCATGAGGGCCTGCGTCTGGGGATGGCTTCCCCTGGGCCCCGTGCCTCAGTAGCAACAGAAGCAGCAGAACTGATGGTCGCCACATCATCGGTCCCTGGGGAGTGGCAAAGGCCAGGGGTCAGGGGTCACAGGGATGGGGACAGACACGGGATAGGAGAATGGCGGGGTGGAGGGGTTACCTAGGACAGGACAGGGAGTTGGAAGTTGGCTGCAAGCTTTCGGGCTCAAAAAGGGCGGGCGATGGGGGAAAAGAGGGCGGGATGCTTAGAGGTAAAGCCACCTATGGGGAGGACCGAATCTTCTGACGGAGTCTCAGGGGGGTCCCAGACCTGCCAGGGGGAATTACAGAGACAGACGTGGCGCACATCCCACGCAAGGTGCAGGGCATAGTTGTGGCCAGCGAGAGGTCAGGCAGGCTCCCCGTCATTGCTCCCAGTCCGGACCCTGGTCCTCGACCCGAGCCGCCCTCCCTGGACAGAGGCCCCCCACCCACTCCCTTTACCCTGTTATCCAGCTTCGCTCCGCTCTCCACGCTCCGCTCTGCGTTCCCGCAAATGTGCCCAATTCGGCCGCTCTCCAGTCAGGCCCCGCCTCTGGCAGCGCAGAGCCCCGCCCCCCGCCCAATGAGCTCGCACGAGCGTCTCACGGGGCGGGGCCAATGAGTGCACGGGGTGCCGCGGGCACTCCTCGCCACGTCCACAAAGGAAACCGCGGCCTGCCCGGGGAAGAAGGGTGGGCGACACCGCAGTGACGCGGCCGGGGAGAACTACAACTCCTGGCAGTCGTCGCGGCACTCTGCCGTCCACCTCCAGCTGTTCTAGTCACAACGCCTCACGGGAAATGTATTTTTCCCTTTCCCTTTGTCAGGATGGTTTAAGAAAGAGGTGTACGTTCCAACACTTCTATACCAAACAAAACAAAACAAAACAAAAATAAACAAAAAGAACGAAAGAAAAGAAAAAAGGCCGGGCGCGGTGGCTCACGCCTGTAATCCCAGAACTTTGGGAGGCCGAGGCGGGCGGATCGCCTGAGGTCGGGAGTTCGAGACCAGCCTGATCAACACGGAGAAACCCCATCTCTACTAAACATACAAAATTAGCCGGGTGTGGTGGCGCATGTCTTTAATCCCAGCTACTTTGGGAGGCTGAGGCAGGAGAATTGCTTGAACCTGGGAGGCGGAGGTTGTGGTGAGCCGAGATCGCACCATTGCATTCCAGCCTGGGCAACAAGAGCGAAACTCCGTCTCAAAAAAAAAAAGAAAGAAAAGAAAAGAAAAGAAAAGGGAGAGCAGAATCAAGGGGCCGGAGGAAATATCCCATTTCCTCCAAGAGTGAACACTGCTCCTCGCTCCTCTTCGGCTCCAAGGATTCAGGTGGTCAGACAGTAGCCAAGAATTCCTCAAAATGCCTGGCATGGCAGTCATCCAGTAAATATTTGTAAAAGTTATGAATTAAAAATACATGACCTCAGGTTGAGCACAGTAGCTCAATGCCTGTAATCCCAGAACTTTGGGAAGCTGAGGCAGGTGGATCACCTGAGGTCAGGAGTTCCAGACCAGCCTGACCAACATGGTGAAACCCCGTCTCTACTAAATACAAAAAATTAGCCGGGTGTGGTGGTGCATGCCTGTAATCCCAGCTACTTGGGAGGCAGGAGAATTGCTTGAACCTGGGAGGCGGAGGTTGCAGTGAGCTGAGATCACGCAATTGTACTCCAGTCTGAGCAACAAGAGCAAAACTCTGTCTTAAAAAAAAAAAAAAAAAGTGACCTTAGGCCGGGCGCGGTGGCTCACACTTGTAATCCCACCCCTTTGGGAGGCAGAGGCGGGTGGATCATGAGGTCAGGAGATCGAGACCATCCTGGCTAACATGGTGAAACCCCGTCTGTACTAAAAATACAAAAAATTAGCCAGGCATGGTGGCAGGCGCCTGTAGTCCCAGCTACTCGGGAGCCTGAGGCAGGAGAATGGCGTGAACCCAGGGAGGCGGAGCTTACAGTGAGCCGAGATCGCGCCACAGGACTCCGGACTGAGCAACAGAGCAAGACTCCGTCTAAAAAAAAAGAAAAAAGAAAAAGAAAAAGAAAATACATGACCTGATGTATAAAACTGGCAGGTTCCCCTGTGGCAGCATGTTACCTGTAGGAGAGATCCGAGGCCCAGCCGCCATTCAGTCCCCCGACTTATTCCCTTACCTCCCCTGCCTGAAAAATGATGAGAACACACTGATTCGGGCCCAAACTCGTGTTATATTATCGAGGTGGAAAACAGCCATATGTATTAGGAGGGGAAACTGAGGCAGACCACAGGACGGGGCTCCAGAGGGAGGACAACTAGGCCCAGAACCCCTTCTGGAGGCTCAGAGATGCCAGTGTTCCAGGAGGTCTCACAGCATGAAAGGGGCCTGACTACATTCGCTTTTAGCAGTCGGAATGGCGGATGGTCAGGCGGTGGCTGGAATCACATTTACATCCTTCAAATCAGCATCCTGGGCCTCCCCTGGGGTGGGCAGGAGGACCCCGGTGTCGTCTCCACGAAGGGAGATCCAAGGGGCTGAGGAGAGAGAGAGAGGGAGAGGTCATCAGAATCTCTGAGGCGCTCTGGGTCTGACTGGCGTCCCCCATTTGTGTGTGTGTCTCACACACTCTTCCTCAGTCTCTATCCCCTTCCTTCTGGGCCTTTGTCTCCCCTTCTCCCAATTTTCCGTCCCCCCTCTTTCTACATCTTTGCCTCCCTCCTCTGGGTCTGTCTCCCCCTCCCTCTGTCCGCACCTCTCTCTGTCCCCTCTGGGTCTCTGTTCCCCCGTCTCTGGGTCTCTGTCTCCGTCCCCCTCTCTCTGCACCTCTGTTCTCCCATCTCTGGGTTTCTGTCTCCACCTCTCTCTGATCTCTGTCCCCCCTCTCTGGGTCTCTGTCCTCCCAGGTCTGTGTGCCCCTCTCTTGGGGTCTCTGTCCCTCTCTCAGAGGCTCTTCCTCCCGCTGCCCCCCACCTGGCAGCCCACTCCTCATCCTTCTCCACAACAGAGCTCCTCCTACAGCCGCTGCCGTGAGTAGCAAGACACCGATGACGATTCCCACCACGAGCACGGAGGACTTGGCTGGAGATTCTGCAGCCAGAGAACGCTGTGAGATGTGGAGCAGCCCCTCCACCCCACCCAGTCAGGACACAGAACTGGGGCGCTCCCAGTCCCTCCCAGCCTCGGAGATTCCAGCACCAAGTGTCTGATGGGCAGAGGCGAGGCCAGGCAGGCGATCTGGGCAGACTGCCCCCAGGTTGGACGTAAGAACCAGCTACAGCACGAGCGGCCGCGGTCACACCGGCAATGGATCAGCAGCGGCAAGGCGGGGCTGTGCCAGTGCAGTGGGGAGAGGCAGGCAGAGCAGTGGGAAGTCAGTCTCATGGGCCCGGGCAGTAGCAAAGCAGCAGGCAGTCAGTCTTGGTGAGGACGGGCATAGCAGACAACGAATGGTCAGATTCCAGGAAGACCCGCAGCAGCAGCAGCAGCAGCAGCAGGATGGAAGATGGTCAGACTCAGGGAGGACTGGCCATGGTAGTTAACAGCTCTTCAGACTCAGTGAGGCCAGAAGCAGCAGGAGACGGAAGGCAGTTGGCCTTGGGAAGGACAAGCCATCAGGTTTTGGGGGCACTGACAGGCGTGAGGTTCAAGGCAGTCAGATTCAAGGAGGTGGCAGCAGTGGGGAGGAAGGTCAGACTCAGGAAGGACCGGCGCAGCAGTGAGACAAGGCAACGGGAAACCAGGAGCATCACCACCTGGCGGGACCTCACCCAGCTCCACCCTGAGGGGCTGCGCCAGCCCCGCGTGCTGCACAATGCAGCAGTAGTGGTGCTCATCGCCACTTTTGACTGTTAGTGACGACGAGGCGTGGAAGGATCCGTCACTGTTGGGGCCGAAGTCACCCTGGCCGGTGCCAGCGGCCAGCCCATTCCGCAGGAACCGAAGTTGCAGCTCCGGAGGGTAGAAGGAGAAGGCGCTGCAGGTAAGCACGGAAAAGCCAGGGCTGCTGGGTCGGGCCTTCAGGCGCATGGAGGGGGGCTCTGCAGGAAATCAGGCAGACAGGCCTAAGTCGCGAGCCCACCACTCCCAGAGCCAGGGCTGGATAGGGACAGAAAGAGGCCTCCATGTTTGCACTGTGCTAACCGCAGATAATACAGTGGTAAAAGGGGAGGCACTTCCTAGGTGACAGAGACTCAACCTGTCCACCCCGAAGGTGTCCCCTCAAGATGTCACCTCCTTGGGCTGGGCATGTTGGCTCACGCCTGTAATCGCAACACTTTGGGAGGCCAAAGTGGGTGGATCACCTGAGGTCAGGAGTTCGAGACCACACTGGCCAACATGGTGAAACCCCATCTCTACTAAAAATACAAAAATTAGCCGGGCACCTGTAGTCCCAGCTACTCAGGAGGCTGAGGCAGGAGAATTGCTTGAACCTGGGAGGCAGATGTTGCAGTGAGCCAGGATCGTGCCACTGCACTCCAGCCTGGGCGACAGAGTGAGACCCCGTCTCAGAAAAAAAGAAAAAAAAAAAAAGATAGAGGATAATTATGAAAAATTCCACAGCAACACATTTGAAAATTTAGATGAACTGAACACATTCCTGATAAATACAACCTTCTAAACTGACACAAGAGGAAATTTAAAACGTCTGTAGTCCTATAACTATTTAAATTTTTTTTTTTTTTTTGAGATGGAATCTTGCTCTGTCTCCCAGGCTGGAGTGCAGTGGCGCGATCTCGGCTCACTGCAAGCTCCGCCTCCTGGGTTCACGCCATTCTCCTGCCTCAGCCTCCTGAGTAGCTGGGACTATAGGTGCCCACCACCACACTTGGCTAATTTTTTGTATTTTTAGTAGAGACGGGGTTTCACCGTCTTAGCCAGGATGGTCTCAATCTCCTGACCTCATGATCCATCCGCCTGGGCCTCCCAAAGTGTTGGGATTACAGGTGTGAGCCACCACGCCTAGCCTTTTGTTTTTGAGATAAGAGTCTCGCTCTGTCACCCAGGCTGGAGTGCAGTGGCACGATCTCGACTCACTGCAACCCCCACTTCCTGGGTTCAAGAGTTTCTTCTTCCACAGCCTCCCGAGTGGCTGGGACTACAGGTGCATGCACCACCATGCCGGGTAATTTTTTTATTTTTAGTAGAGACGGTGTTTCACCATATTGGCCAGGCTGGTCTCAAATTCCTGACATTGTGATCTACCTGCCTCAGCCTCCCAAAGTGCTGGGATTACAGGCATGATGCACCACACCCGGCCTATTTAAAATTTTTAATCCATAGTTTAAAACTTTCCAAAAACTAAAATTCCAGGTCCAGAAGACATCAATTAGTGAATTCTTCCAATGTAGAAATGATTCTATTCCTACACTAACTCTTCAGGCCATAAAACAGAGGAAACACTCTCCCAGCATATTTTATGAGGTCAGCATCATCTTGACAACAAAGCACATTATAAGAAAGAGAACTTGGCCAGGCGCGGTGGCTCACGCCTGTAATCCCAGCACTTTGGGAGGCCGAGGCAGGCGGATCACGAGGTCAGGAGATTGAGACTATCCCGGCTAACACGGTGAAACCCCATCTCTACTAAAAATACAAAAAATTAGCCGGGCGTGGTGGCCGGCGCCTGTAGTCCCAGCCACTTGGGAGGCTGAGGCAGGAGAATGGCGTGAACCCGGGAGGCGGAGCTTGCAGTGAGCCGAGATTGCGCCACTGCACTCCAGCCTGGGTGACAGAGCGAGACTCCATCTCAAAAAAAAAAAAAAAAAAAAAAAAAGAGAGCTTAAGGCCAATGTCTCTCATAAATATAGATTCAGGACAGGTGTGGTGGCTCACACCTAGAATCCTGGCGCTTTGGGGGGTGGAGGCAGGAGGATCACGAGGTCAGGAGGTCGAGACCAGCCTGACCAACATGGTGAAATCCCATCTCTACTAAAAATACAAAAAAATTAGCCAGGCATGGTGGCGTGTACCTGTAATCCCAGCTACTCAGGAGGCTAAGGCAGGAGAATCGCTTGAACCCAGAAGGCGGAGGTTGCATTGAGCCAAGATTGCACCATTGCACTCCAGCCTGGGCGACAGAGCAAGACTGTCTCAAAAAAAATAAAAAATTAAAAATTTTAAAAAATTTAAAAAAAGATTCAGAACTCTTAAACATAATATTAGCAGACAGGCTGGGTGCAGTGGCTCACTCCTACAATCCCAGCGCTTTGGGAGAATGAGGTGGATCACTTGAACCCAGGAGTTGGAGACCAGCCTGGGCAAACAGTAAGACGTAGTCTCCACTACAAATAAAAAAAATTAGCCAGTGTGGTGGATGTGCCTGTGGTCCCACCTACTCTGGAGACTGAGGCAGGAGGAATCCTTGAGCCCAGGAGTTTGAGGCTGGAGTGAGTTATGATCACACCTGGGTATAGCCACTGCACTCCAGCCTGGGCGACAGAGCAAGACTCCGTCTAAAAAAAAAAAAAAAAATTCATAAACTTTATAAAATGTATAAATTGAAGTCGATAAACTGAACTTCACTGAAATTAAGAATTTTTGTTCATCCAAAGGTTTCGTTAAGGGAATGAAAAAAGGTTGGGTGCAGTGGTTCATGCCTGTAATCCCAGCACTTTGGGAAGCTGAGGCAGGAGGATCACTGGAAGCCGGGAGTTCAAGACCAGCCTGGGCAACATGGAGAAACCCCGTCTCTGAAAAAGTTTAAAAATTAACTACGTGTGATGGTACACACCTGTGGCCCCATCCATTCAGGAAGGGTAAGGTGGGAGGATCGCTTGAGCTTGGGAGGTTGAGGCTGCAGTGAACTCTAATCCCGCTACTGCACTCCAGTCTAGGCAACAGTGCAAGTGCCTGTCTCAAAGAAAAAAAAAAAAAAAAGCCGGGTGCAATGGCTCATGCCTGCAATTCCAGCACTTGGGAGGTCAAGGCAGAAGGATCCTTACGCCCAGGCTTTCTTTTCCTTTTTTTTTTTTTTTTTTTGAGACGGAGTCTCTGTCGCCCAGGCTGGAGTACAGTGGCACAATCTTGGGTCACTGCAACCTCCGCCTCCTGGGGTCAAGCGATTCTCCTGCCTCAGCCTCCAGAGTAGCTGGGATTACAGGCGCACACCACCACGCCCAGCTAATTTTTCTATTTTTAGTAGAAACAGGGTTTCACCATATTGGCCAGGCTGGTCTTGAACTCCTGACCTCGTGATCCGCCTGCCTCAGCCTCCCAAAGTGCTGGGATTACAGGCGTGAGTCACTGTGCCCGGCCAAGCCCAGGACTTCTAGACCAGCCTTGGCAACAAATACCCCATCTCTACAAAAAATAGAAAATGTTAGCCAGGCATGGTGACGTGTACCTATAGTCCCAGCTACTTGTAAGGCTGAGGCGGGAGGATCTCTTGAGCTTGGGAGTCCAAGGCTACATGGCGCTATGACTGTGCCACTGCACTCCACTCCAGTCTGGGCGACAGAGCAAGATCCCAGCTCAAAAAAGAAAATAAAAGGCAAAGATTTCAGCAACTGCCTAGGACTGGGCATTACTGCCCAAGTTCCTTTCAGGGAGGGTGGATCTGGGCAATCGTGGGTCTTGGCTGGGATCTTGGTTTTGGTTGCTCAGCAGAAAACACATTTGCTGCTTCAGGAAAGCACAGCAGCTTCTCCCTCCTGGAGCTGCCTCTCTGGCAAGTCGGCAGAATTTGCTGCACCGTCAGGTGGAATGGAGGGACCGGGCTGACGGCCATCAGCAGTTCTGGCTTCTGCTTTATGTTCACTATTCTTTTCAGCAAATCTGTATCTTCCTGTGTCGTGCTCACAGCCACGTGCCTTCAGCCTCAAGGTACTTCCAATATAGACTAAATCCAAGCACAGAAAATCTGTCTGGCCTTTGGTTCTGTTTAACAAAATACCAAACCAGGTCAGGCATGGTGGCTCACGTCTGTAACCCCAGCACTTTGGGAGGCTGAGGCAGGCAGATCACCTGATGTCAGGAGTTCAAGACCAGCTTCGCCAACATGGTGAAACTCCATCTCTACTAAACATATAAAAATTAGCTAGGCATGGCAGCGCATGCCTGTAGTCCCAGCTACCCTGGAGGCTGAGGCAGGAGGATCACTTGAATCCAGGAGGCGGAGGTTGCAGTGAGCTGAGATCATGCCATTGTACTCCAGCCTGCGCAATAAGAGTGAAACTCCATCTCAAAAAAAAAAAAAAAATCCATCCTGGCCAACATGGTGAAACCCTGTCTGTACTAAAAATACAAAAATTAGCTGGGTGTGGTGGTGTGTGCCTGTAATTCCAGCTACTAAGGAGGCTGAGGCAGGAGGATCACTTGAACCTGGGAGGTGGAGGTTGCAGTGAGCCGAGATCGTGCTACTGCACTCCAGCCTGGTGACAGAGGGAGACGCCCTCTCAAAAAAAAAAAAAAAAAAGCCCGGGCGCGGTGGCTCACGCCTGTAATCCCAGCACTTTGGGAGGCCGAGGCAAGTGGATCACAAGGTCAGGAGTTCAAGACCAGCCTGCCCAACATAGTGAAACCCCATCTCTCCAAAAAAAATACAAAAATTAGCCAGGCATGGTGGCACGCACCTGTAATCCCAGCTACTCAGGAGGCTGAGGCAGCAGAATCGCTTGAACCTGGGAGGCGGAGGTTGCAGTGAGCCAAGATCGCAACACTGCACTCCAGCCTGGGCGACAGAGCAAGACTCCATCTCAAAAAAAAAAAAAAAAAAAAAAGATTAAGGCAATGGCCATTGCTATCCGCTAAAACCATCAGGAGAAAACCTGACAAAGAACTTCATAACAACACCCGAATCCAGTGGTCCACAGAACAGCACAGAAGCAAGCAGATGTTTGCAGCCTATGCACACAGACATACGCACCAACTACCCAGAAAGTTTTCTTGCCATAAAAATTGAACCAGAATCTGACCAAGCTTCTAGATGGAGCTGCTCCTTTAAAGAAGAGAAGGAGGACTATTTCCAGCAACATCACAGGATGCAAAGGGCAAAATCCAGTCTAGGAGAAACTCAATAGGACATAAACTGACTTTCTTCAAACCACAATTACAGGGGGAAAAAAAACAAAAAGAAAATGGGAAACCTGTAAATCAAAAGACACTCAAGATCACAAGTAACTCAAATTACCTGAAAATGAATCACAGACCTAACTGTAAAATGCAAAACTTTAAAACTCTTAAAATACACAGGAGAAGATCTAGCTGACTTTGGGTTTGGTGATTACTTCTGAGATTAAACACCAAAAGCATAATCCACGATAGAAAAAAAAAAAAGAATAAACTGGATTTCATCAAAGTTAAAAACTTTTGCTTTGTGAAAGGCACAGTTAAAACAATGAAAAGACAACCTAGAGAGTGGAAGAAATATTTGCAAAACACCTATCTGGTAAAAAATTGGAATCCGGCCGGGCGCGGTGGCTCAAGCCTGTAATCCCAGTACTTTGGGAGGCTGAGGCAGGCGGATCAGGAGGTCAGGAGATCGAGACCATCCTGCCTAACACAGTGAAACTCTGTCTCTACTAAAAATACAAAAAATTAGCCGGGCGTGGTGGTGGGCGCCTGTAGTCCCAGCCACTCGGGAGGCTGAGGCAGGAGAATTGGTGCAACTTGGGAGGTGGAGGTTGCAATGAGCTGAGATCGCGCCACTGCACCCCAGCCTGGGTGACAGAGCGAGACTCCGTCTCCAAAAAAAAGAAAAAAACAAAAATACGGCCGAGCGCGGTGGCTCACGCCTGTAATCCCAGCACTTTGGGAGGCCGAGGTGGGTGGATCACCTGGGGTCGGGAGTTCGAAACCAGCCTGGCCAACATGGTGAAACTCTGTCTCTACTAAAGATACAAAAAATTAGCAGGGCGTGGTGGCTTGCGCCTGTAATCCCAGCTACTTGGGACGCTGAGGCAGGAGAATTGCTTGAACCCGGGAGGCAGAAGTTGCAGTGAGCCGAGTTCGTGCCTCTGCACTCCAGTCTGGGCGACAGAGTAAGACTTTGTCTCAAAAAACAAACAAACAAAAATAGCTAGGCCTGATGGCGTGCACCTGTGGTCCTACCTACTGGGGAGGCTGAAGTGGGAGAATTACTTGAGCCCAGGAAGTTCAGACTGCAGTGAGCTATGATTGCACCACTGGACTCCAGTCTGGTGACAGAGCAAGACCCTGTCTCAAAAAGGAAAAAAAAAAAAAAAAAGAAAGAAAGAAAAATTCAACAATCAGAAAAAGACACTGAAAAGACAACAAAATGTGTGGACCTTGCTGGATGCTGATTCAAACTTTAAAAAACATTTACAGTCAGGAATATGGGAACAAAAACTGGACATCTGATGCCATTAAAGAGTTAATTGGTTGTAGGTGTGATGATGGTTTTGGTATTAATTTTTTTTAAATGCCCTTACCTAGTAGAGTTACATACTAAAGGACTTATCAACAAAACAGTCTGGCTGGGCACGGTGACTCCCGCACTTTGGGAGGCTGAGGAGGGCAGATCACTTGAGGTGGAGGGTTCGAGACCAGCCTGGCCAACATAGTGAAATCCCGTCTCTACTAAAAATACAAAAATTGGCCAGGCGCGGTGGCTTATGCCTGTAATCCCAGCACTTTGGGAGGCCAAGGTGGGTGGATCACGAGGTCAGGAGTTCAAGACCAGCCTGGCCAATATGGTGAAACCTCATCTCTACTAAAAATACAAAAATTGGCTGGGCGAGGTGGCGGGCACCTGTAATCCCAGCTACTCAGGAGGCTGAGGCAGGAGAATTGTTTGAACCTGGGAGGCGAAGCTTGCAGTGAGCCGAGACTGAGCCACTACACTCCCGCATGACAGAGTGAGACTCCATCTCAAAATACAAACAAACAAAGAAAAAAACACTGTGATGTCTGAGATTTACCAAAGCTTGATGTGAAGTGGGGTGGGGAAGTGAGTGAGGATGTGCGTGAAATTCAAAAAACCATGGGTTGATAATTATTAAGTCTCAGTGATGGGATGCTCGCTTCCTTCCTTCCTTCCTTCCTTTCCTTCCTCTTTCTCTCTCCCTCTCCTCTCTCTTTCTTTCCTTCTTTCTTTGAGACAGAGTCTTGCTTTGTTGCCCAGGCTGGAGTGCAGTGGCTTGATCTCGGCTCACTGCAACCTCTGCTTCCCGGGATCAAGTGATTCTCCTGCCTCAGCCTCCCGAATAGCTGGAATTACAAGCACCCACCACCGCACCCGGCTAATTTTTGTATGTTTAGTAGAGATGGGGTTTCACTCTGTTGGCCAGGCTTATCTCAAACTCCTGACCTTAAGTGATCTGCCCACCTCGGCCTCCCAAAGTGTTGGAATTACAGGCGTGAGCCACTGCACCTGGCCACCATATTTTTTTTCTTTTTGAGACAGGGTCTGGCTCTGTCATCTGGGCTGGAGTGCAGAGTTGCAATCAGTTCACTACAGCCTCAAACTCCTGAGCTCAAGCGATCCTCCTGCCATAGCCTCCCCAGTGGCTGGGACTAGAGGCACATACCACCATGCCAGGCTAATTTTTTGAGTTTTTAGTAGAGATGCGGTCTTACTATGTTGCCCAGGCTGGTCTTGAACTCCTGGGATCAAGCAATCCACCTGCCTCGGCCTCCCAAAGTTCTGGGATTATAGGCGTGAGCCACCGTGTCTGGTCCGTTTTATACTATTGTTTCTACTTAAGTGTGGTTTGAAACTTTCCCTCCTTAAGCCAGGAGTGGTGGCTCATGCCTGTAATCCCAGCACTTTGGGAGGCCAAGGTAGGCAGATCACGAGATCAGGAGTTCGAGACCAGCCTGGCCAGCATGGTGAAGCCCCCGTCTCTACTAAAAATACAAAAATTAGCCAGGCATGGTGGTGTGTGCCTGTAATCCCAGCTACTCGGGAGGCTGAGGTAGGAGAATTGCTTGAACCTGGGAGGCGGAGGTTGCAGTGAGCCAAGATTGCGCCACAGTACTGCAGTCTGGGCGACAGTGCAAGAGTCTGTCTCAAAAACAACAACAACAACAACAAAGGCCAGGAGCAGTGGCTCACGTCTGTAATTCCAGCACTTTGGGAGGCCGAGGCAGGCAGATCACGAGGTCAAAAGATCGAGACCATCCCGGCCAACATGGTAAAACCCTGTCTTTACTAAAAAAAAAAAAACAAACAAAAATTAGCCAGGCGTGGTGGTGCACGCCTGTAGTCCCAGCTACTCGGGAGGCTGAGGCAGGAGAATCACTTGAACCTGGGAGGCGGAGGTTGCAGTGAGCCGAGATCGCGCCATTGCACTCCAGCCTGGGCGACAAGAGCGAAACTCTGTCTCAAAAAAAGAAAGAAATTTTCCCTACTTAGGAAAGAAAGAAGACAATTAAAGAAAAACTACCTGGTTGAGTCTCAACTTCTCCTTTGTGGCACTTGGAATGAATATCTGTGCACATCCCCAGCTGGTATCTATCTTTGTCCAGCAGCCTGGGAGCCACAGAGGGTGAATGTGTGTCACTTCCCTCTTTGCTCAAGGCCCAGAGCAGCGCCTGGCAGTGCAAATGCTCTTGGCCAACAGTTGAATGAGTGGGGATCTGGGGGCCTCCGGGGAGGAAACAGTGAACTCTGCCCTACAGAGCTGAGGAAAGGCTTCTCAGAGGAAGTGATATCCAGCCCTGACCTTGAAGAATAAGGAGGGCTGGAGTATATGCAGAGAGGGGGAAGGGTGGAACAGAGAGGTGCCAGGGGAAACTGGATGAGCAAATGCCCAGAGGGAGGAGATTGCTTATGTTGGGTGGCTGGAGCGTAGACTCTGATGGCTGCGTAGAGACAAGTGCTGCTGCGTGGGTCTGATGAGGACATTAAGGCAAGGAAGGCCAAGCACAGTGGCTCACACCTGTCATCCCAGCACCCTGGGAGGCCAAAGTGAGAGAATCACTTGAGGCCAGGAGTTTGAGTCTGGCCTGGGCAGCATAGTGAGATGCCACCTCTACAACAAATTTTAAAAATTAGCCAGGTATGGCCAGACGCGGTAGCTCACTCCTGTAATCCCAGCACTTTGGGAGGCGGAGGTGGGTGGATCACTTGAGGTCAAGAGTTTGAGACCAGCCTAGCTACCATGACGAAACCCCATCTCTACTAAAAGTATAAAAATTAGCCAGACATGGTGGATGTGCCTATAGTGCCAGCTACTCATGAGGCTGAAGCAGCGGAATCCCTTAAACCCAGGAGGCGGAGGTTGCAGCGAGCTGAGATCACCCTGCTTCACACTAGCCTGGGCAACAGAGATTGTGCGGAAAAAAAAAAATTAGCCAGTTATGGTGGTATGCACCTGTAATCTCAGCTACTCAGGAGACCAAAGCAGGAGAATCGCTGGAGCCTAGGAGTTCAAGACCAGCCTGGGCAACATAGTGAGACACCGTGTCTACAAAATATAAAGTTAGCCAGGTGTGATGATGCTGGGCTGTGGTCCCAGCTACTTGGTTGGCTGAGGTGGGAGGACTGCTTGAGCCTGGGAGGTTCAGGCTGCAGTGAGCCGAGATGGTGCCACCACATTCCAGCCTGGGGTGACAGAGCGAGAATCTGTCTCAAAAAAAAAAAAAAGGGGGGAGCCAGGAGCAGTAGCTCATGCCTGTAATCCCAGCACTTTGGGAGGCTGAGGTGGGCGGATCACCTGAGGTCAGGGGTTTGAGACCAGCCTGACCAACATGAAGAAACCCCGTCTCTACTAAAAATACAAAATTAGCCGGGCATGGTGGTGCATGCCTGTAATCCCAGCCACTCGGGAGGCTGAGGCAGGAGATCACTTGAACCCGGGAGGCGGAGGTTGTGGTGAGCCGAGATCGCGCCATTACACTCCAGCCTGGGCAACAAGAGCGAAACTCCGTCTCACAAAAAAAAAAAAAAAAAGAAGGCAAGGAAGGAAGCCAGGAGTTTGTCCTGGGGGGCGCTGGGGAGCCATGGGAGGGCTGAGTGTAGAAGGACCCCTGAGGAATGGGGGGGCAGAGCGTGGGCTGCAGTGGGAGGCTGATGGAGGGTCCTGGCAGGGGAACTGAGGCAGGTGGGCATGACGGGAGAGAGGACAGAACAGCCTGCGGCTGCAGATCCGGCTCACCCTTCCACTCCAGGTTTCCGCGGCCCCTCTCCAGGTGCTCCCGCAGGCGGTGCGGGCAGGAGAATAGCAGGAAGGTGAGCTCCTTGTTGGCCGCCTTGTCCTGCTGCTGCCACCGCTGACTGATAGCCAGGGCCTCGGGCCAGTCCCCACCCCAGGTGCCCTGCTTGAGGTCGAAATTCATGAACTCCTCGCCGTTCAGGGCGAACTTGGCGGTGGGCACCGAGGTGTTGTCAGGGCCCAGTTCACAGCCCAGCAGGCCCTGCAGAGTGTAGGGACCTGGGGCGCCCAAACACAGGTAAGCGGGGCCCCGGAGCATGGACCCGGCCCCTTGCCCCTCCAGACCGGAATCTCACCTTTTCCCCCCAAAGCTTTGAAAGCTTCCAGAAAGAGCTTCTCCTTGATCCTCAGATCTGTGGTCTCTTTCTCCCAATACCAGGACACCTGGTTTTCCCAGACCCAAGCTCCACAGGGCTCCGCCTCGCCCCGCAGGCTATTGTAGCTCAGGTACTGCTGCGGGCCCAGCCAGCCGGACACCCAGAAGGCAGGAGTCCCCGGGGCAGGCGAGGACACCGCGGTAAGGTGGTACAGGAGGGAGAGGTGGCTTTCTGCAGACAGAAACAGAGCTGAAGGGAGCACACGGGCGGGGAACTAGACTGCAGTGGGACAGATACCCAGGGAGGGAGAAGAATCTATTATGGAGGGAGGGGGACAGATTCAGAGAGAGGGGACAGAAACCCGGGGGGGGGGGGACAGAGACCCAGAGAGAGAGAGACAAGAGACCCAGAAAGAGAGGGGGACAGAGACCCAGAGAGAGAGAGGGAAACAGACACAAGAGGCGACAGGTGGTTCCCAGCCTCAGGCCCAGCAGGAGACGTTGAGAAAGTTAATTGAGCGGAGAAGGCAGCGCCAGGGGCTCGCGGGGAACTCGGGTCCCGCTGGCTTCGCCCCTGCCTGCCTGGGGCCGCCTCCCGCCGCCCGCCTGCAGCAGGGCCCTGGCCCGGAGCGGCCCTCACCTGCGCCCAGGCTCCCAGGAAGGAGAAAGAGCAGGAGCCCCAGCGCCCAGGGCTGAGGCCGCGGGACCCCCATGCTGAGAGGACGACCTGGGGCGGGAGGGGGCACGTGACTCCTCCCGACCCCCGGCCCGCCCCTTCCTCCCGGGACACCGCGGGCACGGCCGGGACCAGGACGCCGAGGAGGGGCTCTGCGGGCTCGGTCCAGACTGACAACAATGCCCTCCTCGTACCTGAAGAACTTTCACCCCTGAACTGGATCTCAGTTGGTTAATTAATTACAGACACTTGATAGGCTGAGAGTCCCGGCCCCGAGCTCCGCCACGCCCCTTCCGCCCCCCTCAGGCCCCAGCCCCTCCTCCCTCAGACCCCGGAGTCCAGGCCCCCAACCGCTCTTCCCTCGGACCCAGGAGTCCGGGCCCCCAACCGCTCTACCCTCGGACCCAGGAGTCCGGGCCCCCAACCGCTCTACCCTCGGACCCAGGAGTCCGGGCCCCCAACCCCTCCTCCCTCGGACCCAGGAGTCCAGGCCCCCCCGGCCCCTCCTCCCTCCTCCCTCAGACCCAGCGTCCAGACCCCCAGTCCCTCCTCTCTCAGACCCAGGAATCCAGGCCCCCACCCCTCCTCCCTCAGACCCAGTGTCGAGACCCCCAGCCACTCCTCCCTCAGACCCAGGGTTCCAGGCCCCCAGCCCCTCCTCCCTCAGTCGGGCCCTGGTCGGCTCACGTTCCCTTCAGCCTCGCTCCCTTCCTGCCTGCGGCCCTGGCCGGCTCCTGGCTCCCGTGACTGGAGACCCCAGTTCCTCTCTCACATCCTGTGGGAGGCTGCTGCTCCCTGACTCCAAGAACATCCAGCCCCACCCCCCAGTTGCAGGGCACACCCCAGGCCCTAGGCCCAGCCTGTTTGTTTCTCAAAACGCTTGTGGTTCTTCTTTTTCCTTCTCTGTGGTTCCCGTTTTTTACTTTGAGGGTGTCTGCCGCTCAGGGAATTCTTGACAAAACTGGGAAAGGAACTCGATGCCTCCGGAGTCCACAACTTGGAGGTCTCTGGATCCTCCTCCTACCCCTCTGTATCCCCGTGGCCTTCCCTAGCGCTCGCTGTTAATCAAAATCTTCTGGAAGCCTCCTTAGTTCCTCCTTCAAGCCCTTCCCCCGGCATCCCCTTAAAAAATTCCTGCAGGTGCTCTTTAATATCCTTCTGCGGGCCGGGCGCAGTGACTCACGCCTGTAATCCCAGCACTTTGGGAGGCCAAGGCGGGCGGATCACGAGGTCAGGAGTTCGAGACCAGCCTGGCCAATATGGTGACACCCCCGTCTCTACTAATAATACAAAAATTAGCTGAGCGTGGTGGTGGGCCTGTGGTCCCAGCTACTCGGGAGGCTGAGACAGGAGAATTGCTTGAACCCGGGAGGTGGAGGTCGCAGTGAGCCGAGATTGCACCACTGCACTCCAGACTGGCAACAGAGCGAGACTCCGTCTCAAAAAAAAAAAAAAACCACATCCTTCTGCTAGGACTTCAGTGACCACATGGTCCCCATACAATGCTGCCTCACTCGAAGGCCCCTCCAGGCACCAGCCCCCGCCCACACTCCTGCTACAAAGCTTCCCATACACTTATTTCATTGTGGTAAAATATTCAAAATATTTACCCTTACTGTCATTTAACACATTTACAGTGCTGTGCAACTGTCACCTCTATCCGAGTTCCAGAGCTTTTTTATCACCCCAAACAGAAGGTCTGTCCCCGTTAAACAGCCGCTGCTCCCAGACCCCTGGCAACCATTCATCTGCTTTCTGTCTTGATAGATTTGCCTATTCTGCACATTTCAAAGAAATTGAATCATATAATATGAAGTCTTTCCTTCCTTCCTTCCTTGCCTCCTTCCTTCCTTCCTTCCTTGCCTCCTTCCTTCCTTGCCTCCTTCCTTCCTTCCTTCCTTCCTTCCTTCCTTCCTTCCTTCCTTCCTTCCTTTCCTTTTTTTTGACAGGGTCTGGCTCTGTCACTCAAGCTAGAATGCCGTGGAGCGATCATGGCTCACTGCAGCCTCAACCTCCCAAGCTCAAGCACTCCACCTGCCTTAGCCTCTCAAGGAGCTGGAATTACACACACTTGCCACCAGGCCCAGCTAATTTTTGTATTTTTGCAGAGATAGTGTCTTGCTATGTTTCCCAGGCTGGTCTCAAACTGCTGGGCTCAAGACAGCCTCCCACCTTGGCCTCCCAAAGCACTGGGATGACAGGTGCAAGACACCCATGCCTGGCCTGTTTTCAGCTCTATTGAGCATACATCTGGGAGTGGAACTGCTGGTCAGGTAGTTCAGGTTCTCTAGAGAAACAGAATCCACAGAATGTGTATATGCATACACAGAAAGAGATTCATTTGAGGAATTGGCTTCCAGGATTAGTGGACGTTCAGCTGGTTCAGAGTCTGATGCGGGGGCCAGGTGTGGTGGTGCATGCCTGTCATCCCAGCACTTTGGGAGGCCAAGTTGGGAGGATCGCTTGAGTCCAGGAGTTTGAGACCAACCTGGCCAACATAGGGAGACCCTGTCTCTATTTTTAAAAAAAATTTCAAAAATGTTGGACGCGGTGGCTCAAGCCTGTAATCCCAGCACTTTGGGAGGCCAAGGCGGGCAGATCACGAGGTCATGGTGAAACCCCATCCCTACTAAAAATATAAAAAAATTAGCGAGGCATGGTGGCAGGCGCCTGTAGTCCCAGTTACTCAGGAGGCTGAGGCAAGAGAATGGCGTGAACCCGGGAGGCGGAGCTTGCAGTGAGCTGAGATCCCGCCACTGCCCTCCAGCCTGGGCGACAGAGCAAGACTCCATCTCAAAAAAAAGAAAGAAAGAAAGAAAGAAACCCCAAAGTCTAATGGGGGAGCCAGCAGGTGGGAGACACAATTGCCTAGCAGGACTCCCTCTCCCTCTGGGCAGACTTTTCTTCTTTTTTTTTTTTTTGAGACGCAGTCTCGCTCTGCCATCAGGCTGGAGCGCAATGGCCCGATCTTGGCTCACTGCAACCTCCGCCTCCCGGGTTCAAGCGATTCTCCTGCCTCAGCCTCCCAAGTAGCTGGGATTACAGGCACCTGCCACCACACCCGGTTAATTTTTGTATTTTTAGTAGAGACGGGGATTTCACCATGTTGGCCAGGATGGCCTCGATCTCTTGACCTCGTGATCTGCCCGCCTCAGCCTTCCAAAGTGCTGGGATTATAGGCGTGAGCCACCGCACCCAGCCGAGACTTTTCTTCTATTCAGGGTTTCAAGTGGTTGGATGAGCCTCCCTCAATTCAGGAAGGGGAACCTCCTTTACTCAAAGCCTAACAATCTAAACATAAATCTCAGCTGGGCACAGTGGCTCATGCCTGTAATCCCAGCACTTTGGTAGGCCAAGGCAGGAGGATCGCTTGAGTTCAAGGACCAGCCTGAGTAACAGAGAGAGCTTATCTCTACAAAAAATTAAAATATTAGCCGGGTGTGGTGGTGCGCACTTGTGGTCCCAGCTACTCAAGAGGCTGAAGCTGGGGGACCCCTTGAGCCCAAGAGTTGGAGGCTGCAGTGAGCCGTGATGGCGCCACTGCACTCCAGCCTGGGCAGCAGCAAGACCCTGTCTCACAAATATATATGTAAATCTCATCCTAAAACACCCTCATAGAGACATCCAGAATAATGTTGACCGAATATCTCTTCACTCACTGTGGCTCAGCCAAATTGACACATAAAATTAACCAGGTAAATCTCTGTTCTCCTTGTCCAGAATGTCTTCATTTTTCTCATTCTGCCTGTGTCCTACTGTGTCCTACCTGATTCTCCCTGTGTCCTACTAGAAGGGAGATCCAGTGACACCCATCCCAAGGTCCACTCCTAAGAGACAGAAAGAACCTGCTTTAACTTCTTCTTTTCTTCTTTTCTTTTCTTTTTTTTATTTTTTGAGACAGAGTCTTGCTCTGTCGCCCAGGCTGGAGGGCAGTGGTGCAGTCTCGGCTCACTGCAAGCTGCGCCTCCCAGGTTCACGCCATTCTCCTGCCTCAGCCTCCCGAGTAACTGGGACTACGTGAGCCTGCCACCACGCCTGGCTAATTTTTATATTTTTAGTAGAGACAGGGTTTCACCGTGTTAGCCAGGATGGTCTCGATCTCCTGACCTCGTGATCCGCCCGACTCGGCCTCCCAAAGTGCTGGGAATTACAGGTGTGAGCCACTGCGCCTGGCCACCTGCTTTAATTTCTTAAGAATCCTAATTACAGCACCCTCAGCTCTTCCCCAAAATACCCTGAGGCAACTGCCCTGTCCTTAGCTGTCCCCTCTAGTTTCCTTGGGATCATGTAATGTCTTCAGGACACTATTCCAGCAGCCCCTGGGCCCCATTTTAAGGTTCCTTGGACCCTGACAGAATCCTCAATGCCCTGTTACAGTGTCCCTCAGGAGCCTGCTATGCTTTTCCTGGAAGTCTGACTACCATCACTGTGGGGTCCTCTATAACCCAGCCTTAGCTCTCACGTCCCCACCCCCAGGGCCCTGCTGTAACATTACCAGGACATTCGTAAAGCTCCTTGGACCACCTATGATACTCACAGGTTTTGTGTTCCTTTTTTTTTTTTTTTTTAGATGGAGTCTGGCTCTGTTGCCCAGCTTGGAGTGCACTGGTGCGAACTCGGCTCACTGCAACCTCCGCCTCCCGGGTTCAAGAGATTCTCCTGCCTCAGCCTCCTGAGTAGCTGGGATTACAGGCACCCGCCACCACACCCGGCTAATTTTTGTATTTTTAGTAGAGACGGCGTTTCACCATATTGGCCAGGCTGGTCTCGAACTCCTGACCTCGTGATCCACCCGCCTCGGCCTCCCAAAGTGTTGGGATTACAGGCGTGAACCACCGCACCCAACAATTTTGTGTTCTTTCTGGAGGCTCCAGGGAAGAATCGGTGTTTTTGCCTTTCCCAGCTTCTAGAAGCTACCAGCATTCCTTGGCTCATGGCCCAGTCCTCCATCTTCAAGGCCAGCAGCACGGCATCCTCTCCCCTCTCTGACCCATATGTCGGTCCTCACGTCTTCTCTCTCCGACACCAACCCGCCTGCCTCCCTCTCCAAAGGAGTCCTGTGATTATGTTTAGGGCTACTTGGATAATCCGAGATCGTCTCCCCATCTGAACCTAACCTAATCACATCACAAAGTCCCTTTTCCCATATAAGGCCACAGCCAGAGGTTTTGGGGGATTAGGGCATGGACGTCTCTGAGGCCATGATTCAGCTGGCCGTGGTCATCTGGAGTGTCTTTCCTTGCCCCATTCTGATCTCCTCTCCTTGCTGTTGTAATGGCCTGGGGCTTTAACCAGGAGGCCTCCCAGGGGTCTGCCTAGACATTCCCCATCATAGCCCTCCTTCCTGTCACGGAAGAAAAAGGTCTCAGTCAACGTTGCAGTGAGCCATGATTGCATCACAGCACTCCAACCTGGATGACTGAGCGAGACCCTAAAGAAAAAGAAAAAGAAAAAGAAAAAGGCCTCAAGGTCCCTTAGTGCCACCTGGGAAACCCTTGCAGATGCCCTGGGTTCCTGCAATGTCTCTGGAGCCCATTTATAGCATCAGCTGGTTGACTTGCATCAGATCCTCAGGGCTCTGTTCTAATGAGCCCTGACTACACCCTCTCTCCCCCTGGGATCCTGCTGTCATGTCCCCAGGGCTCTATTAGAACCCCCTTAGACTGTCACCTGGGCTCCCCCAGGACAGCTACAATGTCCTGAAGTCCACACTATAGTGCAGTAGAAAGCCCCTGGCAAGGCCGGGCGCGGTGGCTCATGCCTGTAATCCCAGCACTTTGGGAGGCCAAGGCGAGCAGATCATCTGAGGTCAGGAGTTCGAGACCAGCCTGGCCAACATGACGAAACACCATCTCTATGGTGCAAAAATTCGCTGGGCCTGGTGGCCTGTGCCTGTAATCCTAGATACTCAGGAGGCTGAGGCAGGAGAATCGCTTGAACCTGGGAGGCAGAGGTTTCAGTGAGCCGAGATCGCGCCACTGTGCTCCAGCCTGGGCGACAGAGTGTGACCCTGTCTCAAAAAAAAAAAAAAAAGAAAGAAAGAAAAGGAAAAAGAAAAGAAGAGCCGGAAGAGCCGGGCGCCGGTGGCTCACGCCTGTAATCCCAGCACTTTGGGAGGCTGAGGTGGGCGGATCACGAGGTCAGGAGTTCGAGACCAGCCTGACCAACGTGGTGAAACCCCGTCTCTACTAGAAATACAAAAATTAGCCGGACGTGGTAGTGCGCACCTGTAATCCCAGCTACTCGGGAGGCTGAGGCAGGAGAATCACTCGAACCCAGGAGGCGGAGGTTGCAGTAAGCCGAGATTGCGCTATTGAACTCCAGCCTGGGCGACAGAGCAAGACTCCGTCTCCAAAAAACGGAAGAGAAGAGAAGAGGAGAGGGGAAGGGGAAGGGGGAGGGGAAGGAGAAGGGGAAGGGAAAGGAAAAGCCCATGGCAGGACACACTCAGCATAAAACAAAAATGTGGTCCCCTTGGTTCCAGTTTCAAGATGGTTCAAGTAGAGCACTCACCAGGTGCTGGTCCCTTCTGATCCACTCCTCAGACTGCACGAGGAGCTGGCCTTAAAGCCGGCCCTGGCCCCTGCCTCTGTGCCTAGAATGGCCCCAGGCAGCTTTGAGCTGTGCACCCTGAACCACCTAACCGCTGCCCCTCCTCTCCACCCTTACACAATAGTGCCCCCTACTGACCTGGGGGGCAATCACACCTGAGTTCAAAACCAAAACACGACTCTTCCAGGTACACCTCTCCCAGCCAAAGGTTCTTTATCTGGAAAATGGGGATAATAATTGTGTCTTTATATTAGGGTGGTGCAAAAGTAATTGCGGTTTCTGCCATTAAAACCCCAATTGCAGGCCGGGCACGGTGGCTCACGCCTATAATCCCAGCACTTTGGAAGGCCGAGGCAGACGGATCACGAGGTCAGGAGTTCCAGACCAGCCTGGCCAACATGGTGAAACCCTGTCTCTACTAAAAATACAAAAATTAGCCAGGCATGGTGGCACTCGCTGAATAGTCCCAGCTACTTGGGAGGCTGAGGCAGGAGAATCGCTTGAACCTGGGAGGCGGAAGTTACAATGAGCCGAGATTGTGCCACTGCACTTCAGTCTGGGTGACAGAGCAAGACTCCATCTGAAAAAAACCAACAAACAAAAAACCCGCAATTGCTGGCTAGACACGGTGGCTCACGCCTGTAATCCCAGCACTTTGGGAGGCTGAGGTCGGGAGTTTGAGACCAGCCTGGCCAACATGGCAAAACCCCATCTCTATTACAAATACAAAAATTAGCCAGACATGGTAGTGGGCACCTGTAATCTCAGCTACTTGGGAGGGTGAGGCAGGAGAATCGCTTGAACCTGGGAGGCAGAGGTTGCAGTGAGATGAGATTGTGCCACTGCACTCCAGCCTGGGCAACAGAGTGAGACTCAAAAACAAACAAACAACAAACAAAAAACCACAATTGCTTTTGCACCAACCTATTTCTTTTTTTTTTTTTTTTTTGAGACGGAGTCTCTGTCTGTCACCCAGGCTGGAGTGCAGTGGTGCGATCTCGGCTCACTGCAAGCTCCGCCTCCCGGGTTAACGCCATTCTCCTGCTTCAGCCTCCTGAGTAGCTGGGACTACAGGCACCTGCCATCACTCCTGGCTAATTTTTTTTTTTTAGTAGAGACGGAGCTTCATCATGTTAGCCAGGATGGTCTCGATCTCCTGACCTTGTGATCCACCCGCCTCGGCCTCCCAAAGTGCTGGGATTACAGGCATGAGCCACCATGCCCGGCCCAACCTACTATTTCATTAGAGGCTTCAGCAGGCCAAAGGCTCCACGTGGCACACAGGGCGTCCATAGTAGCCCCCGGTTCCTGTTAACGCCCCCACTCCGCAGCCAGGCTGGGCCCCCAGGGATCCCACTGGATTGCAGGCTCTGACACCAGGCTCTGGCTGGAGCTGTCTTGCTCACTCTTGCAGCCATCCCTGGGGAACAGCGCAATAAACATTTGTAGAATGAATGTCCCTGGGAAGGCTTGATGTGTTCCTCAAACTCATCTAGAACATCGTTGGTGTTCTGCTAGAATGTTCTAGCTAAATCTATACTGACCTCTGAAACATCCATCGGTCTTTTATTTTTACTTTTTTTCTTGAGACAGGGTCTCACTCTGTCACCCAGGCTGGAATGCAGTGGCATGATAATAGCTCACTGCAGCCTCGACCTCCCAGGCTGAAGCGATCCTCCCACCTCAGCCTCCCGAGTCGCTGGTACTACAGGTACGTACCACCACACCTGGCTAATTTTTAAGTTTTTTTTGTAGAGATGGGGTCTTCCTATGTTGCCTAGGCTGGTCTCAAACTGCTGGGCTCAAGAGAGCCTCCCATCTTGGCCTCCCAAAGTGCTGGGATTGCAGTCTGAGCCACTGTGCCTGGCCTGTCTTGCTATAATACGTAATAGAGCCAGGACCTACTACAGTGTTAGACCCAGGAATTCCTGTTGGGCTCAGGGTAGTGCTGACACTCGGCAGTGGGTCTGCTTAACTACTCCTGGAACACACTCCAATTCAATTTCCAGACTCCACTCACACACCTTGGGACTAGTTCAATGAGCTCAGGTGCCTCCTATATAAATAACTTTTTTTTTTTTTTTTTTTTTTTTAGACAGAGTCTCGCTCTGTCACCAGGCTGGAGCACAGTGGTGCAATCTCGGCTCACTGCAACCTTCGCCTCCCGGGTTCAAGCGATTCTCCTGCCTCAGCCTCCCGAGTAGCTGGGACTACAGGCGCCCACCACCACGCCCAGCTAAATTTTGTATTTTTAGTAAAGACGGGGTTTCACCATGTTGGCCAGGATGGTCTTGATCTCCTGACCTCGTGATCCACCTGCCTCCCAAAGTGCTGGGATTACAGGCGTGAGCCACCGCGTCCGGCCGATCACATATTTTATATTATATAATTATAAATGTAGCCATGGGCTGGCCTATAATTTAACCTGAGTATTGCAACCATGTAATATCAGCAGGGCCTGTCACAGGAGCCCAAGGCCTTACTTAGTATTATAATAGCCCACAGGAGGCTGCAGCAATGATGGCCATCCGGCTCTAATATCACAGACCCATGACCTGCTGCAGGAGGTGCAGGGCCGCAATACAAGATAATCAAGACCTGCCCTGTTTTCACACGGTAGGTTTGATGCCTGTCTTTTTTTTTTCTTTGAGACAGGGTCTGACTCTGTCACCCAGGCTGGAGTGCAGTGGTGTCATCCTAGCCTGCTATAGACTCGGACCTCTGGGCTCAAGTGATCCTCCTGCTTCAGCCTCCCGAGTAGCTGGGACTACAGACCCAGCAAAATTTTTTTTTTTTTTGAGATGGGGTCTCACTCTGTCGCCCAGGCTGGAATGCAGTGGTGTGATCTTGGCTCACTGCATCCTCTGCCTCCCAGGTTCAAGCGATTCTCCTGCCTCAGCCTCCCGAGTAGCTGGGACTACAGGCACCGCTACACATCTGGCTAATGTTTGTATTTTTAGTAGAGATGGGGTTTCACCATATTGACCAGGCTGGCTTCGAACTCCTGACTCGTGATCCACCTGCCTTGGCCTCCCAAAGTGATGGGATTACAGGCATGAGCCACCGCACCTGGCCTAATATATTTTAAATAGAGACAGGAGTCTCCCTTTGTTGCTCGGGCTGGTCTCTAACTCCTGGCTCAAGCGATCCTCCTGCCCTGGCTTCCCTAAGTAGTGGGATTACAGGTGTGAGCCCCGGCACCTGGCCTGACCGCTATCATTATAAACCCAGAACCCCACTATAAAAGCTAACTTTCCTGTGAAAAGGCAAGGCCATTGGGGCCCCCTATAATAGGTATTCGACAGAATATTCCAGAGGCATGCTAAAACAGACTCAACATCCCGTGACAAACTACCAGGGCTTGCTGTAATGGAGCCAGGATTCCGCAACCATACAACAAATATTAAAATAAAAACCGTGGGTCCATTACAGCAAGGGCTGCCTGCCAGAGGCCCTGGTCCTTAAGCCTGCCCAAGGGGCCCCACAGGATGCTGTAACATGACACTATGGGCCTTTCTCCAACACCAAGCTGAGGGCCCCCGGCATTGTTACTTTCCAGTGTACACTTAATCAGGACTGGTTCTGTCCCATTATCACACACGAGCATTGTTTTTTTTTGAGACTGAGTCGCCCTCTGCTGCTTAGGTGGAGTGCTGTCTCGGCTCACTGCAACCTCTGCCTCCCAGGTTCAAGCGATTCTCCTGCCTTAGCCTCCTGAGTAGCTGGGACTACAGGTGCGCGCTATCACACTGGCTAATTTTTGTATTTTTAGTAGAGACATGGTTTCGCCACATTGGCCAGGATGGTCTTGAACTCCTGACCTCAAGTGATCCGCCTGCCTCAACCTCCCAAAGTGCTGGGATTACAGCCGTGAGCCACGGGACCTGGCTCACATGAGCATATTGATCCTCCCAATAGGGCAGGGAGGCAAGAAGCCATTTTACAGATTAGGAAACTGAGGCTCTGTGGTGGAGGAGTGGGTCTCTTGTCCAAGGTCACACACAGCTAGGGAGCTACAGGGCCAGAAGTTGGAAAAGAGCCTCGGCGGGTCTCTGCTACCTCTGGGGCCTCTGGCTCAGCTTTACTGCTTCCAGTTATTGAGCCCCTGAAGCCTAGGGGTCAAGGTCCCCCCAGCCAGAATGTGGCAACTTCACATAATTCATTCCTTCACCATCCATTTTTCCATCAGTCAGGAAGGACGTTGGTATTGAGGCTGACATACGTTATCAAGGACAGTAACTACCATGGCTTCCAAAGTTTTGCCAAAGCCTCAGATGTGTGGCCTTCTGGCCAAGCGTCTGTGATTTCATATTGTTGAAGCATCCATGGTATCCCTGGGGGCTGCAGCTTTCTATATGTTTGCTGTGGCTGAACCAAGAAAGAAGGCATATGCAGATTTCTACAGAAATTACGATTCCATGAAAGATTTTGAGATGAGGAAGGCTGGTATCTTTTTTTTTTTTTTTTTGAGATGGAGTCTCACTCTGTCACCCAGACTGGAGTGCAGTGGCGCGATCTCAGCTCACTGCAACCTCTACTGCCCGGGTTCAAGCGATTCTCCTGCCTCAACCTTCGGAGTAGCTGGGATTACAGGTGCCTGCCACTGTGCCTGGCTAATTTTTGTATTTTTAGTAGAGACGGGGTTTCACATCTTGGTCAGGCTAGTCTCGAACTCCTGACCTCGTGATCCACCCACCTTGGCCTCCCAAAGTGCTGGGATTACAGGCATGAGCCACTGCACCTGGCTGGAAGGCTGGTATCTTTCAGAGTGCAATGATCTTGGAATATAAAGAATTTCTTCAGGTTGAATTACCTAGAAGTTTGTCACTGACTTGTTCCTGAACGATGACACATGAATATATGGGCTAAGAAATAGTTTCTCTTCATAAACAATTAACAAATAAAAAAATTAATTCATTCACTTAATTAAAGACAAAGAGAGTGAGGGAGGGAGCCAGGTGGAAACTCCAGGTCAGAGTATTCCACATAGAGGGAACAGATGGTGAGGAGGCTCAGAGGAACAGCAGGTCTGGTGGGTGCTGGGGGTGTGGGGCTGAGTGAGAGGGAGAGCAGGTGGGAGGGGAGACAGGGGAACCCGCTGACCTAGGAACTGTATCTCCTTGGGTTATCAAATAACCTGTGGGCAGGGTGCAGTGGCTCACGCCTGTAAAATCCCAGCACTTTGGGAGGCCAATATGGGTGGATCATGAGGTCAGGAGTTCGTGACCAGCCTGGCCAACATGGTGAAACCCCGTCTCTACTAAAAATTAAAAAATTAGCTGGGTGTGGTGGTGCATGCCTGTAATCCCAACTACTTAGGAGACAGAGGCAGGAGATTCGCTTTAACTTGGGAGGCGAAGGTTGCGGTGAACCAAGATCGCGCCATTGCACTCCAGCCTGGGCGACAGAGCAAGAATCTGCCTCAAAAATAAAATAAAATAAAATAAAAATAAAAAAATAAAAAGAACCTATGGTCCTTATCCCCACTCTTCAGGTGGAAGGCCTGTCAAGAGGTCCGAGGGGGTCTTTTAAACTTGCTCTTTGCAATCCAGCAGGCCCAGCAGAGGTCCTTCCCCAGCACACACTCTGACCTCAGCACACCACCTGACGTGATGGGGTGCCAAGGAGACGCCCCAACAATCAGGGAGGAAACCGGGGAGCCGGGCTGTTGTTGTAAACACAGCAGCCCCACCCGAACGGAAACACCTGCGGCTGAGGGGAGGGGGCCGCAACCTCCTATTCCCCTCTGGGTCTCCGTCCCCTCCCTCTGGAGTCCACACTCCCTCTTTGCCCCTTGCTGGTTCTCTACTGCCCCCAGCATAGGGTGGAGTGGGTGTGCAGTTTCTGCGACTCAGGGTGGCGTCCCCCCAACCTGTCCCTGCCCCTTCCTGCCCTCTTTGATGCGGCCCCACTTCCTCTGGCAGGAACCCCCGCCCTCCCTGGACCTGGGTATAAGGCAGGGACTGGGCCCACGGGGAGGCAGCGTCCCCGAGGCAGCAGCGGCAGCGGCGGCTCCTCTCCCCATGGCCCTGTCTCCCAACCCTTGTACCAGTGCTGGGCTCAGACCCTGGTACAGGCCTGGGGGACAGGGACCTGGGGACCCCGGCACCGGCAGGCCCCAAGGGGTGAGGTGAGCGGGCATTGGGACCTCCCCTCCCTGTACTCCCATCTCTGCTGCGGCTTTTATGCGTCTCTCCCCTTCGGGTCCCACATATCCTCTGGTGCGCTCCTGCCTCACCGCCCCCACCCCATGCCTGTCGTCCCCACCTCTGTGTGATGCGCAAAGTACACCTGTTTCTATTGTACCTGCCTCTCGCGGTGGTCTGTGCTCTCCCCAGCTCTGCAAAACCCCTCCTCCCCATGTGCCACAACCCTGGGCCACCGTGTGTCCTGTCCTGTTCCTCTCAAGGCCCCCATCTCTGCGGCCTGTGTGTGTTGGGCCGTCTCCGGACGCTTCCTGCCCACTTCCTTCCCAGCAGCCTGGGCCCCGGTACCACTGAACAGGCTCCAGGGGAGCCTCATGATGCCACTTGCCCACACCACCAATTTCCTTACTGCGATTTTGAGGCAGCTGGCGCAGAGGAAGTTTCTAGAATCTGAGACCTGTAACTCAGCTACTCACTGGGACTTCAGGTGGAGGGCTTGGCCTCTCCCAGATGAGTTTCCTCATCTGCAGATAGGCCTGGTGCCCAACTAGGCGTGTGTGGTGCGTGCATGGGGCCCCCATCCTTGGCTGTAAGGAGGGATAGGAGGCCCAGGCTAAAGCCAAGACCTTTACACTTCACAGCCAGACAACAGGGCCTCAGCACATCCCACTCTACCTGGGTGAGCCCATGCCCACAGCAGGGGGGGGCTGCAGCTTCTTCCCCTCCCCACCCGAGGTGGTCAGGAAAGAGACAGACCAGGGCCTGGAGGACCCAGGGGCCTCCGCCGTCACTCACTTCCTCCCCAGAGACCGGAGGGGGCGGGGGGACAGCGCAACGCCAGGTAATCAGCCTTATTCAGACACCGAAAAGGTGACAAGGACCAAAGAAGGAGACCCAGGGGAAGGCAGGCATCTCAGTTCAGGCTCCACTGTCCTCACCCACAGACATGGGCAGGCAGCCTCTCTGACAGCAGCTCTGCCCAATTCCCCGAGGCACACCCCCACCCCCACCAATGCTCTGGTAAAGGCGCGGAAGATCCCAAGTCTGGCCTGGGAATGAGAAAATAACTTTATTTCATTGTGGGGAGCGGGCCGATGTCCAGCCTCAGAACTTCTGGAACTGCTTCTTGGTGCCGGCAGCCTTGGTGACCTTGAGCACGTTGAAGCGCACTGTCTTGCTCAGAGGCCGGCACTCGCCCACTGTGACGATGTCACCGATCTGGACGTCCCTGTGGAGGCAGGTAGGGCCATGTCCTCAGGAGGGGCCACCCCAGCAGACCCCAGGAGGCCCTCCCTCCCCTTCACCAGGCTAAAGGCTCTCTGCTTCGGCTCCACCAAACCCCAACCAAGCTCTACTCGCCAATTCAACCTGTCCCCTCCTTTCGTACAAGTTTTGTGCCAAGCACCAAGCTCAACGCTGTACACAGAGCAGGCCACCACCCCTCCGAGGACCGCTGGGGTGGACGAGCTCCATTTCACAAGCAAACTGGAGGCCCCCAAGTTGTCAGCAGCCTCACCACCCTTCCCCAGCAGAGCAGCAGGGGGATCCTGCAGCACTGACAACCACAGGTCCCTTATCGCTCAGCATCAGTTTGGGCCACCCTCCTCTCCACCCACAGGACTCCTCACCTTGCTCCCAAGATCCTCCCCGCCCAGAGGGCCACCAATATCAGCTGCCCACATCCCCATTCTGGTTATACTTGGCTGTCATCTGGCACCCACACTGCTTGAAGGTGCCCTCTGAGGGAGCAGGACTTTGTTCCTGGCTCACCACTGAACCCCAAACATCTCACACCACACCTGGTACGTGATAAGCTCTAACTAAAACATGCTGAGGGAATGAACAAACGTTTAATTCCAACATTTCTGAGGTTCCCATCTGGTATGACATCCTAACCTTTTGGTTCAAACGCACCTGCCTATTACAGGTTCAGCACCCTAATCCAAAAATTCTGAAACGCTGCAAAATCTGAATTTGTGTGTGTGTGGGAGAGACAGGGTCTTACTCTGTCGCCCAGGCCGGAGAGCAGTGCTGCCATCTCGGCTCACTGCAGCCTCCACTTTCTGGGCTCAAGCAATCCTCCCACCCCAGCCGCCTGAAGACCTGAGACTACAGGCACATGCTACCACACCTGGCAAACTTGTATTTTTTGTAGAGAGAGGGTTTTGCCATGTTGCCCAGGCTGGTCTCAAACTCCTGGGCTCAAGGGATCCTCCTGCCTCAGCCTCCTACAGTGCTGGGATTACTGGCTTGAGCCACGGTGCCTGGCTAGAATCTGAAACTTCTTCAATACCAGCGTGACACCTTTGCTTTCCAATGGTTCAATGTACGCAAACTTTGTTTCACACAGAATTATAAAACGCACTGCGTAAGACTACTTTCAGGCTATGTGAATAAGGTGTATATGAAACAAATGAGCTTCTTGTTTAGACCTATGTCACATCCCCAAAACATCTCACTATGTATGCGAGAACATTCCAAAATCTGGTTCCAAGCATTTCAGGTAGAGATATTCACCCTGTAGAACGCTTTGATTCTGAAGAACATATGATATACAAATCCTGAGATTCTGGGGCTTCCCAGAGATGCCACCTCAGTCTTTCCCTCCCTCAGTTGGCCTTAAATTGGTCCGATCTGGAATCTGAAGGCTGAGAGAGCGTGGCCTGAGCAACCTGATGGGCCACTGCGCTCACCTGAAGCAGGGGGACAGGTGTACAGACATGTTCTTGTGGCGCTTCTCGAAGCGGTTGTACTTGCGGATGTAGTGCAGATAGTCTCGGCGGATGACAATGGTCCTCTGCATCTTCATCTTGGTCACCACGCCTAGGAGCGGGGGCCGATCATAGGTCAGGTCCCATGGGAAAGAGGGCCATAGGTAACCCAGGGCATGCTGGGACTCAGAAGCAGCTGAGCAGGGATCCCAAAAAGCCCCATTTCCGGCATCAGTTTTACCAAGTGGCTTTCTCAGCAGTGCCCACGTGGGCATCTGAAGACCATCGTGAAAACAAACATCATCTGCCAATGTACCTGGACCTACAAGTTTGCATTCCTAACCACCCCTCTCACCCAGGACCCAGGAGTCTGGGCCCCAAGACCCTTCTTTCAGTATTTCAGGCCCCAGACACCAGTAACTCCCGCACTTACCAGAGAGGATCCGCCCTCGAATGGACACATTACCAGTGAAGGGGCATTTCTTGTCAATGTAGGTGCCCTCAATAGCCTGAAAGGATAGGAAAGATAAAGGAGTGAGCCTTGGGCGGGCGGTTCCTTAAAAGAGCCAGGGGCGTGGCCTCAGGGAAGCAACTACAATTCCCAGCAGCCCCAGAAGCCACTTAGATGCAGGCAGGGCAACTCGTCGTGGGCACACGTGCAGGAACGCCAGGTTCCCCTTCTTTCTTCTGAGGTTCCCCGCACCTCCTTGGGTGTCTTGAAGCCCAGACCGATGTTCTTGTAGTACCGCGGGAGCTTCTCCTTGCCAGTTTCTCCCAGCAGGACCCTCTTCTTGTTTTGAAAGATGGTCGGCTGCTTTTGGTAGGCACGCTCAGTCTACAGATTATGAGGAGAAAACTGATGAGCTGCTAAGTTTGAAGCCGGCAGCCAACCAGCCCTAGAGACCTTCCCAGAACCTCCCAGACCCCATGCTCTACATTTACTTGCAAAGCGCCGGCGTCCAAGGCCTGGTGCCCCAGAATCACCCTCTAAGACATGACCACCCTGACCTTACCTGTAATTCATACTCAGATCTAAGCCCGAGGTTATTTCAATTTATATACTCCAGAAGGCCTCTCAGGGATTGCAAAATTCATCCTCTAAACCAGGATCAACCCTCTCACACCCTGGACACCTTTCAGCGAGGATCATTCTCCAAGACCCAAGATCGCCCACCCAGGATTCACTCCTTATGTAGTACATAAGGATTCAGAATTAAATACCAGACGGCAGGCTCCCTGGATTAGCCCTTAGGAGTCCGTTTCCACAGAATTACCCCTGAAGACCGGAGAACTCCAAAAAAACCTTCTTAAACTTGGTTTTTAAGAAGGTAAGTCCTAAAACGCTTGAGCCTCCATTAACGCCAGGAGCCCCCAGGAATTAGGAAGCACTCATCTAGAAACAAAAGCAAGCGCCCTCCACTCCAGTTAATCTCTAGAAAATAATCACGGACGCCCGGAATTAACCCCCGAACTTGGCCGCCGGGCTCTGCCCTCCCGGACGCGCCCCTGAAGGCCAAGGCGGACCCCGCACCCTGGCATCCAACCCCGAGTCCGCACCTGAATGTCCGCCATCTTCCCGGCCGCCTGAAAAAAAGAAAGGGGCAGCAGCGTCCGGGTTTCCTTATCGATTACGCAGGGGCTGGAGAGGAAGTGACGTAAGGAGAAACGCAGCACGGCCTTGGGCGGGGCCTCGAGAGCTGCTCTGATTGACAGGCTGCACTTAAACCAGCGGGCGATTCGGGCACTGTGAAGGACTGACGGGCGGGAAGTGCTAGACGGTGTCTCGCGAGAGTCTTAGGCCCCACAACGCCGGGCGCGATTATTTAGGCAGGGAAGATGTGACCAGCCTTCAGCCCGCCCGTATTATCGCGAGAGTCGTACGGAGTCCATCCTGTTTCGGCGTGGCGTAGGCTCCCGTGGGATTTGGATACCGCGTGGCTCTGTTCGTTCAGCCTTCAAACCGGATGAGGCGGCTGCCATCTTTTTGAAGGGTGGGCGGCCGGGGAGTGCTAGGAGCATGTGTGGCGGCGTCGCCATCTTTGTTAGGGGCAGGAGCTGCCCACGAACTTTCAGAGGTGCAGTGAAAGTTACTCTCGGCCTAGCGCGGTGGCTCACGCCTGTAATCCCAACACTTTGGGAGGCTAAGGCAGGCGGATCACCTGAGGTCAGGGGTTCAACACCAGCCTGGCCAACATGGTGAAACCCCGTCTCTACTAAAAATACAAAAATTAGCCGGGCGTGGTGGCGGGCCCCTGTAATCCCAGCTACTTGGAAGGCTGAGGCAGGAGAATCGCTTGAACCTGGGAGGCGAAGGTTGCAGTGAGCTGAGATCGCGCCATGGCACTCCAGCCTGGCCGACAGACAGCCTGGGCGACAGAGCAAGACTCCGTATCAAACAAAACAAACAAACAAACAAAAAACGGGCTCGGTGGCTCACGCCTGTAATCCCAGCACTTTGGGAGGCCGAGGTGGGCGGATCACCTGAGGACAGGAGTTCGAGACCAGCCTGACCAACATGGAGAAACGCCGTCTCTACTAAAAATACAAAATTAGTCGGGCATGGTGGCGCATGCCTGTAATCCCAGCTACTCAGGAGGCTGAGGCAGGAGAATCTCTTGAACCTGGGAGGCGGAGGTTGCAGTGAGCCGAGATCGCGCCATTGCACTCCAGGCTGGGCAACAACAGCAAAACCGTCTCAAAAAAAAAAAAAAGAAAGAAAGAAAGTTACTCTCGCCGAGTGCAGTGCGCCTCGCCTGTAATCCCAACACTTTGTGAGGTCGAGGGAGGAGGATCGCTTGAGCTGGGGAGGTCGTGGCTACAGTGAGCTATCATTGCGCCACTGCATTCCAGCCTGGGCGACGGAGCGAGACCGTCTCAAAAAAAAAAAAAAAGAGAAAGAAAGCTACTCTCTCCTCATTTCATCCGCAGACGATGATTTAATTGGTGCCAGGGGTTGGCGTGGAGCGATCCTTCTGCCGTTTTTCTGAAGATAACAGGATCGTCTAGTAGAACTTTATGTGATGGAAATTTTCTATATCTGCGCTGGTGGACACGGTAGTCACTGGCACTCTAAATGTGGCTTTTATGACTGAGGACATAAATGTTTAACTTTGATTGTGTTATATCTAAATAGCCACATGTGGCTAAAGGCTACTGTGTTGAACAGCACAAGTCTATAGCTGAATATTACGGTTTTTTTTTTTTTTTTTTTTTGGACGGAGTCTCGCTCTGTCACCCAGGCTGGAGGGCAGTGGTGCGATCTCGGTTCACTACAAGCTCCGCCTCCCGGGTTCACGCCATTCTCCTGCCTCAGCCTCTCCGAGTAGCTGGGACTACAAGGCGCCTGCCACCACGCCCGGCTAATTTTTTGTATTTTTAGTAGAGACGGGGTTTCACCGTGGTCTCGATCTCCTGACCTCGTGATCCGCCCGCCTCGGCCTCCCAAAGTGCTGGGATTACAAGCGTGAGCCACCACGCCCGGCCGGTATTTTATTTATTTTTAGAGACTCCCTAGGGTATCTCTCTGTCGCCCAGGCTAGAGTACAGTGGCTCAATCATAGCTCACTGCAGCCTCGACCTCCCCAGCCTCAGGTAGTCCTCCCACCTCAGCCTTGCAAGTAGCTGGGACTACAGGCATGTGTCACCATGCCCAGCTAATTTATTTTATTTTTAGTAGGGACAAGGTCTCGCTATATTACCCAGACTGGTCTCGAAATCCTGGGCTCAAGTGATTCTCCAGCCTCGGCCTCCCAAAGTTCCGGGAACAGGTGAGACTGCACCCAGCCTCACTCTATTCATATTTAAGTGCTCAGGAGCCACAAGTGGGGTTAGTGGCTTGTGTATTGTGTATCAGTTAGTGCAGCTATAGAACATCTTAATAAAAAAAAAAAAAAAATTGGCCGGGCGCGATGGCTCACGCCTGTAATCCCAGCACTTTGGGAGGTGGAGGCGGGTGGATCACGAGGTCAGGAGAGCGAGACCGTCCTGGCTAACACGGTGAAACCCCGTCTGTACTAAAAATAAAAAAAATTAGCCAGGCACGGTGGCGGGCACCTGTAGTCCCAGCTACTCGGGAGGCTGAGGCAGGAGAATGGCGTGAACCCGGGGGGCGGAGCTTGCAGTGAGCCGAGATCGCGCTACTGCACTCCAGCCTGGGCGACAGAGCCAGACTCTGTCTCAAAAAAAAAAAAAAAATTCTTGTTAACTCAGAGTCTCCCTATGTTGCCCTGTCTGGACTCCAACTCCTGGACTCAAGCCAGTCCTCTCACTTCAAATGGTTGGGGTTACAGGTGTGAGCCACCACATCCTGTAAGAGTTTTTTTTGTTTTTTGTTTTTGTTTTTTTTTGAGACGGAGTCTTGCTCTGTCGCCCAGGCTGGAGTGCAGTGGTGCAATCTCGGCTCACTGCAACCTCTGCCTCCCGGGTTCAAGTGATTCTCCTACCTCAGCCTCCCGACTAGCTGGGATTACAGGCGCCCTGCGCCACGTCCAGCTAATTTTCGTATTTTTAGTAGAGGTGGGGTTTCACCATGTTGGCCAGTCTAGTCTCTAACTCCTGACCTCAGTTGATCCACCCGCCTTGGCCTCCCAAAATGCTGGGATTACAGGCGTGAGCCACTGCACTTGGCCAAGAGTTCTTTATGGCAGGATACAAGACCTTCAAAAAGAGATGACTTGTAAATGTTTTCTCCTAGTCTGTGGCTCGTCTTTCCTGATGGTGTCTTCTCAGTCTTAAAAATTTTTATAAAGCCCACATTCCCATTTGCTAATGGATCATGCTTTTGGAGGATAATTGTGCCGTTTCACATGGAATTGGTGAAATTGAAGATTATGCTCTAAGTCTGGTTATTTCTGGAGTCGGCTTCTCTGGTGGATGAGAATCCATGTGGGGACTCTGGCAGGGGTAGGCACCACCCATGTTCACTGATTCTCAGGGAAAACACAAGCCACTGCGGTCTCTTCAGACTCTTCTGGAAAGGTTAATAAGCCCCTGATGGAATGGTGTGGCAAGTTATAATCTGCTATCAACACAATGCACATCACTGTCCACTCATCTTTCTCTGGGGTAAGGTTGTACATGTAAGTATACAGGTAACAAACAGTTACTCCTGAATCTTGGCATCCAACCGCAAGGACAGCATGAATCTAGCTTCCTTTACTTCACAGCATGTTTACTTTTAGTGTTTAGGCTGTTTAGCGTGGAGACCTGGGTATGACGTATTACTGAACACGACTGCTAGACATCAGTAAAATGGGAACGGGGCCTGCTCCAGCAAGCTTTGACCAGGGACATTTTATGAAATTGCTACCTAGTACTAAATGCTCTGTATCAGTGCCCTTTCTGGGATTCAGACTGGCAGATCTAATGGGTTCTCTTAGTGCATAAAGCCTAGCGTTATCTGTTATTCTAGTGCTTATCATTTGCAAAATGCTAGTCTCTACAGACCGCCGGGACTACAGCAGCCTGGCAGCAGGGCATGGGTCCATACTTTGCAGCTGAATTAGAATGAGACAGCTTTACATTAACTAGGAAGCACCAGGCACTGCTGGCCACATTTTATGTCTTTGGTTTGTAAACGGTGTCTATAAAGGATCATTCAATTTATAGCAAGTTACATATATTCTGTATATTAGCACAGCCCATTCTACCCTCTTCAAGCTCCTCACCCCCCATTTGCCAGGGGCCTGCCTCCACAGCAGACACAGTGCAAAGACGCCAGATTTCTTTAAAAGCAATTTATTTCTGATTACAAAATACAGGTGAGGAGCATGGGCGATGCCTGTAACCCCTTGGTTGTGCATCTTCCCAGTCTATTTCTGCTTCTAGAAATACCCTGTGTACAACAGCAAGCTCATGCTGTCCCCAAGTGCTTGCACATTCTAACAGCTGCAGAGTATATGACCAGGTGGAAAGTCCAACAGATGCCCCACTCACAAGATAGGGCCCTCCAATCAGTCTTCTGGCTCCCTTTCACTCATAGTAACTGGTTGCTCTTCCTATTGGTCATAGATAAATGACACCTGCACAATTCTCCGAGTGCTTTCAAGCAACTTCGGGAGGCAGTGACTAAGACCCTTTCCTTGCTCCCAGCTTCCTATGTCCCAGGGCTGCCTGTGGCACCTGGACTGCTGCTGCCCCTGGGTCCCGTACATTCCAGGGCAACAATGGAGGAAGGGCAGGCAACGCATGAGGAATTAACAGTCTTTATTGGGCTCAGACCAGGAGTCCGTGGGTCTTGAGGACCTCTGTGTATTTGTCAATTTTCTTCTCCACGTTCTTCTCGGCCTGTTTCCGTAGCCTCTGCCAAGAATAAGTGCAGGTGGTGGTGGTCAGGAGGGGTTGCATTGCCCTCATTACATGGACTGCATCCCACCCCAACCCCGGCTGGTCCTTTGCCAGTTAAGAGTACTCTGTGAGCAAGGCACCTGCCAGGCCTGTCCAGGAGTGAGATGCCCCCCTCAGCACCAGCCCCTGGCCTCACCATGAGCTGTTTCTTCTTCCGGTAGTGGATCTTGGCTTTCTCTTTCCTCTTCTCCTCCAGGGTGGCTGTCACTGCCTGGTACTTCCAGCCAACCTCGTGAGCCAGGCGCCCCAGATAGGCAAACTGCGGGGGGGGGGGGGGGGGGTGAACAAATGAAGTTGTAAGGATATCTAAGCCCCCACACCCTGAAGAGCCGGAGCTGTTGAGAGCTGGGAGGTGACTGACAGCTGGGCATATCATAATGCAACTGTTCTCTGCAGGCCTGTTAGAAAAGCACCCACCCAAGCCTCCTGGCATCAGCTAAGCCATTGGCATTGTCGCCATTCCCACAGGGACATCCGCAGACCATCGTGAGATAAGGACATCATCTGCCAGGCTCCAGGTCCCCAGGTCCCTCAGCAGGCCTGAAATCTCCCAAGTAGATGGTGCAGCGTAAGCTGGGACTCACCTTTCTTGTAGGCTTCAGACGCACGACCTTGAGGGCAGCAGGAACCACCATCCGCTTTTTCTGTTAGAGAAAGAGAGGGGCTTAAGAGCCCGGGAGGGACAGACAGGGAAGGAGGTCGGCTGGACTGGCGTCTCAGCCAGTGCTGCTTTCATGAGGATCAAACAATGTAGGTAGTTGCGGAACATCATGGACGCCACAGGTAAGGCCGCTGCCTGTGGGGTTTGGCATAGCTCACCTTGTCGTAGGGCGGTGGGATGCCGTCAAACACCTTGAGACGGTCCAGAGCGGCCTGGCCTCGCTTGGTTTTGTGGGGCAGCATACCTGTTGGGTGACAGATAGCAGGCCCAGTCAGAGGGCCTCATAAGGATGCCCACCCACCCCACTGAGGTGGGCCCATGGGGTGGCCTCAGATGGTAGTGCATGTGGAGTCATCTCATGGTCGGGAAACTCGAATGTGAGTGGGAGAAGTTCTCATCACCGGCCGCCTGCCCGTCACCACCTGCAGTCCCCACGCTCTGCTCACCTCGCACGGTCCGCCAGAAGATGCGGCTGGGGGCCCGGAAGTGGTAGGGGCCTCGGGAAGGGTTGGTGTTCATCCGCTTGCGGAGGAAAGCCAGGTACTTCACTAGGGAGAGGGGAGAGTGTGAGGCCTGCCCAGTCTACCAGCACCCCCAAAACCCCACTTCCAAGGGCCTTCTCAGAAACCCCAAGTAGCCTCTCCCAACACGGCTGCAATTGCTTTCAGAGCCTCAACACCCCACAGGGAGACCCTCTCCAGTGCTCCTCCCAGGTCCTAACTTACACTTGTTTCTGTAGAAATTGCCAGAAATGTTGATGCCTTCACAGCGTACGACCACCACCTTCCGGCCTAGAGGGAGGGAAAGGCTTAGCAGGGCCGAGCCGCCTGAGGGTCCCACCACTGCCTATGCAGTCACCCTCCAGACACAGCGCAGTACTTGCCAGAGCTAAGTTCCTGTTTAAATGAAAAACTAGCCTAATACATAATTACTTCTTGAGCCTGGAGTCCCCAACCCTGGGGAAGAGTGGCTGGCAGGTCTCAGAGCGGTGCATGGGGTTGATCTCATGGCCGTGAGACTCAAACGAAAGATGGTGAATGTTGCTCATCACTGACCTCCAGCGGGGGCCCATGACAGAGGGGCCACGAGCAGCGACTTACCCAGCAGTACCTGTTTAGCCACGATGGCCGCCAGGCGGCCCAGGAGATGGCCTCGACCATCAAGCACCAGGACCTGTGGGAGACAAGGGCAAAAGGACTCAGAGACAAGGACAGCCTTTGATTGTCCTCACAAGCAAGCATTCCCTTCTTTTGTCCTACCGTGCCAACAGCGTGCCTTGCACCCAGCCATCAGAGCTGGGAACTATGCACGGAGCCCCGTTCTACAGATGAGGAACAGGGACTGAGAAAGCAAGGCTGCCTCAGGATCAGTGAGTGAGCAGTTTAAGAGGCCCAAACTCCCCTCATATCTGAGTTCTTCTATGAGTATTTTATGCTCAGATTGTATTTTGCAAAGCAATTGGATTTGAACGAAGACCAGCAAGGCTCTGCCCACTGACTACCCAGTTACAAGACCTTGTAACTAATAAACTGTAGGATTTGGTTTTGAGACAGGGTCTCGCTGTTGCACAGGCTGTCCTGTGATCCTGTGACCTCCCAGGATCAAGCTATCCTCCCACCTCAGCCTCATGAGTAGCTGGGACTACAGGCGCGCACCACCACACGCAGCTAATTTTTGTACTTTTTTTTTTGTTGAGTCAGGGTTTTGCCATGTTGCCTAGGCTGCTCTTGTACTCCTCGCTTCAAGTGAACCGTGTGCCTCGGCCTTCCAAAATGCTCGGATTACAGGCTTGAGCCACTGTGGCCAATCAATTGTAGGATGTTAACACAATCTAATTCTCTTCTAATGTATAGGATGTTTCTACCACAAATTTAATTTGGAAGAAAACCGAATTTCAGGTGGGATGAGATTAGGCAGAGTAGTCAAAAGCCCATGCTAGCTCTGCTATAGAGCACTCTGCTTTCCCCGGTAAACTGCTCAGGCACCGAACCTCAGCTTCCTCCGGAGTAGAAATCCTGGCCGGGCACAGGGGCTCACGCCTGTAATCCCAGCACTTTGAGAGGCCTAGGTGGGCAGATCAGTTGAGGTCAGGAGTTCGAGACCATCCTGGCCAATATGGTGAAACCCTGTCTCTACTAAAAACACAAAAATTAGCCAAGCGTCGTGGCAGGCACCTGCAGTCCCAGGTACTCGGGAAGCTGAGGCAGGAGAATCACTTGAACTTGGGAAGCAGAGGTTGCAATGAGCCAAGATCGCACCATTGCACTCCAGCCTGGGTGTCACAGCGAGACTCCGTCTCAGAAAAAACACTAAAAGTAGAAATCCTCATTGTTTTAATGCAAAAGCATGAAGCACACACTGGTTGTTACACATGCTTTGTAAGCGTTGGTACAAAGACTCTAAAATCCAGACAGACTTCCTGAAGTCGTGACCTTGGCCCAAAATCACCAATTCCAATTTAATTTCCTCCTCTGTAAAACAAGGATACCAGTAACTGCCTCAGGAATATGGTTAACTGAACTACGCAAAACATTGCGAACTGTGCTAGGCACAAAGACACATGCTTGGTGAACACAACTTGCCTAGATCGGCCTGGCTCTGAAATGTCACCCGCCCCAACAACAGACTACTCACAAAGAAACCTTTCCAGGGCCAATCCCTCCTTTATACTTAAGTAGCTACACCAGGAGCCAGGGAAAGGGCCCCCAGGTGTCAGGCCCAAAAGATGTCCCATCCTTGTGGAACCATTCATCACAGCTCTCGACTTCCAGTAACACGCCTCAGGACAATCGCCAATCCCCAAAACGACGGAAAACGAGTTCATTCCAGAGTGCCCCGCAGCCAACAGCTCTCGACCCCCCGCAGAAAGGCATTGAGAATTAAAAGAACCGGAGCTGCAGGGGACCCCGATTAACACCTCCACGTGAAATCAAAGTAGCCCGCGCACTGAGCGGGATAAAAATACCTTCCATTTTGGCCAAAACTCAGTTTCTCATTGCCCCGAGACCGCCCGGCCACACTTCCGCGTGTTCCTCATCGCTGAGGACACACAAGGGTCCAATTCGGCCAAGACTCTACCCCAGGGCCCCCACCCACTACCCGAGTTCAAGGTAAGCAAAATCTAGTTGCAAAATACCTGTCCTGTGCTGGAAGCTCTATCACCCTCGCCTCGAGAAGGAAATGCCACATTGTAGCCAACCCTAGGCCTAAAGAGAGCCGCGGCATTTCCTACAGATTCCCCTTATCCCAAAAGACTTCCATTTTGCTTCATTATGGATGTTAAGCTCCGCAAAACATGCAAGACAGAGAGGGTGCGACCCCATTCCGGCCTGGATCCCACCCGGCCCCTTGCCGCCCCGGCCCGCGCGGAGCCCATACCTGCACCTCCGCCATCTTCGGCAGCCGCTTGGAAAAGGAGGAGGTTTTGTCGCAGGGTTTCTTATCCCTTGAAACAGGGGCGGCAGAAGTGACGCAACGCGGTTGCGCGGACGGCTTCCTGTGTTTTCATTGGTCGAAGCGTTCTGCGCGTGCGCAGAGATTCCCCAGGGAAGGCGGGCCCTCTTCCGAATGTCCAATCCGGACATTCTTCCGGTTGGACCTCCGCGGTCAGCGCTGTGCCCGGCGAGAGATCACGTGGGGCGCGGAGGCGGTGCTGCTGGGGCACGGCCGTCCAGCCTCGGCGGCCATATTTTTGAGGGGCTGTTCATCTCGTTCACACGCTCTGTCCGCCATGTTTGTGAGTGGAAGCGCCATTACCCCTTCAAGCGACTGAAGGCTGCAGGGCCTCTGGTGGCCCGCATGGGGAGACCAGACCCGCCAGGCCCGCCTTTCCGCACTCAGTCCGGGCTTACTTTATTTTGTGAGACAGGGTCTCGCTGTGTTGTCCACACCAGAGTGCTGTGGGGCGATCATGGCTCACCGCAGCCTCCACTTCCTGGGCTCAAGGGATCCTCCTGCCTCAGCCTCTCGAGTAACTTGGACTACAGGGGCGCGCCACCATGCCTGGCTAATATATATATATATATATATTTTGTTGTGGCCCGGGAACGGGGGGAGTCTGACATGTTGGCCAGGCTGATCTCGAACTCCTGGGCTCAAGCGATCCTCCCGTTTCGGCCTCCCAAAGTGCTGGGATTACCGGCGTGAGCCCCGGAGCCTTGCCCATTCTAGGCTTAGAGATTTGGATTCCTGTGTCTGGTCGACTTCACTGTGACCTGGAGAAACCCTTGGCCTTATCTGGGCCTCAGTTTATCCATCTGTAAAACAGATGGAGGTGGTCTTCCCCAGGGGCTCTAAGAGTGGATCAAGGAATGGCTTCTAGTTGCCTGGCTGCACCAATCCACTGAGCGTTCCTCAGAGGAACTTCTCACTTTCTGGACTGTCGGCCTTTGCTTCAGCTGGGTCCCTTGCCCAGGATGCCCTCCCCACCCCCTCCAAATCTGGCTTGTCACCATCGCAATGCCATTTGGCTCTGGAAAGCCTCTCTGCTCTCCCTGCCTGGGTGAGTTGCCCCTCACACTGCCTCTGTTTTATCTCCATAGTAGCCTATGGCATCCTGCACCCAGGCTCGCTGAATCCCTTGTCTTCTCGTCCATAGCCAAGGAGACCTGGGGCACCTGGGCTGGTTCTGACTCAAATCCAGGCTCTGACATTGCCCAGCGCCGGCCCGGGGCTCCAGGGGACCTCAGAAAACACGTATTGAATGAAACATTGCATTGCAATTCAAAAACCAAGATTCTGAAATCAAAACTACCCCATTCACACCCATCCATAGACAGACCTGGCCAGAGCTGGTAGAAAAGGATGATTTATATACAATTTCATGGGGACAAGGGCTTTGTACAGAGTTGGGTAAATGGGGCCGGTGCTGGATTCTGGCGTTGCCTCCATTCTGGGGAGGGAATGAGAGGGGCCCAAGGAAGGGACCGGCCTCTAGCCAACTTCCTCTGTGTCCAGGCTATGCATCCTCTGGCTGGTGACTCCCCTCTGTGTGCCTCAGTATCCTCCCCTGTAAAATGGGATGATAGATGTCTGTCTCACTGCGTTGTTTAAGGCTCCGCTGAGAGAGGAGAGGGAAAGTAGCTTAGCTTGGGGCGGGCCACAGATTTATGCCCAAAACAACTCCATTCCCAGCAAGCGCTTACTATGTGCTAGGGCATTGCTGTCCAAGAGAACGTGGCCATGATAGAAATGTTCCCTATATTTCCCCGGGCGCGGTGGCTCATGCCTATAATCCCAGCAGTTTGGGAGGCTGAGGCTGGTGGATCACCTTAGGTTGGGAGTTTGAGACCAGCCTGACCAACAGGGAGAAACCCCATCTCTACTAAAAATACAAAATTAGGGCCAGGCACAGTGGCTCACGCCTGTAATTCCAGCACTTTAGGAGGTCGAGGCGGGCGGATCACCTGAGGTTGGGAGTTTGAGACCAGCCTAGCTAACATGGAGAAACCGTTTCTACTAAAACTACAAAATTAGCTGAGGCAGGAGAATTGCTTGAACCCGGGAGGCGGAGGTTGCAGTGAGTCGAGATTGCACCATTGCACTCCAGCCTTGGCAATAAAAGCAAAAGTCTGTCTCAAAAGAAAAAAACAAAAACAAAAACAAAATTTGCTAGGCATGGTGGTGCATGTCTGTAATCCCAGCTACTTGGGAGGCTGAGGCAGGAGAATCGCTTGAACCTGGGAGGCAGAGGTTGCGGTGAGCCAAGATCGTGCCATTGCACTCCAGCCTGGGCGACAAGAGCGAAACTCCCATCTCAAAAAAAAAAAAAAAAAGAAAAAAAAGAAAAAGAAACGTTCTCTATTTTTGCTCTTTAATACGGGAGTAACAAGCCACATGTGAATACTGAACACTTGAGATGGGGCCGGTGCACTACTCAGGAGGCTGAGGCAGGAGGATCACTTGAGTCCAGGAGTTTGAGGCTGGACTTAAACTTCTTTTGAGACAGTCTTGCTCTGTTTCAGGCTGGAATGCAGTGGCATGATCTCAGCTCACTGCAGCCTCTGCCTCCCGGGTTCAAGCCATTCTTCCTGCCTCAGCCTCCTGAGTTAGCTGGGATTACGGGTGCACGCCACCATGCCCAGCTCATTTTTATATTTTTAGTAGAGACGGGGTTTCACCATGTTGCCCAAGCTGGTCTTGAACTCTTAGGCTCAAGCGATCTGCCAAGGAGTTACAGGTGTGAGCCACCATGCTGGGTGAGATACAATAAAATTAATATCAGGTATTAGTTGGGCAGGGCGGCTCATGGCTGTAATCCTATCACTTTGGGAGGTCAAGGCGGGCAGATCACGAGGTCAGGAGTTCGAGATCAGCCTGGCCAATATGGTGAAACCCCATCTCTACTAAAAATACAAAAATTAGCCAGGTGTGGTGGTGTGTGCCTGTAATCCCAGCTACTCAGGAGGCTGAGGCAGTAGAATCGCTTGAACCCGGGAGGCAGATGTTGCAGTGAGCCGAGATCGTGCCGTTGCACTCCAGCCTGGGCAATAGAGTGAGACTCCGTCTCAAAAACAACAACAACAACAAAAGAAACCCCGTCTCTACTAAAAATACACTAAATTAGTTGGGCGTGGTGGCAGGCGCTTGTAATCCAAGCTACTCCAGAGGCTGAGGCAGGAGAATCGCTTGAACCTGGGAGGTGGAGGTTGCCGTGAGTCAAGATAGCACCACTGCACTCCAGCCTGGCTAACAAGAGCAAAAGTCTGTCTCACAAAAAAAAAAAAAAAAAAAAATTATAATAAAAAATAAATTTAAGACAGGAAACAGATTGGACAGGGACTAGGTTGGGAGGAAAACTGCTCAATGTATTACCTTTTCTTAAAAAAAAAAAAAAAGATAGGCTGGGCGTGGTGGCTCACGCCTATAATCCCAGCACTTTGGGAGGCTGAGGCGGGCAGATCACGAGGTCAAGAGATCGAGACAATCCTGGCAAACATAGTGAAACCCTACCTCTACTAAAAATACAAAAATTAGCTGGGTGTGGTGGCACGCGCCTGTAGTCCAAGCTACTGGGGAGGCTGAGGCAGGAGAATCACTTGAACCCGGGAGGCGGAGGTTGCAGTGAGCCGAGATCGTGCCACTGCACTCCACCCTGGGCGACAGAGCAATTTAGATACTGGTCTTTGATCTTTTTTTTTTTTTTTTTTTTTTTTTTGAGACAGAGTCTCCCTCTATTGCCCAGGCTGGAGTGCACTAATTATTTTTGTTGTTGTTGGATAGATACCGGTCTTAGCAATCATGATGATTCCCAGAGATAGCAACTGGGATTCTAAACTCTTCTGTGTGGTTTTTTTGTTTTTGAGACAGGGTCTTGCTCTCTCACCCAGGCTGGAGTGCAGTGGCACAATCAGGGCTCACTGCAGCCTCGACCTCCTGGGCTCAAGCAATCCTCCTACTTTGCCTCCTAAGTAGCTGGGACTGCAGGCATGTGCCACCACACCCAGCTACTTTTTAAAATTTTTTGTAGAGATGGGGTTTCACCATGTGGCCCAGGCTGGTTTAATGTATGTTTTGAACAACTTGACTATGTGAGTCTACTTTTGGCAACTGTAAATTTCATGAAATTTAAATATAGATGAAGCATTTCTGATAAAAATTTATTGTCTGGGCTGGGCGCGGTGGCTTACACTTGTAATCCAGCACTTTGGGAGGCTGAGGCGGGCGGATCACGAGGTCAGGGGATGGAGATCATCCTGGCCAACATGGTGAAACCCGGTCTCTACTAAAAGTACAAAAATTAGCTGGGTGTGGTGGCGTAATCCCAGGTACTCGGGAGGCTGAGGCAGGAGAATCGCCTGAACCAGGGAGTCCGAGGTTGCAGTGAGCTGAGATCGCGCCACTGCACTCCAGCCTGGGTGACAGAGCGAGAATCCATCTCAAAAGGAAAAATAAATAAATAAATAAACTATACGTTGGATGCTGAAGGCTTAGTATGACAAAAGAATGTAAAATATCCCAAAATGATGAATGATTCCAACTGATTAATGTCTCATTAATCATTGAGAAATACTGATTACATGTTGAAATAACAACATTTTGGATATACTGCATAAAATAAAGTTACCTGCTTCTTTTTCCTTTTTTAAAAACTGTGACCCCGGGCGCGGTGGCTCACGCCTGTAATCCCAGCACTTTGGGAGGCTGAGGCGGGTGGATCATGAGGTCAGGAGTTCGAGACCAGCCTGACCAACATGGTGAAACCTTGTCTCTACTAAAAACACAAAAAATTAGCCGGGCGTGATGGCGCGTGCCTGTAATCCCAGCTACTCGGTAGACTGAAGCAGGAGAATCGCTTGAACCCGGGAGGTGGAGGTTGCAGTGAGCTGAGATCACACCACTGCACTTCAACCTGGCGACAGAGTGAGACTCCATCTCAGGAAAAAAAAAAAAAAAATGTGGCTACCAGGAAAGTGAAAATCGCACAGGTGGCTCACATGCCGTTTCCACTGCGTTGCTCTAAGAGCCTTGCCTGTGTCACTTCACTTCACCCCATAACAACCCTATGGTGGAAGGACTATTATTAGAGCCTTTTGTACAGATCAGGAAACTGAGGCAGCAGAGTGAAGGGCACAGATGCTGGATCAAGACAAACTCGAGGCCGGGCGTGGTGGCTCATGCCTGTAATCCCAGCACTTTGGGAGGCTGAGGCGGGCGGATCAGCTAAGGTCAGGAGTTCGAGACCAGCCTGGCCAACATGGTGAAACCCCGTCTCTACTACAAATACAAAAATTAGCCGAGTGTGGTGGTGGGTACCTGTAATCCCAGCTACTCCAGAGGCTGAGGCAGGAGAATCACTTGAACCTGGGAGGCGGGGGCTGCAGTGAGCCGAGATCATGCCACTGCACTACAGCCTGGGCGACAGAGCAAGACTCCATCTCAAAAAAAAAAAAAAGACAACCTGAAGTCAAATCTTGGTTGTCACCCTTGAGCTGTGTGACTTTTGGCAAATTATTTACCTCTCTATGCCTTGGGATCATAATGGCACGAACTTCTCAAGGAAGTGAGTTCATTTGTGGAAAGCCCAGCATGGGCCAGGAACAGTGGCTCACACCTGTCATCCCAGCACTTTGGGAGGCTGAGGCGGGCGGATCAGCTGAGATCAGGAGTTTGAGACCAGCCTGGCCAACATGGCGAAACCCCATCTCTACTAAAAATACAAAAAATTAGCCAGGCATGGTGGCGGGCGCCTGTAATCCCAGCTACTTGGGAGGCTGAGGCAGGAGAATTGCTTGAACCTGGGAGGTGGAGGTTGCAGTGAGCCAAGATCCCGCCACTGCACTCCAGCCTGGGTGACAGAGTGAGAGTCCATCTCAAAAAAAAATAAAGCAAGCAAGCCAGCCCCACATGAGGCCTGCATTACCAAGGCACTATATGTGCGAGCAATTACTACAAAATGTTAGATTTGAAATGTTAGGGGACCCGCTGGGGCCTCCCCTCCTTCTTCCCTCCTGGCCCACCTGCCTACCTGCCTGCACCCTCCACACCTGTTCCCAGCTCCTTTCCTCCCTCTCACACCTCCCATGGCTCCTTGCTGCCCCACGCTGGCCCAAGTTACTGGAACACCCTGAGCTTTCTCATACCAAAGGGCTTCCAAAGGCAGTTCCCTCTTTCTGGAATGCCATTTCCTTCCTGTCCCAGGAGGCTTGCAAACTCCCACATCCACAGATCTCCCCAGGGCCCCTTGCTCCTTCAGGTCCCCAGTGAGCTCCATGTCTTTCCCTAATCTGACTCCTCCCCCAGGTTCCCCCCTGTCCACCCCATCACTGGACCAGGGCTATCTGTGCCAACTCAAGCCTGTCAGGCCCCAGGCCGGTCCCTCCTGATCTCTGACCCCTGACTCTCTGCCCATCCACTCCACTCCATCCCATGGTCCCAGCCCTGGCTCAGTCATGGTCCTCACCCTGGGCCTTCCCACAGCCTCCGGCTTGGTCTCCAGTCTGTCTCCGTGGCCCCAGAGGGGTCTTTCCTTTTCTTTTTTTTTTTTTTTTTTGAGACGGAGTCTAGCTCTGTCACTCAGGCTGGAGTCCAGTGGCGCAATCTCGGCTCACTGCAACCTCCGCCTCCTGGGTTCAAGCAATTCTCCTTCCTCAGCCTCCTGAGTAGCTGGGATTACAGGCACACACCACTATGCCCAGTTAATTTTTGTATTTTTAGTAGAGACTGGGGTTTGCCATGTTGGCCAGGCTGGTCTTGAACTCCTGACCTCAAGTGATCCACCCGCCTCGGCCTCCCAAAGTGCTGGGATTACAGGCGTGAGCCACCGCGCCTGGCCCCAGAGGGGTCTTTCTGCACCTAGAGCTGCCCCTGCCCCTCCACTGCTCACCACCCTTCCATGGCCTCCTAGTGACCCTCCCAACCTGCAGACACAAAGTCCAGGCCCCATAGCCCAGGAAGGACTCACCAGGATGAGGCCTTGGCCAGGTCAGTGCTCCACAAGCAGCAGGTCCTGGGGACTGGGGACGGGGGGCACCTGTGGGCCCCAAAGTGTCAGCCACAAGTGGGCCACCCTCTCGGCCCCCTCACCCCCTCTTCCCAGCCTGCTCACCTGCTCCCCAGGGCGGGGTGTCCTCCGCCGCGTCCTCTGCCAGTGCAGGCACCAGGCAGCGGCCAGCAGCAGGAGGCCCACGGGCAGCAGCAGTAGGAGGAGCAGAGGGGGCTGCGGGGCTGTCGGGGCTGTGGCCTCCAGGGGCCGGGGACTCCATGGGGGTGGCAGGGTTGAGGAGTCTGGGGAGAAAGAGGAGGCTGGGTGACCAAGGAGAAGGGCTGGGGTAAGGAAGGAAAGAGAGGCCTGGCTGCCACTGGCTGTGTGACCTTGGATGGGCTGCTTGGCCTCTCTGTGCCTCAGTTTGCTCATCTGTAAAACTAGGATAATCATTGTACCTACCTCATCAGACTGTCACAAATTAAATGAGTGAATAGGCTGAGCGCGGTGGCTCACGCCTATAATCCCAGCACTTTGGGAGGCCAAGGTGGGTGGATCACTTGAGGTCAGGAGTTCAAGACCAGCCTGGCCAACATGGTGAAAACCCATCTCTACTAAAAACACAAAAACTAGCCAGGCATGGTATGCGCATCTGTAATCCCAGGTACTCGGAAGGCTGAGGCAGAAGATTCGCTTGAACCCTGGAGATGGAGGTTGCAGTGAGCCAAGATTGCGCCACTGCACTCCAGCCTGGGCGACAGAGCAAGACTCCGACTTAGAAAAAAAAAACAATAGGCTGGGCGCGGTGGCTCACATCTGTAATCCTAGCACTTTGGGAGGCCGAGGCGGGCAGATCACGAGGTCAGGAGATCGAGACCATCCTGGCTGACACGGTGAAACACCGTCTCTACTAAAAATACAAAAAAAAAAATTAGCCGCGTGAGGTGGCAGGCGCCTGTAGTCCCAGCTGCTGGGGAGGCTGAGGCAAGAGAATGGCGTGAACCCAGGAGGCAGAGCTTGCAGTGAGCCGAGATAGCACCCCTGCACTCCAGCCTGGGGGACAGAGCAAGACTCCATCTCAAAAAAAAAAAAAAAAAAAAAGGTAGGCTGGGCACTGTGGCTCACGCCTGTAATCCCAGCACTTTGGGAGGCCAAGGCAGGTGGATCACAAGGTCAGGAGATCGAGACCATCCTGGTTTAACTCGGTAAAACCCCGTCTCTACTAAAAATACAAAAAATTAGCCGGGTGTGGTGGCGGGCGCCTGTGGTCCCAGCTACTTGGGAGGCTGAGGCAGGAGAATGGCATGAACCCGAGAGGCGGAGCTTGCAGTGAGCCAAGATCACGCCACTGCACTCCAGCCTGGGCGACAGTGCGAGACTCCGTCTCAAAAAAAAAAAAAAAAAATTGGTAAACTGAGCTCCAGAAAGAGGAATAAGCTTGCCCTTGTCACAACCAATATGAGAAAGATGGGGTCTGGGATGCACTGTGCAGAGAGGAGGAGCGGCCGTGAGGACAGGAGGGGAAGGAGTGGGGGTGCCTGGAAGCCTTTACCGGGCTGACACTGCAGCTCCAGGCACCGGGAGAAGTTCTGGCGAGTGATCCAGGGCTTCAGCGCCACCAGCTGCTCGGAGGTCTCCTGCAGGAGGCGGGAGATGTTGGTCTGGACGAAGCGAAGACAGCTGGGGGGGGGCTGGGAGCAGGGGAGGGAGACGTCACCACCACGTCATCCCCCCACCGCCCCTCCGCAGGCCAAAGGCCCTTCCCTGCTGGCGATGCCCAGCAACAGGGCCCAGTGAGCTCTGGCTCTCAGAGTTTATTTATTTAATTAATTAATTTTTTTTTGAGATAGAGTCTCACTCTGTTGCCCAGGCTGGAGTGGTGAAATGCAACCTCTGCCTCCCAGGTTCAAGTGATTCTCCTGCCTCAGCCTCCTCAGTGGTTGGGACTATAGGTGCCCACCACCATGCCCAGCTATTTTTTGTATTTGTAGTAGAGACGGGGTTTCTCCATGTTGGCCAGGCTGGTCTCGAACTCCTGACCTCAGGTGATCTGCCCACCTTGGCCTCCCAAAGTGCTGGGATTGTAGGCATGAGCCACCGTGCTTGGCCATATTTATTTATTTATTTATTTTTAAGACAGAGTCTCGCTCTGTTGCCCAGGCTGGAGTACAGTGGCGCAATCTCGGCTCACTGCAAGCTCCGCCTCCTGGTTTCACGCCATTCACCTGCCTCAGCCTCCCAGGTAGTTGGGACTACAGGCGCCTGCCACCACGCCCGGCTAATTGTTTGTATTTTTAGTAGAGATGGGGTTTCATTGTGTTAGCCAGGATGGTCTTGATCTCCTGACCTTGTGATCCGCCCGCCTCGGCCTCCCAAAGTGTGGGATTACAGGCGTGAGCCACCGTGCCCAGCCTATTTATTTATTTATTTATTTATTTATATTTTTTAGTAGAAACGGGGTTTCTCTATGTTGGCCAGGCTGGTCTCGAACTCCTGACCTCAGGTGACTCGCCCGCCTCGGCCTCCCAAAGTTACTTTATTATTTATTTATTTTTTGGGGACAGAGTCTTGCTCTGTCACCCTGGCTGGAGTACAGTGGCACGATCTCGGCTTACTGCAACTTCTACCTCCCGGGTTCAAGGAATTCTGCCTCAGCCTCCTGAGTAGCTGGGACTACAGGCGCGCGCCACCATGCCCAGCTAATTTTTGTATTTTTAGTAGAGACGGGGTTTCACCACATTGGCCAGGGTGGTCTCAAACTCCTGACCTCGTGATCTGCCCGCCTCGGGCTCCCAAAGTGCTGGGATTACAGGCGTGAGCCACTGTACCCAGGCTTTTATTTTATTTTTATTTTTTTGGAGATGGAGTCTTGCTCTGTCGCCCAGGCTGGAGGGCAGTGGTGTGATCTCGGCTCACTGCAACCTCTGCCTCCTGGGTTCAAGCAATTCTCCTGCCTCAGTCTCCCAAGTAGCTGGGACTACAGGTGCCCACCACCATGCCTGGCTAATTTTGTTTTTGTATTTTAGTAGAGATGGTTTTCATCACGTTGCCGAGGCTGGTCTCGAACTCCTGAGCTCAGGCAATCCACCCGCCTCAGCCTCCCAAAGTGCTGGGATTACAGTCGTGAGCCACCATACACGGCCTATTCTATGTTTTGAGACAGGGTCTTGCTCTGTCGCTCAAGCTGGAGTGCAGTGGCCCAATCATAGCTCATCGCAGCCTCGACCTCCAGGGCTCAAGTGATCCTCCCACCTCAGCCTTCTGAGTAGCTGGGACCACAGGTGGGCACCACCATGCCTGGCTAATTTATTTTTATTTTTGTGCAGAGATGAGGTTTCACTGTGTTACCCGGGCTGGTCTTGAACTCCTGGGCTCAAATAATCCTCCCACCTTGGCCTCCGAAAGTGCTGGGATTACAGGTGTGAGCCACTGCACCCAGCCCTCAGAGAGAGGTTTTTGTTTGTTTGTTTTGTTTTTGAGACAGTTTCACTCTGTCTCCCAGGCTGGAGTGCAGTGGCATGATCTCGGCTCACTGCAGCCTCTGGCTCCCGGGTTCAAGCGATTCCTGTGCCTCAGCCTCCTGAGCCACCATGCCCGGCTAATTTTTGTATTTTTAGTACAGCCGGGATTTCATCATGTTGGCCAGGCTGGTCTCAAACTCCTGACCTCAAGTGATCCGCCCACCTCAGCCTCCCAAAGTGCTAGGATTACAGGAGTGAGCCACCACGCCCGGCCTCCTCAGTTTAGAGACCCCTTCTCTCCCTGTTTTTTTTTGGGGGAAGAACCCCTCAGTGGCACCCTTCATCATGGCCTAGGAAACCGGGGCCCCAGAATGGGACCAGACTGCTCCCCATCACCGGTGCCTGGGGACGTGTTGTTCTGTAGGAACAGGGCTCTGCAGGGTGGCGCTTCTCGCTCTACCTTCGTTGGGTGGCTATGGTCCAAATCGCCAATAAGGCCTAGTGGAGCTTTACTTCTAATTCGTAGGAAGGCATCTCCCTCCCCTCACTTGTCCCCTAAGTTGAGGGCTGACCTGAAAGGCACATTTGGTGACAAAGTGTATCTCCGTGTTCACGCGCTCCAGCAAGCCTTGCATCTTGGACCCAGCGACAGTCTTGAGCCGCTCCATCCAGCGCTGTGCCAGGACCAGCCGCCAGAGGCCCCCGCAGAGCTCCTCCTAGAGGGGAGAACCCACGGGTCTGAGGGAGGAGCTGGGCACGGGGCTGCTGGGTCTGAGGGAGGAGGGGCTGGGCCGGGGCTCCTGGGTCTGAGGGAGGAGGGGCTGAGGACTCTGATTCCTGGGTTTGGGGAGGGGAGGGCCTGGTTATCCACTCGCCTCGGTGGAGCATCTTGAGTCTGTGGTCCCCACCTCCATCCCAGGTCCCTCCCAACATGACTTACGTCCTGCAGGTTGGAGGCCACGGTGACTGGGTAATCTTGAAGCAGGTAGTCAGACTGCGGGAGAAAACAGGATCAGGCCTGGCTGAAAACAGCGAGAAACAGAACTGTGGGGACCCAGAGGTGGCAGCAGAGATCCAGAGAGAGAGGGACAAGACCAAGAGAGGGGGAGCCCAGAAGAAGCCACAGAACCTTGCCCTTAAAAAGGGATGACACCCCTAAGCACAGTGGCTCACGCCTGTAATTCCAGCACTTTGGGAGGCCAAGGTGGGAGGATCGCTTGAGCCCAGGAGTTCAAGACCACCCTGGGAAACACAGGGAGAGAGACCCCATCTCTACTTAAAAAAAAAAGTGGGGGGAAGGGGGATCACATGAGGGGGTCCGGGGCAGCGCCGCTCACCAGCTCACGGATTTTGACAGCGAAGTCGGAGGAGATGGGGCTGTGTTGGAAGGAGCAGTCCTGGGTCCCACTGAGTCCCGAGCTCAGCAGCAGCAGCAGGAGGAGATAGGTCTGCAGGGGAGCGGGTGCTGGGGGAGCCCTCTGCTGTTCCACACACAGCCCCCTCCTCCGGGCTTCCCACCTGTACTGTTCTGTCTTCCCCGCTCCTCCTTCCCTGGGTGTCCTTCTGCCTCTTCCACACTTTCTGGAGACATGGCCCCATCTCTGCCTGTCTTTCCCGGTTTCTCTCTGCCTCTGGTCCAATGCTGTCCAGTTTGCATCCCCCTCTGCCCCACCCCTCTCTCTCCCCATCTCCCCCACTCTGCTGGTCTCTCTCCAACCACCTCATCTTCACGTCTGGTTTCCTCGCCCGGGTTCCTCCAGCTCTGTCCCTCCCTCTGCCTTCTACACCACTGTTGCCTGCTTCTCTCTTGATCTTGGTCCACGTCCTCTTCATTTGTTCTTGGCTCTGTCCACCTTCCCTCTCCTCTGTCCATCTCCCCCCTTTTCTGTCCATCTCCCCCTCCTCTGTCCATCTCCCCCCTCCTCTGTCTCTCTTCCTCTCCTCTGTCCGTCTCCCTCCTCCTGTCCACCTCCCCCTCCTCTTCATCTCCCTCTCCTCTGTCCATCTCCCCCTCCTGTCCATCTCCCCTCTCCTCTGTCCATACCCCCTCCTCTCCATCTTCCCTCCTGTCCATCTCCCCCACCTCTGTCCATCTCCCCCTTCTCTGTCCATCTCCCTCCTCCTGTCCACCTCCCTCCTCTTTATCTCCCTCTCCTCTGTTCATCTGCCCTCTCCTCTGTCCATCTCCCCCTCCTCTGTCCATCTCCCCGCTCCTGTCCATCTCCCACTCCTCTCTATCTCCCTCTCCTCTATCTCCCCCTCCTCTGTCCATCTCCCCATCCTCTGTCCATCTCCCCCTCCTCTGTCCGTCTCCTCTCCTATCCATCTCCCCTCACATCTGTCCATCTCCCCTCCTATTTCCTCGTCATCTGTCCATCTGTTCTCCCGTCCATCTCCCCTCATCTCTGCCCCATCCTGACATTGTGCCTCCCCTCTCCCCTGATCTTGTCCCTGGGGTTTACGCACTGTTGGGCTCCAGGCTGGCGCCAGCACTGTCATTTCGGCCGGGGGCCCCTCATGCCTCCTGTCGCCGGGTCTTGGAAGGGACAGAAGAACAAGTCTCGGACCCTCATGCCCCAGCCCCTGCCCTGCCCGCCCCTTTGCCTCCCCGCCCCTCCCGCGTCCCATTGATGTGGCTGAGTTTCCGCCCCTTCCTCCCCCAGGCTTCCTGCGTCTGCCCCAGTTACGGTGAAAACTCTTCATCTCCACTTCTAAGAACCTCGACGTCTGGTCCCCAGAACCCTCCCCAGGTTAGGGACCCGGGAACCCAGCCCCCCACCCTCTGCTCCCCCTGCCCCAGGAGTGGGGACCCTGGCTCCGCCCCTTGGGGACCTAGAGTCCAAGTCTCCTCACGCACCAGGCTTGCCCCAGTTGGGTGTGGAAGGGGCCAAGCCGGGTGACAGCCAGAGACCGAAAGTGAAAGGAAATTTTTGGGGGGAGACAGTCAAGGGGTGGAATCTGGGCCCAGGCGGAGCGCGCCCCCTGGTGGTGAGAGGCGGCCGCTCACGCCGCAGATGGCGCGTTCTCCGGACGCCCCGCAGCGGGGGCTGCAGTGGGGCTGACTCCCTGGGTGGCACGCCCAGTGCATGGTGAGCTGGGGCTGGAACCCGGATCTGTCTCTGGGAACTCGCAGTTGCTGTGTCTTACCGTCCTCCGGGCCCCAACTTTGCCCCGCCAAGGCTTGGCACACAGGACTCAGGATGCATCTTGTCACATTGGGCCTGGCAGGTGTCGCCCTAGCACTAGCTTTATCACTGTGGGAGCTTGGCCAGCCCCTTGACCTCTCTAAGCCTCGGCTTCTCCAACTCCAAACTGAGGGGTGAGGTGGTACATGAGACAAAATAGAAGCTCTCTTCCACATCTGTGGATCTCTGAATCTCTGAAGCATTTTTTTTTTTTAGATGGGGTCTCACTCTGTTGCCCAGGCTGGAGTGCAGTGGCACAGTCTCGGCTCACGGCAACCTCCGCCTCCTGGGCTTAAGCAATTCTTGTGCCTCAGGCTCCCAAGTAGCTGGAATTGCAGGTGCGTGCCACCATGCCCGGCTAATTTTTGTATTTTTAGTAGAGACGAGGTTTCACTATGTTGGCCAGGCTGATCTCGAACTCCTGACCTCAGGTGATCAGCCTGCCTCGGCCTCCCAAAATGCTGGGATTACAGGTGTGACCCATCACGCCCATCCTGAATCTCTTGCTCACCCATCTGATCCGTGGCAGACTGTCCTGAAACATCTGCTGCCCCCACCCCCCCAGCAGGAGGATTCGAGGTCCCATCCTGGGGAACTCGGACATGGCCACACTCACTTTGGCCAGTCACATGAGGGTGGAGGTGACAGGTGTCACTTCTGAATGGAAGTCTAAGGGACCGGGGAGTGGATGGTGGAGGATGCATGGAGAGAGCGCCTCTATCAGCCAAGTTTCCTGTGCCACTCGGAGGAGCACAGGGATCCTGCCAGCCCCGGATGAGCACAGGGAGTGTAAGCAACAAACTAATGTTGTGGTTGTGGCCCACGCAGATTCGGGGGTTATGTGTTACTGCAGCAAAGCCTCGCCCGTCCTGGCCTTCATCATCCATTTCCCTTCCCTGATCCCTCTGCCTGCCTCACTTCCTGTTCAGCCTGGGTTAGCTGCCTTGTCGCACCCAATGGTCAGACCTTCCATCTGGCTAGAAAGATTTAAATGAAGCAGAGAGGCAGAGATACAAGCCCCAATAGCTCATGTGGCCCATGGACAAAGGACCTGCTCTAGCTCCTTCCTGACCAAGTCCTGGGGCCCCTCAATGTGTGTCCTGCCCTATCGCCCTATTGCCTCTAGGGAATCTCTGTAGCCTTCCAGAAGACTCCTCTCTCTCTCTCTTTTTTTTTTGAGACCGAGTCTCGCTGTGTTGCCCAGGCTGGAGTGCAGTGGCACGATCTTGGCTCACTGCAAGCTCCCCCTCTGCCTCCCAGGTTCAAGCAATTCTCCTGCCTCCCAGATAGCTGGGATTTCAGGTGCCGCCACCACGCCTGGCTAATTTTTATAATTTTAGTAGAGACGGGATTTCACCATGGTGCCCAGGCTGGTCTCAAACTTCTGACAAGTGATCCACCCACCTCGGCCTCCCAAAGTGCTGGGATTACAGGTGTGAACTGCCACACCTAGTCCGGAAAACTCTCATTTTTTTTTTCTTTGAGATGGAGCCTTGCTCTGTTGCCCAGACTAGAGTGAAGTGTGTGCTCTCAGCTCACTGCAACCTCTGCCTCCTGGGTTCGAGTGATTCTTCTGCCTCAGCCTCCTGAGTAATTGGGATTACAGGTGCCCGCCACCACACCCAGCTAATTTTTGTATTTTTAGTACAGACAGGGTTTCACTGTGTTGGCCAGGCTGCTCTCAAACTCCTGACCTCAGGTGATCCGCCTACTTCGGCCTCCCAAAGTGTTGGGATTACAGGCCTGAGTCACCGAGCCTGGCCTCTGAAAACTCCCTTTTATCCTAAACTAGTAAGAGTGGGTTTCTTACATCAAAAAGAATTCTACTTCAGGTGTGGTGGCTGATGCCTGCAGTCCCACACTTTGAAAGGCTGAGGCGAGAGGATCGCTTGAGGCCAGGAGTTCAAGACCAGCCTGAGCAACGTAGGTAGACTCTGCCTATTAAAAAAAAAAAAATTAGCCAGGCATGGTGGTGCGTGCCTGTGGTCCCAGCTGCTCAGGAGGCTGAGGTGGGAGGATTTTTTTTTTTTTTTTTTGAGACGGAGTCTCACTCTTTCGCCCAGGCTGGAGTGCAGTGGCTCGATCTCGGCTCACTGCAAGCTCCACCTCCCGGGTTCACGCCATTCTTCTGCCTCAGCCTCCCAAGTAGCTGGGACTACAGGCGCCCGCCACCATGCCCAGCTAATTTTTTTGTATTTTTAGTAGAGACGGGGTTTCACCGTGTTAGCCAGGATGGTCTTGATCTCCTGACCTCATGATCCACCTGCCTCGGCCTCCCAAAGTGCTGGGATTATAGGCGTGAGCCACCACGCCCGGCCGAGGTGGGAGGATTGAGCCCAGGTCGAGGGTGGGTTCAGTAAGCTGTGACTGCGCCACTGTATTACAGCCTAAAAAACAGAGCAAGATCCTTTATTTAAAAATCAACAGTCGTGCGCAGTGGCTTAAGTCTGTAATCTTAGCACTTTGGGGAGACCAAGACAGGCGGACCGCTTGAGGTCAGGAGTTTGAAACCAGCCAGGCCAAGATGGTGAAACCCCGTCTGTACTAAAAATACAAAAAATTATCTGGGTGTGGTGGCGCGAGCCTGTAATTCTAGCTACTCTGGAGGCCGAGGCAGGAGAATCGCTCGAACCTGGGAGGCGGAGGTTGCAGTGAGCCGAGATCACCCCGCTGCACTCCAGCCTGGCCGACAGAGAGACTCTGTCTCGAAAAAACAAAAAACAAACCAAAAAAACCCACCCACAACCAGAATCCTAAGGCAGTGGTGTGCTGAAGCGGCTCGTATTGGCTCATGGGAGCTGACCTGTTAACAATTCAGGATCTCGCAGGCAGTTGTTTAATCACCTGTACCTTGAAATCCGGCACGGTGGGAGCATTTACATCATGGAAATTGACAAAAGTCATATAGGAGGACTTTAATTTTATTCCAGAGAGTTCCTTTACTGCATATGGATTCTGGGGCCATGAAAAGGTAGAGAAAACCAGAGAGCAAGAGCCACCAGATGGAGAAGACAAGAAGATATGAGAGTCCTAAGGCCCTGTCTGGGGTCCTCGGGGGTCCCCTTTCTCTGTTTCACAAACACAGCACCGTGCTGGAGCCGGCTCCTGAGCTGCTCAACCTCAGAACTAAAATGGCCTCGAGCCAGGTGTGGTGGTGCATGTCTGTGGCCCCAGCTACATATGAGGCTGAGGCATGAGGATCCCTTGAGCCCCAGAGGTCGAGGCTGCAGTGGGCCGAGATTGTGCCACTGCGCTCCAGCCTGGGTGACAGAGCCAGACGTTGTCTCAAAAAAAAAAAAAAAAAAGAAAAAAGCCTCATATCTGCCAGAAGTTGCTACACCCTTTCTTCTCGCAGAAGCACAGCTAGGGTTGGTCAGAGAGTTTATTGGGAGACACAGGAACCAGAAGGGGAAAGTCCCAGGTGTCTGTGGGGTGCATCTCCCCTTGGTGTGAGGTGTCCAAAATGCAGTAGGTGGCGCTCAGGCATCAGTCCCCCATAGGCAGCCACAGGGCCTTGGTCCGCGCCACTCGCAGCCCCAGCTCTGGGCCTGCCCCCTCGGCCTCCTGGTCCCAGGCCCGCGGGCAGCCCCTGCTCGCCCACACCGGTTTGAGGTTTCCTGCCGAGGCCCACTCGACAAACTGGGAACCCTGAGGGGAGGAAGAGACGGGGGTAAGCACTTCTGCAGGCTTGTTGCTGAGCACCTGCTTCCTCCGCGATGAAGACTGTTACTGACGAGGGGCTTCAGGCTGGACCCAGGCTCTGCAGCTACAATGCCCAGCTCCTCCCAAGCAGAACTTCCAGATGGTAGGGAAAAGCACTGGACCCAGTGGTTAGGGAATTTCCTCTCCCTTAACAGCCCATGTTGAAAGGAATGGGCCCCAAGGCTCTTGTCAACAAGTTCACATCTGTTACCAACAGGAGGTTTAAGAGAGTGGACGGTGGGGCGCGGTGACTCGCTCCTGTAATCCCAGCACTTGGGGTGGCTGAGGCGGGAGGATCGCTTGAGTTCAGGAGTTTGAGACCAGCCTGGACAATATGGCGAGACCCCGTCTCCATTTAAAAAGTAAAAATTGGTTGGGCACAGTGGCTCACGCCTGTAATCTCAGCATTTTGGGAGGCTGAGGCAGGCAGATCACGCGAGGTCAGGAGTTCGAGACCAGCCTGGCCAATATGGCGAAACCCCATCTCTACTAAAAAAAAACCCCCAACAATTAGCTGGGCATGGCGGTGAGTGCCTGTAGTCTCAGCTACTTGGGAGGCAGGAGAATCACTTGAACCCGGGAGGCAGAGGTTGCAGTGAGCCAAGATCGTGCCACTGTATTCCAGCCTGGGCGACAGAGTGAGACTCTGTCTCAAAAAAAATAAAATAAAATAAAATAAAATAAAAAAAAAAACAGTAGACTCAACCAGTTGTGCTGGCTCACACCTGTAATCCCAGCACTTTGAGAGGCCGAGGCGGGCAGATCACTTGAGCCCAGGAGTTCAAGATCAGCCTGGCCAACATAGAGAAACCCCAGTCTCTGCAAAAGAAAAAAATTAGCTGGGCATGGTGGTGCACGCCTGTGGTCCCAGCTACTCAGGAAGCTGAGGTGGGACGGTGGCTTGAGCCTGGGAGGTTGCGGCTGCAGTGAGGTATGATTGCATCTGGGTGACAGGGTGAGGTTCTGTCTCAAAATAGAAAAACAAAGCGTAGACTGTGGGCCTCCAAATCTAGGGTGTGGTCCTTAGCAACGGGCTGTCCCCTGAGACGAGGTCTTTGGGCTAGGCAGCTCTCAGGCCCCTGTTGCTAAGGACAGCCTCTTCCTTAGTAACTTGAGTCCTAAGGGCGGGGCCTCAAAACCTTCTTGTCAAGGAGTTTCTCCCCTTACCAACAGGAGTTCTAAGAGGGCGGGGCTGTGTTTCCAGAAAAGGAGGAGCCTGTTTGAAGTTTGAGATGCTGAAGATGGCAAAACAGAACAAAGAGCACCTGGGCTGATCCGAAATACCACATGGCCTGGACGTCTTGGTGCAAGGCCAGGCAGCGGGTCAGATGGTCCCGGTCTCCTGTCACCACGTTGGCCAGGCCTGCTGGGAACACGGTGGCCATGTCCTAGGGGATAGAGAGAGTGAAAGGTTGGGGAGGCCGTGGGGGCAGGGCAAGGAGTGGGCATTCAGGGGGTGCCCATGGGAGGGAAGGGGATGGGGGGTCATGGAGGAGAAAGCCCCAGGCCTAGGGTGAAGAATGGGCACTGGGTCCCCAAGGAGTGAAGGTTTGGGTGCTGGGGCTGGGGGCAGCATGGGTACCACGGAGGGTGGGGTAAGAGACAAGCTCCTGCCGACTTTGGGGCGCCTTTTTCTGCTGCCCTGAGGCTACGGGGAGGAGAGGCAGGAAGGCAGGGGGCTATACCTGGCAGACCTCCAGGGCCAGCAGAGGACAGGCCGCACTGGGCACCATGACCACAGTGTTGCCGTAGGCCAGGGCGGGAGCCAGCAGGGACACGAAGGCAAGCAGGGGCCACTCGTCCGGACACACCACAGCCAGCACACCCAGCGGCTCCCGCAGGCGCAGCACAGGGCCTCTCAGCCCGGCTACCTGCAGGGACAGGTGGGTCACGTGTGGGGCAGGGGAGCCCCGCCCGCAGTAAATGAGAGATCCAGTTCCTCTACATTCTCCCCAACACTTGGTGTTGGCCCAAACCGCACCATTGTGGAAGCCCCTGCCATTTCGCAGACGCTGGTCAAAGTGAATCATTCCACGGGGGTTCGGGCGGTGAGAAACATCCTGCATAACCGCCTTTCTTTTTTTTTTTTTTTGAGACGGACTCTCACTCTGTCGCCCTGGCTAGAGTGCAGTGGTGCGATCTTGGCTCACTGCAACCTCCGCCTCCCGGGTTCACGCCATTCTCCTGCCTCAGTCTCCTGAGTAGCTGAGACTACAGGCACCTGCCACCATGCCCGGCTAATTTTTTTTTTTTGTATATTTAGTAGAGACGGGGTTTCACTGTGTTAGCCAGGATGGTCTCGATCTCTTGACCTTGTGATCTGCCCACCTTGGCCTCGCAAAGTGCTGAGATTACAGGCGTGAGCCACTGCGCCTGGTCTATTTTCTTTTGTTAAAAATAAATATGGTGTTGGGGGGTGGGAGGCAAGGGGAGGGAACTTAGAGGGCAGGTCAATAGGTGCAGCAAACCACCATGGCACGTGTATCCCTATGTAACAAGCCTGCGCGTTCTGCACATGTATCCCAGAACTAAAGTAAAATAAAATTTAAAAAAAAGAAGGCCGGGTGTAGTGGCTCACACCTGTAATCCCAGCACTTTGGGAGGCCAAGGTGGGCGGATCACGAGGTCAGGAGATCGAGACCATCCTAACATGGTGAAACCCTGTCTCTACTAAATATACAAAAAAAAAATTAGCCGGGTGTGGTGGTGGGCACCTGTAGTCCCAGCCACTCGGAAGGCTGGGGCAGGAGAATGGCGTGAACCTGGGATGCAGAGGTTGCAGTGAGCCGAGATTGCGCCACTGCACTCCAGCCTGGGCGACAGAGCGAGACTCTGTCTCAAAAAAAAAAAAAAAAGAAAGAAAGAAATATGGTTTGGCCCATGATATAGTTCAGATGTCCCACCCAAATCTCATGTTGAAATGTAATCCCTGGCCAGGCGCAGTGGCTCACGCCTATAATCCCAGCACTTTGGGAGGTCAAGACAGGCGGATCACTTGAAGCTAGGAGTTCAAGATCAGCCTGGGCAACATGGCGAGTCTCTTGTCTCTGCAAAAATACAAAAACACCCAGTCATGTGTGCTGGTGTGTGCCTGTGATCCCAGATACTCAGGAGGCTGAGGTGGGGGGCTCACTTGGACCTCGGAGGTTGAGGCTGCAGTGAGCCATGATTGTGGCACTGCACTCCAGCCGGGTGCCAGAGGGAGACTGGTGCCAACATGCCCAGCTAATTTATCTATTTTTTGTGGAGACAGGGTTTCACTGTGTTGCCCAGGCTGGTTTCAAACTCCTGGCCTCAAGCGATCCACCCACTTTTGCCTCCCAAAGTGCTAGGATTACAGGCGTGAGCCACCATGTCTGGCCAGGTATTTTTTGTTTTTTGTTTTTTTTTGTGACACAAGGTCTCACTCTGTCACTCAGGCTGGAGTGCAGTGGCACGATCTCGGCTCACTGCAACCACTGCCTCCTGGGTTCAAGCAATTTTCCTGCCTCAGCCTCCTAAGTAGCTGGGACTATAGGTGCCCACCACCGTACCCAGCTAATTTTTTGTATTTTTAGTAGAGACCAGGTTTCACCGTGTTGCCCAGGCTGGTCTCGATCTCCTGACCTCGTGATCCGCCTGCCTCAGCCTCGCGAAGTACTGGGATTACAGGCGTGAGCCACTGCGCCCCCAGGTGTTTCTTTACAGCAATGTGAGAACCGCCTAACAGCCCACTAAATTGATTTTAGGGTCCAGGAATGGGTCGCTATCCATCATCTGGCGAACGCTACTCTACGAGGCGGGTTGTGTGCCCACTCACTGTACAGATGAGGGAACTGAGGTAGGGAGAGGTGAAGCCACTTGCTGATGATCCTGCCGTGGAAGGCGGTGGGGCTGGGCCCGAATTCCAAGCCTGGGTTATCTCACAGCCTCTGGTCTGAGCCCCACCCCGCCTGCCCAGCTGGCCCAGGTGCCCACAGACCCTTCACCTGCAGGGTGTGGCCTTGGGCCTGCACCCGGGCCCCCCACGCCCGAAGTCGTCTTGCGCTCAGCTCCACCTCCGCCTCCGCAGCCTTGAGCTCCGCTCCCTGCCTCTCCAGCCTCGAGGCCAGGGTAGACTTCCGGCGCTCCAGTGCAGCCGCCAGGGCCCACAGCAGGGCTGCCCGGGCTCCTGGGGACTGGCCCGCCCAGCTGTGGGCAGACAGCGCACAGTGGGGGTTGGCATCCTGGTCTTGGCTCTCCTGACACCCCACCTCTGTCCACAGCCCCTACCCTGGGGGCCCAGCCTCCCAGTCCACCAATTGCTGTGGGCAGGCTCCCCTCTCTGCCACACCATGACCCTTGGGCTTTCCCGTGTGACCCCTTACCCAGGGAAAGCCTGGTGAGCGGCCTCCACAGCACCTCGGATGTCCTTGGCTCCACCCTCAGCCACGTAGCCATGGAGGTTGCCAGACGAATCCCGGATGGGCCTGGAGCTTCGGGCCCCAGGAGCCTGGAAACGGCCCCCAACGAAGAGCCCATAGGGGGGTGCTGGGCTGGAGTAGGGTGGGACATGAGGAGGAGTCCTGGGGCCTCAATCTGCTCAGACCCTATGCTCTACCGCACTGGGAAGACTGCCTTGGCTCCCGTGAGCCTCTGGGGCACCCCAAACCCCTGTTCCCATGAGCCTCTGGGGGACCCTAAAACTCCTGCTCCCATGATTCACTGGGGGACCCTAAACTCCAGCTCCCATGAGCCTCTGGGGGACCTTAAACTGCTCCCATGAGCCTCTGGGGAACCCCAAATTCCTGCTCCCATGAGCCTCTGGATGACTCAAGTTTCTGCTCCCATGAGCCTCTGGGGGACCCCAAACCCCTGTTCCCACTAGCCTCTGGGTACCCTAAACTCCTGCTCCCATGAGCCTCTGGGGGACCCTAAACTCCTACTCCCATGAGCCTCTGGCAGACCCTAAACTGCTCTCATAAGCCTGTGGGGCACCCCAAATTCCTGTTCCCATGAGCCCCGGAGGACCCAAAGCTTCTGCTCCCATGAGCCTCTGGAGGACCCTAAGTTCCTGCTCCATGAGCCTCTGGGGGACCCTAAGCTCCTGCTCCCATGAGCCTCTGGTAGACCCTAAACTGCTCCCTTGAGTCTCTGGGGGGACCTCAAACTCCTGCTCCCATGAGCCTCTGGAGGACCCCAAGTTTCTGCTCCCATGAGCCTCTGGGGGACCCCAAGCTCCTGCTCCCATGAGCCTCTGAGGGACCCCAAGCTTCTGCTCCAGTGAACCTCTGGGGGACCCCAAGCTCCTAGACCCATGAGTTTCTGGGAGAGTACAGACATTCATGGGGCAGAGCTGAGAGTCTCGGCAGGCCTGGGGTAGGGAAAGTGTGAGGCCACAACGTGGTACTCAGCAGGACTAAGAGATGGTTTGGATGGACCTCGCGCCAGCCCTCCAGTCCACGGGGAAACAGGCATCAATTCCCCTCTCCCCGTTCACACTCCCAGACCACTGGCCCCCAACGACTCACCTGGGCCCTATTTCAGGCCCAGCCGGCAGGGTTGAGGGAACAGCGAGGCCAAAGGTGTCATAGTTCAGGTTCTTGGAGAGGCAGGACAGCCGGGCAGGGGTCCCTGAGGGCCGCAGATACTCATACAGCCCCTGTGAGAGGGACGGTGTCAAGAGGATGCAAGGGGCACGCGAGGCCGGATGCGAGTGTCAAGGGCATGGGGCGGCGGGGGGGCTGGTGACGGGGAGGGGATGTACTCACGTCTGGGCCCCCGTGCCAGGAACACCCACTCTCCTTGCAGCCGCCTGTGGGCACCGAAGGGTCTCTGAGGCCGTGGGCGTTGATCCAGACAGTGCCCACCTGGAGCCTGTGGGGAAGATGAAGGTGTCCAACAGAGGAAAACAGACGGTGGCAGGCCGGGAGAGGGGTGAGTTAAAGGCGCGGGGAGCGACCCAGGGAGAAGGGAGATGAAGATGGAAGAATGAGGAGAGGAGTGAGCGCCCGGGCCACGCAGACTGACCCATAGCCCAGCTCCAGCGCCTGCCCCAGCCTCTCGCTCCACACACTGGCGCTGCCCCCGCGGGGCGTCCCGTTGGCCACCAACAGTGCCTCCTTGGCTGTGCGGAAGGGGGAGGCCACGACCACAGGCCACGGCACCTGCAAGGGGTGACCGGGAGGCTCAGCCCTCCAGGGCCCACCCACCAGGGAAGGAGCCTAGAGCAGGCAGCAGCCCCCACGCCCAGGTCACATGGTTACCCCAAGGGCTTCCCCAGGCACAGAGCTGCTGCCCTTGGCTGGCGGTGGGTAGGAGCTCTGCAGCCTTAAGGGTCTCACCTCCACCTGGGCACATGGGGAGGCTGGGGGCAGGTTGGAGACCAAGGTTGGGGGATAGAATGGGCGTTCCGAAGGCACATCACCAGCCTGGAACACCTAGGGAGAGAAATGATCTAGAAGTCGACTTCTGGTCCCTTCCTGCTGAGACCGAGGACTGCAGGACCCCAGCCCCTCCTCCCTCAGACCCAGGAGTCCAGGCCCCCAGCCCCTCCTCCCTCAGACCCAGGAGTCTGGACCCCCAGCCTCTCCTCCCTCAGACCCAGGAGTCCAGGCCCCCAGCCCCTCCTCCCTCAGACCCAGGAGTCTGGACCCCCAGCCCCTCCTCCCTCAGACCCAGGAGTCCAGGCCCCAGCCCCTCCTCCCTCAGACCCAGGAATCCAGGCCCCAGCACCTCCTCCCTCAGACCCAGGAGTCCAGGCCCAGCCCCTCCTCCCTCAGACCCAGGAGTCCAGGCCCCCAGCCCCTCCTCCCTCAGACCCAGGAGTCTGGACCCCCAGCCTCTCCTCCCTCAGACCCAGGAGTCCAGGCCCCCAGCCCCTCCTCCCTCAGACCCAGGAATCTGGACCCCCAGCCCCTCCTCCCTCAGACCCAGGAGTCCAGGCCCCAGCCCCTCCTCCCTCAGACCCAGGAATCCAGGCCCCAGCACCTCCTCCCTCAGACCCAGGAGTCCAGGCCCAGCCCCTCCTCCCTCAGACCCAGGAGTCCAGGCCCCCAGCCCCTCCTCCCTCAGACCCAGGAGTCTGGACCCCCAGCCTCTCCTCCCTCAGACCCAGGAGTCCAGGCCGCCAGCCCCTCCTCCCTCAGACCCAGGAGTCTGGACCCCCAGCCCCTCCTCCCTCAGACCCAGGAATCCGGGCCCCAGCCCCTCCTCCCTCAGACCCAGGAATCCGGGCCCCAGCACCTCCTCCCTCAGACCCAGGAGTCCAGGCCCAGCCCCTCCTCCCTCAGACCCAGGAGTCCAGGCCCCAGCCCCTCCTCCCTCAGACCCAGGAATCCAGGCCCCAGCACCTCCTCCCTCAGACCCAGGAGTCCAGGCCCAGCCCCTCCTCCTTCAGACCCAGGAGTCCAGGCTCCCAGCCCCTCCTTCCTCGGACCCAGTTGTCCACGCCCAGCTCCCTCCTCCCTTGGACCCAGGAGCTGGGTCTCCAGGCCCCTCCTCCCCTGACACCCTCAAGTCTCTACCCCCTGCCTCACCTGTGCACCCTGGCTCTGGGCCTCACGCACAAAGCGCTGGACCAGGTCACATGCGGCAGCCCCCCGGGCCCCCATGTCCACGGCCCCATCCAGCCCTCGGCCACTCCGAAGCCGCCCCATCCGCTCCTGCAGCCGTCTCATGGCTTCATCCCACACAGACTCCTGGATGAGGAGCCTGAGGCCACCCTGTGAGGAAAAGGGGCATCAGGAGATCACACCATTGCACTCTAGCAAGTTGGTGATCTGAAGAGTGAAGACAGAGGCTGGAAAACTAGGGACATGGACACTCAGATAAATCAACAGAGTCCTAAAGAACAGAGAGGCCGGATGCGGTGGCTCACACCTGCAGTCCCAGCACTTTGGGAGGCCGAGGTGGGCGGATCACCTGAGGTCAGGAGTTCGAGACCAGCCTGGCCAACATGGTGAAACCCCGTCTCTACTAAAAATACATAAATTAGCCAGGCATGGTGGTGCCCGCCTGTAATCCCAGCTACTCGGGAGGCTGAGGCAGCTACTCCCAGGCTGAACCTGGGAGGCAGAGGTTGCGGTGAGCCAAAATCGCGCCGCTGCACCCCAGCCTGGGCGACAAGAGTGAAACTCCGTCTCAAAATAAATAAAATAAAATAAAATAAAATGAACAGAGACTCGGGACCCCGAAGACTGGAGACAGACACCAACGGCCTCCAGGGTATGAGGAGACGGGAGCGCACGGGTCTCACCGGGCCGCGGTCGGACCAGGCGGCGTCCACGACACCCTCCACGGCCGAGTCTACGTCCGCCGTGTCCGTCAGCAGCAGCAGCGACTCCGTCCCCAGCGCCAGGCCCAGCTCCGCACACTCTCCCGCCAGGCTCCGTCGAAGGGCACGCCCTTCCTAGGGACCCCCCCCAGTTCAGCCGCAGGAGGAGCCTTGCGGCCCCCAGCCGCGTTCCGCCACGACCCCTGTCCCGAAGGTACCTCCGGGGCTCCGCAGAAGGCCACCTTCCGGATTCCAGGCTGGGAGGCCAGGATGGGCACCAGGGACGCAGGGCCACTGAGGACATTCAGGATTCCCGGGAAGGGGCCCAGCTCCCCCGCCAGCTGGGCCAGGAGGAGGGGCGCCGGGGAGGCCGGGGGCACGAGGGCCACCACGGTGCAGCCTGGGGAAGTGGGGCAGCTCAAAGGCCCAGGAGTCCAGGCCCAGCCCCTCCTCCCTCAGACCCAGGAATCTGGACCCCCAGCCCCTCCTCCCTCAGACCCAGGAGTCCAGACTCCAGCCCCTCCTCCCTCAGACTCAGGAGTCCAGGCCCCCAGCCCCTCCTCCCTCAGACCCCGGAGTCCAGGCCCAGCCCCTCCTCCCTCAGACCCAGGAGTCCAGACTCCAGCCCCTCCTCCCTCAGACCCAGGAGTCCAGACTCCAGCCCCTCCTCCCTCAGACCCAGGAGTCCAGGTCCCAGCCCCTCCTCCCTCAGACCCAGGAGTCCAGGTCCCAGCCCCTCCTCCCTCAGACCCAGGAGTCCAGACCCCAGCCCCTCCTCCCTCACACCCAGGAGTCCAGACCCCAGCCCCTCCTCCCTCAGACCCAGGAATCCAGACCCCAGCCCCTCCTCCCTCAGACCCAGGAGTCCAGACTCCAGCCCCTCCTCCCTCAGACTCAGGAGTCCAGACTCCAGCTCCTCCTCCCTCAGACTCAGGAGTCCAGACTCCAGCTCCTCCTCCCTCAGACCTAGGAGTTCAGACCCGCAGCCCCTCCTCCCACAGACTCCTTCCACAGAGTCCAGGCCTCCAGCCCCCTTGTCTCTCAGACTCTGGAGTTTGGGCCCCACGATCCCCTCCTTTCTCAGACCCAAGAGTCAGGACCCCCCAGGCCATCATTTACCCACAGCCAGGGCAGGGCAAATCCTCCACATCATCTCAAGGAAGGAGAATGTGGGTGGCAGGATGAGGCCAATTACTCCTGCAAGAAAAAAATGAGGCAAGAGGATCCCTTGAGGCTAGGTGTTTAAGTCCAGCCTGGGCCACATGGCAAGACCCCATGGCTACATTAGGAAAAAAAAAAAAAAATGGCCGGGTGTGGTGGCTCACGCCTGTAATCTCAGCACTTTGGGAGGTCGAGGTGGGCGGATCACCTGAGGTGGGAAGTTCGAGACCAGCCTGACCAACATGGAAAAACCCCATCTCCACTAAAAACACAAAATTAGCCAGGCGTGGTGGTGCATGCCTGTAGTCCCAGCTACTCGGGAGGCTGAGGCAGGAGAATCACTTGAACACGGGAGGCGGAGGTTCCAGTGAGCCGAGATCGCACCACTGCACTCCAGCCTGGGCAACAAAGAGCGAAACTCCATCTCAAAAAAAAAAAAAACAAAAACAAAAACTAGTCAGGTGTGGTGGTGCATGGTCGTAGTCCCAGTTACTTGGGAGGCTGAGGTGGGAGGATTTTGAGCCCAGGAGGTCGAGGTATCAGTGAGCTATAATTGCACCACTGTACTCCAGCCAGGGTGACAGAGAAAGACCCTGTCTGAAAAAGAAAAAAACAAAAACAAAAACAAAAGAAAAAGAATGAGGGGACCGGGCACGGTGGCTCATGCCTGTAATCCCAGCACTTTGGGATGCCAAGGCAGGTGAATCATCTGAGGTTAGGAGTTTGAGACCAGCCTGACCAACATGATGAGACCCCTCTTCTCTAATAAAAATATAACAATTAGCCAGGTGTGGTGGTGGGTGCCTGTAATTCCAGCTACTCAGGAGGCTGAGGCAGGAGAATCACTTGAACCCGGGAGGCGGAGGTTATAGTGAGCCAAGATTGCGCCACTGCACTCCGGCCTGGGCGACAAGAGCGAAACTCTGTCTAAAAGAAAAAGAATGAGGGGACTGGAGCTAGCACTGCTGAGTCATGTGGGAGGATAGGGCTAGGGACTCCAGGGTCTCACCCATGGGCTCCCAGCCTGCCAGTGCCTCCTCCTGGGTGGATGCCTGGATTGCATGGTAGTGGAGCAGCTGCTGGGCCAGCTGGACGTCCCCGTCTCGAACCTCTCGAACAGCCCGCCCAGTCACCAGGGATTCCAGGGTCCACAGCAGCCGCTGGTGCTTCTGGATCACCTCGGCCAGCCTGTCGAGAAAGCAAGAGGGTGCTCATTTTCCAACGGCCCTCAGCCTTGCAGAGTCCTGGGCTGCTCCTATATACCTGGACTACAATCCCCATGAGCCCCTGAGGCATCCCCACCATTTACCTGGGGCAGAGGGCAGTGAAGATTTATGAGAATTATAGTCATGGAAACACAAACCCTGAGGATGCTGTGTAAAGGTCTTGGCCGCCGGAAATCCCTGAAGCTTTTGGGAAATTGAGTCTTAGCTTCTAACCTCAATTGCGTTTTGGGAAATGGAATTTTTGTCTCTAGCTTCCCCGCAAGCGGCTAGGAAATGGATTTAGGGGCTTCACCAGCCCCAGTGAACTGAGCCCCAATGCACTCCAAGAATGTCCTGGGAAATAGAGGCTTTGTGGCTTCTAGTCCCAGTGAATAGTGGACAACGGATGCATGTTTCAGCCACGACTGCCTCCAGCACATACTGGGAATCTGAGCCTTAGCTGCAAATTAATTCAGTGGGATCTTGGGAAATAGCCTTTGTTCCCATGGTCTCGAGTGGATGCTGGGGTTCCCCGCCTCCCGGGGTCCACACCTCAGCTGCATCACCTGGTCAGGTGCTGGGCCCGGACGACGCCGGGGTGCGCACTCCAGCCCTTAAATGCCATCCTGGCTGCCTCCACGGCTGCAGCCACATCCTCGGCCTGTGCCTGCAGGCAACTGGCCAAGTTCTCTCCTGGGGAGAAAAGTGGGGGGACTCAGATGGGAGGAGTAGCCCATGTCATATCTGGAGGGGGCTGAGATTTTCGGAGCCTGGATCAGCCCAAGAGTGTAAAGCTGGTCCCCATTCTCTGCTGGGTCACGGCTATGATCACCTCCAGGGCAAGGAAGCTATTTTAACAGACAGCAGTCTCACAAAGCCTCCACAGAGACCCGGAACCATAATTAGGGTGACTGGTTTCAGAAGGAACCAGACATCGCAGCCCATCTCCCACCACCAGCTGTTTCCTGCCCTCAGGGCCCTAGGCAAGGGGAATGGGTGTTGGTGGGTAGGGCTAGAGGGCACAGATACCTCCCTTCCACTAATGACTGGGGGACATCTCGTACCTGTGATGGGATCCTGGCAAGGCACTGAATTTCTGTGTTCAGGCTTTAACCACTTCCCATTCACATAGTGGCCCAAGCACCGGTCCTGGGTGTCCAGCCAGGCCTGGGGGAGGTAGAGACAGTTTGGAAAGGGGTTCGGGAGGAGCTGGGGCAGTTCAACCCCTACCCAGAATCCTCTAGGAGGGGACGTCTGTCTCCCTCTGCCCCATCAGCTAATTCTTTTCCTCCTATTGCTTTAAAAAAAAAGTTTGTGGTAAAATAGAGCATTTCAAAGTGTATAGTTCAGCAGTTTAGTGGCATTCTGTGCATTTACAGTGTTGTGTAACCATCACCACTCTAGTTCTAGAACATTTTTTCATTTTTTTTTTTTGAGACTGAGTCTTGCTCTGTCACCCAGGCTGGAGTGCAGTGGCATGATCTCAGCTCACTGCAAGCTCCGCCTCCTGGGTTCACGCTATTCTCCCGCCTCAATCTCCTGAGTAGCTGGGACTACAGGCGCCCGCCACCACATGCGGCTAGTTTTGTTTTTGTATTTTTAGTAGAGACGGGGTTTCACCATGTTGGTCAGGCTGGTCTTGAACTCCTGACCTCAAGTGATCTGCACGCCTTGGCCTCCCAAAGTGCTGGGATTATGGATGTGTCAACATCTTTAATTCATTCAATTAGGGTCTCAACTGAGTCCTTGGGCTGGTGCCACAACAGTGGCACCTATTTGGAGTCCACTTTGGGAGGCCGAGGTGGTCTGAGCCTAGGCATTCAAGACCAGCCTGGGCAACATGGTGAAAGCTCATCTCTACAAAAAATACAAAAAGTTAGCCGGGTGTGGTGGTGAGTGCCTGTAGTCCCAGCTACCTGGGAGTCTGAGGTGGGAGGATCACTTGAGCCCAGGAGGTAGAGGCTGTAGTAAGCCAAGATCACGCCACTGCACTCCAGCCTGAGTAACAGAGCAAGGCTCTGTCTCAAAGAAAAAAAATTTTTTTACCACATCTCACTCACCACATCTCCTCCATATTTCTTTCTTTCTTTTTTTTTTTTTTGTTTGAGACAGAGTCTTGCTCTGTCACCCAGGCTGGAGTGCAGTGGCGCGATCTCTGCTCACTGCAAGGTCCGCCTCCTGGATTCACGCCATTCTCCTGCCTCAGGCTCCCGAGTAGCTGGGACTACATGCGCCTGCCACCACGCCTGGCTAATTTTTTTGTATTTTTAGTAGAGATGGGGTTTCACTGTGTTAGCCAGGATGGTCTTGATCTCCTGACCTCGTGATCCGCCCGCCTCGGCCTCCCAAAGTGCTGAGATTACAGGCGTGAGCCACTGCGCCCGGACTTCTCCTCCATATTTCTTTCTCATCCTGGTCACGTCTTCCCTGATGCTAAATCCAAAGCACACTGCTCACTTGCTCCTTCTACAGACTCCCCTAGCATCTCTGATGTCACATATTCCTGATTTTTCTCTTACTGGCCCTTCTTTCTTTTTTTTTTTTGAGATGGAGTCTTGCTCTTGTCTCCCAGGCTGGAGTGCAATGGTGCGATCTCAGCTCACTGCAACCTCCGCCTCCTGGGTTCACGTGATTCTCCTACCTCAGCCTCCCAAGTAGCTGGGATTACAGGCGGCCGCCACCATGCCCAGCTAATTTATATATTTCTAGTAGAGATGGGTTTTTACCATGTTGGCCAGGCTGGTCTCGAACTCCTGGCCTCAGGTGATCCACTCGCCTCGGCCTCCCAAAGTGCTGGGATTACAAGCATGAGCCACTGTGCCTGGCTTCTCCTTTCTCTTTAAAGCAAAAAAGTTACTTAGAAGTTCCAAACTCAAACGCCCACAGGGAGAGAGACATCTGTGAGAAAGTCAGGGATATTTGAACATGAACTGGGCATCAGATGACATTAAAGAATGATTGTTGGCCGGGCATGGTAGCTCACATCTGTAATCCCTGCACTTTCCCACGCTGAGACGGGAGGATTGCTTGAGCTGAGGAGTTTGAGACTAGTCTGGACCTACACAGCAAGACCCCATCTCTACAAAAATAAAAGTAAAAAATTTGCCAGTCATGATGATGCACACTTGTAGTCTCAGCTAGTCAGGAGGCTGGGGTGGGAGGATTGCTTGGGTCCAGGAGTTTCAGGCTGCAGTGAGCTATGAACGCTACTGAATGCTAGCCTGGGCGACAGAGTAAGATCCTGTCTCAAACAAACAAACAAAAAACAAAAAGAATGACTTAATGTTAAGTGTGGTAACAGACCATGGTAGTTTTGTAACAAAATGAGCCCTTATCTGTTAGAAGAAAGGATTCAAATATTTATAGGAAAATACTGTGACATCCAGGATTTGTTTAAATTACTCCAAAGAAAATACAGAAGGAAACAGCGCTGGGATAAATGTTGATGATGGTTGAGGCACAGTGATGGGTAAACAGGAGTTCAAAATAAATGCTAATTATTCTGTGCAAGTTGGAAAGCTTCCCCCCAAAAGAAAAACAAAATTCCAAAAGAATGTCCAGAGGGTTCCAGGAGGCCTGAGAAGAGGGCCTGGATGAGAAGAGGAGCTTAACGATTCATGGAAAAGACAGGAGCTATTGGTCCCAGATGACTTTTGTCAGGGAAGTTGAGCCAAATGTTGACACATTTTGGAATTTTATTTTCAAGAGGACCTCCCGGATGTTTACATGGAATCAATTGTCCAGCATTTCACATAAAAAAAAAATAAAGTTCACGCCAAAGAAAACATGTTTGTTGGTTGAGTCTGGCCCAGAGACTGTACGGTTGAGAACTTTGCTGGTGTAGGCAAGACCACGGGTCTGAAATGCAAGGACTCAAGTCCAAGTCTCAACTTCACTTTTTATGTTTTATTTTTATATTAATAGAGATAGGGCCTCACCATGTTGCCCAGGCTGGTCTCAAACTCCTAGGTGCGAGTGATCCTCCTGCCTCGGTCTCCCAAACTGCTGGGATTACAGGTGTGAGCCACTTGCCTGGCCTCAACTTCTTTTTTTTTCAGGGGGGACAGGGTCTTATTCTGTCACCCAGGCTGGAGTTCAGTGGTATGATCACTGCACCTCCCAGGCTCAGGTGATCCTCCCACCTCAGCCTCCCGGGTAGCTGGGACTACAGGTGTGTGCTGCCATCCTCGGCTAATCTTTTGTTTTCTGTTTCCTTTTTTTTTTTTTTTTTTTTTTGAGATGGAGTTTTGCTCTTGTTGCCCAGGCTGGAGTGCAGTGGCGTGGTCTCGGCTCACTGCAATCTCCACCTCCTGGGTTCAAGCGATTCTCCTGCCCCAGCCTCCCAAGTAGCTGGGATTACAGGTGCCTGCCACCACGCCCAGCTAATTTTTTGTATTTTTAGTAGAGATGGGTTTCACCATCTTGGCCAGGCTGGTCTCGATCTCCTGACCTCATGATCCGCCCGCCTCGGCCTCCCAAAGCGCTGGGATTACAGGTGTGAACCACTGCGCCCAGCCATTTTTGTATTTTTTTTGGAGACAGCGTCTTGCTCCGTTGCCCAGGCTGGAGTGCAGTGGTGCAATCTCAGCTTACTGCAACCTCTGCCTCCTGGATTCAAGCAATTCTCCCACCTCAGCCTCCCAAGTAGCTAGGATTACAGGCAAACACCACCACGCTCAGGTAATTTTTGTATTTTAGTAGAGATGGGGTTTCACCATGTTGGCCAGGCTGGTCTCGAACTCCTGACCTCAGGTGATCCGCCCACCTAGGACTCCCAAAGTGCTGGGATTACAAGTCTGAGCCACCACGCCTGGCCCAATGTTTTGTATTTTAGTAGAGACGAGGTTTCACTATGTTGCCCAGGCTGGTCTCGAATTCCTGAGCTCAGGCGATCTGCCCGTCTTGGCCTCCCCAAGTTCTAGGCTGTGCCAGGGTTCTGATCCAGTTCCTTCCACTTGGATCATTGCTCTGGCCTCCTGCCCTCCCCCTCAAAGAAGCCTAAGCTCCTTTCGCCTGGGTGCTGGGGGACCCTGGGGGATCATGAGAGCCCCGTGAAGGAATTCTGAGAGTGCCTGGGGAAACGACAGAAAGTTTGAGGTGCCCTACTCATTTGCAGGAACCCCACGAGGGTTCTGGGGGCCTCTGAGGGGTCATGGGAGTCCTAGGGAGGTTCTGAGGACCCCCAGGGGATCATGGGACCCTCACGAGGACTTCAGGGGTTCCTGAACAATCATGGGAACCCTATGGGACATTCTGAGAGCTAGAGAGATCATAGGAGCCCCGTGAGGGTATTGTGAGGGGCCATAAGTAATTACAGGAAGTCCTGATGTGGCTGGGTGCAGTAGCTCACGCCTGTAATCCCAGCACTTTGGGAAGTCGAGGTGGGTGGATCACTTGAGGCCAGGAGTTCGAGACCAGCCTGGCCAACATGCTGAAACCTTGTCTCTAGAAAAAGTACAAATATTAGCTGAGAGTGGTGGCGCGCGTCTCTGGTCCCAGTTACTTGGGGGGCTGAGGTGAGAGGATGGCTTGAGCCCAGGAGGTTGAGGCTGCAGTGGTGTGATAGCGCCAGTGCACTTCAGTTTGGGCGACAGAGTGAGACCCTGGCTCAAAAAAAAAAACAAAAAAAAAACCCAACCCAAACCGGAAGTCCTGATGTATTCTAGGCTCCTGAGAGTTCCGATGAGGTCACATGAACCCCACGAGTATTGAGGGGTCCTATGGGATCACGGGGGCTCCATGGAAGTTCTGAAGGTCTCTGGGTAATCAAAGGGATGAAGGGAGTCCCTCAGGAGGTCTGGGGTGCTCTGGAGGCCCATGGAAGCCATAGGATGTTTTGAAGAGTCGTGGAAAGACAATGGGGGTTGTGGGTCACTGGAGCCTCACAGGAATCCTAAGGGGTCTGGTGGGTGGCGTCAGGTTCTGAGGGGACCCTGAGGAATCACGAGAGCGTCTAGAGGAGTTCAGGAAAACCGCGGAAACACTACGAGGAGTTCAGGATCAAGGGGCAAGAGAACCAGTGGGGAAGACCGGAACAGACTAAAAGGCTGCCACCGCCAAGGCTCAAGGGAGCGTCCTACAGGGCGCGATCCTATTGGGCGGCGGGAATCACGGGGACTAAGAGAGGCGGAGCGGCTGAGCTACCGCAGTGGATGACGGGACTCCCCGCGAAAAACCGGGCGCCCAGGCCTGGGGAACGCAGCGAGCAGCGCCGGCCGGGCAGACTCTCACCAGTGCGCATGCGTGGCTCTCCGGCACCGGTCCGTACTCCAGCGAGGTGAAGATCTCGCGGGCGCGGGGCCCTGCACGCGTCGCAGCCATCGCCTACCCCGAACGCTTTCCGCGAAGACTGCGGGGCGCTCTGTGTTAAGGGGAACCTTGAGGTCCGAAGAGCGACACCTCCGGTTCCAGCCCAAAGGGGCGGGGCTAATGGGAATGGGGTGGGGCTACAAGATACAGAGAGCAGCCACGCCCACACTTTTTCCTTAGGACCCGATGGCCCCGCCTACGTCCCCCACGGGGAAGCGTATTTAGGAGCATGCGCACTGCTTAAAACGGGGAGGAAGGGGAGACGGCGATGTGGGTACTTTGCGAATAGTTAGGAGGGCTCCGGATTTATGAGGATCGGCGTGGCCGGGCACGATGGCTCTTGGCTGTAATCCCAGCACTTCGGGAGGCCGAGGCGGGCGGATCACCTAAGGTCGGGAGTTCGAGACCAGCCTGACCAATTTGGTGAAACCCCGTCTCTACTAAAAATACAAGCATTAGCCGAGCTGTGGTGGTGCGCGCCTGTAATCTCAGCTACTCAAGAGGCTGAGGCGGGAGAATCACTTGAACCCAGAAGGTGTACGTTTCAGTGAGCCGAGATCGCGCCACTGCACTCCAGCCTGGGTGGCAAAGGGAGACTGTGTCTAAAAAAAAAATAGTAATAAAAAAAAAGGGTCGTCCTATTGATGCGTCTTCCCAGTGCCTTGTTTTATAGTAGCAGGAAGTGCAGGTTTTGTTTTACCTTTTATTTTCTTGAGACAGGGTCTCCCTCTGTCGCCCAGGGCTGGAGTGCAGTGGTCCGATCACGGCTTACTGTCGCCTCGACTTTTCAGGTTTAAACATTACTCCTGCGTCAGCCTGCACAGTAGCTGGGACTACAGGCAGGTGCCATCAAGCCTGGCTAATTTTTTTTTTTTTTTTTTTTTTGGTAGAGACAGGATCTTGCTATGTTGCTCAGGCTGGTCTCGAACTCCTGGGCTCAAGCGATCCTCCTACCTCGGCCTCCCAGCCTCAAAGTGCAGCTTTTCTAATTATATTGACTAGAGGTCTAGATCTAGATCTAGACCTGGCGGGTCTAGATCTGGACGTATTAGGATCTAGAGCTGGCAGGAAGTGATAATTCAAAGATAAAAAGGGTACCTTTTAGGATGGACATTGAGATTAAGGTTTGGAAAATGCAACCTTCACTGCAAAGTAAGGGGGCCAGTTTTGGTTGTGGAAAGAGTGGAAGTCTGGCGCTTTTTTTTTTTTTTTAAGAGATGGGGTGTGGGACGTTATCTCATTGTATTGCCCAAGCTGGTTTCGAACTCCTGGCCTCAAGCGATCCTCTTGCCCTGGCCTTCCAAAGTGCTGGGACTACCGGTAGGAGCCACAGCGCCCAGCCGGAAGTGTGGCTTTCATAGATACAGGAAGTGTGGCACTCAGGGATCCGCCTTGGGGTTTATTTTTGATTGATGCGAGGGGCGTGGCTTGTCGATAACGCGATACCAGCTTGTGAATGAACACTGGGGTACTCGGAAGTGTGGCATACTCCAGTCCTGTGTTTACCGATAGACCGGAAGTGTGGCTTCGTTTACAGTTCGGCACGTAGGACGGAGGGTAGTGCGTCTAGAGACACATATTCCCCACGGATTTGACGATGGTGTTCGGTCTTGAATGGAAATGTAGTCTTAGGCCAGTCTTAGGTTTTTGAACAGGATAGTAGGTATCCGGAGTCGATTGAGGGCCAGAGCAGGCACTGGGGTTCGGATCCTGGGCAAAGTTTCCCACGTTGAGGGTCTCGAGGACGCCTAGATCTCTTTCCCAGGGCCATGGCGAACCCGAAGCTGCTGGGAATGGGGCTAAGCGAGGCGGAGGCGATCGGTGCTGATTCGGCGCGATTTGAGGAGCTGCTGCTGCAGGTGCAGTGACCGGACCCCTGGATCCTTGAGTATTCGGGGATTTTGGCGGGGTGCTCAAAGATGGGACTGCAGTTCCCAGAATGCACTAAGGCGGGAACCAGGCCTCGGGGAATTGAGGTTAATGGGCTTCAAGTTTGCTAAGAAATGGGAGTGGGGGGCCGGGCGCGGTGGCTCACACCTGTAATCCCACCACTTTGGGAGGCCGAGGCGGGCGGATCACGAGGTCAGGAGATCGAGACCATCCTGGCTAACACGGTGAAACCCCGTCTCTACTAAAAATACAAAAAATTAGCCGGGCGTGGTGGCGGGCACCTGTAGTCCTAGCTACTGGAGAGGCTGAGGCAGGAGAATGGCGTGAACCCGGGAGGCGAAGCTTGCAATGAGCCGAGACCTCGGCACTGCACTCCAGCCTGGGCGACAGAGTGAGACTCCGTCTCCAAAAAAAAAAAAAAAAAAAAAGAAATGGGAATGGGGTTGGGGTTGTTCTTCTAGTTCTCAAAGGAGAAAGGGGACCTAAACCGTCTAATTTCTCGCGTTATCCACAGCTCTCATGCATAAGAATTGCTCCATTTGAGGAACAAATGAGGGGTCTGATGGCACAGACTCCGAGCCTGGAGGTAGTTTTCCTTTATACAGGCCTCGAAGGAGCTCCAGCAAGCCCAGACAACCAGACCAGAATCGACACAAATCCAGCCTCAGCCTGGTGAGAAAGGACACCGGAGAGAGAGGGACAGGAGACCCAGGGAGAGGACAGAGAGAGGAGGAAGGAAAGAGACACGAAAATAAAGGCCTAGGGTGGGGGTGGGGTGAGCAGACACCCACAGAGATCATCCTAGGACAGAAAGGAGTTGGAGGACAGAGTAGGAGTAGGTAGGGGGCCAGAGAATCAGAGATAGGAAGAGGCCAGGTGCGGTGGCACGTGCCTGTAGTCCCAGCTACTGGGGAGGCTGAGACAGGAGAATTGCTGGAACCCAAGAGGCAGAAGTTGCAGTGGGTGGAGATCGCACCACTGTACTGCAGCCTGGGTGACAGAGCGAGACTCTGTCTCAAAAACAAAACGAAACAAACAACAACAACAAAGATAGGAAGAGAGGCTGGGCACAGTGGCTCACATCTGTAATTCCATCACTTTGGGAGGCCGAGGTGGAAGGATTGCTTGAGGCCAGGCATTCAAGACCAGCCTGTGCAACATAGTGAGACCTCATCTCTACTAAAAATAAACAAAATTAGCTGGACTTGGTGGGTGCGTGCCTGTAGTCATAGCTACTCACGAGGCTGAGGTGGGAGGCTCACTTGAGCCAGGTGGAAGAGACTGCGGTGAGCCAAGATCGTACCACTGCACTCCAACCTGGGTGACACAGTGAGACCCTGTCTCAAAAAACAAACAAGGAGAAAACAAAGAAGAGAGGGGGCCGGGAGCCCAGCACTTTGGGAGGCCAAGGCGGGAGGATCACCTGAGGGCAGGAGTTTGAGATCAGCCTGGCCAACATGGTGAAACTCCATCTCTACTAAAAATACGAAAATTAGCCGGGCGTGGTGGTGGGCGCCTATAATCCCAGCTACTTGGGAGGCTGAGGCATGAGAATTGCTTGAACCTGGGAGGTGGAGGTTGCAGTGAGCCGAGATCACGCCACTGCACTCCAGCCTGGGTGACAGAGTGAGAGTCTGTCTCAAAAAAAAAAAAAAAAAAGAGAAGTGAGGGATCTCGGGTGGGGAGTGGAACAAAAAAGGGGGACAGGGCAAAAGGAAAAGAGACAGAGCCTGGAGACAATGGATGGGGACTGGGACTTGTGCAGAAAAGGATTGTCATGACTAACCCACTCCCACCAGGTTTCTGCATAAAGACCAACTCCTCGGAAGGGAAGGTTTTCATCAACATCTGCCACTCCCCCTCTATCCCTCCTCCCGCCGACGTGACCGAGGAGGAGCTGCTTCAGATGCTAGAGGAGGACCAAGCTGGGTTTCGCATCCCCATGAGTCTGGGAGAGCCTCATGCAGAACTGGATGCAAGTCAGTGCCCTCAGAGGACCCAGGAGTCTGGCCCGCTAGGCCCCTTCTTCCCTAGAACCCAAGAATCCTGGGCCCAGGACCCTCCTCCCTCAGCTCCTGGAGATCTGGCCCCTCGATCTGATTCTTTTCCCTATGGTAGATCTCTAGTGCCCTGGACATCCCACACCCGGGCAGTCCTGGTTCTGCCACCTGGCCAGGCTGGCACTTTTCCATGCCCCACTCCAGGGCCGGGAGGCCTGGGCAGAGTGCTCTTCGTGCATTAGCGGATCTCCTGGCTTTAGTCCTGAGCCTGCTGTCTCCTTCTTTTTTCTTTCTTTCTTTTTTTTTTTCTTGTGATGGAGTTTCGCTCTTGTTGCCCAGGTTCAGACGATTCTCCTGTCTCAGGCTCCCAAGCAGCTGGGATTACAGGTGTGCTCCACCACACCCAGCTAATTTTTGTATTTTTAATAGAGACGGGGTTTCGCCACGTTGGCCTGGCTGGTCTCAGACTCCTGACCTCAGGTGATCCACCGCCTCAGCCTCCGAAAGTGCTGGGATTACAGGTGTGAGCCACTGCACCCAGCCTGCGGCTCTCTCTTTCATCCTGTTTTCTCCTCTGCCCTTCTCCCTTTCTCCATCTCTGTCTTGCCTCACCTCTGTCCCTGTTTCTGCCTCTATATCCTTTTTTCAATATGTCTCTTGAAGCTTTCTGGGACCAAGCTCTAGGCAGTGCCCCGGGGAATAAGGACCTATGAAATGCACATTCCACGTTCCAGAAACTCGCTGTCATGGGTGGGGCTCAAGGAGATGGATGCAGTATCAATAGGGTGTGATTCACGCTGCTTTGGAGGGGGGCACCCAGCACAGCCTTGAGAGGGCTCGTCACCCACATGAAGGGGTCAGGGAAGGCTTCCTGGAGGAGGGGGTGTGGGATAAGATTTGAAGGAACAGGAGGAGTTCAGCAGGCAGACAGAAGAAGGTTCTAGGTAGAGCGGCCCAGAGCTGGGAGAGAATGATTGGATTGGATCAGCCAGTAATGGAGAGTGACTGAAAGAAATTCAGTGGGCCGAGGTTGCTAGAAGAATGAGGTCTTCTCCAGAGGTGGGAGGGGCAGACCACATAGGGTCTCCAACGCCAGGCTTGTGGGGCTCAGACCTTCACTTGGGAGCACTGGGGAGCCAGAGAAGAGCTGTGAGCAGGGAAGGGATAGGGTCAACTCTAGTGACATCACACTGATGGACAGGAGATAAGAGGCCAGGGAGGAGGCTGGGCGGAGAGTCCAGAGCGGAAAGTGAGTGCCCAGCTCTCACTTCCTTATGTCTCTCTCTGCTTCTTACGGCCGCTGTCCCTGAATGTTTCTTCCCTGTCTGGGTCTGGGCTGTGGGCTTCCTGCAGAGGGCTGGGGGGTCCTCACCCCCTTTTTCTCCCCGCAGAAGGCCAGGGATGTACCGCCTACGACGTAGCTGTCAACAGCGACTTCTACCGGAGGATGCAGGTTGGGGGCGGGGCTGCGGTTGAGGCCTGGGCAGGGGTCTCTACCCCTACCCTCCCCGCCACCGCCTGTCTTTTCCCTCTCTGTCACCCCAGAACAGCGATTTCTTGCGGGAGCTCGTGATCACCATCGCCAGGGAGGGCCTTGAGGACAAATACAACTTGCAGCTGAATCCGGGTGAGGGGCAGGTCCTGGGCCCTCGGGAAAGAGTGGAGCCAGGAGCGGTTTGGGGAACACCCCTAGGAGAGGAGGGGCTGGCTTGGGCAGGGTGCCCTGGAGTCTGTGCTACTAGGAGGGGGTGGAGTCTGGACGCCCTGAGGGGGCGGGGCCAGGAACATCTCCAGGGGTGGGTTTTATTGGGGCATATCATGGGAGGGGCGTGACTAAGGTGGGCGGGCTTCCTGGAGCCAAGCCTGCGGGGTGTGGTCAGACCCCAAGAGTCCTGGTGAGCCGGTGGAGCCTATCCCGGGAGGCTCTTGGCCCCCACAAAGGGAACCCTGACCTGTACGATGTTTGACGGCGCTCCTGACCCTCAGAATGGCGCATGATGAAGAACCGGCCATTCATGGGCTCCATCTCGCAGCAGAACATCCGCTCGGAGCAGCGTCCTCGGATCCAGGAGCTGGGGGACCTGTACACGCCCGCCCCCGGGAGAGCTGAGTCAGGGTGGGCCTTCGGTAGATCCCCGGTCTGATGTTTCCTCAACGCTCTTGGGAATCCCTCCCTCCATCCTCCCACACTGGGTGATGTCCTGGGGCCCTGGGCACTGAGAGAGGGAGGAGAGAGAACTCCTGACTGGGAAGGCGTCCTGAGGCCAATAGGGCTGGTTGGAGGGAGAAAAGGGACAGCACGCCAGGCAAAGACCTGGCAGCTGTGCTCAGCCCTGGACCTTGTTCCTCCTCAGGCCTGAAAAGCCTCACCTGAACCTGTGGCTGGAAGCCCCCGACCTCCTCTTGGCCGAAGTTGACCTCCCCAAACTGGTGAGTTTTGCGCGCTGGACCAGAGCAGGGGAATGAGGTCTGGAAAGGTCAGGGACTGTCTCTGAGTGTGAGTGACAAGGGGTTGTTGCTGGACTTGTCAGTTGCGTCCTCTCTGCCAGGAGGCCCACAGGCCACCTTCTGGTGCTGTCCTGAGGGCGCCCAAGGGATTGTAAGTGCTCGGTCGTTGAGACTTGTAATTGCTGTCTTCTGTCTCTTCCTGGGAGATTAGACCCTTCAAATATAGTTTCCCAGCGTGTGAGGCTACCATGCCTGGTCCAGGTGATCATCCTGTTGCTGGGGAGGGTGACCTGATTCCGCCACCTCTCCAGGATGGAGCCCTGGGGCTGTCGCTGGAGATCGGGGAGAACCGCCTGGTGATGGGGGGCCCCCAGCAGCTGTATCATCTAGACGCTTATATCCCGCTGCAGATCAACTCTCATGAGAGCAAGGCAGCCTTCCACCGGAAGAGAAAGGTGCCTGGGGGAGGGGCTTGGGGAAGCTGGGACATTGGCGGGGCCTGGACTCTGTCTCCCAGGGAGGGGGGCTGGGAGCTGGACTTCTGGGTCCTGGATCCTCATTCTCTTTGCTCTGTCTCCTCAGCAATTAATGGTGGCCATGCCGCTTCTGCCGGTGCCTTCTTGATCAGGGTGTCTCCTTGTGCTTCTGAGATGTGGAGAAGAGGCTGCTGGCTTCCCTAAAAGTTGAAATAAAAGATTTTTGCCTTTGTTCTGTCTCTGACTGGGGATATGTGGGTGTTGGGAGGGAAGAGGGACATTGGGCTGTGCCCCTCCAGTCCTATAGAGGTCACTGCCCCAGCTCAGGCCTCATCCTTCCCCCTGGATCCTCCCTGAAGCCTCCTGGCCTCCAGTCTCCCTTGTTAATCCTCCCCAGGCCCCAGAGCTGGCCCTGCACTTTCCTTCTTCACAGCCCTCCTGTGGCTCCCCAGCCGCCCTGGGAGAAGGTCCAAGCCCCTCAGCCAAGCACTCAAGGCTCTGTGTGATCTGAGCCCCGGGTCATGGCTCACTTTTATGTTTAAGAGACAGGGTTGTCAGGCACGGTGGTTCACACCTGTAATCCCAGCACTTTGGGAGGCCGAGCTGGGTGGATCACCTGAGGTCAGGAGTTCAAGACTAGCCTGGCCGACATGGTGAAACCCGGTCTCTACTAAAAATACAAAAATTAGCTGGGCATGGTGGCGCAAACCTGTAATCCCAGCTACTCGGGAGGCTGAGGCGGAGGTTGCAGTGAGCCGAGATCGTGCCATTGCACTCCAGTCTGGGCTACAAGAGCGAAACTCCGTCTCAAAAAAAAAAAAAAAAAAAGGATCTCACTCTGTCACTGGAGTGCAGTGGTGCAATCATGTAGCTCACTGCAGCCTGGAACTCCTGGGTTCGAGTGATCCTCCCACATCAGCCTCTGAGTAGCTAGGATGACAGGCATGCACCATTGTGCCCAGCTAATTTTATTTTTTGCATTTTTTTAGAGATGAGGTCTTGCTATGTTGCCCAGGTTGGTCTTGAGTTCTTGGCCTCAAGTGATCCTCCCACCATGGCCTCCCCAAATACTGGGATTACAGGCGTGAGCCACTGTGCCCAGCCTAGTTTTGACCTCTTCCTCTAACTGGAGCCCAGTCATACTGAACAGTGTCCTGACCACACCCATTTTCCCTCATCTCTTAGTTTCTGCTGTTCCTGCTACTTTGTATCCTCTTCCCAGTACATCTGCAGAAGTTTCTTTCTTTATTCTTTCTTTCTTTTCCTTCCTTCCTTCCTTCCTTTCTCTCTCTCTTTCTTTCTTTCTTTTTTTTTTTGACAGAGTCTGGCTCTTAGGCCCACGCTGGAGTGCAGTGGTGCAATCCTGACTCACTCTGCAACCTCCCGAGTTCAAGTGATGGTTGCACCTCAGCCTCCCAAGTAGCTGTGACTACAGGTGCCACCATGCCCAGCTAATTTTTAAATATTTTTTATAGAGACGGGGTCTCCATCTGTTGCCCAGGCTGGTCTCGAACTCCTGAGCTCAAGTGATCAGCCCTCCTCAGCCTCTCAAAGTGCTGGGATTACAGGAGCGCCCTGCCTTGATAAATATTTCTTGAGTTAATAAGTGATTGTTGAGGCCGGGCACAGTGGCTCACACCTGTAGTCCCAGAACTTTGGGAGGCCAAGGCGGGCGGATCACCCAAGGTCGGGAGTTTGAGACCAGCCTGACCAACATGGAGAAACCCCGTCTCTTACTAAAAATACAAAATTAGCCTGGCGTGGTGGCAAGCGCCTATAATCCCAGCTACTAGGGAGGCTGAGGCAGGAGAATTGCTTGAACCCAGGAGGCGGAGGTTGCTGTGAGCCCAGATGGCGCCATTGCACTCCAGCCTGGGCAACAAGAACGAAACTCCATCTCAAAAAAAAAAAAAAAAAAAAAAAAGTGATGGTCTATACCCTCCTCTTCTTTAGTGAATCCTAGGATCATCAGTAGATGGAGGAACTTCAGTGGTAAATGCTCAAAGCACAATGTGAGTTAGTGGGGCATGGTGGTGCACACCTGTTGTCCTCAGCTACTCGGGAGGCTGAGGTGGGAGCCCAGGGAGGTTAAGACTGCAGTGAGCTGCCCCTGGGCGACAGAGTGAGACCCTGTCTCAAAAAGGAAGGAAGGGAGGAAGGAAAGGAGGAAGGAAGGAAAGAAGGAAGAAAGAAGGAAAAAGAAGAGAAAGAAAAAGGAAGGAGGAAGGGGAAAGGAAGGAAGACAGAGAAAGAAGGAATGAAGGAAGGAAAGAAAAAAGAAGAGAAAGAAAAAGGAAGGAGGAAGGGGAAAGGAAGGAAGACAGAGAAAGAAGGAATGAAGGAAGGAAAGAAAAAAAGAAAAAGGAAGGAGGAAGGGGAAAGGAAGGAAGACAGAGAAAGAAGGAATGAAGGAAGGAAAGAAAAAAGAAGAGAAAGAAGAGGAAGGAAGGAAAGAAAAGGCAGGCAGGCAAGCACAATGTGTCTGCAATGGGGTGAATTGTGAGGGAGGGGGAGAAAAGACGGGGAAGAGGTCAGGGTGGGAGTGACTTCAGGTAGGGTCTTTCCGGCCGCGGAACGGATGAGCGAACGTGGGCGCCGTGTCCACCAGAGGGCGCAACCTTTCCCTGCCCATCGTCTCAGAGAACTACATCTCCCAGCGGCCCTCGGAGTGCGCGGCCCTTCTCAAACGAGCGCTGAGGCTCAGAGGCCGCTGGGACTTGTGGTTGGGACGGTGAGCCGCTGGAGGGGGCCGAGTAACTCATTCCCAGGTCCTGAAAAAGTGTGCGGCTGAGTCCTTTCCTCCTTCCTCGGTTTCCATGGCGATGGTTTCGGCAAAGGCCCAAGTTTTGGCAGCGGCGGGGCCCGCTTCCCACTCCCTCCTCTTCACCATCTGCTCCACCCTCACACCTGGCCCCAAGCCGCAACCACCGCCTCCGCACCCGGGCCGGGGACTCTGCAGCCACTGGGTGGCGCGTGTGAGCGGCTCCCGCGCTGCTACTTCAGCCCCACGAGTCCCAGTTCCTACCTCCCTCCTGCCTCAGACCCGCAGCGTCCTCCGTTCTGGGGTCCCAGGGGTTTCTCAAAGCTGTGAGACCCAGAGACACAGCCAGTCAAGGCTGGAAGCGAGAGGCTGCGGCGGTCAGTGGCTTCCCGGCCACCCCGTCCTTGGCGCCCGCCCGACGCGCCGTCTGCTCCTCCCACCCCACCGCGGGCCGCATCATGAAAATTTAATACCAAATGCATTTGCGGCCCGACGCGGGGAGGTAGTGGGGAAAGGATCACCCTCCTGGGGCCTGGATCTGGAGGTGGACTCAGCGCCGGGAGATGGGCTGGTCTGAGGACAGGAGCGGGGCGGGACCCTGTCTGCGGGCCCAGGACAGGGAAGGGCCGGGCTCTACCCAACGGGGCGGCGCTGGAATTCCGGCGTGGAGACAGAGTTCGGTGGGCGGGGACAGATTCCGGGGGTGGGAGCAGGACTGGGAGGGCAGGGACAGATCCCAGAGGCGGAGGCGGTGGGCGGGGGACAGATCCCATGGGGCAGGGGCAAGACTGGGAGGGCGGGGACAGATCTCAGGGGCGGAGGCCAGAGCTCGGTGGGCGGGGTCAGATTCCGGGGGCGGAGGCAGGACTGGGAGGTCGAGGACAGATCCCAGTGGCGAGGGTCAGAAGTCGGAGGGCGGGGACAGATCCCATGGGGCCGGGGCAAGACTGGGAGGGTAGGGAGAGATCCAGGGGGCGGGGAGAACTGGGTGGGCGGGGACAGATCCCATGGGGCAGGGGTAGAACACAGAGGGCGGGGACAGATCCCAGGGACGGAGGCCAGAACTCGGTGGGTGGGGACAGATTCCAGGGGGCAGAGATAGATCCTGTGGGGAAGGGGTAGAACTCAGATGGCAGGAACAGATTCCAGGGGGCAAGGACAGAACTGAGAGGGCGGGAACAGAGCCAGGGACAGATCCTAGGAGAAGGGGACACAACTCCAACGGTGGGGAGAGAACTCAGAGGGCGGGGGCAGAACTCAGGTCAGCGACAGATCCTAGGGGAGGAGACAAATTCAGAGGGCGGGTGAGGATGCCAGGGGGTGCGGATCACAATTTAGGGGGCGGGACAGATCTCAGGGGGTGGAGACAGAACTCAAATAGAGGAATGGATCCCCCGGAGCTAGGGAAGAACTCAGAGCGCGGACAGATCCCAGAGGAGCAGAGAAATAACACAATGGGGAGACTATGGGGTCGCAGCTGGCACTGGCGGGGTGTGTGAAATATAACTGTGGGGGGCGGAAGCCAGAGGGAAGAAAATCGGGGTTAGGGAATGAAACTCAGGGAGAGAAGCAACAGGGAGGAGAGAGACGCCGGAGGGAGAATAGAGCTGGAGGAGTATGGGATTCAAAGGGGAAAGATGGAAACTAAGGAGGAGATGGAGCTCAAGGGTGAAGAACCCGGGTGGCGAAAGGGACTAGAGGGGGACGACAGGTGGATCGAAGTAGGCGTTGGACTTGAGGGGAAAGAATTTCCCTTGAATGAGAAAACAAAGAACTCCCTGGATGAGACTATTGGAACTGGGGACGAGGTGGGATGGGGATGGAATTGCGGGGTGGGGGCGGGGAGGAGTGAAGGAACTGGAGGATGAACGCAGAGGGAAAGTCAGAGAAGACAGGATTGTAAGGGACGCAATTAGGGGGAACAGAAGTCGGGGAGAGAAATGATGGGGATGAGAACTCAGGAGAGGAGAGAAAATCTGGGTAGGAGCCAGGGGTGATGGAACAGGGATAGGGGGAGTAGCCTGGGGAAGGAACAGAATTGGGGGGCGTGAACTCGGAGGCGTGAGTTCAGAACCCACAGGCGTGGTCTTGGAAGGCTCAGGAGGGGACAGGACGAGGATGAAAGGGCTGCGAGAGGGGGCGGGTCTGACAGACGAGGGGAGGGGCCTGGTGGGGCCGGGGCGGGGCCTCCCGCGCCCCGCCCCCGGCGCTGAGTCCTGTGACAGCCCCCGGGCCGCCTGCACTTGCAGCCTCCTTCCCCCCGAGCGGAGCTGCGGGGCCGGCCGGGCCGGGGCTGGACCCCGGGAACCCGGACGCGGCCGCCCGGGCCCGCGGGCGGGGGGATCGGCGGGGGGGACCCGCGGGGTGACCGGCGGCAGGAGCCGCCACCATGGAGTTCCGCCAGGAGGAGTTTCGGAAGCTAGCGGGTCGTGCTCTCGGGAAGCTGCACCGGTGAGCCTGGCGGGGGTCCCGGGAGAAGAGTGGGAGGATCTGAGGAGGATGCTAATTCCCACCTGGGCGCAGACTGACAGATGAACGGGCGATACCCCGGCATGGGGGTCCACCCATCTGTCCAGTTTTCTGCCGTGGGCTCCGACGGCGCTGTTCTCCCTGGTCGAGCCTTGTCCATTATCCTGTTCCTTTTTCTGCACCCCACCCCACCCGGCTCCACTCTCTCTGGTGCTGTAAATGCCTCTCTCCCGGGTCTCTGGCTCCTCCCCCACCACTTCTGGGTCTCTGTCCCCGTCTCTTTCTGGATGTCTCTGCCCCTTTTCTCTCTGGGTCTCCGTCTCCCTCTTTTTCCAGATCTCGGCTCCCTTCTCTCTGGGCCCCTCCTTCTCCCTAGATCTCTGCCTCCGCTTCTTTGCGTCTCTGTGCCCCTCTCTCTGGTTCTCTGGCCATTGCTCTCACTGGATCTCTATCAACTCCTGACTCAGAGTCTCTGTCCCCCTCTTTCTGGGTCTCTCCTCTTCCCTGGATCTCTGGTCCCCACTTCTCTGGGTCCCTGTCCCCGTCTCTGTGTTTTAATTCTCCCACCATGGGTCTCTCCGTCTCTCTGTGTCTTTTTCCGTTTCTGTCTGGCATGGAGTTTAATCTGCAGCTAAAGCGGATTGGGGCTCATAGCCCGTTGTCCTTGAGGGGGTGAGGCTGGGTGGAAGAAGTCACAGCACCCTGGGTCCCTGGGAGAGAAAGGAGTTAGAGGCCAAAAATTTCGGCTCCTGGGGTAGGACAGCCTTCCCAAAGGATACAGGCTGGGGCTGACAGGGACTCCCTCCCAACCAGGTTGATGACCCCAGTGAACCGAGTGTCCCTCAGGATAATCTGGACACCTCCCCACAGGCTCTCACCCCCAACCCCAGCTTTGGCTCTAAGTCAGATAAATTACTCAGCTGCGGAAAAGCCTAAAAATATATCTGGCCACAGTGCACGAAGGAGATGGCCTCATCAGCACCATGCCCCTGCCGCCGTGCCCTCAGGCCCTGTCCCCTTGGCCCACAGCCCTGACCCTGTGTTTCGCTGAGCTTCAGTCCACCTCGCTAGGCCATGGGGGTCCTTTGCTAAGTCTAACATCAGTCTTGCTTGCTGCAGATCACCTCTTAGCTCCAAAGTTACCCCACCCTCTAGTAACATGAGAGACAAGAATAAGGCTGGACAGAAGTGGGGGGAGGTGGGCAGGAGGATGGTGCAGTGACGGAGGTTGGTGGTGGAGGGGAAGCTGAGATAACCTCACCCCTTCTTTTTCCAATTTTCCAGCCCCTCCCCACCCTTTTTCTCGCCTCCTTTCACGAGTTTCTCAAAATACATCAGTGTGAAGTCAGGAGAATGAGAGAGAGAGAAAGAGACGTGCTGGTGGAGGGGGCTGGGGGGTGGCAGCGGGAGGGATGTATTCCTCAGGCCCCTCCCTCAGTCTCTGCCTCTGTTTCTCATCTGTGCTAGGGTTTCTCACAGTCAATCTCTCTGGCTCTCACTCTCTGAGTTACCTCTTGGGTCCCCAGAGACCCCCGGGCTCTGGCCAGGACCATCAGCAGGGAGTTTGTGCAGAGAAAAGCATTTGCTTCCAATGCCTGGGGTTTGCTCTGATGGTTGGAGGGAGAGGGGAATACCCCATATTAGAGACAACAGGTTGATCTCATTTAATCCTCTAGACAAAGATGGGGAAACTGAGGCTCCATTCTGGGGTTGGGGAGATCAGTGGATGAGTATGAGCCCCATGATTTGAACCCAGGTCAGTCTCCCTCCCAAGCCTAGAACAGAGCTCTTCCTTGAGAAGAGTGATGCCACAGCTGGTGGGGAGCTTCCTTGCACCCAGGGTGACTTGGAACAAGGACATGGGGGAATGGGATGCCAGAGAGATGAGAACCCAAGGTGCCTCCTTTCTGAGAGCCAGGTCTTGGGCAGGGGGATGCCGAGGGCCAGTAAGGGATCAGGTCCCATTGCTGTTCTTGTCTGTGACCTTGGAGTGCCACTTCAGCTCCCCGAGCCTCAGTTTCCTTAGTTGTACAATGGGAAGAGAAGAGAGAGCAGAGGGACATAAGGAGACAAAGACGTGGGGGAGTGGACAGAGATCCTGAGAGAAGCAGAGAGAGAGAGAGGGAGAGACAGAGAAGTTGAGACATCTCAATTTGGGGTAATGGCCTCCTAAGTGTTGTTTTTCCTCATCGCCAAGTCCCCAGGCCTGAGTTTGGGGTATCCAGGGAGGGGAGGGGGATTTACATCTAGGGTCTCCCTTCTCTGTCCTTGTCCCCTGCAAAGCATCAGGGCCACCTTCATCTCTGTGTCCTTGGTCCTCTTGCTCTAAAATGATTGATATCACCTTGAAGTTCCCTCTTTATTCTCTTGCATTTTTGCCCTTGTCCCATTTTATAGATGTGGGATACTGAGACCCCCTGTTTAGACAGCCTTGATTAGAGATCTGACATCTCCTCATATTAACAAGGAATCTCACATCAGGGGCTGCAATCACATCTTGAGTTTCAGGGTCAAATATCATCCGATGTCAACCTGGGTCAGTCTAATCTCTTTGGGTGATGGGTTCTGATGGGTGGGGGGAGTTACTGCCATCCTGTACTATTCGTCCTAGTGGCTTCAATCCCCCCTATCTCTGGCTCTCTGTCTTCTTCCTCTTGGGGTCTCATTCCTACTCCTTCTGGGTTCTGTCCACTCCCTGGCTTCTCCCACCCCTGTTTCTTAACTGCCCCTCCCCACCTCCTTAAGTTCTAGGATGGGGAGGGGTTGCTGTGTTCTCACAGCTCTTCCACCTCCCTCCCCCTGGACCGTCTGGCTGTTCCTTCCTCCCCCGTCCCAGTCTCCCTCGCCTCCATCTGTTCCAGCCCCTTCCTGGGATCCAGCCCGATCCCCTGGCTGCCTACCCACCTCAGAGAGGGGCTGCACCTCACAAATCACGTCCCCAGCCTGTCTATCCTCCGTCTCCCAGGCTCTCCATCTTTCTCTTGCATTCTGGATCTCTGTTCTCATCTCTCTGCATCTATGTTCTATCTCCTGGGTTTCTGTCCCCGCCTCTCTTTGGGACTCTGTCTGCTTCCTTCTCTAGGTTTCCATCTCTTCCCTCTCTGGGTCTCTGTCCCCCTATTTCTAGGTCTCTCTCCCCCTCTCTCTGGGTCTCTGTCTCCCTCTCTCTGGGTCTCTGTCATCCTCTGTGTCTCTGACCCCTCCATCTCTGGGTCTCTGTCCCCCTCTCTATCTGGGTCTCTGTTCCTCTCTCTCTGGGTCTCTGTCTCCCTTTCTCTCTGGGTCTCTGTCCCCCTCTTTCTGGGTCTCTGGCCCGCTATGTCTCTGGGTCTCTGTCCCGCTGTATCTCTGGGTCTCTGTCCCCCTCTCTCTCTGGGTCTCTGCTCCCCTGTTATTCTCTCTCCCTCTCTCTGGGTCTCTGTCCCCCTCTCTATCTGGGTCTCTGTTCCTCTCTCTCTGGGTCTCTGTCTCCCTTTCTCTCTGGGTCTCTGTCCCCCTCTTTCTGGGTCTCTGTCCCACTATGTCTCTGGGTCTCTGTCCCCCTGTATCTCTGGGTCTCTGTCCCCTTCTCTCTCTGGGTCTCTGCTCCCTTGTTATTCTCTCTCCCTCTCTCTGGGTCTCTGTCTCTTCCTCTCTAGATCTCTGTCCCCCTTTCACTGGATCTCTCTCCCTTCTTCTGTCTGTGACCCCCTCTCTCTGGGCCTCTGTACAACTCCCCCCATCTCTGTCACCCTCTTTTTGGGTCTTTCTCCACCTGTCTGAAGGCACCTCTCTCTCTCTGCAGCCTCTCTCTGGGTTTGAGGCAGCCCTCCAAATACCCTCTTCGTCATCACAGACTTGATTCTGGATCCAGAACGGGCGGGGGCGAGAGTCACGCTGGGGAATGAGCCAATCCCCCTACCAGGGCCATCTGTCCCCTGCCAGGACACCACCCGCCACTCCCCCTCCCTACCCCCTAGGCTGGCAGCCTGGACTCAAGGTTCCCTAGGGATGCCTGGGACGGGCTGCTGGATTCCCAGGGTCCTGGACATCTCCCCACCCCCTAGCAAACGTGGCTGAGAAGCATCTGTTCTTTTGACACCTTTGCTGAAGCATCTCCTTAGCACCTTTTGCTTCCTCGAATAGACTCTTATCCGGGAGAGGCGGCTGGAGAGTCTTTGGGCCTCGGAGTGGGGGCACAGGCTCTTGAATCCCAAAGGGTTGTCTGGGGTCTAAGTCTCCTGAGTTGAAGGATTTGACAGAGCTGGGAGAGGGGGACTGAAGACCGTCAATGTGAAGAAGGAGGGGGCTGGGGGCCTGAATTCCCGGTCTGAGGGAGATGGAGGATTTCTGGATCAGGGGGGCGAAGGGAGCCAGGGACCTGGACTCTTGGTGAAGGAGGAGGTGCGGGCTTAGAATTCTGGATGTTGAAAAGCAGGTTTTGCCCTGGATCCTGGTCTTGGGGGTGAGGGGGCTGGGGGCCTGGACTTCCGAGTCTCTGGCTCTTGCTGTCCCGCAGCCTTCTGGAGAAGCGGCAGGAAGGCGCGGAGACGCTGGAGCTGAGTGCGGATGGGCGCCCGGTGACCACGCAGACCCGGGACCCGCCGGTGGTGGACTGCACCTGCTTCGGCCTCCCTCGCCGCTACATTATCGCCATCATGAGTGGTCTGGGCTTCTGCATCAGCTTTGGCATCCGCTGCAACCTGGGCGTGGCCATCGTCTCCATGGTCAATAACAGCACGACCCACCGCGGGGGCCACGTGGTGGTGCAGGTAGCTCAAGGCCTGAGCCCTTGCAGAGCCCCGCCCCGCTCACCGAGCTCCGCCTACGCCCCCATGACGTCACACTCACCCACCAGACGTCCAGGCCACGCCCCTTCCGAAACGCTGTCGGAATAGCTCCGCCCAATCCGTGCGCCCCTTAGTTCTGACCTCGCCTTAGGGGCCGCCTCCGTTTCCTAAGCCCCGTCCTGATCTAAATGAAGTCCCGCCCTTATTTCCAGGGGCTTGATTGAAAAATGTAGAGTCCGCCCCAACATCAGGTTCCCTAGGGGTTGCCCCTGCCCCATTTTGGACCTACTAGCAATTTTGCTCACGCCTGTACCCCAAGCTCATGTCCCCGGGTCACATCTATTTAATCTCAGTCCCATCTCAGGTTCCTCCCTGAATGTGATCCTTTTTTGAAACCCTGCCACTGCCTACGTCCCACTGCATGTGTTGTGTCCCTTATCTAAAGACCCACAGGGTCTCCCAGGCTACGGTGCAGTGGGGCCATTGCTCTGTCGCCCAAGCTGGAGTGCAGTGGCACCATCACTGCAGCCTCGAACTCCTGGGCTCAAGTGACTCTCCTGCCTCAGCCTTCTGAGCAGCTGGGACTACAGGCGTGCGCCGGCATACCCAGCTAACATTTTTATTTTTATCTTTGTAGAGACAAGGTCTCACTATGTTGCCCAGGCTGGTCTCGGACTCCTGGGCTCAAGCGATCCTCCTGCCTTGGCCTCCCAGTCCTGGGAGTACAGGCGTGAGCCACCGTGCCCTGTCCTTTCTCCTATTTTAATTTCAGCATAGGCCTTGCCCCTGCATCAGAAAAGAGTCCTGATTTGTGCCTTTGTCCTACCTGAAGTTCCTCCCCTTGCTCCCTTCCAATCTGGTCCGCCCCCTTGGCTGCTTCGTGTCCCCGCCTGGACCCTGTGCAGGTCACTCCGCAAACGCTCATAAGCTGGATATAAGTGGAGAGAGTCATCATCATACATGGGCCCCTAGGCTTTCATGGAGGCAAGGAAGCAGGCAAAGCAAGGCGTCTAGGTGGTGATGGACTCTGTTGTTAAGGCAGCATAGGCCCTAGCAACGTGGAAGAGCGGAGTTTGTAGACTTTAATTGACAGAAAGATAGTGTGAGCTTTGATTGGCAGGCTTTTGGAGGTGGGAGGGGTTCCTCGTTGCTGATAGGTCGAGACGCTAAGTCTGTGGGTGCTGATTGGTGGAGCGGCAGAGCCTGGACAGGGCGGCTGATTTAATGTACATTTTGGCCCGCAGAAAGCCCAGTTCAGCTGGGATCCAGAGACTGTCGGCCTCATACACGGCTCCTTTTTCTGGGGCTACATTGTCACTCAGATTCCAGGAGGATTTATCTGTCAAAAATTTGCAGCCAACAGGTACAGTGGTGGGGTCTCAAAGTGGGCGGTAACTACAGTTGTGTGGGTGGAGTTAGAGGGCGTGGTCTTGAATTTGCGGGCTGGCTCTGGTAAATGGGAGAAGCCTGGATTTGGGGGTGGGTCTTAGAGAAAGGTGGGGCTTGCGATTGAGGAAGGTGTAAGTCAGAGAGGTGGTGGGACCTGGGGTCCCGGGGACCACTGGGCCTAGCTTGCTGTGGGCGGGAAAGGCAGAATCCCGGGCATGGCTGGATAGCTTGGATTCTTTTCTCTGACCCTTCCCATCAGAGTTTTCGGCTTTGCTATTGTGGCAACATCCACTCTAAACATGCTGATCCCCTCAGCTGCCCGCGTCCACTATGGCTGTGTCATCTTCGTGAGGATCCTGCAGGGGTTGGTAGAGGTAAATCCCCGCCTGATATGACCCTGCCCTCGCTCGGACCCTGCCTCTTCTCAGTGACCTTGGTTTTCTCCTCTTTAGGGGGTCACATACCCCGCCTGCCATGGGATCTGGAGCAAATGGGCCCCACCCTTAGAACGGAGTCGCCTGGCGACGACAGCCTTTTGTGGTGAGAGGAAGAGGGATCCTCACTCCTGAATCTGAGGGAGGAGGGGTTGGGGCCTGGACTGTTGGGTCTGAGCGGGGAGGGGCTGGGGGGGCTGAACTCCTGTGTCTGAGGGAGGAGGAGGAGACTCTGGACCTGGACTCCCAGGTCTGAGGGAAGAGGGGCTGGGGCTGGACTCCTGGGTCTGAGAGAGGAGGGGCTGGGGGCCTGGACTCTTGGGTCTGAGGGAGGAGGGACTGGAGGCCCGCACTCCTGGGTCTGAGAGGAGGAGCTGGGGGCCTGCACTCCTGTGTCTGAGAGAGGAGGGGTTGGGCCTGGACTCCTGGGTCTGAGGGAGGAGGAGCTGGGGGCCTGGACTCCTGGGTCTGGGGGAGGAGGAGCTGGGGGCCTGGATTCCTGGGTCCGAGCGAGGAGGGGCTAGGCCTGGATTCCTGGGTCTAAGGGAGGAGGGGCTGTGGCCTGTAATTCAGTGTCTGGAAAGGGGGAAGCGGTGGGGGTCCGCACTCCTTGATCTGAGGGAAGATGGGCCTGTTCTCTCCCCCGCATCCTCCCCCTTAGGTTCCTATGCTGGGGCGGTGGTCGCGATGCCCCTCGCCGGGGTCCTTGTGCAGTACTCAGGATGGAGCTCTGTTTTCTACGTCTACGGTGAGGGACCCGGATGCCTGGTTCCGGGTGGCGCTGGGGCGGAGCGGGGCCGGTCCTCACCTCGCTCCCATCCCCCTCCTGACCCCCCCAGGCAGCTTCGGGATCTTCTGGTACCTGTTCTGGCTGCTCGTCTCCTACGAGTCCCCCGCGCTGCACCCCAGCATCTCGGAGGAGGAGCGCAAGTACATCGAGGACGCCATCGGAGAGAGCGCGAAACTCATGAACCCCCTCACGGTCCGGGACCAAATCTTCGGGGAAGGGGCGGGGAGAGATAGCAAGCCACGAACCTGCACAGCGTGTAGATCAGGGACGGTTCCTGCAGACTCTAGAGGAGACGGGACTGGAACGCAAAGAGAGGGGCTAGAACCTAGGAGGCGGGTTGCAACCCGCGGAGGACGAGATTCTCAGGTGCTGGGGGCAGGGTTAGGTCGGGAGTTGAGCAGGATTAGAACCACTGACAGGGCATAGTTAAAGCCAGCAGAGAAGGGATTAGAATGTGGGGGTTTTGCTTAGACCTTGAGTTGAGGCTGTATTTTGGGAGCATTTTTGATAAAAAGAGACTCCTAGGGCAGGCTCAGTGGCTTCCGCCTGCAATCCCAACACTTTGGGGGTGGAGGCTGCAGGATCGCTTGAGCCCAGGAGTTCCAGACCAGCTTGGGCAACATGGCGAAACCCCCGTCTCTACTCAAAATACAAAATACAAAAAGTAAAAATAAAAAGAAAAAAAGAAAAAGACAGGTCCCTGAGGGGCCCGGACACCTGCGGACCTGAGAGGCTACCATAGGGCCAGGACCCCTTCATCACTCAAGTGTCACCTTGAGGCTAGGATCCCTGGGTCCCCACGGCAACATGGTGTAGCCCGCGCCTTTGGGTCCATAGAAGTTTCAGTGCGGTCGGGATCCTTTGGTTTCTGCAGAACTACACTGTGGTCCCTGAAGGGACGCGGAGAAGCCCTCAGCCCCGCTCCCCGTCTTAGCGGCCCTCCCCTCGCCCCCACAGAAGTTTAGCACTCCCTGGCGGCGCTTCTTCACGTCTATGCCAGTCTATGCCATCATCGTGGCCAACTTCTGCCGCAGCTGGACGTTCTACCTGCTGCTCATCTCCCAGCCCGCCTACTTCGAAGAAGTGTTCGGCTTCGAGATCAGCAAGGTAGAGCCCAGGAGGAGAGGGCAGGGGGGCGCGGAGGGGTCGGCGGGAGGGAACTGGCGGCGATCCCGAGGCAGGGAGGAGCCGGTGGTGCACGGACCGGGCAGAGACGCCGAGCCGGCGGCCCCGAACCCTAGTGTCCCTGTACACCTGTTCCCGCAGGTAGGCCTGGTGTCCGCGCTGCCCCACCTGGTCATGACCATCATCGTGCCCATCGGCGGCCAGATCGCGGACTTCCTGCGGAGCCGCCGCATCATGTCCACCACCAACGTGCGCAAGTTGATGAACTGCGGAGGTGAGTGGGGCGGGGCCTGGGCCGGCTCTAGGACAGCCTGGGTGGAGCAGAGCCGGATTGAGAGGTGATGGGGAGTGGTTACAGGCGGAAACCATCCAGCCTGCCCCAGGAGTCCCTTTCTATGCAAAGGGCCGTGGCCAACAGGGTGGAGCCGGGGCAGGGCAGGCCTGGATGAAAGGGACTGTCACGCGGCCGTCCAAGGGGCCACCGCGCGGAAGGGCAGGGTGGGCGAGACTTCCCGGGTGGAGCAGAGAGAAGACCGAGTTGGGCCTGGAGGGACAAGACCTGCACAAAGTTGGGTGTGGTAGGACATGAACTAGGTGATGAAGAGGCGCTAAGAGCAAGGCACCTGGAGAGACAGGGTCCTAGGGGGCCTGCTGTCTAACAAGTGAGATTTGCTAGGCGTGGTGGCGCGCGCCTGTGGTCCCATCTACTTGGGAGGCTGAGAAGGGAGGATCGCTGGAGCCCAGAACTGCGAGGCCGCAGTGAGCTATGATCGCGCCGCAGCACTCCAGCCTGGGCGACAGAGCGAGACTTTGTTTCTAGAAAAATTAAAATTACAATTAAAAATTAAAAAACAGGCAGGGCATGGTGGCTAACCCCTGTTATCCCAGCACTTTCGGAGGCGAAGGCCGGTGGATCACTTGAGCTCAGGAGTTTGAGACCAGCCTGGGCAACGTCGTGAGACTTTGTCTCTTAAAAAAAATAAAAAATCAAAAATTAAAAAAAAAAAAAACCAAAAACTCATGAGTGGGGATTGAGGGGAAGGTGTGAGCGTGCACAGCAGGGATCCTGCGTGTTCGGGGAGTGGCCTAGTCAAGGGGTGGAGCTACGGGAGGGGCGATGGAGCTGGTGGGCGTGGTCAGGGCTGGGTCTTGGAGAAGTAGGGGCCTGGTTAGGGTGGGTGCGGGTGGCGTGGAGGGCGCGAAGAGGCCTGGGCGTGGAGGTGGCCAGACTGGGGTGGATAGACGCGGTTTGGGGCTGGAGCAGGTCTGGAAGGGCGGTGTGGGGCAGCCTGCGCCTTGCTCCGGCCGACACTCAGGAGACGCGGGCCCCCCCCGCCCCCGTAGGCTTCGGCATGGAAGCCACGCTGCTGTTGGTGGTCGGCTACTCGCACTCCAAGGGCGTGGCCATCTCCTTCCTGGTCCTAGCCGTGGGCTTCAGCGGCTTCGCCATCTCTGGTGAGAACCGCGGATCCGCAGCTTGGGGGACTCTGGTCAGCTCTGTAGGGAACTTCCTGGCTCAGGAACGGGGCCTCTCAGCCTCACAAAAGGTGGAACATGAGTGGCGGGGAGGGGAGAGGGTTGAGAACGTCCCAGTGGGAATCACTCGAGTGAGATTCCGGTGTGACGCCTTCCGACTTGTCTCTCCGCCAGGGTTCAACGTGAACCACCTGGACATAGCCCCGCGCTACGCCAGCATCCTCATGGGCATCTCCAACGGCGTGGGCACACTGTCGGGCATGGTGTGCCCCATCATCGTGGGGGCCATGACTAAGCACAAGGTGGGTGCCGCAGTCCTGACTCAGTCTGCCTCCAAGTGTGTGCTTCGTACCTAACTGACCACGTGGTGGCACTGTCTCTGGGGTGCCATCCCTGCCTTTTCAGCCTCCCTGGGTCTCTGCCTCCCTTCCTCTAGGCCTCCCCCTCTCTCCGCCTCTGTTTCTCTGTCCTCCCATTTGACCTCAGCCCTATTGTCCCCTGCAGACTCGGGAGGAGTGGCAGTACGTGTTCCTAATTGCCTCCCTGGTGCACTATGGAGGTGTCATCTTCTACGGGGTCTTTGCTTCTGGAGAGAAGCAGCCGTGGGCAGAGCCTGAGGAGATGAGCGAGGAGAAGTGTGGCTTCGTTGGCCATGACCAGCTGGCTGGCAGTGACGACAGCGAAATGGAGGATGAGGCTGAGCCCCCGGGGGCACCCCCTGCACCCCCGCCCTCCTATGGGGCCACACACAGCACATTTCAGCCCCCCAGGCCCCCACCCCCTGTCCGGGACTACTGACCATGTGCCTCCCACTGAATGGCAGTTTCCAGGACCTCCATTCCACTCATCTCTGGCCTGAGTGACAGTGTCAAGGAACCCTGCTCCTCTCTGTCCTGCCTCAGGCCTAAGAAGCACTCTCCCTTGTTCCCAGTGCTGTCAAATCCTCTTTCCTTCCCAATTGCCTCTCAGGGGTAGTGAAGCTGCAGACTGACAGTTTCAAGGATACCCAAATTCCCCTAAAGGTTCCCTCTCCACCCGTTCTGCCTCAGTGGTTTCAAATCTCTCCTTTCAGGGCTTTATTTGAATGGACAGTTCGACCTCTTACTCTCTCTTGTGGTTTTGAGGCACCCACACCCCCCGCTTTCCTTTATCTCCAGGGACTCTCAGGCTAACCTTTGAGATCACTCAGCTCCCATCTCCTTTCAGAAAAATTCAAGGTCCTCCTCTAGAAGTTTCAAATCTCTCCCAACTCTGTTCTGCATCTTCCAGATTGGTTTAACCAATTACTCGTCCCCGCCATTCCAGGGATTGATTCTCACCAGCGTTTCTGATGGAAAATGGCGGTTTCAAGTCCCCGATTCCGTGCCCACTTCACATCTCCCCTACCAGCAGATTCTGCGAAAGCACCAAATTTCTCAAGACCCTCTTCTCCCTAGCTTAGCATAATGTCTGGGGAAACAACCAAAATCGCAATTTTAACAATATGCCTCTCTACCCCCGTGCACTTTTTCTGACATGGTTTTCAGGTCTAAATAGTGGCTGCTCCAGTCCATGAACTCAAAGGTTTGAAGCTACCACCATTGAACTCCCCCATGGTGGTTTCATGATGCCCCCTCCCCAATTCCTCGCACTTTATTCTCCTGGGTGGTTTCGAACTACCCTGTTTCTCAGTGGCCATTTGTTGTGTCCCTCAGGGGCTTAATGACTCAAAATCTGGGATCCTTCCCCTCTCAGACACCCCTCTTTCAGCTTAGAATTTGGGGAACCTATAGAGAAGTCACAGAATCCCATGAAAGGGAATGGGGCAGGAGCCAGGGGTGTTTTTTCCCAGTGCAGGGTTGTGTCTTTGTGTCTCTGTCTCTGTGACTGTAAATCCTGCCCTGCCCCACTCCCAATAAAAGCTTTGGTGTATAGGCTCAGTTGTTCTTGGCTGTGGAGGTCACAGGCATCCTGGTCCCCAGCCCCGTCCTCCCTCAGACCGAGGAGTTCAGGCCCCTAGCTCCTCCTTCCTCAGTTCCAGGGATCCAGGCCCCAGCCCCTCCTCCCTCAGACCCAGGGTTTCAGGCCCCCAGCCCCTCCTCTCCCGGACCCAGGAGTCCAGGCCCCAGCCCCTCCTCTCCCGGACCCAGGAGTCCAGGCCCCAGCCCCTCCTCCCTCAGACCCAGGAGTCCAGACCCCCGTCCCTCCTCCCTCAGACCAGGAGTCCAGGCCCCAGCCCCTCCTCCCTCAGACCCAGGGGTCCAGACCCCAGCCTCTCCTCCCCAAGTTTCAGCGGTCTCAGACTCCAGCCCCTCCCACCCCAGGGCTCAGGCCAGAGGAGGGGTCTAGCCATGGGAACATGATATTTATTCGGTCTCAGACCTTGTTCTCTGATCACAGCGCAAGCATCTCTGTATATTAGACCCTTTATCCGGGGCACTACTCTAGCTAAGCATACCAGAAGCGCAGGGTTTTCCTTCACTGTGGGGATGTGCAGGTCCGGCAGAACTCGGTGGGGCTCACACGAAGTTGTTGGGGAGCGTGGCGGGGGACAGGGCCTCCAGACGCTGCGGGCGACCCCCGCGGGGCGGCGGGGGCAGCTTTGGTGGCAGAGGAGGTGTGGGCGGGGGCTGCTTGGTGGCGATGTGGGAAGGGACCCAGGTATCCGGAGCATAAAAGTAGAGGTCGTAGGGGTCTTTCGGGGCGTCCAAATGCAGAACTGTGGGTGCAAAGGGGCGTGGTCATCTCTGGGCTGACCCTCCAGGCCCCCTTCCAGATCATCTCCAGGGCCGCTTTTGTGCGGCCGACCGATCAGGAGGCCGGAGAGAGGATTCCGATTCTGCATTTGAACTGAGTTTTCAATAAAAAGGGTGGGGGCCGCTGCAGAAACCAGGAGGCGTGGCGTCCGATCAGCAGCGGCGGGGCCTGCAGTGGAGGGCGGGAAGTACAGGGCTCCGGGCCGCGTACCTGGAGGGGCAGGGGCGGGGCTGGCGGGGACGGCCGGCTCTGGGCCTGAAGCCGTTTCCAACCGCATTGGGAGCGGCACTGGACTCTTGGGTGAAATTGCAGACATTTAGGGGGCTGGACGTTGCCATGGAAGAGCCAGGGCTTTCATTGACCTTGGGTGGGGGACCTGTGCTTTTTTGGCTGGCGCCCTGTAGTGCCGGGAGAGACCAGGTTATGGAAAAGTGCAGGCATTCAAGGGGCAGGGCGCTCACCCGGTTCATCTCCGTCGTCCGGAAGCCGGTGATGTGCGAAGGGCCGCTGTCTAGCTGCCCGGCGGTAAAGACACCACAGCAGCACAAAGATGCCGATCAGCAGCGCGGTCCCCGCGAAGAACAGGCAGAGGGCCCCGCCTGCTGCGCCACGTGGTCGCCCCACCAGAGTCACGCCTGAAGGGGGATACCAGCAATCTAAGCTCCTAACCCCCTCCTCTCTCAGACCCAGGGGTCCAAGCTCCTAGCCCCTCCTCCCTCAGATCCAGGAATTCCTGTTCCCAAACCCTTCTCCCTCAGACCCAGGAGTCCAGACCCCAGCCGGTCCTCCCTCGCACCCAGGAGTCCAGGCCCCCAGCCCCTCCTCCCTCGGACCCAGGAGTCCAGGCCCCCAGCCCCTCCTCCCTCGCACCCAGGAGTCCAGGCCCCCAGCCCCTCCTCCCTCGGACCCAGGAGTCCAGGCCCCCAGCCCCTCCCTCAGACTCAGGAGTCCGGCTCCTGCCCCTCACCGGTCTCCTTCACTCGCTCCACCACGATGATGGTGTTGACTCCCTCACCTCGGCTGTGCCTCTGGGGTGCCCGCAGAGTGGCAGGGGCCAACTGACTGGGGCGCCCTGGAAGAGCAGGGGGACCTGCAATCCGGGCTGAGGGAGGAGGGACGTTGGACTCCTTAGGGCCAGAGTTCTGGGGGGCCTTCAGCTCAACCATTCCTGGAGAATCTGAAGTGGGCAATTTTGGGGAGTCGGGCTGGATGGCTGCAGGTGTTCCTGGTTTGGGATTCAGGGACAGCTCATTTAGAGCAGTGGCGTCATCCTTGAAGGGCACAGGTGTTTCTGGGTAGAGACTAGTGGAGATTTGAGGGTCGGAGGTCCTGGGTACATCTGTTGCATTTTGGTAGTAGGTTGTGGGGAATTCTGTTTGGGAAATTTCGGTGGGGCTGGGATTGTGGGTCACATGGGATTCTGGGTGGGGGGTTTTAGAAGGGTCAGGATGGAGAGCTTGGAGAAATTCAGAGTTTGGGGTCTCAGTGGAGTTGAGGTCATGCTTTTCTGGGGATTTGGGGTCAGGGGTCTTGGTAGGGTTAGTGTTTGAGGTCTCGGGGAGTTCTGCCTGTGAGACTTCAGTGGCATTAAGCTGCAGAATCTCTGGGGATTCTTGGGGTGTAGTTTGCATAAGGTCAGTGTTTGGGGTCTCAGGAAATTCTGGGCGTGAAGTTTTGGAGAAGTTAGGTTTGGGGGTCTCAGGGGATCCTGGGTGTGGCATTTCAGTTGGGCCAGGTGTGGGGGTCTCAGAAGACTCTGGGTGTGCCATTTTGGAGAGGTTAGTTTTGGGCATGTCCAGGGATTCTGATATTGAGGTTGTGAGTGAGTCAGCTTTGGGGGTCTCAGGAGACTCTGGGTGCGGGGTTTCTCGGAGGTCAGGGTTGAGGGGCTCAGTGAAGTCAAGTGGGAAGGTTTCCAGGGAAACCGTATGAGGTAGCTTGGAAGGCTCAGGGTAAGGAGTCCCAGGAAATTCTGGGTTAAGGCGATCTCGTTTGGAATTTTCAGAAGCACCCTTCAGAGGGGAAGTCTCAGAGGGGTGGGCCATGTCCGGAAAGCCACAGCCCAAAGGCAGAGGGGCTGAGGGAGCGGCCTTGGACCTCAGGCCGGCGAGGAGGAAGACGAGGAAGAGGATCCGGCTGAATGATTTCATAGCTCTGGCAGATACCTATAGCTGCGGGGGAGAGCGGGAAGGAAGGGGTTAAGGCCGAAGGCTCCCAGGAGCCCCGCCCACTCCCGGAGGCCACGCCCACTGGAACACAGGTGGACCACGTCTGTCCGGGGCCCAGCTTGGCGCCAGGGATGGGAAGAGAACCCAATCGCAAGTCCCTTGGAGGCTTGTGGGGCGATGGCCCAGGTAGCCAAGAGAGACTGAGGCGCGGGGCTACTTGGGAGTCGTAGTTAATTTCCTTATCTGTTTCAGCGAGGGGTCCTAGAAAAATTGGGAAAGAACGACACTTCTCCAGGCCTCAGATCTCCTCGACTTCGACTTTAGGGAGTGTCAGGGCTTCGAGGGGACGTGGGATCTCCTTCCTCTCCGAGGTCCCCCGGGACACCTTGACTCAACAGTTGTTTACACTACAGGAGGCTCCTAACGGCTGAGGGCTGGACTCATGGATTTGAGGGAGGAGGGAGACATTTGGGCTCTGGGTTAAGAAGGTTGCTGGGGGTTCAGACTCCTGCGTCTTGCAGGGTGAGGGGGCTGAGGTTCCTGGCTCCTGGTTCTTTAGAGAGGAGAAGGCTGGAAGTTCAGGTGCCTAGAATTTTGAGGGAGCAAGGTTTGGGGGCTGGATTGCAGGGGTGAAAGGAGATAAGAGGCCTTGAGCTCTTGGTTCCTGAGTTAGAAAGGAATTGGGAGCTCTGAGTCCTCCAGAAATAGGGTCTGGGGTCTGGGCTCTGCAGAGTAGAGGGGTAGGGACTTGAAGAAGAGAGCTTTGGGGCAGGACTCTCAAGTCTGTTATTGAAGATGGAGCTAGGATTTCGGCATCTCCGGGGCCAGTCTGGGCAGAGAAGCATAGGTCTGTGTTCAGGTGGAGGTGGAGGCGGCCGACACATCGATGGGACAGGCTTACTTGAGGTCCTGGGGTCTCTTACCTGCTCTGGTGTCCAAGGTAACAGCAGATAAGCAGAGCTGGATGCAGAGAACGGTGAATGTTGCAGAACAGATCTGGGCAGGGCGGTGGGAGGTAGGGTCTCAGGGGCACACAGGTGACGCACCTCACCCCCTCCCAGGGGATCCTGGGAGCCTAGCGACAGACTTAGACTCTTAAAGGGACAGAAGTAAAGGACATTTTCTCTGGGGTGGGGAAGGGAGTTAGAAACTGGATTGATCTAGTGGAGATGTGGCCCAAATTATTTTTTTGAAACCAGTGGTCCTGGCCCTCTACCCTCTCCTACCTGAAAACCCAGGGGTCTAGTTCCCTGGTACCTTCCTATTTCAAGTCCCCTAAGTTGTATCCCCCAGCTCCCTCCCCCCAGACTCAGAACTCCAGTCCTCTAGCTCCTTCCTTCCTCAGATTCAGGAATCCAAGTCCCCAGCCTCCTCCTTCCCCAGAACATAGGAATCTGGGTCCCTGTCCCATCCACTCTTAGACTCAGGAGTCCAAGCTTCTGCCACCACCTTCCTAGGAAACTAGGAGCCCAAGTTCCCACATCCCAAGTTTCTACTGCTCTGTAGGACTTCCAAGTTTTGCCCATCTTCTCCTCACTGTGTATAAAGGCCCCTCTTTTTAAATTTTTTTTTTTTTTTGAGACAGAGTCTCACTCTGTTGCCCAGGCTGGAGTGCAGTGGTGCGATCTCAGCTCACTGCAACCTCCCTCTCCCAGGTTCAAGCGATTTTCCTGCCTCAGCCTCCCAAGTAGCTGGGATTACACCACACCTAATTTATGTATTTTTGTAGAGAAGGAGTTTCGCCATGTTGGCCAGTCTGGTCTCGAACTCCTGACCTCAAGTGATCCACCCACCACGGCCTTCCAAAGTGCTGGGATTACAGGCATGAGCCACAGCACCCGGCTGAGGCCCCTCTTAAGAGTCAGTGTGGACTGGGTGTGCTGGCTCACGCCTGTAATCCCAACACTCTGGGAGGCCAAGGAGGGCAGATCACAAGGTCAGGAGTTCAAGACCAGCCTGGCCAACAGTTTGGCGAAACCCTATCTCTACTAAAAATACAAAAATTAGCTGGGCGTGATGGTGGGCACCTGTAATCCCAGCTACTCGGGAGGCTGAGGCAGGACAATGGCTTGAACCTGGGAGGTGGAGGTTGCAGTGAGCCGAGATAGTGCCATTGCACTCCAGCCTGGGCAACAAGAGCAAGACTCCATCTCAAACAGACAAACACACACACACAAAAAGAGTCAGTGTGAGGAGGACTGGGCTTTAATCTTCACAGCACCCCCAAACTCCTCCCAGATAAGGGCTTAGACACATCCTTAGGGCAGCTCAGGAGCCCTGTCTGTTTTCCCCTCTTCTCACTCTCTGAGGTTTTTCTGATGTGGTCTGTCACTTTTCCTGTCCTCACACCCCTGCCACACGTACCCTTTGCCATTTCTTGCCTTTCCCCCCTCCCTACCTCACCCTCGATCTTTCTGGGCCTCTCGCTGCTGTATTTATCTCTGGGCAGCTCCTTCCAGACCAGGACGTCCTTCCATTTCCGTCTGTCTTTCTGAGAGCCTTTTCTTTCCCTCCTCCATCTCCATCTGACTGTTCGTTTCCATCTCCTTCGCTCTCTTTTCTTGTTTTCTTCCTTTTCCTTTCTTTTTCTGTCGTTCCCATTCTTTCTCTCTATTTCTTCCTCGGCCACTCTGTCTTTGTCCTTCTCTTTGTGTCTCTGTTCCTCTGACGGTCCTTCCGCCAGTCTCTATTTTTAGCCCTCTGACACACCCCCTGTGTCCACCTCTCTGTCTGTCTGTCTCTCCCCCTCCCTCGTCTCAGGTCCAGCTTCTGGTCCCAATTAGTTGGTGGCGGCCAAGGCAGCGGCAGGTCCCCCACCCCCGGCTCCTCATTACCGCTGGCGGCTCCTAATGAGCCTGGGGAGGGGGTGACCCCGCGTCCCCGGCCCCCCGGCCTGCGTCACTGCCCGGTGCGGGGGCTGCGGAGGCGATATAAGGGGGCTGCCACCATCGCTGCCCCAGCCCACTGCACGGTAGGGGACTGTGCGGGAAGCTGGGGGTGGATGCATGGTGGGGCCCGGGGTTCTGGGCCGGGATGCAGCCCTACTGAGCCCCTTTCTGGTTCTCCACAGGTGATGGAGACCCGCCAGGTGTCCAGGAGCCCTCGGGTTCGGCTGCTGCTGCTGCTGCTGCTGCTGCTGGTGGTGCCCTGGGGCGTCCGCACTGCCTCGGGAGTCGCCCTGCCCCCGGTCGGGGTCCTCAGGTAGGTGCCAGTCCCAGAACTCCCAGGGAGGGGTGGGAACTTGGAGAAGTGGGAAGAGAACCAAAGAGAAAGGGGACGGAAGATCCAGAAAGCGGAACAGAAGCCCAAAGAGAGGGCGACCGAGACCCAGCGAGAAGACAGAGACTAGGGGTGGGGGAAGGCGGGAGGAGGGTTTGGTGGTAGTGGTGGTGCGGGAAATGGACAGAAAATCAGCAAGGGAAAGAGACACAGAAAGATAGATCCCGAGAAAGGCGTGGAGAGGCTCGAAAGGAGTCGTTGCAGAAACGGATTCATTCTTTGAGCAACGTTTATTGGGTTCTTGGTGTGCGCCTGGCCATGCGCTGAGCGCTGTGGGCGGACAAGTGCATCAGACTCGGTCTCAGTACCTGGGGAGTTTCGAACCTGGTGAGCAGAGAGACAGAGACCCACACAGAGAACGAGAGAGACAGGGGGAGCCGGACCGAGCCACTCCACGGACTGGGCAGTAACGGGGCTTCGAGTTAGACCGCGGGGAGGACAGGCGGCGGCAAGAGCGAGTCTGGACGCGCGGTCACCGCGTCTCTCCACAGCCTCCGCCCCCCAGGACGGGCCTGGGCGGATCCCGCCACCCCCAGGCCGCGGAGGAGCCTGGCGCTGGCGGACGACGCGGCCTTCCGGGAGCGCGCGCGGTTGCTGGCCGCCCTCGAGCGCCGCCACTGGCTGAACTCGTACATGCACAAGCTGCTGGTGTTGGATGCGCCCTGAGCGCGCTGCCCGTCCCCATCTTAATAAAGACCATGCCCTGCGCTCCGGACTGCGCCTAGTTCCTGCGCGACCTGCGTGTGCGTTGGGTTGGGGGCGCGGGGCTTGAAATGGGGGGTAGAAAAGAGACAGGACTCTGTGTCGGCCACTCTGGCATCTCTCTCCTCAGTCCCCACTCTATTTTCTTTCCTCAATTCCGTTTCTCTCTGCCTGTCTTTGTCCAGGAAGCTGGCTTCTTTCCTATTTCTGGATCTCTGCTTCCCTATCGCCCCCACCCCCCCGCCCCCTCCTTTCATTCTGGGCCCCTGTCCCTCCCTACCCCCATCTCTGTCCCCTTCTCTCTGGTTCTCTGTAATCTCCAAGGTCTCTGTCCTCCTCCGTCTCTGTCCCTTTCTCTGGGTCTCTTTCCTCTCTGGGTATGTGTCCCCGTCTCCCTGGGTCCTTGTGGTTATCTCCCCTTTCACCCTTTTGGCTTTCTGGTCTTCTGGGAATCTCTGCCTCCTCTCTCTATTCTCCTTCTGCCTCTGAAACTCTTCCTTCCCTTCTCCATCACTTTCTTTTTTCCTTTTTCCTCTGCCTGACTCCTTCATATCTTCCTTTTCTTTCCTCCGTTAGGTTTCTATCTGTCTCTCCATCAGCTCTCATCTTTGAATTTCGCTGTTCCTCCCTCCCATCACTTCCAGACTTCTCCCCAGGCACAGTGGAAAGATCGCGGGCTCTGGTGTGAGGCAGCCCTAGCATCCAAACCCAGGGTCCTCCAAATCTAGCTGCGTAGTACTGAGAAAGCCTTCTTGACGTCAGTCTCTGTGTCTCCTTTTCTTCATCTGTTACGAGGATCCAATAAGATATACTTCATAAGACTTCAGTACAGCGCCCGTTACGTAGCAAAACGCTTTTATTTGAAAAGGGTTTCCTCTTCTCACAGCAGCGTCCAGCAATTTTTTTCAGGGTTTTCTGACTTCGGGTCTCCTTCTCTAGAGACCTTCGGGGCGCCAGGCTGGGGCAGGAGAAGAGAAAGGAGCAGGCGTCAGGCTCCAAAAAGGACAGGGAAAGGGCGGGAAGATACCTGGGCTGCAGGTGAAGCGAGAAAAGAGCCAATCGAAATCTGTCTCTCTCCCCGGAGGTCCAGCCTGCCCTTCAGCTCCGCCCCTCGTGGTAACCATGGCAACCCGGTGGTCCGCAGAGGGCTAGATCAGCGCGCCTGGGGCGCCGTTCGTGCGGACCGCGCTCTCATTGGTTTAAAGAAGAGAGTGGAGCCGGCCGCGTCTGCTGCGCGGGAAGCGGGGCCGCCGCGCGTGTTTGGCAAGGCGTCCCAAAATTTGCATTTTCGGGAGGCGGACCGAGCCCTAATTGGCCCTTGGACTGTGGGGGCGGGACTGTTTCCTCTGTCCTTCCGAATAACAAAGGAAAGACTGCATTCCTCAAAACTATCTGGAGTTGGCCTAATTTTACAAATAAGACTGAAAGTCAGGAGGAATTTTCCTAAGTTGTTAGAGCTACTAAGCGACAAAAGAATAACTGGAATCCGGGTATGTGCAATTTCAAAAGTCTAGACTTTTCCGCCACTCTCATGGAGAAATGGAATGAAAATGTGAATGAGCAGTTGCTATATAGCAGGCACTCTTCTAAGTGCTGTGCTTGCATTAACTCTTTTAACCTCACAAAGACCCTATGAAGAGCCTCCTCCTGTTTCCCCGCGGGCCTGGTAGCTGGGTACTGGCCTGGTCTCTTCCCACACTCTATTTTCTTCCCGATCCGTATCAGAACATTTGAGGTTTTGCTCAAAATGGTGTCTGGAGCCTCCTCCCTCCCCACTCTACTCTCAAGCAAATTCAGCAGTCCCCACAGCTTCTGCCACCACCCACAGCTGACAACACCCAGACCCCCTTCTCCAGCCTGGGAGCTCAGGGCTCAGGACTCCAGCCCCTAAATGAACTGAGTCTTTCTCTGAACTCACTCCTTATCATGGGTTCCCTATCTTGGGAATGGCTCCACTGTCTACTAGTCACTGGGCCAGGTCCCAGGGGTTGTCCTTGTCCTGCCCCTTTCGCCATCCTTCACAGCTTGTCAGTCTCCAGCCCGGTCCCTCCCACCCTGCCCTGGCTCTGCTCTTCCCTCCTCTCCACCCACATGCCCTGCCTCAGGCCTCATTCTCTCCAACCTGGACCACAGCCCCAGACTCCTCCCCACCTGCTGGCCTCCATTCTCATCCCCTTCATTCATTCATCTCCTCCACAGGCCCTGAATGCTCTTCTTCCTACCCAGAGTTCTGCCTTCCCTTGCTCACAACCCTTTTACCGGCACTAGGGAATAAAGTTCAAGCTGGTGTTCAAATCCCTTCATGGGCTCTTGCCTACCTCTCTTATTTCCCACCACTCTGTAGCCTTCAATCCCTCCCAGGCTCCAAATCTTTAAAAAAAAATTTTTTTTTTAAATCCAGCAACAGGATGCCGCCTATGGCTCTCCAGACACACTGGTCTCTTTCCCACCTCTATGACACCCTCCCTGGGCCCCTGCTGACTGTAACCCAAACCTTACCCATCTTTCAAGACTAAACACAAATGTCACTTGTCTGGAAAGAATCCTGTAACCTCCAAGCCGAATCAGTTGCCTTTTCTGGACTCTCACAGGACCTGCAGCTACCTCCATCTGTCTTTAAATAGGTCCGATTCTGTCCCTCCCTTGCTCAAAACTCTCCAAGGAAGCATCTGGGGTGCTGAAACTGTCTACTCTCTTGACCTGGGCTGTGATTTTCATGGGTATATACGTACACAAAAGTTTATCCAGCTGATACTTAAGATTTGTCTGCCTATCTGTATGTAAGCTGCGCCTCAATTAAAATGTAAAAAACCAAAGACAAACAAGCAATAAAACCTCCCAAAGCCCCATCATTCTCAGGAGAAAATCTAAGCTCCTCAGCTTGATGTTGGAGGTCCTGCTTTCCTCTACAGCTTCATCTTCTAAGGTCTAGCTGTTGCAAAGAGATGATGAACACATATTTGTTGAATGAATAAATGGCACCCTGGTGCTTTTCCTGTTTACCATTTGCACTCTAGAGGACAACTCTGGTGTGTGCCTGGTCCTCATCCCTGTCCTCCTTTTTCTGTAGAGTTGCTGCTGCCTTCGACAGCTGTGACTGGAGGGTCTGGTGGGGCTGCCAATCTCGTGATCCTTCTCCTTGGCCACAGGGATGGGCATGGGCCCCACACACTGCCTGTCATAGCAGCCCAACCCCCTGGGAGCTGGGGAAGGGGACCCTCCTTTGACTCTCCTGGTTGAAGGTGGGGCCCTGTCTCCTTCCTATCTTGGGATTTTCCCAGGCAAGGAAGGATGTTCAACTCATAGGCTGCTACAAACAGCAGACAGCCACCGTGTGAGTTCATTTGCTGAACTGGACTCAGACTGAGTTTGGATCCCAACTCTCATAATTTTTAGCTGTGACATCTAGGTCAAGTCATTTAACTTCTCTGTGCTTCAGTGTCTTCATGTGTAAAGCAATAATAGCACCATCTACTTCCTAGTGTTGAGGTGAAGATTAAATACATATCTCAAAGTGCCTAGCTCAGCGCCCTCCCACCCTGGGGCCAGCCATCCTGGGTGTCCACTCTTGTTGTTTACAGGGAGCGTTGGAGCCATGGTGTAAGGATCTTGCTGGCGGTGCTATGAGGCAGGCAAAGCTTGGGGCATTCCCTGCATAATACCATGGGCCACATGCCACACAGAGTGGGTGCCCAATCATGTATTCTTTTCGGGAGTAGGGTAGGCTTCTCAGACTCCATCTGCTTCCCTTTGGTGTCCTCAGCTTTACTCCAGCTGGGAAGGGGCTTACAGCATAATGATGCCTCAGAGCTGCACCATGCAGATGGTCCATGTGAATAAGAGGGAGGGGTTGGGGTCTCGCATGTGTTTTTTTAATTTTTTTTTTGTTTTTTGTTTTTTTTTTTAAGACACAGTCTCACTCTGTCTCCCAGGCTGGAGTGCAGTGGCACAATCTCCACTCACTGCAACCTCCGCCTCCCGGGTTCAAGTGATTCTGTGCCCGGCCCAAGAAGATTGTTCTTTATTGACTTAGGATGCAGTTGGGACTGGGTCAACCTAGGCTGCTACCCGTGGAGGGGTGGCAGGACAGAGTCAGGATCCTATCGGGGGAGGGCAAGGCAGAGCTGTAGAGAAGGTAGGAAGGAGAAAGAAATCAAGGAGAAGAGGTATCCTGGAGCCCTTCGAAGCAGCTTGGCCATGCATGCCAAGGCCACTCAGCAGCTGCACACTGGTGGTGGTGTGTAGGTGACTCCCAGAGTGTTTGTTAGGTCCATGGCCTGCAGTGTTTTTCAGTGTGAATGAGGTGTGTGGCAAGGCACTTTCAAGGTACCCAGTCCCCGCAGAGGTACTTGACCTCCCAGGTCTCCCAGCCTCCCTTACAGTTAAGGGTGGTCACACCAAACAGTCTGGCTAGTGAAACAAACACAAGTCTGCTGGTGGCTCTGGGCAGGCAACTGCTTCTCTTTTATTATGAATATGATTTGAATCTACCCACTGCACACTGAGGCTACTGCCTCTCTTTATAAAAAGGAAGGAAGAAATTTCCGTTTCCCGCAGATGTGATGTAGGAAGCTACAACTGCCAACTCCTGAGCATGAGGGAGGGGACAGGAGAATCACTGAGGCCCTGACCCCAAGGCAACCGAGACTTAGCTGTGTGCCCACAGCTGCCCTCGCCAGGCTTGTTTTGTGAGGGAATAATCCTTAGTGCTTAATCCATTACTGGGGGAGTTTTGCTATTGTTAAGAAATGTCAGCATTAAAAAACTAGGAGACTTCACATAAAAATACAGGGATGTGGATCCCCTGTACTCTATCTAGGGTAAGCCTGCGCAACAGTGGACTAACAATGGGGATCCCAGTGGAGAGAGGGCCAGGGGATTTATTGAGCTAGACACTGCTCTGAGGGGCAAGTAGAGCCTCTCACACTGGAGGGGGCTGGAGGTAGCAGAGCTGGAGGTGGGGCCAGGTGGGAGGTGGGGACGGGCCAAGCAGCAGGACAGAGAGCAGCAGCAGCAGCAGCAGGCCCAGGACAGGAGCTGGGATCAGTGGATGTCGAGTGACTCTGGTGGGGAGGTGGGAGAGCATTTAGGGCAGGGTCTGGGCAGCCCCTGCTCTTCCCAATGTCAGACCACCTCCTTCCTTCTGGAGACGCCTGGGGGCACACCTGAGCCGCTGTGGGGGCAGGCAGAGCTGGCCCCAGGCCCTCCTCCTGACTGGGACCAGCTTTTTCATCACAGGCACCAGGGCTTGCTGGAGTTCCCGCCGCGCAGGTCTGCTGGGGTGAAGGAGGGAATCACCACTGGGTTTTTCCTTGCCCCAGTGTCCCTCCTGGACCCTGTGGGTCCTATTACCTCTCTGGAGGGTTTTCTGGGATGTCTCCAGGGCGAGGGGCTCCTAGAGGGACAGGGAGATCAGCCTGCAAGGACAGAAGAGATGCGTTGGAGGCACCGGGTTCTGGACTGAGAGGTGCTCAGGTCAGCCCACTGGACACAAGTGGCCACATAGAAAGTGGTGGAGCTCAGGAGATAAGTGAGTGCACTTCTGCTGCCAGGTCGGGTTCCCATTTCTGCCAGCTTCTGGCTGAGGGTCCTTGGCATGTCACCACACCTCTCCGTGCCGCTCTTTCCCCATCTGCTGGCCAGGGATGTCCCCACCTCATAGGGTTAACATGGAGACTAAATGAGTGAATGTAGGAAAAAAAAGGCGGGGGCAATAGCTTGGACAGCGCCTGGTACATAGTGAGTGCTCAATGTCTGTGTGAGCTATTCAATATCATCACCTCCGTTTTCCATTGGATTCTGGAAGTATCTAAGCTCTCTGAGGGCAGAGACCACATCTTCTACAGGTGCCCACCCCTGTGCTGGGCCTCATGAAGAATCCTGTCTTCCTGCCTATGCCAGAATCGGCAGGCGCTTTACTAATTAAAAACATGCCATTACAGGCCAGGTGCAGTGGCTCATGCCTGTAATCCCGGCACTTTGGGAGGCTGAAGCGGGCGGATCACAAGGTCAGGACATGGAGACCAACCTGGCCAACATGGCGAAACTCCGTCTCTACTAAAAATACAAAAATTAGCCGGGCATGGTAGCACGTGCCTGTAATCCCAGCTACTTGGGAGGCTGAGGCAGGAGAATGGTGTGAACCTGGGAGGTGGAGCTTGCAGTGAGCCGAGATCGCACCACTGCACTCCAGCCTGGCGACAGAGCAAGACTCCATCTCAAAACAAAAACCAAAAACAAAACACCATGCCATTATAAATGGTATAATTACAAATTTATTTTTCTAATTGCTCATGGTTGCTATACTGAAATATGATTTTTTATTTTGATCTTTCACCCAGCAACCACACTAAATTCACTGATTAATTCCAACACTTCATCTGAGGATTCAAAGATCAAAGCCCCAGCTGTTCCTCCAGGGCCAGGCCCCACCCACTGCACCGCCTCATCCCCCATGTCTCCCCGGAAGGGCCTCCCCTCTATGGGTCTTTGGCTTTCCTACCCCCATACCTTTTTAACACAGATGAGGATGATGAATGACAATGATAATGGCAGTAAATAAAAACAGAACACCAATCACAATCAATATCTTCACCTCTACCACCTGCTGTGCCAGGCAGGGACCCAGGCCCTTTATGACATAGTCCTTAACCCTCCTCCCCACCCTGGGAGCAAGGAAGAGATTATGCCCATGTGAGCTGTGAGGAAGCTGAGGTGGAGCCCCAGTCTCTGCAAGGGAGTGTAGTATGTTGAAGGAGGTGGGCTTCGGGGCCAGGGTGCTGGGAGCTGAGTGTCCTGGAGGCAGCCATCTTGGCCGGTTTGGACCCTGAAGAGCCCCAGGGGCCCTGACAGTGCCTGACCCACAACAGGCAGACTCCAGCCCAGCTCCTGCATTCCTCAGCTCACAACTGAGGGCTCCTCACCTCTCCTTACCAAGTTTCTTTCCCCGTCCTTGCCTGAGAATGGAAATCTTAACCCCCACCGGGCACTGGGCTCTGAGGAGCAGAGGAACTGGCCTGTGTGGCTGCAGGCAGGGGGGCTGCGGGCACTACGCCCCCAGGGAGTTCTGAGGCTGGCTGGGGAGGGCCGGCCCAACCTCTCCCGAGTGTGGGCGCATGTGCGTGTGCATTTATGCAATCCGGGGGTGTAGCCACGTCTATGAGGCCTGCGGTGTGGTGGCTGCAGCCCTGTGTGTGTGGCTGGGAGGGTCCCCTGGGAGCAGCCTGGCCGCCCACTAGCCTCCAGGCCTCCCCCCACCTCACCATCGCTCTCATTAGCTACAGCAAAGGCCTTGTTATCTCTTGGCCAAATGATTTTTCTCTCTGCTCCTGAGGAGTTGGAGTGTGAGGCTGGGGCTTGGGAAGAGTTGAAACGACTCAGCCTCTGTGGGTGTGGAGTGGATGGGGACTGGGGAGGGGTGCTGGGGACTGCCTACCGTGACCTGGCTCTCTGCATCCTCCTCTTCCTCTCTTCTGGTCAACCTGAGGGCCAACAAAGTCACTGCTGGCTTCGTCCTCTTCTCCCTGGTTCCCTTTGCCTACTATGGGCTGGGAGAGAAGCCTTGGAGCAGGGGGTCTTAGCACAGGCCAGGCAGCACGGACGGGCCTGGGGGAGGCCAGGCAGCACGGACGGGCCTGGGGGAGGCCAGGCAGCACGGACGGGCCTGGGGGAGGCCAGGCAGCACGGACGGGCCTGGGGGAGGCCAGGCAGCACGGACGGGCCTGGGGGAGGCCAGGCAGCACGGACGGGCCTGGGGGGTGTCCTGCATATGTATTTTTCACAGGAATTTTCACCAAATTACCCAAAGGGTCTGTGAACCACTAAAAGAATAAGGGGGCCTCTTCATCTCAGATTGGTTTTCTCAGCCACTACTTCCCCAGCAGATCCCCCAGCTGGGAACTGAGGCTTCTGGCTCTCTCACCCTCCAAAATACCAGAGATTCAGGCCTCTGTAAGACCCCAGAGCACGTGTCGAAACCCCCTTCCTGTCTAGTGGGTTGAGCCATTTTTCAATGACTGTCACTGGGTGCTCTCTGAGGACTGGGACTCCAACTCAGACCTCCCAGCCCACAGAACTCAACTGTTGGAGCTCTTCCCCATGCCGAATCCTCTTAGGTGCAAGACCCTCTTCCAGGAGGACTGGAAGAGCCCTGAGGGGTTAGCATGCCCCTCATTCATTCCCATCTTCCGGGAGTAGACCCTGGGCCTGTAGGCCAGGAGATGAGACCTGACCCTTCCCTCAGCGAGTCTCGGTCTAGGAGGAGATCTGGCTCCTGACCCTGCCTCGGCGGGAGGCTCCTAGGGAGGCCCCTCCTAGGGTCACAGCCATCTGAGTCCCTGAAATGCTGCTTTGGGGACTCAGGCCTCAAGCTGCCCAGCCTGAATGCCCCTTAGAGACCCAGCCATCCATACCACCAGCCACTGCCTTCACTGGGGACCAGAGATCCAGCCCTGCAGTTGCCACCACCACCAGCTTCAGACCCAAAACCCTCAGAGATACCCTCAGGAATACAGCTGTGCTCCCACGCGATAAAGGATCCAGGCTCTTAGGCCCCAGTCAGACATACACTATCTGATCCCCTGAAACTTCTACTTGGGACCCAACCCCTCTCAAGGTCCAAGCCCTCACAGCTGGCTACATTTAGGAGCCGTTGTATTCACCACCTTCCTCACTCCCAGCTTTCCAACCTGCGGATCAAACTGCCCCTGACCTCTGGAAACTCGCATGGCACCTGCCTCCCCCACTTCCACTACTGCTCAGCCCCTTCTCCCCTCCTTTCTCTGGTGACGCAGAGGGAGGTCATAGCTCCAGAGCTCCCATCCCGCCCAATCTCAGCTCTTCCCAGACAAGTCCAATTAGAGGCCTTGGCAGGCAGCCTCATTAGTAGCCGCAGCTGGGAGCCTGAAAGAGGGGAGGGGGAGAGGGAAGCAACACAGGAAACCAGAGGCCCGAAGGCCAGGGCCCCGGAGGAGGGTGGGCCCAGTCATCTAGTGCGTTCTCCATCCTCAGAGGCCTGGACACAGCCTCCTAACAATCACATCCCAATCACAGGGCTGGGACTTCACGGCATACAACCAAATGCTTACACCAGCCTGACTGCAAAGTACCTGAGCTGGAATCTGAATCCACGCTGATTCCAGAGGCCCCCCCTCACCCCATTCAGGCATGGCAGCCTCGCTGGGAGCCCTCCCCCAAGGCAGGGTCAGGAACCAGATCTCCTCCTAGACCTGAGGGCAGGGCCAGGCCTCATCTCCTGGCCTACAGGCCCAGGTTCTGCTCCCGGAAGACATGAAGAAGGAGTGAATGAATGAATGCCGATCCCCTCAGGGCACATCCAGTCCTCCTACTGTAAACAGCTGTGAATAAGGTGTCACCCTGAGGCAGACGGATGGCTCAGCTCCTTACCACATGGATGGCTCCTTCCTTCCTTCTTCAGGGTGCGCTGGCTCTCCCTGGAAGTTTCTCTGTGGAAACAAAAAGGTTAGTTCTTCTCTGATTCTTCTCACTCAAAGCTCCAACCCTAACAGTGCCCACTGTCTCCCCCGCCGGTCCCAGACCCCATATACAAAAGGTCTTCCAGGCTGCAACCTACACATGAATTCACCACCTTCTACAACCTGCCCTCCTCTCGTGCTGCCCTACATGAGGATGGCCCTATTAGCCCCCTAAGGGCAGAAGCCAAAAACCAAAGGGTTGTTCTCGATGCCACCAAGCCCCCTTCCCTGACAGGACCCAGGAGTCCCGGTTGCCTAAACTTCCTGGATGTTCCACAGATCTCGTACACTTATCTGGGTCCCAGAGGAGATCAGCATTTCCCTGTCCAACCGCCTTCTCATCCCAGGTTCCCAGACTTGGGCTGGATCTATCTGCTCTCCCTCAGGACCCAAGTACCTCTCGGTTTCTCCAGAGACATATTGGCATTGCCCTTGACCTCAGCAACCAACTTGCCATTGTTTTCTAAACGCAATCCTCGAGCTCCAGGATGGTGCACCCAACTCTTCCAGGCAGCCCCCAGACATCCCTCAAGATTTCACCTCACAAGGTCACAAGTTCCAAGTCTTGCCTCCTTTCCTCCCTCCCCATCACCCACATCCCGTCTGACCCCTGCTCTGTCCCTCCACCCCAATTATGTCTGTCTGTCCCTTTTCCTCCATCCCTAGGGCCCTGGCCTGGCTCAGGCTTCATCACCATTGCTCCAGCCTCCTCCCTGCCTCCAGTAGGTCCCTCACATGGTTCCAGAGGGATCTTTTTAAGCCCGGAGCTGACCCCACCCTTCTTGTGGCTTTATGAAGAAAAGTACAATCTGTTAGCTTGTCAGAGATTTCCTTTCATGATCTGGCCCTGGCCTCATCTCTCACTAGTCACCCCTAGTTACCCTCTACTCCTCAAGCATATCGTGATTTTATGCCAAGGCCTTGCACAGGCTGTGCTAGTGCCTCAAAGGCTGGCTTCCTTCTTTCCTTCCTTCCTTCCTTCCTTCCTTCCTTCCTTCCTTCCTTCCTTCCTTCCTTCCCTCCTTCCCTCCCTCCCTCCTTCCATCCTTCCTTCCTTCCTTCCTTCCACTCAAGTATCAGTTTTCCTTCAATATCTTCCCCAATCTCTGACCTGACACAGATACCCCTTCTCTGGGCTCCCACAGGCCCATCCCCCACCTCTAGCACAATGATCATTCTGCACTGGGGCAACCCATTTGCAGGGTCTCTCCTATCAGGCCTTGAGCACTGAGAGGCCCGGCCCCAAGGGACTCAGCTCTGTATCCCTGGGCCCATCGCAGGTTGCACTCTGAGGCCTGGCTCAGTCTTCCCCTTGACAAGCCTGTCTCTCAGGGGCATCTGACAGCTCAAAGCAGAAGCCCAATCTAACCTACACTTCTGAGGGATGAGGCTCTGTCCCCAACAAGCTGTGTGACCATTGGCATGTGATTTCTCCCTGAGCCTCAGTTTCCCATGAGTAACAAGATGAGGATGCCTGCCTTACAGAGATACTGGGAGAGTTAAATGAGAACCCAAACAAGCTCTGGTGTCAAAGAGAAACAAAAGCTTTTCTCAAACCAGGGAAAAAGTGATCAGAGAAATGAGTCTCTCCTTAAGGATGGCAAAGAGCTTTGAAGTGGTGCAGTTCTCAAGACAATACAGCTTGTTTATAGAGCTGTTTACAACATTTTCTTTAAAAGAAAAAAAAAAAATAGAGAGAGAGCCCAGAGCAGTGGCTCATGCCTGTAATCCCAGCACTCTAGGAGACTGAGGTAGGCGGATCACTTGACCCCAGGAGTTCAGCCAGACTGGGCAACACAGGGAGACCTCATTTCTACAAAAAATAGAAAATTTAGCTACACATGGTGGCACATGCCTGTGGTTGCAGCTACTTGGGAGGCTGAGATGGGAGGATCACCTGAGTCCAGGGAGATTGAGGCTGCAGTGAGCTGTGATAATGCCACTGCACCCCAGCCGGGGCAACAGAGAAGCGAGTGAGACCGTCTCAAAATAAATTAATTAATTAAAAAAAAAAAAGCCAGGTGCAGTGGCTCATGCTTGTAATCCCAGCACTTTGGGAGGCTGAGGTAGGAGGACAGTTTGAGCCCAGGAGTTTGAGACCAGTCTGGACAACACAGTGAGATCTCAACTCTATAAAAAAATTTTAAAAAGGCTGGGCATGGTGGCTCATGCCTGTAATCCCAGCACTTTCGGAGGCCGAGGCGGGCAGATCACCTAAGATCAGGAGTTCAAGACCAGCCTGGCCAACATGGCGAAACCCCGTCTCTACTAAAAAAAATACAAAAATTAGCCAGGTGTGGCAGCAGGTTCCTGTAATCCCAGCTGCTTGGGAGGCTGAGGCAGGGAGAACTGCTTGAACCTGGGAGGTGGAGGTTGCAGTGAGCTGAGATCGTGCCACTGCACTCCAGCCTGGGTGACAGAGTGAGACTCCATCTCAAAAAAAAAAAAAAAGCCAGTCATGGTGGTGTGTTCCTGTAATCCCAGCTACTTGGGAGGCTGAGGTGGGAGGATTGCTTATCCAGGAGATTGAGGCTGCAGTGAGTCAAGTTCACTCCAGCCTTGGCAACAGAATAAGACAAGATCCTGTCTCTAAAAACAAAAAACAAAAAAAACCCCAATGGTTATTGCTGAGTTAAAGATGTCATAGTGAGCTTGCTGGCTTTTCTTAAAGGTGCTAACATTTGAAACATAAATGCTTAATATATCCTTAAAATGCTGGAATAAACAACTTACTTATTCCCTTCCTACAGTAGTACGATTTTAAATAATGTAATTCCCAAGAGTGTTTTCTAAAAAACAAACCAACAATAAAAGCCACAGTGCAACTTGTGTGTTTGCTTGGTTCACCTTTGTCTACAACGCTGGCAGGTCAGTCCCTGGGGTAGGGGTGGTGTCTGGTCTGGCTTGTGGCTGGGTGTCCAGCACACACTGGGCCCTCAATTAACATTTTCTCATCAAATGGGGAACAAGCAAAAGTGTGAGTGAATGGGCTGGCCAGGGCGGCACCTGGAGCTCCTGGCCCCTTTCCAGCTCCTGGACTTCAGAGCTTTTCCTGTGCTCACCTGTCCCCCAGCTGGGGCTTCAGATGGAAACTCAGTTTCCTCACTGGTCTCATGGATGACTTCCTCCCACTGCCACACCCCACACAGAGGGTTGGAGAGATCAGCAGTTGCCACTTCCTGTTTCTGGGACAGAAGTTGTTTCCGAGGTCAGGGAGAGCCATATTAAGGTAGAAAACAAGGTCAGAGATAGAAATAGGTTTAGGTGTGCGGCTGAAAATAGGATGAGAGATAGAAAAGGGCTGGTGTGGGGCTGGGGTTGGGGAGTGGGCAGAAGCAGGAACAGGGGAGGATTTGGTGCCAGGACCAAGGTCTAGGTTCGAGATGAAGTTAAGGAGTGAGATGGTCATGGAGGGAGACGAGATAGGGGTGAGTCAAAGCTGGATCAGACTGGGGTCTGGCACAGGCCTGGGTCTGGCAGTGGGTTTGGGGTTAGGATCCGAGGTAGAGAGAGTTAGAGAAAAGCTAAGGTTGCGATAGGAGCCTCTGGCAGCAATGTGGGTTAGGGCTAGGCTGGTGTGAGGATCAGAGTAGGGAGATGTTTGGAGATTCTGCCTTGGTGGCCTGCAGCTTATTCCAGGGGTGTTAGGCCCACCTGTCGAATGGCCTCGATCTCCAAGCCCAGCGATGGGGGTAGCAGCTCGGTCCAGCCCACTCTTCTCAGCTGGGCCCCTTCAGGTAGCCTGGCCACACAGGAAGGAGGGAGGAAGATGGCCTCTGTGCCTGGTGGCCACTCAGTCAGCTCATGCTGGCCTCCCTTCCCTGCCCACCTTGGGGCTGGAGGCCAGGGTGTCCCTGCCCTTAGGCTCCCCTCCTGCCTCCTCCTACCCCTTGAAATTCCACTCACTCATCGGGCCCCTCATAGGTCTGACTCAGCTGCTCCTCCAGGCGTGAAATCTCCAGCCTCAGTTCCTGCAAAGGAGGAAGTGGGGAGCACATTTGGCTCTGCATTTTTCCCACCCTCCCATCCACCTCTGGGCTCCTCTTCCAGGGTTCTTTCCCCTTTCCTGACTACTTTGGGCTCCCCAGACACATACTGCCTAGGGACAAGGGGAAGAAAGCCATGACAGAATGTTAGGAAGCCAAAGAGAGAGAGCAACAGGAATCCAGAAGCTAAAGCACAGGCCAAGAGGCCAGGCGCAGTGGCTCATGCCTGTAATCCCAGCACTTCAGGAGGCCCAGGCGGGCAGATCACAAGGTCAGGAGATCGAGACCATCCTGGCTGACAGGGTGAAACCATGTCTCTACTAAAAATACAAAAAATTAGCCGGGCATGGTGGCACACGCTTGTAGTCCCAGCTACTTGGGAGGCTGAGGCAGGAGAATCGCTTGAACCCAGGAGGTGGAGGTTGCAGTGAGCCGAGATTGCACCACTGCACTCCAGCCTGGGTGACACAGCCAGACTCCATCTCAAAAAAGAAAGAAAAAAAAAAAGCACAGCCAAGACAATTAAAAGAAGGAAGGCAGAGGCAGAGATGCATGAAAAAATGAGACATAGATGGAAACAGACTCACAGACAGGCAAGAGAAACATGAGGGCTAAGAGACTGGTAAAGACCAGAGCCAAACAGAGAAGACTTGCCTAGGGAGACAGACAGCCTAGACCTAGAGGCAGAGACAGGAACCCACACGAGCCTCGCAGAGACACATAAAGATAAGGAGGGGAGGCTGGGTGTGGTGGCTCACGTCTGTAATCCCAGCACTTTGGGAGGCCAAGAGGGGTGGATTACGAGGTCAAGAGATCAAGACCATCCTGGCCAACATGGTGAAACCCCGTCTCTACTAAAAACACAAAAATTAGCTGGGCATGCTGGCATGCACCTGTAGTCCCAGCTATTTGGGAAGCTGAGGCAGGACAATCGCTTGAACCTGGGAGGCAGAGGTTGCAGTGAGCCGAGATTGTGCCACTGCACTCCAGCCTAGCGACAGAGCAAGACTCCGTCTCAAAAAAAAAATAAGATAAGGAGAGGAGGTGTGTGAGAAGACACCCACAGAGAATGAAAGTGAATGGAAGGAACAGAGAAAAAGTGAAAAGGCAGATACAGAAACAGAGGGGGAGACATGCAGTCATACAGTCATACATCAAGGATGGAAGAAGCAAGATGTGGCCACTGACAAAGAGGCACGAGGAGGAGAGGCAGCAAGTCCCAGAGATGGCAAAAGAGAAGTGGCGAGGGCCGCGGTGGGTGGCGAGGGCCGCTGAGTTACCTGCGTCGTCACTCTGTATTCTTCCAGGGTCTGGGCCAGGCTCTCCACATCGCGAGTGCGCTAGGAAAGCCGAAAGCCAAATGAGACTGGGACCAGTTCCCCAAAGACACTGGGGGTGGTGGTGGCGGGGGGACTGGCTGGGGGGTTAAGGGACAGGGTGAGCTTGAGGGAAGAGCTGGGGCACAAGGGAGAGCACCGGGCAGAAGGGCTTCTAGATCCCTGAGGGGTCACACTTGGGACCTGGGGAAACCCTCCAGTCTCTCCAGCTGCACATCCAAGGATCAGACCCAAGTAGGACTTCCCTTTCTAGACCAGGGGCAGGAAGTGGCTGGTGCACATGGAAAGCGAATCTCTTTCCCTCCCGGGGCCCCTTACCTCAGAGAGGATGGTGTCTCTTTGGCAAATGAGGTGTTCACACTCAAAGAGCTGCCGCTGCCAAGAAAGGAGCCGGTCCATCCATCCAGCCTCCCAGGACTCCCCTTGGTCCTGCCCTCCACCTGGCCCCACCTGTTCTCTCGCACCCCCACGTATTCAGCCTCCTGAGATGTTCCAGGACTTCAGGGATTTTAGGGATGCCTGGGTGGTCCTGGGAGCCTGACAGCTTGATGGAAGACCCTGCCCTTATCAGGCTGCAGTCACTAAAACCGGAAATGGGAAAAATGGCCCCGGGGTGGTGGAAAGTTGTCAGGCACTAGGAAGGAGTGGCACCTTCAAAGTGTCCTTCTCCATGGCCAGCTCCTGACTTCTCTTTTTCACTCCATCCCGCTCGGCAAGCAGCTTCCCGTTCTAGAAGAAGGAATGGCTGGTCACGTTCATTCCAGCAAGTGGTAATGTCAAAATTAACAGCAGATATTTGCTAAACACTTGATTGATATACATCAGGCCTCATGCTAAGCACTTCATATGTTTTAACCCATTTAATTCCTCCAACCATTCCAGTGGGACCACAGCTTTAATTTCTTTGAGTGTGGCTCCCCCATCTATAAAAATGGAGCTAGGCCACGCGCAGTGGCTCACGCCTGTAATCCCAGCACTTTGGGAGGCTGAGGCGGGCGGATCACAAGGTCAGGAGTTCAAGACCAGCCTGGCCAACATGGTGAAACCCCGTCTCTACTAAAAATAAAAAAATTAGCTGGGCATGGTAGTGCGTGCCTGTAATCCCAGCTACTCAGGAGGCTGAGGCAGGAGAAATACTTGAACTGGGAAGACGGAGGTTGCAGTGAGCCAAGATCGCCCCACTGCACTCCAGCCTGGGCGACAGAGCGAGACTGTCTCAGGAAAAAACAACAACAAAAAAACGGAGCTTAACTAGGACCTACTTTATGGGATTGCTGTAAAGATTAGATAGGTTAATAATCGCTAACACTTACTGAGCATTTTGCATGTGTTGACTCATTTCTTATCCCCAATTTTAAAATCAAAAGAACAATATAAGCAGCCTGTTATCCACATTATCTATCACCCAGCTTCAATAATTATATGCATTTTCTCGGTTTTGTTTAAACTGAGATGTTTCTCCTCCAGATTTTTTTTTTTTTTTTTTGAGCCAGAGTTTTGCTTTTGTTGCCCAGGCTGGCATGCAATGGTGCGATCTTGGTTCACTGCAATCTTTGCCTTCTGGGTTCAAGTGATTCTCTTGCCTCAGCCTCCCTAGTAGCTGGGATTACAGCCACCTGCCACAACACCCAGCTAATTTTTTTTTTTTTTTTTTTTTTGAGACGGAGTTTCCCTCATGTTGCCCAGGCTGGAATGCAATGGCATGATCTTGGTTCACTGCAACCTCTGCCTCCCGGGTTCAAGTTATTCTCCTGCCTCACCCTCCCAAGTAGCTGGGATTACAGGCATGTGCCACCACGCTCAGCTAATTTTGTATTTTTAGTAGAGACGGGGTTTCACTATGTTGGCCAGGCTGGTCTTGAACTCCTGACCTCAGGCGATCCACCTGCCTCCACCTCCCAAAGTGCTGGGACTACAGGTGTGAGCCACCGCACCCGGCTCTCCTCCAGATGTTTTAAGTAGATTACTTTAAAGCAAATTGCAGGCATCATATTAGTTCACCTGTAGTTACTCCAGCATTTATCTCCTACTTGAGGACTTATTTCCTTTAGCAAAACCACAATACCACTATCATACTTAACAAAATTAACAATAACTCAGTATCATCTCATACTAGAAAGTTTGTGCTCCTTTTTCTTTCTTTTTTTTTTTTTTTTTTGAGAGGAGTTTCACTCTTGTTGCCCAGGCTGGAGTGCAATGGCGTGATCTCGGCTCACTGCAACCTCCGCCTTCCAGGTTCAAGCGATTCTCCTGCCTCAGTCTCCAGAGTAGCTGGGATTACGGGCACACGCCATCACACCTGGCTAATTTTTGTATTTTTAGTAGAGACGGGGTTTCACCACGCTGGCCAGGGTGGTCTTGACCTTCTGACCTCAGGTAATCCACCCTTCTTGGTCTCCCAAAGTGCTGGGATTACAGGGGTGAGCCACTGCACCGGGCCTGTGCTCCTTTTTCATTTTGGTTGTCTCAGAGATTTCTTTACATTTACTTTGATTGAGGGTCCAAACAAGGTCCATCATTGCTTTTGGTTGAAATGTCTTACTTCTTTTAATCTGACAGTAATTTCTGCCCCCTCCACCCCGACCCTGGTACTCTTCAGGCCCTCATTCTGTGGAAGAAAGCAGGTCCCTTGTCCTGTAGGATTGGTGCGTTCAGATTAGGCTGATTGCGCTCTTGTTCCCTGTGGTTATGTTCACCACTTTCCTCTATCATTATTTCTTATAAACTGGTAGGTAGATCCAGGGCCTTGTCCAGACTGTTGTTCAATTTCTTGGCAAGATTGGGTGGTGCTATACATATCAAATTGTGCCATTCAGGAGTAATGCCAAGTCTGGTTGCCCTATTAATAGTATAATCATTTCCAATTTTATAAAGGAGTAGAGAGGCTAAGAGACTTGGCAAGGTCACATGGTAAATGGACTCAAACCTAAATCTGTGTGATTCCAAATTCTGTTTATAATCCTCAGACTCTCATGTGAGCCAGACACAGCCCTGGGTGAGAATGGGACACAAAGGGAATTAGGCTCTAGAGGTGGCGATGGATGCAGAAGCGGGTAACAATGCACGAGGTGGGCTCTGGTGAGGCCTACAGCCTGGGTACCATGGGAGCACTAACAGGCTTCCTGAGGAGGCGTTGCTGAGTCTTCAAGGCTGAGGGCAGTTAGCTGGGAAAACAATAGGCCGGAGAGGGCAGCCCATGCCAGCCATGAAATGGGACCTGAACATAAAATGGCCCAGATTCCAGTCTAAAGTTTAGGGGCACCAAAAACCTATCAAGTTGCACAGGGTTTCAAAGCGAGGTGGTCACTGGGGAAATGCACTTTGGGGCATGGAGGCAGTCCAGAGTTCCCTTTCACCACGCCCCTCCTCTTGGCACTCCAGGGGATACACCAAGGCCAGCCTCTCCCTCCCTCCAGCCAGCTCCAAGTCCTCCATCAGCTGCTCTCCCTCTGTCTCAGTGGGCCTGGGCTGCCAGGTGAAGGGCAGAGGAAGGACGGGAAAGGAGTGCTGTCTCAACATCTGTCCACCTGGTAGGGATTTGCAGGCCAGATCCTGGGCCACTCGGCAGGGAACCTGGTTACTCAGCTGCTCCTGCCTCCTTCTGCAGTAACCTGAGACAGCTCTGTAGGTTCTCCACAGGAAGGCTGCCTGGATCTTCAGTGTCTGAGTGTCTTGTTACTCCAGCATTATTCTACTGTAACTTGAGAACTCAATCTATAGATGCTCTGTAGGCAGCTGTGTGGAGGGGGAAGGTAGAGGGGAGGGAACCAAGAATAGCTCCAGTTTATCGAGGGCCGAGGGTGTCCCAGATGCTGCTCAAGGCACTCAACCTGGCAGCAGGCCTTCCTGGTGGGGAGGAGGTAGAGATGAGACTGCTGGTTGCTATTTACCCTGCTTACTCCTTCTGCTTTTGTCGAGGGATCTACTCTCTCTGTCTGAGGGCAGATGGGTCCCAGCCCCAGCCATGGGAGTGAGTCAAGGTGGAAATCTTGGCAGATGCAGGAAGCTCAGCTGGTTAGCTAAGCCAGCAGCCATTCTCACCCCTTCTCACTTGTTCACCTGCCACTCTAGAGGCTGAAAAAGGTCACATATTCTCCTGGGCTCCTTTGCAGCTGGGGGCGTTATGTCAGCCAGTTCTGGCCAGTGAGATGTAAGAGCTGCTGGGGGTGGGGTGAGAGGCTTCTGATGAAAGGAGCCACGAGAGGGGCATTTCCTGGCTGCCCCCCCCCTTTTTTTTTATTTTGAGACAGAGTCTTGCTCTGTCGCCCAAGCTGAGTGCAGTGGCACAATCTCGGCTCACTGCAAGCTCCGCCTCCTGGGTTCACGACATTCTCCTGCCTCAGCCTCCAGAGTAGCTGGGACTATAGCGGCCCGCCGCCATGCCCAACTAATTATTTATTTATTTATTTTTTGTATTTTTAGTAGAGACGGGGGTTTCACCATGTTAGCCAGGATAGTCTCGATCTCCTGACCTTGTGATCTGCCCGCCTCGGCCTCCCACAGTGCTGGGATTACAGGTGTGAGCCACCGCGCCCAGCCTCATGGCTCCCCTTTGCCCCACGTTTTCCTACTTTGAATGAGAACATGAGATTGAAGCTGTTGCAGTCATCTGCAATAATGAGGCCACAGGCAGCCAGGGAGCCACCAAACCTCCCAGAGACCACCTTCTTCCCAGAGACCACCTTCTTCCCAGAGACCACCTTCTTCTAAACCTCTGGTTAAGGAAATGAATGTCGTGTAGATTGAAGTCATCATTTCTTTGTTCTCTTCCCTGGAGCGTTCTGGACCCATTAGTGGCCATATTATCCATGTAGTCTGGTTATAATGGCTGAATGGCAATGAACTGTAAGGCAGGAAGTTCTGCCAGGGGGCTTCAGGGAAAGTTTTTCATTTTTAAAAATTTTTTTTGAGACAGAGTCTCGCTCTGTCACCCAGGCTAGAATGCGGTGGCACAATCTCAGCTCGCTGCAACCTCTGCCTCCTGGGTTCAAGTGATTCTCCTGCCTCAGCCTCTCAAGTAGCTGGGATTACAGACGCCTGCCACCACGCCTGGCTAATTTTTATATTTTTAGTAGAGGTGGGGTTTCACCATGTTGGTCAGGCTGGTTTCGAACTCCTGACCTCAAATGATCCACCCATCTCGGCCTCCCAAGATGCTGGGATTACAAGCGTGAGCCACTGTGCCTGGCCTTTCATTCTTTTATTTACTTTTTTTGTTTTTTTTTGTTTTATAGAGACGGGCTCTCACTATGTTGCCTAGGTTGGTCTCGAACTCCTGGCCTAGGCAATCTTGCTTTGGCCTCCCAAAGTGTTGGGATTACAGGTGTGAGCCACCATGCCCAGCCGGAAAGTTTTTCTTTTCCTTTTTTTTTTGAGACTGAGTCTTGCTCTGTCGCCCAGACTGGAGTACACTGGTACCATCTTGGCTCACTGCAACCTCTGCCTCCTGGGTTCAAGCGATTCTCCTGCCTCAGCCTCCCGAGTAGCTGGGATTACAGGTGTGTGCCACCACACCCGGCTGATTTTTTTATTTTTAGTAGAGATGGGGCTTCACCGTGTTGGCCAGGCTGGTCTCGAACTCCTGATCTCAGGTGATCCACCCACCTCGGCCTCCCAAAGTGCTGGGATTACAGGCGTGAGCCACTGCGCCTGGCAACTTTTTCATTCTTAAAAAGGGATGTTCTGAAAGAAACTGTCACATCCTGCTGCATTCCATGTCTCACATGGTACAGCCATCCTGCTGTGAGATTCCCATTGCCCCAAGGGGGTGAGTTTTCATGGAAGAGCCAGAAAATAGCAGAAAGATTTTGGATTTCAGTGTAAAAAACACTGCACATGTAGGACAAAGATATTTTTTGGGAATACATGATCTGTCTGGACTAGGCAGAGATCCTTAGAGCTGGGGGAGGAATGCAGGACAGACAGAGAAGAGAATAGGCTGAAAATGAGCCCAGAGTTTTCCCCTAACCCAGGGCTAGCTATGAGGGGTGGAGGGTATGGATGGAGAACCGCAGAGCCCTGGAAGTCTTGTGATCTGAGAGGCCTTGCGTGTACTTCCCAGAGCACTCTCAGAATCATCACGGTGTGAGAATAATAGAGATGCTACTTTCTTGTGAAAGCAAAGAGGCCTCACTGGTGGGTCCTCTCCAGACCTCTGCCCACCCCAGCCCTGTGTCCTCCAGTCTGTCAAGGCCTGGGTGGGGTTTGGGATCCTTCAGGGAAATGAGTGACGGACAGGGACTTTGCTAACAGCTCAGGGAGAACAGAGGAATCTCTCTCCTGTTTCTCTTTCCCCAGAGAAGCCACATCTCCCCACCATGAGCACCCACCCTGGCCTGGGGAAATGAGGCAGGGGCTTTGGGCAGTGACCCCAGCCTCTTCCCTTTCACAGGAAAGTAGCCAAATCACCTCCCTGGCTCTGGAAGGGTGTGGAAGTGGTGGAGTAAGAGTCCCAGCCCAGATAAGGGATCACCACCAGAAGATGAAGAAGATGGTATGTCCAGAGATCCAAAGGCAATGCGGGCCTCACAGTAGATGCCAGCACACAGTGGTGACAAACGCTTGGACAAAACCCATCAATCTCATGAACAGCAGAGAGGAGAAACATTGAGTGAGGATCAGCAGCCTCCTAGAGCACTAGGCTCCTGCATCAGTCTCCTGCAACTTAGATACCACCTTGAGGTCGGGGGTGGTGACAGGTTTCATTGTCAATTGATGAGTTTGTTTCAATCTAAAAAAAATTAGGTGGGCCCAGAATGAACTAAGATGATGTTTTTCTGTCTTGGATGGAACGGGGCTTGAATTAAATGTGAAGCTGAACTCAGTCTCTTCATATTGTTTGCTAGTCCCTCAGTGAAATGCTGTCAATCCTCAAAACAAGCCTACTGAACAGATACCCTTCTTCCAGTTCTTTGAAAATAAAAGTAGGTCAGGTGTGGTGGCTCATGTCTGTAATCCCAGCATTTTGGGAGGCTGAGGTGGGCAGATCACCTGAGGTCGGGAGTTTGAGACCAGCCTGACCAACATGGAAAAACCCCGTCTCTACTAAAACAAACAAACCAACCAACCAACAAAAAAACAAAATTAGCCAGGTGTGGTGGCACATGCCTGTAATCCCAGCTACTTGGGAGGCTGAGGCAGAAGAATCACTTGAACCGGGAGACGGTGGTTGCCATGAGGTAAGATCGCGCCATTCCACTCCAGCCTGGGCAACAAGAATGAAACTCTGTCTCAAAAAAAAAAAAAAGAAAAAAAAAAAAAAGAAACTAAAAGTAAAGGCTTGAGAAGGAGAAGTCACATGCTTAAAGGTTGCCTATTGTGTAAGTGGCGGAGATGGGATTTGAACTCAAGGTTGACTTCAAATCCAATTTTTTTTTTTTTTTTTTTTTTGAGAGGCTCTCGCTCTGTCATCCAGGCTGGAATGCCATGATGCAATCTTGGCTCACTGCAACCTCTGTCTCCCGGGCTCGTGCAGTCTTTCCACCTCAGCCTCCTGAGTGGCTGGACTACAGGTGCACACTACCATGCCTGGCTTATTTTTCTATTTTTTGTAGAGGCAAGGTTTTGCCATGTTGCCCGGGATGGTCTCGAACTCCTAGGCTAAAGGGGTCCACCCAGCTAGGCCTCCCGAAGTGCTGGGATTCCAGGCATGAGCCACTGTGCCTGGCTGTTTTATTCACTGTAAAAAATACTAATATAGAAACAATGCTAGATAACTTTTAGTGAGCACATCCTATGTGTCCTACCTTGTGCCCAAGACTTTGCAAGTATCCTTCGGTTGAAGTCTCACACAAACCACTGAGGCAGATGCCATTGTTTTGTTCATCTTTATAGGTGAGGCAACTGAGGCACAGAGAAGGGAGGCACTGGTCCACTCTTATGTAGGTGGCCTCAGCCTGAAGCCATGTAGGCTGACCCCATGCCTCACACTCTTGTAAACCACGGCTGTTCTCACAGTGTGATATAACCTCAGGGACATTCCCACACTACTGACATTCTGAGGTCTCCCCAAGACAGGCTGCTGGGGTGTTGGGGGCAGAAGGGAGTGGTGTCAAGAAGACCTTAAGGACTGGGGAAGGGGTGGGGGTGGTGCTGGGCCTCCGCTCACCTCCTCCTGCAGAGTCTCCATCTCAGCCACCAGATGCTGCTGCTCCTTTTCCTGACCAACCCCAGAGAGAGGACAAAGGTTTCATTTCTAGCCTCCTTGCCCCCATGTTGCCCTTCTCCCACCCCTGAAAACACAACCAGGGCCTGGGGGAATGGGTCTGGGAAGCCCTGATGGCTCCTGCTGTCTCCTTTGTCATGAGAAGGATGGCAGGTAAGCTTGAAAAAGTCTAGGGTGAGCAGGGCCTGGAGAGAGGGAGAAAGCCAGGTGACCTCTGCCCCTTCCTACTCCATAGTCACACTCTGCCGCCCTGACTCCAGGAAACAAAGAAGAGAGAGGGCACCTTCCTTCCCCTGGGCCAGACCCACCGCCTGCCGGGCTTGGGCCAGAAGGCTGCGATTCTGTTCCTCCAGGCTCCTGGCCAGAGTCTTCAGGTCCTCCAGCTCCTCATCCATGGCCTTGGCAAACTGCAGGGCCTGCTGGGTGCTGAATGCGGGTGGGGGCAGATGAGCCATACGAGAGGGAGGAAGGCAGAGAAGCACAGAGACAGATCCATTCTGAGAGACACTAGCAACAGAGAGATCCCAGGTGGTAGGCAGGGACAGAGACCCAGAGAGAGGGGAGGACAGAGACCCAGAGAGAAAAGAGGAGAAGGAGACCTGGTGTGGGCACAGAGACCCAGTTTTAACCTAAAAGACTGAGGAAGTGGGAAAGAGACCTAGAGAGAGTGGGGGACTAGAACAGGGAGACCACGATAAACATGAAGAATGACAAAGCACAGAGAGATGAAAGGGCGAGTGACATGAAGAATCAGAGAGTTAAAGAATAAAGAGAGAAATCTAGGCTGGGTGCAGTGGCTCAGGCCTGTACTCCCAGCACTTTGGGAGGATAAGGCGGGAGGATGGCTTGAGCCCAGGAGTTTGAGACCAGCATGGGCAACACAGTGAGAACTCATTTCTATAAAAAATAAAACAAAATTAGCCAAGCAGGGTGGTGGGCCTGTGGTCCCAGCTACTTGGGAAGCTGAGGTGGGAGGCTCGCTAGAGCCCAGAGGCGGAGGGTACAGTGAGCTGTGATCACCCCCACTGCACTCCAGCCTGGGTGACAGAGTGAGAACCTGTCTCAAAAAAAAAAAAAAGAGAGAGAGAGAAGTCTGAACCCTCAAGGGAAAGATAAAAAGACCAAAACAGAGGCTGAGAGATAAGAATCAGAGAGACACAAAAGATAAAAACAGAAAAGGGAAAAGAAAGGACAGGTACAGAGTCAAAGAGCAGGATGCAGACACGAGCATGGGAGATAGAGGCCGGCTGCTGCAGGGAGGACGGAGGCAGGGGCGCTGGGGAGGGTGGGTGTGGCATCCAGCCCACCTGTGAAGCTGCTTACGCAGAGCCAAGATCTCCTCCCCAAGGCGTGCTGACCCCTCCTCAGCTGTCTCCATGCTCCGCTGCAATTTGGCATTCTCCCCAACCAGACGTCGGTTGCTGAGCTCCAGGTCCTCCAGGCTGCTCAGCAGGTCAGCTGTGGCTTGTCTAGGGGCAAGGAAGGGGTTCAGGTCACTGTCCACAGCCCCTGACTCATTTCCCCGGGTCGAGGTAGGTGCTGGTGGTGGGGAGATGTGGCTCTTTTGGGGAAAGATAAACAGGAGAGAGACTCCTCTGCTCTCCCTGAACTTTCAGCAAAGCCCCGTCCCTCATTCATTTCCCTGAAGGATCCCAAGCCCTACCCGGGCCTCGGCAGGCTGGAGGGGACAGGGTGTGGGCAGGAGGGTCAGGGAGGGGTGTGAGGATAGGTACAGCTCGGGTCTGGGGTCTTCGCCTCCGAAGCTCTCCAGGTTGGCTGGCTCCTCAGCTTCTGGGCATCCTGGAGGGAGAGAGCCAAGAGAATGTTGGCTTCCCTGGAACCCTTAAACGTAAAGTGCCCCAGGGCTCTGAGGTTGGACTCCATCTGCCTCCACCCTCACCTGTGCTCTGGAGAATCTCATGGGCTTTTGGGGCTGCAGTTATACCCACTGTAAAGCCCTCTTGCTTGTCTTCTACCTTGAGCTCAGGCTGGATCTCCCAGATAACCCTAACTCCCCACATTCTTTACACCCAACACTGGGCAGCACTTCACCTTCCCCTTCCCAGATCCCCCACCGACCACTCAGCCACTGGGCGGACCTGGCTCCCTTGCTCCCTGTCACCCCCAGTCCAGCAGAGCCCAGACTTCTCCCTCCTGCCCCTGACTCTCTGCTCCACCCCTCCTCTCTGTCTCCATGCCCCGGCCCTTGCTTTCTCCTCTTGGATCCTCACCAGAGCCTCTTCTCTGGCCTTCTGGCCTCTAGTCCCTCCTCTGCTTGCAGCCCTCCCTGGGCCCCCAAGCCTGATGAAGGAGGTTGAAGAGAACTTCCTTCCCCACCGTTTTTTGTATGGCTAGAGAAATGGAACATGACCACCATTTTTTTTTTTTTTTTTTAAAAGACAGGATCCTGCTCTATTGCCCAGGCTGGAGTGCAGTGGTGCAATGCATGGCTCACTGCAGCTTTGACCTTTCAGGCTCAAGCGATCCTCCTGACTCAGTGTCCCGGCTAGGACCACAGGTACATGCCACCGCACTCAGCTAATTTTTTATTTTTAGTAGAGATGGTGTCTCACTATGTTGCCCAGGCTGGTCTCAAACTACTGGGCTCAAATGTTCTTTCCACTTTGGCCTTCTAAAATGCTGGGATTACAGGCTCACGCCTGTAATCATGACCACTTTTTTTATGGAGCACCTCCTATGTGTGAGGTCCTGGGGATACAATGGTGAGCAAACCAGCCAACTAAACCCAGGTGCCAGTGGCTAACTAGATAATCAGATTTCCTCTGCAGGTGGATGTTCCAATGGAAAGGCCTACAAGTCTAGGAGTGAGCATGGGGAGCAAGGAACTCTAGCCAGGGGCATACCAGGGCTTCCCCTTTGCCAGAGGAGTGGATGACGGCTTGGCGCAGTGGCTCACGCCTGTAATCCCAGCACTTTGGGAGGCCAAGGCAGTTGGATCACCTGAGGTCGGGAGTTCGAGACCAGCCTGACCAACATGGAGAAACCTCGTCTCTATGAAAAATACAAAATTAGCTGGGCGTGGTGGTGCATGCCTGTAATCCCAGCTATGCGGAAGGCTGAGGCAGAAGAACTGCTTGAACCCAGGAGGCGGGGGTGGCGGTGAGCTGAGATTGCGCCATTGCACAACAGCCTGGGCAACAGGAGTGAAACTCTTATCTCAAAAAAAAAAAAAAAAAAAAAAAAAAAGTCCAGCAGGGTGGGGAGCAAGGAGTGGAGGGGAACAGCCTGAGCAAGGACCTGTGCTGGGCAGAAGTGGGGCACATTCGAGGAAGGGCAGCAAGACCAGTGGGCCTGTGAATTCCTGGACTAGAGTGAGGAGAGGTGATGTTAATGATGGAGCAGAGGTAGGCGGGGCCTCGTAGGCCTCTCTAATAGGGCTGGTGTGAGGAGAACGAGTTGGAAACCACCCTCTGAAGAAAAGAAACCCAAAGCTCACGGAAGGAAGGGACGGAGGACCTAGAAAGCCACACTCACAGCTCTAGTCTACAGTAAAGGTCCCTGGTTCCTACCCTATCCCTTGCTCTGCCCTGGGTGGTAAGTCCCCACACTGTCTGACCCAGGGCCTGCCTGCTTCATTCTATATATAGCAATCTCACCAGATGGCAGTTGCCGGGAGGTCAGGGCTCCCTGGAAGGCGGTCTCCTCTTCCAGCTCTAATCCCCTGTATCAAAGGGATGAGGCTTAGCGCCCCACTGTAGCTGCCCCTCAGTCCTCACCAGCCACAGGCAGGGGGATTGCAGGTGGGAGGAGGGGACCGGGTCAGGTGAGAGCTGGCACCACAGGGTAGGAGGGTGAGGCCAGATGGCAAGTGCCCGTGGCCAGATGGAAAAGCAGGAGGGGCAAGGAGTGGGTTTGGTGAAGGGTTGGGGAGGGACCTCTGTCAGCCCCAAACTCCTCCCTTCTCCAGCCCCATTTTATTTCTGTCTCCCAGACCCCCTCTGCTTCCTCATCCAAATTATTTTGTCCTCAGACTCCCTATCTACCCCCTCTGAATCCCGTCTCTTCATTTTTCTCTCCACAGCCTCATTCCAAACACAGTAGGTCCTTGGGCCTAAAGGATGCTGGCTCCAGTAAGCAGGTATGAGGTTAGATCTTAGGAAGGACTTCCCAGAGGAGGATGAAGATGTGGGGACTCACCCATGTAGTTGACAGGCAGCAATCCAGTCACGCATGACAACCAGGAAAGTGTCCAAGTCCACAGTGGCCTTAGGGCCCTCCCCATTGGGGTCCAGGCTGTTGGCCAATGTTTGGAGGCGTGCATCCTGGGGGCCCTGGCCTGTCACAGCCTCCAGGTAGGCCAGCACCTGGGCCACAGCCACAGTGCCTGTGACAGAGCATGCAGTGAGGGGGTCTGGGGCAGGTGGGGAGTGATGGGTATGGACTGGCAGCAGCTTGGGACCAGGATGTCACTGGCTAGGCTGGTGGCACTCCTGCTCCATGGCCCAGTGGAGACACACTGGGCAAGCCCTTTCCCCTCCTCTGAGTCCACTTTTTCACCTGGAAATGGGGCCCAGTCATCCCCCCATCACAGGGTAAACCAAAGGGGATGGACATAGGGACAGCATCAGCCATGCCCCACGCCACCATGGTGGCTGCCTCCCTCCCCTATCCCACGACCCCAAAACTCTGCCCTCTTCCATCAACGTCCCCCAAGTTTTCCTCATTCTAAAAGGCCTTCACCCCATTATCCACGTTCTTCTTCCTGAAGCTTCCCATAATCACCCACTTTGTTCTTACAATACCCCCAAGAGGGGGCCTTAGCCCAGTCTTCTCTCTGAGGCTCCCCAGTTCCCAGCCTCCACCCCATCCTGCCCGCACTGGTCCCCAGCACCCCTCATGCCCCCACCACCTGTCCTCTGAGGGTCACAAGCTTCGAACGTGGAGTTGAGTATTTGCTCCTCCAAGCTGACCGGCATTCCCAGCCTTGCCTCCTCAGGCCGCTCCCGGAGGTACACTGGGGAGACAAGAGGGCTCAGCTCACCAGTGGGAAGAATAAGGAAGGAAGAGGGGTGACCCCAGGTCCTCAGCCTCCTGGGCTCTGTAGCGGGGAGGGAATTCACTCAGAGCACTGAGAGTTCGGGCGGGTGGGGAACAGCAGGAAGCTTCAGGAGGGGGCAACAATGTGAGGGTCTCTGAGTTACTTCCCCCCATCTTTCAAACCAGGAAGTCCCCCCTGCTGTCTTTTTGTGTCCAATTGGCTTAGGAGCCCAGAGAAGAACGCTCTGAGATCACCCTTTCCTCCTCTCCTCTCCAGCCTCCCAGGCTGGACTCAGAGAGGGACAGGGTCGGGGAGGGCAAAGAAGAGAGGATTCTGGGAGGAGCTGAGAGTGAAGGGGGGGCCCAGGAGCCAGGAACAATCCAATAATGCATGGGCAGCCCAGATCGATCCCGCCTGCTGCATCTCCGGTCTCCCAGCCCACCCTGGGGACCAGGTCTCTCTCCTCCCTGCATCCCTAAGGCAAGGGTGGCATCATTGGAGCCCATGGCCAGGGGCTGAGACATGAAGGGATAGGGTAAACCAGACAGGGTGGGCAGTGAGGGAATGGTTATGAGCTGGATCAGTGTGTCAGACCTGGGTGCAGAGTCCAGCTGCACATCTGTGGGCAAGTCTCTTCTGTTAGAGCCTCGGTTTCCCTACTGGGGGGGTGGGTAGAGTGATCCTCCTCACCAGGGCTGAGTTAGCTCTGTGTATGTGAAGCACACGCATGTACACACACACACACACACACACACACACACACACACACGTCCTGGGGTCTATTTGTCTACTGTTGTAGCCACAACACCTGCAGATGGCAGGTGCTCAACAAATGCTCCATGACATAGGAAGAGATCCTCAACTGCAGGAGCCACTGGGCTGGCCCAGCCTCTCTCCCAGGGCTGGAAGTGAACTTCTAGGCTCCCTGCCCTGGCCTTGAACAGCTGGGTGCAGCAGCTCACTGAGCACAGGCTGCAGGACGGGGTAGATCCAGGGGGCAACCGAGGCTTGGCCTCAGACAAGTGGTGGCACCTGGGGCAATGGACTCAACTTCTCTTGGGCCTCAGTTTCTTCCTCTGGAAAATGGGGTTGGTGTTACCTCTTTCCTAGAGAGAAAATGAGATACAATCTAGAAAGGCTTTGGCAGAAGGCCTGGCACGTGGTGGGGACTCAAGAATAGAATTGAACACTTATTGAGCATTTAGTAGGTGCCAGGCCTTTTCTGAGCACTTTACATGAACTGTCTACTAGCATAATAATAATCGATGCTATTATAATCCCTACTTTACAAATGAGGGGACTAAGGCATAGAGAAACTAAGAACTCGCCAAAGGTCACCCTGTTTAACATATGAGTCAACTTTCTCATCCCTCTAACTCTTCCAGGATTCTCTGCAGTGAGTGAAATTTGCACCCCCTCTGTCTTGAACCTATGCTCCTAGGTTTGGCCCTTGGGAAGGGGCGTGTGGACTCACAGTTAGGGGGAGACCAGGGCTTTAGCCCCAGTCTGTTTTCCTCCTCTCACTGTTTTTTTTTTTTTTGAGATGGAGTCTCGCTGTGTCACCCAGGCTGGAGTGCAGTAGCGTGATCTCCGCTCACTGCAACTTCTGCCTCCAAGGTTCAAGCAATTCTCCTGCGTCAGCCTCCCGAGTAGCTGGGATTACAGGTGCCTGCTACCAGGCCCAGCTAATTTTTGTATTTTTAGTAGAGATGGGGTTTCACCCTGTTGGCAAGGCTGGTCTCGAACTCCTGACCTCAAGTGATCCGCCCACCTTGGCCTCGCAAAGTGCTGGGATTACAGGTGTGAGCCACCATACCCAGCCCTCTCAGTGTCTTTCTCATGTTACATGAACGAGGACCCTGAGGCCCAATGAGATGGTTCACCCAGGGCTGCTTGCCAGAGAGAGCTAAGCTGGGAATAGAACTCAGGACTGGCATCAGGTCGTGCTGGCTCTGAGGATCAGCATGTGTCTGAAGTCGCATCCCAGGATTCCCCCAGGGAGATGTCATTTCTGTTCCTCAGGAAGATCTCCTTCCTCAGTGTCTCTATCTCCTCTATGTCTCTGTCCTTGCCTCTTCGTTACATTTCTCTTTGGCTCTTTCTCTCTATCTTTCTCCCAGTCTCTCTTCCCCACGTCCTGTCTCTCTGCCTCCATGTCGCTTGTCCCCGTTTTCTTCCCTGTATCTCAGTCTCTGTGCTTCCCTTCCCATATCTCAGAGACTCTCCATTCCCTAAGTCTTCTCTTTCCTTCCTCTGCTGTTTCTTTTTCCCTTTGCCTTCCTCTGTCTCCATCTCTCCTTCTGGGTGTGTTCCTACCTTTCCTTCCAGAGCCTCTCGAAGCTGTCTCAGCCCTTGCCACCCGGATCCTGGTGGCTGCACGCCCTCTGCTGGTGCAGGTGAAGTTTAGATGGCTGTCACTAGACAGCCTGTCCTCTGGTTCCCACACCCTGGTGTCTACCTCTGACCCTCCTATCTGGAAAGCCTCCTGAGGTCTGGGGCTTTGTAGAAAAAGACGCAGGCTGTGCCGTGGATGCCTGGGAGCCTCTAAGAAAGGGGCCCTACCATCCCCATCAGACTGGGCTCTCTCACTTGGCAGATGAGTTTCAGAGAGGCAACCCCAGTGCCTCCTCCCCACCCTCTGAAGCCAGCTTTCACACCCGTTCAACCTACATCCGTCCGTTCACTCAACAGTAAGTGAGCTCCCACAGTGAGTCAGGAGTTGCTCTGGGGTCCCAGCCAACAGGGCAGTCTCTCCTTCTGGAGCACCTGAACTGAGGCGAGTGTAGACTGAAATGCTCTGTTAGTGTAAAGTACACGCTAGATCTTTAGGGCTTAGTATGAAAAAAACAGATTATCTGGATACATTTTTTATATTGGCTATATATTGGCTATATACATATATATATCTCTATGTATGTATATCCTGTATACATATATAATATACAGGGTATTAGTCTGGCTATATAAGGAAAATCCATTATCAACATTCATTTCACCTGTTCCTTTTTTCTTTTAAAAAATAATAAATTACCTATGTGGCTCATATTATACTTCCACAGGACAGCGCTGCTCTAGGGACTGGGAATACCAGAGTGAATAAAACAGACGCTGCCTTGTGGAGCTCATGCTCTAGCAGGGGAGACAGAGACAAAACATGACATACAGATGTGAGCACTGTGAAGAGAAATGAAGCGGGGCAGGGGAGAGAGTGTCACAGGGCAGCTGCTTTACATAAAGTAAGAAGTGCCATCTGGGCCGCGATCTGAATGGAGTAAGGGGTGCGGCTGCTTGCGCTCTCACACAGTCCAGCCTCCCCACAGGAGATAAGGGGTAGTGACAGGTGGGCGGGCATAGAGTAGGCACTTAATCTACCAGAGTCCCTTCCCTCCCTTCCACTCTGCACCCATGCAAAGGCTCAGCCACCCCCAGCCACCTCTCCCAAGTCCCCGAGTCACAGCCTGGCACCCATTCACCCATGGCTCCCTCCTCACCCTCCCCGGGGCAAATAGGGTTCCAGCCACTTACTTTCCGCAGTGGGGCCACCCACCGGGCCCTCGGGCAGGTCCATGGGCCACCCCTGCCGCGGCGCAGCTGCTGGCAAAGCTACCAGCCTCCCTCCTTCATGGGGAGGGATGGGAAAAGGACCAGCTGGCCCGAGCACTCCTGGAAGGAGAAGCAGGAAATGGTGTCCTCAGAGCAGCCACCAAGGGTCGGGGCCTGCCTAGCCCCACCTGTGCCCCAGGACCTCTGGGTCCTCACAACCTGTTTGTCACCCCCGCTGTGACCTGAGCAGCTCCGCTCTGACCTGTTTTATGGATTGGAGGTGTGGGCTGGAGAACGAGGTGGCTGACATCAAAGGGGCTAGTGGGTGGGTGGGGGAGGTCACTGCCTCCCTTTCTTCACATGGCTTGCCGCCGGTCCAGGCTGCCTGGTCCTCTTCCCTGGCCTTTGTCCCAGCCTCCTATCCCCAGGCTTGTCCTCCAGTCTGTCCCCACAGGGCCCCAGAGCTGACCTGCCCCTCCCCTGCTAAGTACCCTTCCATGGCTCCCTGAATCCTGGGTACGGGTGAGACCCTGGCCCTGACGCCAAGGCCCTGCATGGCTGACCGCCCACCTCAGCACCCCAAATCGCACATGATGCTCCAGCCACTCTGAGCTGCGGACCGCTCCCATGCCCAGGTCTCTGCCTGGGACGCCCTCCTGCATCCTGCTTCGGCTTCACGTGGCCTCTTCCGGGAAGCGAGGGGCCGTGTCTGGCTCCCACACAGCCCTGGGCAGCTGCCATTCTTGCCACATCAGCCTGGATTTGGCCGGCTGGCTTCTCATGGGAGTTTGATCCTGACTTGCCCCTGCTCCTGATCCTCCCATGGCTCCCTAATGCCCCCGGACTAAGTTCCAGTCCCTCAGGCTAGAGTGGCATTGAGTAGTCTCTGAAGCTCCTGCCTCTTCCTGTCCCTTTTCTCTCCGTCGGGCAACCCCTAGGTCTCTCCTCATCATGGCCCCAAACCTGCTGCTCCCCTGGGTTCCAACTCAGGATGTACATGGTCCCCCAAGCCCAGGCCACCTCCTCCTCATCCCTGCCAGCCCCACTTGCAGCTGCTCTGGGCAGTCCCTGCAGCAGTGACAGGAGTTTGGGGGGCCCCATCCTGCCTCCATTCCACCCAGGCCGACCCAAAACCTTAGTGGCCGCACTCTGGGGGCTAGAGAGAGACCTGGGCGCTGCTATCATCACAGCGGGCACGGGCGCCCCTTGGGGCCACCAGTCGAGCCTGGGCTCGCCTGTCCTCACCCAGCTCCCCCAGTGCCTGCTCTCCCCAAGCCACGTGAGCCCGCTGCCACCGTTCTGGAAACACGGGTCTTTGAAGAGAGGCCCTTCCAGGGTCTGGAACACCCTGCAGGGTGCAAAGGGGGGCGATGGCCTTGGCTGGGCCCTGGCGCACGGAGTGGGTTCGGGATGGAGTCCTGAGGGACCCCGGGGGTGTTGGTTGATCTCGGGGGTCTGACGGGACTGAGACGGGGACACTGAAGCAGGATGGGGCCCTGGCAGGAGCTCTGGGTGGTGTGGGCCTTGGCGGGCTTTCAAGGGCTCTGACAGGATTTTGGGGGGGTCTCTGACTGGATTTCTGGGGAGTGTCTGGCTGGATTTTGGAGATTTTGATTTCTGTGGGGGTCTCTGACTGGATTTCAGGGGTCTCTGGCTGGATTTCGGGGGTCTTGATTTCTGCGGGGGTCTGATTGGATTTCTGGGGGTTCTCTGACTGGATTTTGGGGGTCTTGATTTATTCGGGGTCTCTGGATTTTGGGGGTCTTGATTTATGCGGGGGTCTCTGGATTTCTGGGGGTCTCTGGCTGGATTTTGGGGGTCTTGATTTCTGCAGGGGTCTGACTGGATTTCTGGGGGTCTCTGGCTGGATTTGGAGGGTCTTGATTTCTGCGGGGGTCTCTGAGTGCATTTCGGGGTCTCCGTTTCTGGGGTGTCTTTGATGGACTTCTGTGCTCTCTGACGGAATCTGAGGTCCGACTGGGTTTGGGAGGGGACCTGCCAGGATTTCTGGGGATCTCTGACACGAGTCTAGGTGGCTCTGCTGATCTGGGGAGAGTAATAGGATTTTGGGGAAAGTTTCTGGCAGGCTCTGAGGGAGAAGTCTGACAATTTCTAGACGATTCTGACAGGATTTCGGGGGTCAACTATAAGATTTCCTGGTGGACTCCTTTCAGTATATCTGAGGGGATGTGGTCAGGATTTTTTTTTTTTTTTTTGAGACGGAGTCTCACTCTTGTCACCCAGGCTGGAGTGCAGTGGCGCGATCTCAGCTCACTGCAACCTCTGCCTTCCAGGTTCAAGCAGTTCTCCTGCCCCAGCCTCCTGAGTAGCTGGGATTATAGGCGCGTGCCACTACGCCTGGCTAATTTTTTGTATTTTTAGTAGAGACGGGGTTTCACTTCCCCGGGATGGTCTCTATCTTCTGACCTCGTGATCCGCCCGCCTCGGCCTCCCAAGTGGTCAGGATCTGGGGGGCCCTGACGCAGGGGTATCTCTCCCACAATATGGGGGGGCTTCGCTAGGATTTCGGTAGGGGCTGGGAAGGGCCATTCTGGGAACCTCGCCGCGGGGCAGGGCGCACCTGGAGCCACGTCCTAGTCTCGGGACACAACGGACATCCACGAACGACGAACGGCAGTTGAGTTGGGGGAGGTGCGCGTGAGCTTTTCCCGCCAGAAAAAGCAAAAGGAGGCGAGGGGTCGCGAGTGCGCGTGCGCAGCGTCTGAGCCCCGCCCCTCCCCGCCCGGACTCCTCTTAAGACGCAGGTGCAAACCGGCGGCCGACGCGTGTCACGCATGCGCGCTGGCGGTGTGGGCTGTGGCCACGGAGTTTGTCTGGTGGTGGAAGGAGGGGGTGGCTGCGCCCGCCATGCTGGGGCTCGTGTTTTTCTCTTCCGCTTCAGGCTTTGGTGAAATGGGCTGAGGAAGGGGGAATTGAACTGAGAGACTCCTTGTCCGTCCCCCATTTCTTTCTTTTTTTTTTTTTTTTGAGATGGAGTCTCGCTCTGTCGCCCAGGCTGGAGTGCAGTGGGACAATTTTAGCTCACTGCAACCTCCGCCTCCCGGGTTCAAGCAATTCTCCTGCCTCAGCCTCCCGAGTAGCTGGGATTACATGCGCCCGCCACCACACCTGGCTAATTTTTGTATTTTTAGTAGAGACGGGGTTTCACCACGTTGGCCAGGCCGGTACCGAACTCCCAACCTCAGGCGATCCACCCGCCTCGGCCTCCCAAAGTGCTGGGATTACAGGCGTGAGACACAGCGCCTGGCCTGTCCTTTTTATGTATTGCCATATTTTCTTTTCTTTTCTTTTCTGTGAGATCCCTGTTGAGTTTTGTTAACAAGGCTATGCTGATATAATGTGTGGAGAAGTGTTCTCTCTTTTTCTATTCTTTGAAAGTGCTAGTGTAGGATTGATGTTATTTATTTTTTATGTGTTTGGAAGAAGTCACCAGCCATCTGGACCTAGAGTTTTCTTTGTGGAAAGACTTTAAATTACAAATTCTATTTCTTTTATAAAAATACAACTATTCAGATGTTCTATTTTATTTCTGGTAAGTTGTGGTTTTGGTAAGTTGTGGTTTTCAAGGAATTTTTCCATTTTATCTAAAATTTCAAATAATTTGCATAAAGTTCATAATATTGTCTTTTTTTGGAGGGGGAGAAACACGGTCTTATGTTAGGCTGGTCTCGAACTCCTGCCCTCAAATGATCCTCCTACCTTGGCCTCCCAAAGTGCTGGGGTTACTGGCATGAGCCACCATGCCCAATCTTTTTAATATCTGTAAGATCTGTGGTGACGGATATTAATAATTTGTGCCATCTCTCTTTTCCCCCCTCCCTTCCCCTCTGCTCCTCTCCTCCCCTTCCCCCACTCCCCTCCCCTCATCTCCCCTCCCCCGTACCTTCCCCTCCCCTCCCGCCTCCCTTCCCTTCTGCTCCTGTCCTCCCCTTCCCCCACTCCCCTCCCCTCATCTCCCCTCCCCCGTACCTTCCCCTCCCCTCCCCCTCTCTTCCCCTCTGCTCCTCTCCTCCCCCCACTTTCCTCCCCTCATCTCCCCTCCCACCTCCCTTCCCCTCCCCCTCCCTTTATCTCCCCTCCCTTCCCCTCCCTTCCCCCTCCCTTCCCCTCCCTTCCCCTCCCTTCCCCTCCCTTCCCCTCCGCGTCCACTGCCTCCCCTCCTCCCTCCCCTTCCTCCCCTCCCCTCCCCCCTCCTCTCTTTCTGAGACAGGTTCTCACCCAGGATAGAGTGCAGTAATGTGACCCTAGCTCACTGCAGCCTCCACCTCCTGGGCTCAAGTAATCCTCCCACCTCAGCCTCCTGAGTAGGTGGGACTACAGCCATGTGCCCTCAAGCCCCTGATCTTGCTGTTTTTTTTTTTGTTTTTTTGTTTTTTTTTTTTGAGACGGAGTCTCGCTCTGTCGCCCAGGCTGGAGTGCAGTGGGGCGATCTCGGCTCACTGCAAGCTCCGCCTCCCGGGTTCACGCCATTCTCCTGCCTCAGCCTCCCGAGTAGCTGGGACTACAGGCACCCGCTACCACGCCCGGCTAATTTTTTGTATTTTTAGTAGAGACGGGGTTTCACCGTGTTAGCCAGGATGGTCTCGATCTCCTGACCTCGTGATCCGCCCGCCTCGGCCTCCCAAAGTGCTGGGATTACAGGCGTGAGCCACCGCGCCCGGCATGATCTGCTGTTCTTTTTCCAGCTTTTTCCCCCCAACTTCTTGAGGTGAATGCTTAGGTCACTGATATTTTTAGGTTATTAAGCCATTGATTTTTTTTTTGAGACGGAGTTTCACTGTCACCCAGGCTGGAGTGCAGTGGTGCGGTCTTGGCTCACTGCAACCTGTGCCTCCCGAGTTCAAGCGATTCTCCTGCCTCAACCTACTGAGTAGCTGGGATTACAGGCGTGCCCCACCATGCCTGGCTAATTTTTTGTATTTTTAGTAGAGTCGGGGTTTCACCATGTTGGCCAGACTGGTCTTGAACTCCTGACCTCGGGTGAGCCGCCTGCCTTGGCCTCCTAAAGTGCTGGGATTAGAGGCGTGAGCCACCGTGCTGATGCCAGGTCATGTGCCCAGCCAGGTCATTTGATTTTTAAAGATCTCTTCTAATACATGCGTTTAGAGCCATCATTTGCCTTCTAAAAACTTCTGTAGCTACACTTGACACATTTGTTATGCCACATTTCTATTATTATTATTATTTTTTGAGACAGAGTCTCGATCTGTCACCCAGGCTGGAGTGCAATGGCACAATCTTGGCTCGCTGCAATCTCTGCCTCCTGGGTTCAAATGATTCTCCTGCCTCAGCCTCCCGAGTAGCTGGGATTACAGGCATGCACCACCACACCTGGCTAATTTTTGTATCTTTAGTAGAGATGGGGGTTTCTCCATGTTGGCTAGGCTGGTCTCGAACTCCCGACCTCAAGTGATCTGCCTGCCTCAGCCTCCCAGAGTGCTGGGATTATTGGCATGAGCCACCATGCCTGGCCACGTTTCCATTATTATCAATTCAAAATATTTTCTAATTTGACCTGAGTGATAATTTTTAGAGATATATTGCTTACTTTCCAAATATTTTATGACTTCCCTGCTATCTTTTTATTATTTATTTATTTTTGAGACGGAGTCTCGCTTTGTCGCCAGGTTGGGTGCAGTGGCGTGATCTGGGCTCACTACAACCTCTGCCTCCTGGATTCAAGTGATTCTCCTGCCTCAGCCTCCTGAGTAGATGGGACTACAGGCACGCACCACCACAGCCAACTTTTTTTTTTTTTTTGTATTTTTAGTAGAGACGGGGTTTCACCATGTTGGCCAGGATGATCTCGATCTCTTGACCTTGTGATTCCTCTGCCTCAGCCTCCCAAAGTGCTGAGATTACAGGCGTGAGCCACTGCGCCCGGCCCCCTGCTATCTTTTTATTATTGCTTCCTACTTAATTCACTGTAGTCAGAAAACATACAAACATACTCTATATGATTTCATTTCTTTGACATTTGTTGAGATTTGCTTTATAGTCCACGATTTCATCTATTTTAGCAAATGCTTCATGTGTATTTGAAAAGAGTAGCTTGGCGTGGTGGCTCATACCTGTAATCCCAGCACTTTGGAAGGCCAAGTTGGGTGGATCACCTGAGGTCAGGAGTTCAAGACCAGCCTGGCCAACATGGTGAAAGCCCGTTTATACTAAAAATACAAAATTAGCCAGATGTGGTGGCATGTGCCTGTAATCCCAGCTACTCAGGAGGCTGAGGCAGGAGAATTGCTTGAACCCAGGAGGTGGAGGGTACAGTGAGCTGAGATCGCGCCACTGCACTACAGCCTGGGCCAGACAGAGCGAGACTTCATCTCAAAAAAAAAAAAAGAAAAAAAAAAGGCCAGGTGTGGTGGCTCACGCCTGTAATCCCAGCACTTTGGGAGGCTGAGGCAGGCGGATCACCTGAGGTTGGGAGTTTGAGACCATCCTGGCCAACATGGTGAAACCCCATCTCTACTAAAAATAAAAAAAAATTAGTCAGGCATGGTGGTACACGCCTGTCTTCCCAGCTACTCAGGAGGCTGAGGCAGGAGAATTGCTTGAACCTGGGAGGCAGAGGTTGCAATGAGCCGAGATTGTGCCACTGGACTCCAGCATGGGCAACAAGAGTGAAACTCTGTTTCAAAAAAAAAAAAAAAAGAAAAAAAAAAGAAAAGAACAGAGTGTGTATCCTGCAGGTCAGCTATGTCAGGTCAAGTTTGTCAATCATGCTGTTCAAATCTTTAATATCTTCACTGTTTGCTTCTTGTACTGAATGACTGTGGATTTTTCCATCTCTCAGTTCTGTCATTTTTGCTTTATATATGTTGAAGCTGTATTATTAAATGCATACAGATTTAGAATGGTTATATCCTCCTGGTGACTTGACCCCTTTATTACCTTGAAATGTCATTTTTTACTTCTAGCAATGCTTTTTGCCTTAATGGCTACTTTGATGTAGAGATTTCTCCAGCTTTCTTTGGTTAGTGTTTATATAGGGTATCTTTTTCATCCTGTAACTTTCCATCTTTTTGTGTGCTTATATTTAAGGCATGTCTCTTGTAACAGCATATAGTTGGGTTTTGTTTTATGCTGACTGCTGATTTTTGACTTTACCAAAACTCTTAGTGAAGTGTAATATTTATATAGAACAGTCCATAGATCATAAGTGATAAGCTTTATGAATTTTCAGAAATTGAACACATCTGTGTTATCTAAACCGAGATCAAGATACAACATACTACCTGCCTCCAAGATTCTTCCTCATGGCTCCTTCCAGTCCCTACTCTCCTAGGGGTAACTTTTACCCTAATTTCTTTTCTTTTTCTTTCTTTTTTTTTTTTTTTTTTTGAGACAAAGTCTCCTTCTGTGGCCCAGGCTGGAGTGCAGTGGCGCAATCTTGTCTTACTGCAAACTCCGCCTCCTGGGTTCAAGTGATTCTCGTGCCTCAGCCTCTGAGTAGCTGGGATTACAGCCATGTGCCACCGTATCTGGCTAATTTTTGTATTTTTAGTAGAGATGAGGTTTCACCATGTTGGCCAGGCTGCTCTCGAACTCCTGACCTCAGGTGATCTGCCCACCTCAGCCTCCCAAAAAGTGCTGGGATTACACGCATGAGCCACTGTGCCCGGCCTACCCCAATTTCTAATGGCATAGATAAGCTTTATTTGTTTTTTTATTCAGAATAAATAAAACCATACAGAAACATTTTTGTTTCTGGTTCTTTTGTTAAATGTCATATAAGATTCAACCATGTTGCATGTAGTTGTAGATCAGAAAATCTGTGCCTTTTATTTGGAGTATTTAGTGTCAGTTACTTAAAAATATCTTTATACAGTATTAAAAAAATCTCAAACATACATAAAGTAAACATAACGAACCCGTATATACCTAACACATAGCTTTAGCAATTATCAACGTTCTGCCTTATTTTTGGAAACAGGGTCTCACTCTGTTACGCAGGCTGGAGTACAGTGGCACATTCTTGACTGACTGCAACCTCCACCTCCCAGGCTCAAGCGATCCTCCCACCTTGGATCTGTGAGTTGATGTCTTTCATCAGTTTTTTAAAATTCTTGCCCAGGAGTTCTTTAGTATTGCTTCCTCCTCATTGTCTTTTTCCTCTCTTCTAGGACTCCAGTATGTATGTATTAGACCTTTTAACCATGACCTATATGTCTCATATGTTTTTAATGTATTTTCTACCCTATTTCTGTGTAATTTAATCTAGATATTTTCTATTGATCTGTTTTCCAGTGTGTCTAACCTGATGTGGGACTAATCTACTGAATTTTTATTTCAATTAATTTATTTTTCAGCTCTAGAATTTATATTGGATTCTCCCTCCTCCTTAGATTCCAGTTCTCTGATGAAATTATCCATCTTTTCATCTATTTTTGGGGAACATATTAATTATAGTTATTTGAAAGCCTGTATCTGAGAACTGTAATACCTGGATCACCTTTGGGTACATACTTCTAGTGTATGTTTTTTCTCTTGGTTTTCTGTCATTTGGTCTTGTTTCCTGGCAAGACTGGTAATTTTTAAATTAAAATATAAAAACTGGATGGTATTATCTTCCCTCGGAAAGAATTTAATTTCCTTGGCTGGGCGCGATGGCTCATGCCTGTAATCCCAGCACTTTGGGAGGCCAAGACGGGTGGATTACAAGGTCAGGAGTTCAAGATCAGCCTTGCTAATATGGTGAAACCCCATCTCCCGTGTTCAAATGACTCTTATGCCTCAGTCTCCCGAGTAGCTGGGATTACAGGTGCCTGCCACCATGCCCAACTAATTTTTGTATTTTTAGTAGAGACAAGGTTTCACCATATTGGCCAGACTGGTCTTGAACTCCTGACCTCAGGTGATCCACCTGCCTCAGCCTTCCAAAGTGTTGGGATTACAGGTGTGAACCATCATGCCTAGCTTGTATTCAGCTTTTATAGTTTTTGGTGGGGAGTTAGTCAGCTACTAGCTACTCCATCATAGTGACAAGCAAAAGTCCGGATAATCTTTTTGATCAGTAAATACATATATGTTACTTCTTTAATTGTAACACTTAGCTCACTTCCCATTTTAAATAGAATAACATAAAAACTCCTCACTACGCTCCAAAGACCCTGCATGGTCTGCTCTCCTGTACCCTACGTCTACTTTTGTGATCTTATCCCCTATTTATCTCCATCAATAACTGCTCTGTCCACCTTGGCCTCCTTGTTTTTGATCAAGCCAAGCCATTTCCAACCTCAGGACCTTTGCACTTGCTATTCCCTCAGCCTGAAAGTCTCTTTCTCCAGATTTACCATGGACCGGATTTGCTCCATTACCCCAGTTCAGTCTCTGTGTATATATCAGAGTGCCTCCCTCTGTGTATATATCAGAGAGACTACCCTATCTAAGATGAGCTCGGTCCCCTCAGAGTTTCCTTTCTGCCTCATGTTGCTTTATTCTTCACAGCATTTGCCATTGCTTGATACATATTTATTGTTTCTCTCCCCCACCAAATCCCATGATGCTGGGGCATTGTTTATTCACTGCTTAATCCCCACTGCTTAGAATAGTGTTGGGGGTCTGGGCACATTGGTTCATGCCTGTAATCCCAGGACTTTGGGAAGCTGAGGCAGGCAGATCGCTTGAGCCCAGGAGCTCAAGACCAGCCTGGGTAACATGGAGAAACCACCTTTCTACAAAAAAAATTTATAAAAATTAACCGGGCATGGTGGCATATGCTTGTGGTCCCAGCTACTCAGGAGGCTGAGGTGGGAGGATCACCTGAGCCCAGGAGGCAGAGGTTGCAGTGAGCTGAGATCACACCACTACACTCCAGCCTGGGTGACAAAGTGAGACTCCATCGCCTGCCCCTGCCCCCCCAAAAAAACCCAAAGTCTTATGAATTAACACTTTTTTTCCAGTCAAAAAATCAGGATGATATCAGGGAATACCAGACCTGGTAACTGAGTAGATGTTGGGGGTCTCACCCAGGTGTGTGAAGCCACTGGGAGGAAGATGCTGAAATAGTCTGAGATGTAGTGGTTGTGGGTGGGTCCATGGATTTTCTTGGGGGAAGCGAGGCCCAGGAGATAGTGGTCCATCCCCATCCTCTACTGCTTTCTTCCTCTCTAATTGAGCTAATGCCCAGTTAAGTCTTCAAAGATCTTGAGCACTGAGAGGCTTTCAGGCCCCTCCTCCTCTATAACATAATAATGTAAAGTGGAGACCAGCTGCTAGTAAAGCACTAAATGCAAAAGGTAAAACTATAAAGTTAATAAAAGAAAATGTAGGAAAGTATTAATGACTTCTTTTAGGGATCTCAAAAGGATGAATCATAAGTCAAAAAAATTAATTTGATTACATCAGTATTAAGGGTTTCTATTCATCAAGGATCCCAAGGGCCAAGATCATGAGAGATGAGATGATGGACGAGCGGAAGATATTTGCATTGTCTAAAATTGACCAGGGGCTGGGCGTGGTGGCTCATGCCTGTAATCCCAGCACTTTGGGAGGCCAAGGCAGGCAGATCACCTGAGGTCAGGAGTTTGAGACCGGCCTGGCCAAGAGATTTTGTATTTTTGTACTAAAAATACAAAAATTAGCCAGATGTGATGGAGCATGCCTATAATCCCAACTACTTGGGATGCTGAGGCAGGAGAATAGCTTGAATCTGGGAGGTGGAGGTTGTGGTGAGCTGAGATCGCACCACTACACTCCAGCCTGGGCGACAGAGTGAGACTCCGTCTCAAAAAAAATTAATAAATAAAATAAAAAAATAAAATTGACAAGGGATTAAAAGGTAGGTGATTGAAGGAACTCCTACAAATCAAAAAGAAAAAGATAACAACCCAACAGAAAAAAATGACCAAGAATTTACAGAAAAGCAGGCAATTTACAGAAGGGGAAATCCAAAAAACTAACAAATATGTGATAAGGAGCTCAAAAGATCAGTAACCAGAAACATTCCAATTAAAGCAACAGGAAACTACCCTTTTTAGATTGGCAGACTGCAACAAGCTGAATAATGCTTTATCCTTTAGGGTTTGCTCAGAGAAGCAGATCCATTGTGACTTATACAGTTCATCCTTGAACAATCCCACGTAGCTGGGATTACAGGCATGCACCACCATGCCCAGCTAACTTTTGTATTTTTAGTGGAGATGGGGTTTCACTATGTTGGTCAGGCTGGTCTCAAAGTCCTGACCTCAGGTGGTCCTCCCGCCTCAGCCTCTAAAAGTGCTGGGGTTACAGGCATGAGCCACCGTGCCCGGCGATTTTATTTTTTTTAACCCTCTCCTAACTTCCTCTGATTTCCTTAATAACATTTTCTTTTCTCTAGCTCACTTTATTGTTTGAATATAGTATATAATACATATAACACAGCCAGGCATGGTGGCTCACGCCTGTAAACCCAGAACTTTGGGAGGCCAAGGTGGGCTGATCGCTTGAGCCTAGGAATTGGAGACACCCCTGGGTAACATGGTGAAACCCTCATCTCTACTAAAAATACAAAAATTAGCCAGGTGTGGTTGTGAGAGCCTTATCTGTGGTCCTGCCTACCTGGGAGGCTGAGGAGGGGGGATCGCTTGAACCAGGGGGGTCGAGCCTGGAGTGAGCTATGATTGTGCCACTGCACTCCACCCTGGGTGACAGGGCAAGATCCTGTATCAAAAAAAAAAAAAATCCCCAAAAACATATATCATAAAATATATGTGTTCATCTACTGTTTATGTAAAGCTTCTGGTCAATAGCATGCTATTAGTCATTAAGTTTTTGGGGAGTCAAAATTGATCTTCAGATTTTTTACCTCACAGGGGGTTAGTCCCCTAAGCCCTGAGTTGTTCAGGGTAAACTGTTTAATAGAATTATTAATTAACTAATTGTTTTAACAGCTTTATTGAGTTATCATCCACACACCACATAATTTACCCATTTAAAGTGTATAATTCAGTGGTTTTCAGTGTACTCACAGAGTTCTACAATCATCACAATTAATTTTAGAACATTTTCATCACTCCAAAACAAAGCCCTACATCTCTTAGCCATTATTCCTAACTCAACCTTCCTTTCCGTGAAGCCCCACATAACCATGAATCTGCTTTCTGTCTCTGTAGATTTGCCTTGTTAAATAAATTTTACAGGAAGCCATTGGTTTGGACCGAGCTCCTGCACTAGGCCCAAGAGACCAGTGGAGTCACTCATGTTACAGTTCCATGTCAGCAAGCTGAAACTAAGTTATATGACCTCTGAGAATTTAGGGGAGACAGGAGAGAGAGATAATAGCCACATCTTCTAGCTAGCATGATGAGGAAGTCCCCTCTGTTTTAACCTTTACAAGTAAAGTAACTTTGTTTGTTTTTTTGTTTGTTTTTAGAGACGGAGTCTTGCTCTGTCGCCCAGGCTGGAGTGCAGTGGTGTGATCTCGGCTCACTGCAACCTTCGCCTCCTGGGTTCAAGCAATTCTTCTGCCTCAGCCTCCCGAGTAGCTGGGATTACAGGCACCCACCGCCATGCCCGGCTAATTTTTTATATTTTTAGTAGAGACGTGGTTTCACTGTGTTGGCCAGGCTAGTCTTGAACACCTGACCTCAGGTGATCCACCTGCGTCAGCCTTCTAAAGTGCTGGGGTACAGGCGTGAGCCACCACACCTGGCCACAAGTAAAGTAACTTTGAAATGACCAATTGAGGCCGGGCACAGTGGTTCATGCCTGTAATCCCAGCACTTTGGGAGGCCGAGGTGGGCGGATCACGAGATCAGGAGATGGAGACCATCCTGGCTAACATGGTGAAACCTTGTCTCTACTAAAAATACAAAAAATTAGCCGGGCATGGTGGCAGGCACCTGTAGTCCCAGTGAGTCAGGAGGCTGAGGCAGGAGAATCACTTGAACCCGGGAGGCAAAGATTGCAGTGAGCCGAGGTGGCGCCACTGCACTCCAACCTGGGCGACGGAGCGAGACTCCCATCTCAAAGAAAAATAAAAAAGAAAGGAGGTATTCAAAATGAATCTGAAAGGATAGTTTGATGACAGATAATAATTGTTCTGTAATAAAAAATTAAAAAAAAAAAAAAAGAAATGTAATCCCTGGCCGGGCACAGTAGCTCACGCCTGTAATCCCAGCACTTTGGGAGGCTGAGGTGGGTGCATCACTTGAGGTCAGGAGTTTGAGACCAGCCTGCCCAACATGATGAAACCCTGTCACTACTAAAAATACAAAAATTAGCTGGGTGCGGTGGCTCACGCCTGTAATCCCAGAACTTTGGGAGGCTGAGGTAGGCGGATCACTTGAGGTCAGTAGTTCAAGACCACCTGGCCAACATGGTGAAACCCCGTCTCTACAAAAAATACAAAAATTAGCTGGGTGTGGCAGCAGGAGCCTTTAATCCCAGCTACTCGGGAGGCTGAGGCAGGAGAATCGCTTGAACCCGGGAGGTAGAGATTGCAGTGAGCCGAGATCGTAAACAACCCTTCTCTGCTCGGCTCATGGGAACACTCATTTTACTTTATAGAATGAGGTACTGCCCTATTCTAGAATTGCAAATAAAAGCCAATGTGGGCCGGGTGCAGTGGCTCACGCCTGTCATCCCAGCACTTTGGGAGGCCGAGGTGGGTGGATCACGAGGTTAGGAGTTCAAGACCAGCCTGGCCAATATGGTGAAACCCTGTCGCTACTAAAAAATACAAAAATTAGCCAGGCATGACAGCGCGTGCATGTAGTCCCAGCTACTTGGGAGGCTGAGACAGAAGAATCTCTTGAACTTGGAAGGTGGAGATCACGCCACTGCACTCCATCCAGCCTGGGCGACAGAGTGTGAGACTCTGTCTCAAAAACAAAAAAAACAAAAAGACACAATGTGAGGATACAGTGAGAAAGCAGCCATCCTCAAGCCAAGGAGAGAGGCCTTAGAAGCAGCCAAACTTGGCCGGGCGTGGTGGCTCATGCCTGTAATCCCAGCACTTTGAGAGGCTGAGGCGGGCAGATCACCCGAGGTTGGGAGTTTGAAACTAGCCTGGCCAAAATGGTAAAACCCCATCTCTATTAAAAATACAAAAATTAGCTGGGCGTGGTGGTGAGCACCTGTAGTCCCAGCTACTTGGGAGGCTGAGGCATGAGAATCACTTGAACTTGGGTGGTGGCAGAGACTGCAGTGAGCTGAGATCATGCCACTGCACTCCAGCCTGGACGACAGAGCGAGACGGTCTCAAAAAAAAAAAAAAAAGTTGACTTGTATTCATTGTACTCACTGTTGGGTTCCTGAGTGTGTGAGTCTATGGGGTGATCCAGCGCTCAGCTTGGGCTTCAAGGGAGAGAGTACATGCCGTGTCCGGGTCCTAGATGGGACTCAGCACTGGGGAGGATCAGATCAGCTTTCTCCTTGATGGGTCATGACGGAGGATTCTCAGAGGGGACAGGAAATGCTCTGAGGAAGGACAAAGTGGACAGACCACCACAGGCAAGCTCTGTGAGCTTCCAAGTTTGGACGTGGCATCAGGCCTGGAAGTGAGGGAGTTTGAGGTGGTGAGCAGGGAGGGTCAGATAGAGGGACAAAGAGAGAGAAATAGCAAGTTGGAGATGGAGTCTCTCCGTCAGGGGGTAGTGAGAGAATGAGAAGATGAAGACAAGGATAGGTGGGTGTGGACACCACAGAGTCGAGGCTGGAGATGACATGGGAAGGACCTGAGTGGGGCTGGATAGTGGTCCCCCAAAGATGATCACCCCATAATTCCTGAAAACTGTAAATATGTTGTCCCGGTAGGTCCAGTCCAATCACATGAGCCCTTCAAAGCAGAGGACTGTCTCTGCCAGAAGAGGAAGGCATACCAGAGATGGGACACAAGGGGAAGTCAGAGTCCCGCCATGATACTGGGCTGTGGCTCTGGGATGTCAGGTCCACCTGCAGTAACTGGAGAGAGGCCTCTTGGAGCTAAGCGTGGAAGCATGGGTGGCCCCCAGCTGACAGCCAGCAAGAACGTGGGGACCTCAGTCCCACAAGCCCAGGAACTCGATTCTGCTTAAAATCTGAATGAGCTTGAAAGCAGCTTCTTCCCAGAGCCTCCCAATGAGAGCTCGGGTGGCTGACACCCTGTGAAACCCAGAGCTGAGGGCCAGCGGAGCCATCCTGGATTTCTGACCAGGATGATATGTGAAATAATGCATTTGTGTTGTTTTAAGTTGCCAAGTTTGTGCCCATTTTTATGGCAGTAACAGTACGGGGGCCAAGTAGAGAGGACTGGAGTGAAAGAGTTGGGGGCCGGGCACAGTGGCTCAAGCCTGTAATCCCAGCACTTTGAGAGGCTGAGGTGGGAGGATCGCTTGAGCCCAGGAGTTCAAGACCACCCTGAGCAACACAGGGAGATCCCTATGTTAAATAATACAACAATTAGCTGGGCGTGGTGGCGCACACCTGTGGTCCCAGCTACTGGGGAGGCTGAGGTGAGAGGATCACCTGAGCCTGGGAGGTCAAGGCTGCAGTGAGCTGTGATTGTGCCACTGCACTCCAGCCTGGGTAACAGAGTGGGACCCTGTTCTCAAAAAAAAAAAAAAAGCAAAAAAAAATAGCTGAGAGTTGGGAGTGCAGACAGGGCTGGAGGTGACAGGGTTGGGTGCTGAGTGGACAGATGGGGCTACAGCACAGACAATGCCTGAATGAGAAAACCAAGCCTGGGAGACTTAGGCAAGAGCTAGCACAGCCAGCTCTCATGCTCAGAGCTGGGACTGGGGGCCTTTGCCATGGCCTGGTTGGCAGGCGGTTGGGGATAAATAGTGAAAGGAGATGGTGTTGTTAGATGTAAGAAAGAACTTTATTTCCATATGGTGCTTGGGGCAGGGTCTGATGGGGGCTACAGGCAGGTGCTCCCCGGTCCCCACCCCTACAGCTGCCGAGAGGGCCTGAGGATGTACAGTAAGTGGGTCTTTCGGGGGGACAGCCTGGAGTGGGAGGAGCTCTCGGTCCCCTCTTCTAGGACGTCCTTGTGGGTCCCCTTGCGGAGTCCATCCCGGATGGCCTGCAGGCGGTGTCGCTTCTCGCTGAGCCAGTGGCCGCCCTCCAGGGCATCCTGGTGGGACCTCCGCCGTGGCAGCTTAATGATCCAGAAGGCCACCCGGGGATGGAGTTCTGTGTGGAAGCTGTCCGTGGCCTTCTGGATGGGTACCAGGGCCTCCTTCTCCTCCATCCTGGGTACCTGGGGAGGAAGAACAAGGAGACCCTCTCATACTCCAAACAGCACCCCAGGATGGTCAGTCCCCACTGACCTATTCAGCCCACTTTGCAGATGACAGGATGCTTTGTGGGTTCAAAAGCCCTGTTTGAGGTTTACAAAGCACTTGGGTTTACACTTAAGGATTAAAAATACTCTGAGGTTTACAGAATGCTTTGGGATTGGAAAATTTGTTTGGGGGCTTTCAAAAGGGAGGTAATAGAGCACTTCAGGGATTATAATGCCTGTTGGGATTCTAGAGCACTTTAGGATTAAATCCTCTCTGAGGTTTAGAGGATAGCAGTTTGAAATGTACAAAGCACTTTAGGACTAAAAGCTCTTGGGTTTACCGAAGACTCATGACCATAAATGCAATGTGTGATCCTTCATTGATCCTGAATCAAAAGCTTTCAAGGGGCCAGGTGCAGTGGCTCATGCCTGTAATCCCAGCACTGTGGGAGGCCGAGGCTGGCGGATCACGAGGTCAGGAGATCGAGACCATCCTGGCTAACACGGTGAAACCCTGTCTCTACTAAAAATACAAAAAAATTTAGCCGGGCATGGTTGCGGGCGCCTGTAGTCCCAGCTACTCGGGAGGCTGAGGCAGGAGATTGGCATGAACCCAGGAGGCGGAGCTTGCAGTGAGCCGAGATCGCACCACTGCACTCCAGCCTGGGTGACAGAGCGAGACTCCATCTCAAGGGAAAAAAAAAAAATAAAGCTTTCAAGGACAGCTTTGAGTTGAGGGAGAAAGTTTGAATATGGACTGAGTGTCTGTTTGGTCCTTGCAATTCAAAGGGTGGGCTGCTGTTGTTAGGTATGCAAATTAATAGGTCCCACCCCACTCAGACCTGCTGAATCAGTCTGCCTTTTAGTAAGATGAGGTCTGAGAAGCCGCGCAGGAGATTGTTATGTGTTAAATTGTTTCCTCCTGGCTGGACGCGGTGGCTCATGTGTGTAATCCAGCACTTTGCGAGGCTGAGGTGGGCAGATCACTTGAGGTCAGGAGTTTGAGACCATCCTGGACAGCATGACAAAATCCTGTCTCTACTAAAAATATGAAAATTAGCTGGGCGTGCTGGCGCGCTCATGTAATCCCAGCTACTTGGGAGGCTAAGGCAGGAGAATCACTTGAACCTGGGAGGCAGAGGCTGCAGTGAGTCAAGATTGTGCCATTGCACTCTAGCCTGGGCAACAGAGCAAGACCCAGGCTTAAAAAACAAACGAACAAACAACCATATTGTTTCCTCCCCAAATTCATATTTTGAAATTCTAACCTGTAATACCTCAGAATGTGGCCTTATTTGGAACTAGGGTCATTGAAGATATAATTGGTGAAGATGAGGTCATTAGGTTGGGCCCTAATCCAACATGACTGTGTTCTTTTTTTTTTTTTTTTGAGATGGAGTCTCACTCTGTAGCCCAGGCTGGAGTGCAGTGGCACAATCTCGGCTCACTGCAGCCTCTGCCTCCTGGGTTCAAGCGATTCTCCCACCACAGCCTCCAGAGTAGCTGGGATTACAGGGGCATGGCACCATGCCAGCTAATTTTTGCATTTTTAGTAGAGACGGGGTTTCACCATGTTGGCCAGGTTGGTCTCAACCTCCTGACCTCAGGTGATCCACCTGCCTTGGCCTCCCAAAGTGCTGGGATTACAGGCGTGAGCCACCATGCCCAGCCTATTTATTTATTTATTTTTTGAGATGGAGTTTCGCTCTTGTTGCCCAGGCTGTAGTGCAATGGTGCTATCTTCGCTCACCGCGACCTCCACCTTCTGGGTTCAAACGATTTTCCTGCTTCAGCCTCCTGAGTAGCTGGGATTACAGACATGTGCCACCATGCCCGGCTAATTTTGTATTTTTAGTAGAGACGGGGTTTCTCCATGTTGGTCAGGGTGGTCTCGAACTCCTGACCTCAGGTGATCTGCCCGCCTCGGCCTCCCAAAGTGCTGGGATTATAGGTGTAAGCCACCACTCCTGGCCATACTTTGTATTTTTTTTTTTTTTTTGAGACGGAGTCTCGCTCTGTCGCCCAGGCTGGAGTGCAGTGGCACGATCTCGGCTCACTGCAAGCTCCACCTCCCGGGTTCACGCCATTCTCCTGCCTCAGCCTTCTGAGTAGCTGGGACTACAGGCGCCTGCCACCATGCCTGGCTAATTTTTTTGTATTTTTACTAGAGACGGGATTTCACCGCATTAGCCAGGATGGTCTTGATATCCTGATCTCATGATCTGCCTGCCTCGGTCTCCCAAAGTGCTGGGATTACAGGTGTGAGCCACTGTGCCTGGCCCCATATTTTGTATTTTTAGTAGACGGGGTTTCGCTACGTTAGCCAGGCTGGTCTCGAACTCCTGACCTCATGATCCGCCCGTCTCTGCCTCCCAAAGTGCTGGGACTACGGGTATGAGCCACTGTGCCTGGCAGGAGGCAACTTCTCTCTAGTGGATAGAGCCCAGGGATGTTATCAAATATCCTACAGTGCACAGGGCAGCTCCCACAATAAAGATTATCCAGCCCCACATGCCAATGATGCCAACCTTAAGAAATTTTGGTTTATGGAAAAGAGACTATAGGGATATTTATTATACTATTTTTTTTTACCATAAAGACACAGGCACATGCATGTTTATTATGGCACTATTCACAATAGCAAAGAATTGGAACCAACCCAATTGTCCATCAGTGATAGACTAGATAAAGAAAACATGGCACATATACACCATGGAATACTATTCGGCCACAGAAAAGGATGAGTTAATGTCCTTTGCAGGGACATGGATGAAGCTGGAAACCATCATTCTCAGCAAACCAACACAAGAGTAGAAAACAAAATACTGCATGTTATCACTCAAGTGGGAGCTGAACAATGAGAACACATGGACACAGGAAGGGAAACATCACACACCAGGACCTGTCGGTGGGGGGTGGGGGGTCAGGGGAGGGATAGCATCAGGAGAAACACCCAATGCAGGTGACGGGCTGATGGGTACAGCAAACCACCATGGTACATGCACCTATGCAACAAAACTGCATGTCTGCACATGTACCCCAGAACCCAAAGTATAATTTAAAAAAACATAAAAATACTATGTCTTAATATAACTTACTGTACCATGGATTTGTTAAAAACTAAGGTAAGTCATTAAGAAAATGATACAAAGCATAAAAGATCATTTATCAAAATTACAAAAACTCTAAAACCAGTGGACAAAGATCCAAAAAAAACTAGTAAAACAATTGAAAAATTATTTGAGTAATAAAATGTAACTATGATGACGCAATGACAGCTTGCATCTTAAAACAGGTTAAAGAAAGAATATTTTTTAAAAAATTAAGAGAATGTAAAAGTCCAGAGAGAGTAGCAAAATCCCCAAAACTCTCACGGTCCAGATGGTTGCTGGGCCAGGGTGAGGTCTTGTGACCCGGCCCTTCCAGGTGTTCAAAAAATCTGTAGGGACTTCTAGCATAAAAAACAAAGGTCACAACAGGTCAGGTCAGGCTCTTCAGCATCCTCATCCTCCTTGAACTCACTGGGTTACATTTCTTCTGCCTTTTCAGGCTTTGTCTCTATTGTTTTTTCTGCAGGTGCTGGGAGAGTACTTGTTGGCATATGCTGATGGTCATCTGCATGATTGGACTCTTCCATATCTGCTCCAGAAGCTTGAGTGTCTCCACTACAGGAAGAGTCTTTGTCATTACTGGTTTTAGAAAAGCTGTCCTCAGAGCCACCATTTTTCTTGATGCCTTTCACGGTGACAACGGCCAGCACTTGCCCTGAGGACATCTCTTCAGGAAGCTCTGCTACAAGAATGGCGAAGCAATCTTTTTTCTTGGCATCTCATTTTGCCCTGTGAAGAGATAGGGCTGCTTCTGGGGACTTTTCACTGATCACCATCCCCGCCAGGTCATCCTTGAAATCATTTACCTGGACTCCCTAGGGTGCCTTCACATTACATGGGGCCTCCTTTTCCTTGATGTTGTTGGCAAATTCTTTCACTGGATTATCTATGGGAACTTTTTCCTTGGCACATTTGTCGGCATTCAGATCCAGTGGAGCATCCTCATGTGAGCTTTCGTTGGTGAGGTCTTCCACCAGGGTATCCTCCATGGGAACTTTTTCCTTGGCTCATTTGTCAGCCTTTAAATTTAGCAAAACATCCCCATCTGAGCTTTTGTTGGCAAGGTCTTCCACCAGGGTATCCTCCGTGGGAACTTTTCCTTGGTGAATTCATCAGCCTTCAATCCAGTAGAGCGTCCTCATCTGAGCTTTCATTGGCAAGGTCTTTCACCAGGGTATCCTCTGTGGGAACTTTTTCTTTCATGCGTTTGTCAACCTTCAAGTCCAGTGAGGCATCCTTATCTGAGCTTTCGTTTCCAAGGTCTTCCACCAGGGTATCCTCCATGGGAACTTTTTCCTTGGCACGTTCTTTGGCCTTCAAATCCAGTGGGGTGTCCTAATCTGAAATTTCATTGGCGAGGTCTTCCAGAGGATCCTCCATGGCACCTTTTTCCTTGGCACATTCATTGGCCTTCCAAAGCCATGGGGCATTTTCATCTGAGCTTTCACTGGCTTGGTATCCTTCCAGGATATCTTCCATGTGAACACTTGCCTGAGTTGCTGAGTCTGTCAAGTGAACAGCAAGAACCTGTTCAGAGGAAGTGTCGCTGGTCTGCTCCCCTGCCAGGTTGTCCTTGAAATCTTCAGATGGCTACCTGCCAGGGTGCACATGAGGATGACACCTGCGGTGGCACATTCTCTCTCTAAAACTGCGCTGGCAGACCATGGATTCGCCATGGACAGTGGAGTCTCCTGAAACCTGAGTATCCACTGCTGCATCTTGGAGGCAATACTCTAGCCTTCACGAGCACCCTTCTACTCCAGTCAGGCTGAAGTCTCCCTCGCTGTCACCGCCACAACTGTAGGAGGTGAGCCACAGAGCCGTGCCATCTGCAAGCTCCAAACTCCACCTCACCACAGGTGACTCCTCCTTCACTTTCTCCTCCAGCCTTTCTCAGAGTGGCTGGGCGGGCAAAGCCAGAAAAGCCACTCTGGCCACACTGCAGCCTCTGTTGCCACCACCAACTGCAGTGAGGCAAGCCATGGTGCCACAGGCTCCAACCTCCAGCATGTGGCAGGTGATTCCCCTTCCCCTTCTCCTGGTTCTCTAAGCCAGGAACAGAGTAGCTCGGTGGGCAGATACAGAAGAGCCTAAAATCTGTTGTACTATTTTAAGAAAAACTTCTCTTGCCTGTAATCCCAGCACTTTGGGAGGCCGAGGTGGGTGGATCACCCAAAGTCAGGAATTCAAGACCAGCCTGGCCAACATAGCAAAACCTCATCGCTACTAAAAATACAAAAAACAAAAAACAAACAAAAAAAAATTAGCTGGATATTGTAGTGCGTGCCTGTTATCCCTGCTCTTTGGGAGGCTGAGGCAGGAGAATCACTTGAACCTGTGTTAGAATCAAAATGCTTGTTTCTTGGTGTCGCAAGGAAAAATTAGCATTCAGACAAAAAGTTTTCTCAGCAAGGCAATTTTACTTTCTGTAGAAAGGGTGCTGCCCATCAGCAATCCTGCCAGGAGAGCACAATGAACAAAGAAAGGCAGGAATATTTATCCCTTATGCATTGGGTCCTTACTGCTGTGTCCTGTCTCCATTGGTTGGAGCTGGACCTCACAGTCTAAGCTAAACCCAATTGGCTAACAACTTAAAAAACTTTCTTAAATAGGTAAAGGCAATGGAGAACAAAGGAAAAGAGGAAGTTGCTTGCCAAAAGACTTGGAGAAGTAATAACATTTCCAAATAAGGAAAGGGCATAAGCTGTGAGCTGGGACATGCTTGAGCACGTCGAGACCAAATATCTTGGTTAACGTACAAGGACACAGAAGGTACTTATTTCCTTATATCTAACAACTACATAAGATATGGTTTAAAAAAGAGTTACTAACACAAAGCAAAGAGGCTTAAAAAAAGTTAATTAAAAATATTATTTCTAACACTTGTGATTTATTATTTAATAAAAACTTTAAAGAGAAACTTTTTTACTTTCCACAACCTAGAAGGTGGAGGTTGCTGTGAGCCAAGATGGCACCACTACACTCCAGTCTGGGTGACAGAGGGAGACTCCATTTCCAAAATAATAAAGTATGTTTTTTAAAAAAAACTTTTCTGTAGTCTTGAAATTTTATTTATTTATTTATTTATTTATTTTTTGAGACAGAGTCTCACTCTGTTGCCCAGGCTAGAGTGCAGTGGCATGATCTGGGCCCACTTTAGACTCAACCTCCTCGTCTCAAACAATCCTCCCACCTCAGGCTTCTGGGTAGCTGGAACCACAGCACACACCACCACACCTGGCTACTTTTTTGATTTTTTTTTTTTTTTTGGAGACAGAGTCTCACTCTGTCCCCCAGGCTGGAGTGCAGTGACATGATCTTGGCTCACTGCAACCTCTGCCTCCCGGGTTCAAACAATTCTTTTACCTCAGCCTCCAGAGTAGCTGGGACTACAGGTGCAGGCTGCCATGCCCGGCTAATTTTTCGTATTTTAGTAGAGACAGGGTTTCACCGTGTTGCCCAGGCTGGTCTCGAACTCCTGAGCTCAGGCAATCTGCCTGCCTTGGCCTCCCAAATTGCTAGGATTACAGGCGTAAGCCAGCATGCCTGGCCTACTTTTTAAATTTTTTTGTAGAGATGAAGACTCCCTCTATTGCCCAGGGTGATCTCAAACTCGTGGGCTCAAGTCATCCTCCTGCCTCAGCCTCCCAAATTGCTAGGATTATAGGTGTAAGCCACTGTGCCTGTCCTGAAATTTTTAAAATAAAATTTTAAATAAACATTTTTAAAATGAAGATATTGCATGGGTGTACGTGGGTATCATATGGATGTATCAAGCTCTTTGGGTTTCTTAAAACTTTTCAGGATTAAAAATACCCTGATTTTGCAAAGCACTTCATAATTAGAATCACTTGTAGAAGTTTACCAAAGGTGGCCTGGCCAGGCATGGTGGCTCACGCCTATAATCCCAGCACCTTGGGAGGCCAAGGCAGTTGGATCACCTGAGGTCAGGAGTTCAAGAGCAGTCTGGCCAACATGATGAAACCTTGTCTCTCTAAAAATAGAAAAATTAGTCAGGTGTGGTGGCAGTCACCTGTAATCCCAGCTACACAGGAGGCTGAGGCAGGAGAATCACTTGAACCTGGGAGATGGAGGTTGCAGTGAGCTGAGATCGCACCATTGCACTCCAGCCTGGGGGACGAGCGAGACTTCGTCTCCAAAAAAAAAAAAAAAAAAGTTTACCAAAGGTGAAATACACAACGCATTTAGCATTCATACAGCTCTTTGGTATTAAAAATCACATTTTGGGCCAGGCGCAGTAGCTCATGCCTATAATCCCAGCACTTTGGGAGGCCGAGGCAGGTGGATCAGCTGAGGTCAGGAGTTCGAGACCAGCCTGGCCAACATGGCCAACATGGCGAAACCCTGTCTACACTAAAAATTCAAAAATTAGCTGGACGTGGTGGCACGTACTTGTAGTCCCATCTACTTGGGAGGCTAGGGCTGGAGAATCACTTGAACCTCAGTGGCGGAGGTTGCAGTGAGCTGAGATTGTGCCATTGCACTCTAGCCTGGGCAACAGAGCGAAACTCCATCTCAAAAAAAACAAAAAAAGAAGAAGAAAATCACATTTTGGGCCAGGTGTGGTGGCTCATGTCTATAATCCTAGTACTTTGGGAGGCAGAGGCGGGCGGATTGCCTGAGCTCAGGAGTTCGAGACCAGCCTGGGAAACATGGCGAAACCCCGTCTCTACTAAAAATAGAAAAATTAGCTGGGTGTGGTGGTCCGCGCCTGTAGTTCCAGCTATTCCGGAGGCTGAGGTGGGAGGATCATTTGAGTCTGGGAGTTGGAGGTTGCAGTGAGCTGAGATTGTGCCACTGTACTCCAGCCTGGATAACAGAGCAAGACTCCATTCTCAAAAAAAAAAACCAAAAAAACAAACAAAAAAAACCCCAAAAATCAAAACCACAATAACAACAAAAACATTTTGGAGTTTATAATGGAGAGGTTTACCAACCACTTTGGGATAGATTGAAAAATACTCTGAAGTTTGCAGAGCACTTACTTTGAGACAAAAACACAATTTGGGGTTTATGAGGGTGAAGCTTTCCAAGCACTTAGAATTAAAAACCCTTCTTGGTTTATAAAACATTTTGGTGCTCATAGAAACACTTTGATTGACTATTATGTAGTTAAAAAAAAAAAAGAAAACCACTTTGATACAAAACCCTCTAGGGTCTACTAAACCCTTGCAGATGTATTCTGAGGTCAAAAATCTCATTTCTGACAGTTGGATTGCCCCACTTGAGAGATGGCAAAACTGAGGCTCAGAAGGAGGAAGTTCCACACAGAGGAGTAAGAGGGTCAGTTCCTCTTCTTGTCCTCCTAAACTACAGAAAATGTTAGGGCCTCACCAGGCATGGTGGCTCATGCCTGTAATCCCAGCACTTTGGAAGGCCAAGATGGGCAGATCACTTGAGGTCAGGAGTTCAAGACCAGCCTGACCAACATGGAGAAACCCTGTCTCTACTAAAAAAATACAAAAAATTAGCCGGGCGTGGTGGCAGGTGCCTGTAATCCCAGCTACCAAGGAGCTTGAGGCAGGAGAATTGCCTGAACTTCGGAGGCGGAGGTTGCAGTGAGCCAAGATCGTGCCACTGCACTCCAGCCTGGGTGACAGAGTGAGACTCTTCTTTAAAAAAGAAAAAAAGAAAATGTTTGGGCCTGGACACTTTGACGGCGGGGCACGTCCTAACCTTCAAATCACCCTCGAAGCTCCCCTCCGCTGGTTGAATGGATGCCACCACATTCTCGGAGATCAGCACCTCTCCTGTCTTGTTGTCGGTCATCTGTGAGGATCCGATGAGAGAGTGAGAGCAAACCTGCTTTCCTCCTCCGCCCTCCTTCCCTCCCAACAGATACTGCAGCACGAGGGATGGCGGGATGGAGGGATCCCAAGGGGACTTCAGGAAGGGCTTCCCTGCATAGGCACCTTGTCGATCTGGAGGTGGCTGGAGAGGGTGTTGTTCCCCAGCTGGTGCTCCTGGTTCTCCTCTTTGTGGTAGTTCCCAGGGAGGCCCCGGAAGTCCATGGGGGCAGAGAATAAGCTGTCTATGCCCCGAAGCAGGTTACCCTGGGGCCGGAGGAGGGACTGGTGAGCTGCTGGACCTCACATCTCCTCAGTACAGCCCCTTCTGCAGCCCTGCTAGGATGCTCCCGAGGCCTTGCCCCAAGTCCCTCCCATCCCCTTTACTTTCTGCCCTCTGATACTTAGGGCCTAACCTCCGGCCTCCATCCCCCATGAATTCTCTCTCTATTCTCAGTCCCATTGCCTTACTATCCCTGTTCCTCTTCTGTCCCCATCCCCCTCTCCTCCTGTCTCTTTCCCCAGTCTCTTGTCTCTGTCCCATCTCCTCTCTCTTTGCCTGTTACCTTTCCTCTCTTATTTATGCACGTATATATTTATTTGTTTAGAGACAGGGTCTCCTTGTTCTGTCATCCAGGCTGGAGTGCAGTGGTGCTATCATGGCTTACTGCAGCCTCGACCTCCTGGGCTCAAGGGATCCTTCTGCCTCAGCCTCCCAAGCAGCTGGGATTATAGGCGCATGTACCTGCAACTATTTTTTATATTTTTTTGTACAGATGAGGGTCTCACTATGTTACCCAGGCTGGTCTCCAAGTACTGGGCTCCAATGATCCTTCTGCCTCAGCCTCCCAAAGTGCTGTGATTATAGCCTGGGCCCAGTCCCTTCCCTCTTCCTATCTCTTGGTCTCCCTGTTGCCCTCTCATCCTGTCTGTCCCCCTGCCTGGCCCTGAACCATCTCCCACTCTGTGTCCCTGAACCTCTTCTCAGTACTTCTTCCCCCATCCCCCCGCCATCGCTTACTTTCAGGAAAAGTCGGCTGAAGCCTTGGAGTAGGCTCTGGAGGCCTGTGAGACCCAAGGAGCTCTCTTGGGCGTCAGCATCATGGATAGGAGCTGCAGCGGAGGGGATCACCAGGGTAGAGAGGAGCAGCAGCAGGACCAGCAGATGCCGCCTTGCGGGGGCAGGTGGGGAGGCTGTGGCAAGGGTCGGGGTCAGAGCCCCGCACAGTGGCCACGCCCCCACCCAAGACGCCCCTCTCCAGCACCTTGCCCAGGTCGCCTCCCCAGTTCAGGCAACTCCCACACCGCGCTCATTTCCCCCACTGCTTCTTTCTTCTACTCCCACACCCTCCACCTTGCCAGGCCCCGTCTTCTCCCAGGTCTGGCTCTTCTGGGTTCTGTCTCATATGCTTTTTTTTTTTTTTTTTTGAGACCGAGACTCTGTAGTCCAGGCTGGAGTACAGTGGCACAATCACGGCTCACTGCAGCCTCGACCTCCCCGGGCTCAGGTGATTCTCCCACCTCAGCCCCCCGAAGTAGCTGGGACCACAGGCGCGCGCCTCCACGCCCGGCTAATTTTTGTATTTTTTGTAGAGACAGGGTTTCGACATATTGCCCAGGCTGGTCTCGAACTCCTGATCTCAAGCGATCCGCCCACCTGGGCCTCCCAAAGTGTTGGGATTGCAGGCGTAAGCCACAGCACCCGGCCTCATCCAATGGTCTTTTCCTCACTTTCGCCCACGTTCACCACCAGATCTCAATCCTCACCTTCTCCCATACCCCGCCCCTTCTTCTGGGCTCCGCCTTTATGCTAGACCACAGCCCGGGTCACCGGACTCCCGGATTCCGGCCGCCCACGTACTGTTAAAGCCAAACAGTTATGGTCTCGAGCCCAGGTCTGGTCTAGAGCGTTGGTTGCGCTCCGCGAGCCGTAGCCACGCCCCTATTGTCTGACCACGCTCCAAACTTGCCGGCCTCACCCAGGAGCCCGGGCCTCTACTCCATGACCACGCCCTTGGTGACACAGCCACGCCCCATCCTTCGTTCACCACACCCCTTAAGCCAGAGCCGTGAGTTCATTCCCTGGCCACGCCCACACAGTCAGACCACGCCCACGTCAGTTGACCTCAGTCCTGGAGACCAAGTCCTGGAAGTCCTGGCGGTGTTCTCTGATTGCGGCCCTCGTTTCGGAGTCCCGCCCAATCGCAATGGCCACGCCCCTTGGCTGAAAGCCACGCCCCTGCACTGGGCCACGCCCCTGCACTGGACCACGCCCCTGCGTCCCAGATCTTGCCCTCATCACCCCAAGTTCCAGTCCTAGGCTCCTCCTACTGGAGACACCGGAGTACAAGCATCCCTTTTAGCTCTCACTCTAATTGTGTATCTGTTTCGGAACCTTTTCTCCGTGTCCCTTCTGGTTTTCCCGCTCCCGCTCCACTAAAAAGTCCCGTTGTCTCCGGAAACCCTAAATCCAGTCTTATATTTCATCTTCCAAGGAACCCAGAATCAGACTTCCTTTTCCCTGAGGACCTCAGGTCCGGACTCCCGCCCCCTCTAGTCCCGTAATTTTGAACACGCAGCCTTTCACCCTTAAGGGACCGGGCCCTAAGCCATCTTCCCTCAGGCACCAAAGCTCTCTTCCCCGTCCCGGGACAGCCGCCAGCCGTCTCCAGTCCACTAGCGCCTGTAGATGAGGAATCTGCACCTACGTGGGCCTCCAATAAACTCCCGGTGGTCCTGCCCACGACTCTTAACTGTGGTGAGGTCACAAGGAAACCAGGTCGTCATAGGAATCAGTCAAAACCCATCCCCAGACCCCAATCCTCAAAAAAAAAAAAAAACAAAAAAAACAAAAAACAAAAAAACCAAAAACCAAACAGAAAAAAAGAAAAAAAACCTCAGGGCTTAACAGTAAAGACTCTTTGTATTCGTATCACTTCCGCACCCCCAATACACAAACACGAGGGTAGCCGGGATTCCAGGCGCCTAGCCCCGTCCCCTCTCAGACCTAGGAGCCCATATCTCTCTCCAGCCGCTTCCTCTCCCAGACCCAGGAGTCCCAGCCCCCAGACCCAGGAGTCCCAGCCCCCAGCCTCTCCTCCCTCAGATCAGGGGTTTCTGGCTCCTATCAGCCTTTTCCCTCCGACTTGGAGTCCGAACCCCCAATCCCCCTCCTTTCCCAAGCACCCAAATCCTGAGTTCCTACCAGCCCCGAGATAGACTAATCTCTCCCAAAGCAAAAATCCTTCCCCAAACTGTCACCGTCGGATCCCCCTTCCCGCTGTCCGCCGGCCGGGCCCGCCCCCCCCTCCGGTCCCTCCCACTTTTCCCAAACAAAGCTCCCGGCAACTTTCTCCCTCGCAGCGCCCCGCCCGCCCGCGGCTCCCCAGCCCCAGGCCGGGAGGTAGGAAGGCGCCGGCGGGAGTCGGGGATCCTGCTTTGGGGTGTGTGAGTTGGGGTGGGGAGTTGCTTCTTAGGAGGTGAGGCGTGCGTTTGCGGGACCGTCTCTGAATGGTTCGCAGCCCTCTTTTTGCCCGGGGGCCCGAATTTGCTCCCGTGACCGAGCCTCAGTGAGGAGTGGGAACTCTGGCCGGAGTTAGGGTGCCTGCGGCTGGGTCTGAGTTTGGGCGTGCGCGCAGGAGCGGGTGCGGGCCAAGGGCGCTGGCGGGGTGTGGGGCGTGCGTCTGCGGCGGTGTCACTTTGGAGTGAGAAGGACCCCTTGTGTAATCTGGGGGGCATTTGGTCCTTCTTACGGAGAAGGGAGGGCCTCTGGGGTGGCCGAGGGGAGGTTACGGGGCTTTCTGGATCTTAAGTCTTGCCTCTTTGGAGGTTTAGGGTCTGGGGCGGGAAATTAGGGGGACCTTTCTTACCCGGCTCCACCGTCCCTTTGTCTGGCCACATGGGGAAGGGCTGGGCTGGGATTTTGGCCTACGGGGGTCCTGAACGCCGCAGCGCCACTGGGCTTGGCTGGGGTCTTTGTCTGCTATGGTCGGCGGGAGGAGGGGAATAGGGGCCTGGACTCTGGGGTCCTGGGAAAGCTGTGGAGGACATGGAGCCTCCGGGGAGGCGGGATCTGACTGTATTGGAAAAAGTTTTCCCTGTTCCCGGCCTCCGGAAAGTCACTGGGAACTTGAGTTGGATCAGAGCCCACGGCGCACGGGGGAGGGGAGGGGCGGGGCCCGGTGCCGGAGGGGAGTCGCCCTGGCCGGCAAGCCCCTCCCCTGATGGGGGTTGTGGGAAGCTGGGGGAGGGGACGCCTGGGCCCTTTGTTCTGGCTCTTCTGATGGCAGGGCGCCCCTGTCCCCCAGCTTGTGGTTCTGTGGGTCTCTCCTGGTCTCGGCCTCAGCTGCTGCCCTGAGTCTCTGTCCCTGCCCTTTCTAGGTCTCCGTCTCCCTTTCTCTGGGTCTCTGTTGCCCTCTCTCTGAGCCTCTGTCCCCCTCTCTCTGAGTCTGTGTCCCCCTCTCTCTGGGTCTCTGGTCCCCTCTCTCTCTGGGTCTCTGTCCCTCTCTCTCTGGGTCTCTGTCCCCCTCTCTCTGGGTCTCTGTCACCCTCTCTCTCTGGGTCTCTGTCTCCCTCTCTGGGCCTCTGGACCCCTCTCTCTGGTCCCTGTCCCCCCCCCCCGGTCTCTGTCCCCCTCTTTCTGGTCTCTGTCTCCCCCTCTCCCTGGGTCTCTGTCTCCCTCTCTTTTTGGGTCTCTGTCCCTCTCTCTGGGTCTCTGTCCCCCTCTCTGGTCTCTGTCCCCCCCTCCCTCTGGTCTCTGTCCCCCCCTCCCTCTGGTCTCTGTCCCCCTCTCTCTCTGGGTCTCTGTCCCCTCCGTCACTGGTCTCTGTCCCCCCCTTCACTGGGTCTCTGTCCCCTTCTCTCTCTGGTCTCTGTCCCCCTCTGTCTCTGGGTCTCTATCCCCACCTCACTGGTCTCTGTCCCCCTCTCTCTCTGGTCTCTGTCCCCTTCTCTCTCTGGGTCTCTGTCCCCCCCCCTTGCTGGTCTCTGTCCCCATCCCCTCTCTGGGTCTCTGTCCCCCTCCCTCTCTGGGTCTCTGTCCCCCTCTCTCTAGACCTCCCCTCAGTCTTGCTTGGCCCCTCTTCTTTTCTGGCAGCTGCTGCTCACATCTTACCACCTGTTCTTGGGGTGGGACAGGGGAAGTTTCACCCACACCTTCCTTCCCCACCACTAACTTTTGCCTCCTGTCTTCTTTAAAACCCGTAATTCATACCCGAACCTTTAGCCTTCATGGCCCTCGGCATTACTCTAGGGTAATCATTGTGACTTCATCACAATTGAGTTCCTCTGGAAACTCTGAGAACACTCCCATCCTCAGCTTTCCAAGAAATCCAGCTCCTTCTCCTCCCTCAGACTCAGGAGTCCAGACCCCAGCCCCTTCTCCCTCACACCCAGGAGTCCAGGCCTCCAGCCCCCGCTCCCTCAGACCCAGGAGTCCAGGCCCCAGATCCTCCTCCCTCAGTCCTAGGAGTCCGGGCCCCAGCCCCTCCTCCCTCAGACTCAGGAGTTCAGGCCCCAGATCCTCCTCCCTCAGACCCAGGAATACCCCCCAGCTCCTCTTCCCTCAGACCCAGGAGTCCAGGTCCCCAGCCCCTCCTCCCTCAGACCCAGTGGTCCAGAGTCCCAGCCCTCTCAGCTTCAAGTCCCTTGAGGGTGGGGTTTGGGGGAAGCTTGCTGAGTTCTGTGTTCCTCCAGGCCCAGATGGGGGAACCCCGGGCTGGGGCCGCCCTGGACGATGGCAGCGGCTGGACGGGCAGTGAGGAAGGCAGTGAGGAGGGTACCGGCGGCAGTGAGGGGGCTGGGGGTGACGGGGGCCCGGATGCAGAGGGGGTGTGGAGCCCAGACATTGAGCAGAGCTTCCAGGAGGCCCTGGCCATCTATCCACCCTGCGGCCGCCGGAAAATAATTTTGTCTGATGAAGGCAAGATGTATGGTGAGTCTACTTCTGTCTTTTGCCCTGGCCCCCACTGATGAATAATGACAGTAACCAAGGTTTATGGAGCACTCTGAAGTAGGAGCTAGCATCACCATTTGCACAGATGAGGAAACTGAGGCACAGCTAGGTTAAGTGATTTGCTTATGGTCGCACAGAGCCAGTGCGTGATGGAGCTGGGATTTGAACCCAAGCAGTCTGGCTTCCACGTAGCTGAGGGGACCGGCAGCCCACTTGCTGCAGACCTTTGGGGACCCATGCTGCTTTCTTCTTCCCTGGTGTCCATGCTGTGGGGAAGTTCTGTTGAAAGTCTAACTAACTCTGTTCCGTCTTTGAATCTTCAGGTCGGAATGAACTGATCGCCCGCTACATCAAGCTGAGAACGGGGAAGACCCGAACTCGAAAACAGGTCTCGGAATGGACTTGTGGGCTTCTGTCTGGGATGGGCCGGTCTTCTTAGGGTCATCCTCGCATGGGCAGGTTCAGGTTCAAGGAAGAAGCTGCTTCCTGTGCGTTCATCTGTCTTCTCGGCATGTGTGTTAGTCCGTTTGTATTGCTATAAAGAATTACCCGAGGCTGGGTTATTTATGTATTTGTTTATTTTTTGAAATGGAGTCTAGCTCTGTTGCCCAGGCCGGAGTGCAGTGGCGCGATCTTGGCTCACTGCAACCTCTGCCTCCCGGGTTCAAGCAATTCTCCTGTCTCAGCCTCCCGAGTAGCAGGGATTACAGACATGCACTACCATGCCTGGGTAATTTTGTATTTTTAGTAGAGATGGGGTTTCACCATGTTGTCCAGGCTGGTCTCGAACTCCTGACCTCAGGTGATCCACTCACCTCAGCCCCCCAAAGTGCTGGGATTGCTGGGATTACAGGCGTGAGCTACTGTGCCTGGCAAGGCTGGATAATTGATAAAGAGCTTTAGGCTGGGCCAGTGGCTCATGCCTGTTATCCCAGCACTTTAGGTGAGCGGATCAGGAGGTCAGGAGATCGAGACCATCCTGACCAACATGGTGAAACCCCGTCTCTACTAAAAATACAAAAATTAGCTGGGAGTGGCAGTGTGTGCCCATAATCCCAGCTACTCGGGAGGCTGAGGCACGAAAATCGCTTGAACCCGGGAGGCGGAGGTTGCAGTGAGCCAAGATCGTGCTACTGCACTCCAGCCTGGTGACAGAGCCAGACTCCACCTCAAAAAAAAAAAAAAAGAAAGAAAGAAAGAAAAGAGCTTTATTTTGGCTCACAGTTCTGCAGGCTGTCCAGGAAGCATGGAGCTGGCATCTGCTCCTGGTGAGGCCTCAGGAAGCCTCCAATCATGGCGGAGGGGGTAGTGGGAGCAGGCCTGGCACATGGAAAGTGGGAGCAACAGAAGAAAGACAGAGGTCCCAGACTCTTTTTAAACACCCAGATCTTTTTGTTGTTGTTGTTTTTGAGAGAAAAGTCACTGTGTCTCCCAAGCTGGAGTGCAGTGCCGTGATCTCAGCTCACTGCAGCCTCCGCCTTCCGGGTTCAAGCGATTCTGCTGCCTCAGCCTTCCAAGTATCTGGGATTACAAGCATGCGCCTCCACATCTGGCAAATTTTTATTTTTTCATTTTTTAAATATTTTTTTGAGACGGAGTCTCGCTCTGTTGCCCAGGCTGGAGTGCAGTGGCGTGATCTTGGCTCACTGGAAGCCCCGCCTCCCGGGTTCAAGCGATTCTCTTGCTTCAGCCTCCTGAGTAGCTGGGACTACAGGCGCGCACCACCACACCTGGCTAATTTTTTGTATGTTTAGTAGAAGTAGGGTATCGCCATGCTGGGCAGGCTGGTCTCGAACTCCTGACCTCAGGTGATCCACCCGCCTCGGCCTCCCAAAGTGCTGGGATTACAGCTGAGCCACTGAGCCCAGCCCTAATTTTTGTGTTTTTAGTAGAGACAGGGTTTCACCATGTTGGCCAGGCTGGTCTTGAACTCCTGACCTCCAGTGATCTGCCCATCTAGGCCTCCCAAAGTGTTGGGATTACAGGCGTGAGCCACCACACCTGGCCTAAACAACCAGATCTTGTGTGAACTGAGTGAGAAGTCACTCATCATCAAGGAGATGGTGCAAAGCCATTCATGAGGGGTTCACCTCCATGATCCAATACCTCCCACCAGGCCTCACCTCCAACACTGGAGATGGCATTTCAATATGAAATTTGGAAGGGACGAATGTCCGAACTGTATCAGCATGTCTGTTCGTGTGCTCTCACTGTGCCTGTTTGGGGATAGTTTTTCTAGTGGTTGTGTTAGACCCAGAGTAGCCACAGAGAGAGCATGGTGGAGGGGAAGGAGGCCTGGATGGGATGGGTCCCGGGAGGGTCCGTGGTGTTCACGAGCTCCTTTATGGACATCTGTGTTCGGGTGCTCCCGAGATGGCTCTCATCTTCAGTGTGTTTTTCACCTTTCATGGTCCAGCAGCTCAGTGAGGCACCTGGAGGGAGAGAAGGGGTAGTGAACACAGGGGCGGTGGCTGTGGCCTGAATCTGCTTCTCCGTTGATCCTTCCAGGTTTCTAGTCACATCCAGGTTTTGGCCCGAAGGAAATCAAGGGAAATCCAGTCCAAGTTGAAGGTAGGGACCAATGCAGACATCCTGAGAGGGGGACAGAGACTGGGGGTGGGGGACCGAGACCCAGAAAGAGAGGGACAGAGACCCAGGGAGAGGGGGACAGAGACTTAGAGCGGGGAGGACTGAGACCCAGAGAGAAAGGGACAGAGACCCAGGGAGAGGGGGACAGAGACTTGGGGGAGGGGACCAAGACCCAGAGAGAGAGGGACAGAGACCCAGAAAGAGAGGAGGACAGAGACCCAGAGAGAGAGGGACAGAGACCCATAGACAGAGGGGGACAGAGACCCAGAGACAGAGGGAGACAGAGACCCAGAGACAGAGGGGGACAGAGACCTCAGGTGAGGGACCTCTGTGGTCAGGGCGGGGGGTGCAGTCATCCAGGGTGGGGAGTCAGTGGCCCACAAAGGGAGATGCATAGGGATGGTGGTGCGGTTGCTGAGACCCTGGGCAGGGAGCGATGGCATGGAGGAGGCTGAAGGTTTTGCTCAGGACAGCAGGAAGGATGGGCCGTCGGTCCCCTCCCTTGACCACTGTTCCTGTCCCCCTCCCTTCCCTCTGCTCCTGTCCCTCCTTTCCCTCTTCCTGGCGGTCTCATATCTTCCCCCTCTTGTGCTGTGAAGGCCTCCTCTTCATCTCCGCTGGTTTGTTTTCCCATTTCCTGACCTTTGCATGACCTGCCTACTCTTTGTGCCCAGAAATCTTCATTTCCTGGTGGAGATTCCTCATTCATTTCCTTCTCCTCATCCTTTGGATTTCCTGGTTCCTGTTGGCCGGAGACCCTCATTTTCTCCCCCTTCTGGGTGTGTGGGGGTTTTTCTGTCTCTTTTTCTGGACTTGGGGACGGTCGCTTCTGGTTTTTTTTTTTTTTTTTTTTTTGTATCCAGCAGCTTTCCCTTTCTTTCTCTCTAGGTCTGAAACCCTTCCCTTCCGGTCTGTTCTCGACCTTCTGTGTTCCCTGTCTGTTCTGTCTGGATTAGGAAACATTTACCTTGTCTTCCCGCTGGCTCTGAAATTCTCATTTCCTGTCTCCTGGACATCTGGGAACCTTCTGGGTTTCCTTGTTCTAGAAACCCCCATCACTGTCTTTCTGGGCAGGGAGCCCCTTTTCCCCTCCAGGGCTGGCCACCTCCACTTCCTGTTGCGCATCCATCCCTTGGCACTGCTCAGCTCAGGGTGGCGGGGCTGTGCGGGCGGGTAGGGCAGGGAGGTGGGGGAGTCCGGGCCGTACTTCCTAAGTCATGTTTTCTTTCCTCCTTTGGCACCCTCCCCCACCCCCACGGGCAGGCTCTGAACGTGGTAAGTTCCTCTGCCCATCCTCCCACCCACGCTCACTCCAAACTAGTGCCCTGTCCCTGAGGAGGGGCAGAGGGCTGTGGGGAGAGGTTCAACCCTCCCCCAACCCAAGCCTTTGCCTTTTTTTTTCTTTTTGGAGACAGGGTCTTGCTCTGTCGCCTAAGCTGGATGCAGGGGCACGATCTCCACTCACTGCAACCTCTGCCTCCTGGGTTCCAGTGATTGTTGTGCCCTAGCTTCCCTAGTAGCTGGGATTATGCGTGTGCACCACCACACCTGGCTAGTTTTTGTATTTTTAGTAGAGACAGGGTTTCACCATATTGGCCAGGCTGATACTGAACTCCTGACCTCAAGTGATCTGCCCGCCTCCGGCTCCCAGAGTGCTGGGATTACAGGCGTGAGCCACCATGCCCGGCCACTAACCCTTTGCCTTGACTCCCCACCTCTGCACCTCCCCGTCTTCACCCCACCCTGGCACCATCCCCCTCTTGCCATGTTGACTGAGATGCCCCTCTCACATGAACTTCCGCCTCCTCCTCCAGGACCAGGTTTCCAAGGACAAGGCTTTCCAGACAATGGCAACCATGTCCTCTGCCCAGCTCATCTCCGCGCCTTCTCTGCAGGCCAAACTGGGTCCCACTGGTCCTCAGGTGGTCCAGGTTGGGGATTGTGGGACGTGGGGGCAAAGGGGGATGGATGGGGCTGCAGCTGTCCACAGGGGACTGACCAACCATTTTTCTTTGTGTCCTATCCAGGCCTCTGAGCTTTTCCAGTTTTGGTCTGGAGGATCTGGGCCCCCCTGGAATGTTCCAGAGTGAGTACTATGTGTCCTGGCTCAGCACCTGCCCCCCACCCTCACACTCCCACAGAGACCTTTCTCACTCCACCTTCTAGCTCCTGTGTCCCCCCATTTATGTATGTATGTATGTATGTATGTATGCATGTATGTATGTATTTATTGACATGGAGTCTTGCTCCGTTGCCCAGGCTGGATGGAGTACAGTGGTGCGATCTCGGCTCACTGCAACCTCCGCTTCCTGAGTTCAAGCAGTTCTCCTGCCTCAGCCTCCCGAGTAGCTGGGACTATAGGCGCCTGCCTCTATGCACGGCTAATTTTTGTATTTTTAGTAGAGATGGGTTTTCACCACGTTGGCCAGGCTGGTCTTGAACTCCTGACCTCGTGATCCACCCGCCTCAGCCTCCCCAAATGCTAGGATTACAGGCGTGAGCCACCGTGCCCAGCCTCTATTAGGTGGTTCTTGGACCTGAGGGTAGAACAGAGGTTATAATTAATCTTCTCTTAGGTTCAGAAGGAAGAAAATGTTTCCCAGAGGTAAGTGGGAGTGTCCTTTTCAGTTCTGAGAGAGCCTTGAGGTGACGGGATATGTTTGTAGCCTACAAGAATAGAAATGGGCCCCAGAAGATGATGGGAAGTGCTTTTTTTTTTTTTTCTTTTTTTATACAGGATATTCTTCTGTTGCCTAAGCTGGGGTGCGGTGGCACAATCATGGCTCACTGCAGCCTCAGCCTCCTGGGTTCAAGCAATCTTCTTGCCTCAGCCTCCTGAGTAGCTGAGACTACAGGCATGTGCCACCACACCTGGCTAATTTTTTGATTTTTGTAGAGACGGGGGTCTTGCTATGTTGCCCAGGTTGGTCTTGAACTCCTGGGCTCAAGTGATCCCCCTGCCTGGACCTCCCAAAGTGCTGGGATTACAGGCGTGAGCCACCGTGGCGGGCTAGGGGTGTATTTCTCAGCCCAGAGAGGAACTGATGGATCCAGGCTAGGCATTGGTTGGGTAGTGTGGCTGCAGGACGGTGAGGCAGGAGTGTTGACGGTATTGTCAGAGAAAGAGTGTAGTGAGGGCCGAGTGTGGTGGCTCACGCCTGTAATCCCAGCACTTTGGGAGGCTGAGGCGGGTGGATCACGAGGTCAGGAGATCGAGACCATTCTGGCCAACATGGTGAAACCCCGTCTCTACTAAAAACACCAAAAAAAAAAAAACAAAAAACAATTAGCTGGGCGTGGTGGCAGGCACCTGTAGTCCCAGCTACTCAGGAGGGTGAGGCAGGAGAATCACTTGAACCCAGGAGGCAGAGGTTGCATTGAGCCAAGATTGTGCCACTGTACTCCAGCCTGGGCAATAGAGCGAGACTCCAGCTCAAAAAAAAAAAAAAGAGTGCAGTGACAGGCTGTGTGGGATCTAGACTGGAAGAGAAGGAAGGTCACTGGGGAGCTGCTGCTGAATGGGGATACGGGAAGCATCAGATCAAGTACCTGGGGGCTGAGGGTTTTGCAGGGGGGTTGCTTAGCTGGAAGGTAGGGGGCTGGGCAGGCACTGCCCTGACGCTGGGGTTTCCGCTTTCATGGAGCTGTTAGTCAAATGGGGGAAATGAGCGTTCATCAAATCATCACCTGCATAAACAGAAAATCGAAGAATGTGTGAGGTGCTGTGAAGAACCACAGCAGGTTCTGGGGTGGAGGAGAAAGTTCTAGGGGTTTCTCTGAGAAGATAACATTGAAGGCCGGGTAGGACTTAGCCAGGTGAAGAATGGGAGTGGGAGGCCCGGCATGGTGGCCCGCATCTGTAATCCCAGCACTTTGGGAGGCCAAGGAGGGCAGATCACTTGAGGTCAGGAGTTCGAGACCAGCCTGTCCAGCATAGTAAAACCCCATCTCTACCTAAAATGCAAAAAATAGCCAGGCATGGTGATGTGCGCCTGTAATCCCAGCTACTCCGGAGCCTGAGGCAGGAGAATCGCTTGAACCTGGGAAGCAGAGGTTGCAGGGAGCTGAGATTGTGCCACTGCACTCCAGCCTGGGCAACAGAGCGAGACTCTATCTCAAAGGAAAAAAAAAAAGAATGGGAGTGGGAATATATTAGGCAGACACAATAGCACACGACAAAGTCCTCAGGTAGGAGATCTTTCTGGGTTCCAGGAATCTAGAGGAGGCCAGTCCAGTATTTGTTGAGTGCCTACTAAGTGCCTGATACTGTGCTTGGTTTGGGGGCACAGCAGTAAGACAGGTGAAATTCCTGCCTTCACGGAGCTTCATATATTTGGTGGGCGGGGGAGGAGACAGACAATAAACATATAAACAAAGAATTAATAAGAAAAGGAGGCCAGGCATAGTGGCTCATGCCTGTAATCCCAGCACTTTGGGAGACCGAGGTGGGTGGATCATTTGAGGTCAGGAGTTCGAGACCAGCCTGACCAACACAGTGAAACCCCGTCTCTACTAAAAAAATACAAAATTAGCTGGGTGTGGTGGCACAGCCTGTAATAATCCTAGCTACTTGGAAGGCTGAGGCAGGAGAATCGCTTGAATGCAGGAGGCGGAGGTTGCGGTGAGCCAAGATCACGCCATTGCAGTCCGGCCTGGGCAACAAGAGCAAAACTCTGTCTCAAAAAAAAATAGAGCTGGGGTCTTGCTGTGTTGCCCAGGCTGGTCTCAAACTCCTGGGCTCAAGCGATCTTCCTGCCTTGGCCTCCCAAAGTGGTGGGAATACAGGCGTGAGCGACTGCGCCTGGTCTGACCTCTGACATCTAAGTCTCTTCACCACTATCTCTTGGGCTACTAGGGCTGTGACTGATACTGTAGCCACTAGCCTCATGCAGCTATTTAAATTAAAATTAAATAAAATTAAAGATTCTGTTTCTCAGGTCCATGAGCCACACTTGTGCTCAGTGGCCACGTGGTCTGTGGTCAGTAGCCACATGTGGGCACTGGGTACCGTATTGGATGGCACAGATTTCCATCCAATAGAACATTTCCATCCCTGGAAAGTTCTATTGGCCAGTGCTGCCTCCCCACCCCGACTTTGGCCTCCTGTCCCATCTCCTGAGTGTTGGTCATTTTCTTCCCACCCTCCCAACCCCTCAGCCTCTTCTTCCTCCAAATTCCTTGTCTTCTGCGTCTTCTCCCTGCCTTCCAAGACTTGGTTTCTCTTCTCTCCTCTTTCTTTTTATTTTTTTTTTGAAATGGAGTCTTGCTCTGTCACCCAGGAGTATAATGGCGTAATCTCGGCTCACTGCAACATCTGCCTCCCGGGTTCAAGCAGTTCTCCTGGCCCAGCCCCCTGAATAGCTCGGATTACAGGCGCGCACCACCACACTCTGCTAATTTTTGTATTTTTAGTAGAGATGGGATTTCACCATGTTGGCCAGGCTGGTCTCGAACTCCTGACCTCAAGTGATCTGCCCGCCTCAACCTCCTGAAGTGCTGGGATTACAGGTGTGAGCCACCACGCCAGGCTGGTTTCTCTTCTCTTTCTGACATTTTGTGAGAGATACCAAAATGTCATCATCAAGAGCCTGAGATACCGGGCTGAGACTGACCTGGGTTCAAGTCCCAGCTCTGCTGCATCTCAACTGTGTGACTTTGGGCAGGTCAGTTGACCCCTCTATACCTCAGTTGTCCTCATTTGTGCAATGAAAAGAGCAGTCATTCTACCTACCTCACGCACTGTGAGGCTTCAGTGAGATTGTGCACAAAATGCACAGGGTCTTGCTTGTTGTGGCCTCTCAGTAAACATTTGCTGGTGACATTAGCATCTTTCTACCTGGCTAACCCCTGGCTTCCTTTTTCCCTCAGTGTGAAGCCATTCTCACAGACACCGTTCACCTTGTCACTGACTCCCCCATCTACTGACCTCCCAGGTAAGAGCCTGCGCTCCACCCTCCCTTGTCTCCCCTCTCTCTCTTCGACCCCTACTGCCTTTCCTTCAACCTTCCATCAATTGAGGGATACATTGTTTTTTTTGTTTTATTTTGTTTTGTTTTGAGATGGAGTCTCCCTCTGTCGCCAGGCTGGAGTGCAGTGGCGTGATCTCGGCTCACTGCAACCTCCGCCTCCTGGGTTCAAGTGATTCTCCTGCCTCAGCCTCCCGAGTGGCTGGGATTACAGGTGCCCGCCACCATGCCGGGCTAATTTTTGTATTTTTAGTAGAGATCGGGTTTCACCATGTTGACCAGGATGGTCTCGATCTTTTGATATTGTGATCCGCCTGCCTCGGCTTTCCAAAGTGCTGGGATTACAGGTGTGAGCCACCGCACCCGGCCAATTAGGGGATACATTCTTACTGAAGCCCAGCTTTGAGGCAGGGTGTGTGTGTTGGGGGCGGGGGAGCCGGGAGGGGCTGGAGAGCTGAGTGGTGGAACTGGTGATGGTTAGGAGATTTTGGTCTTTGCAGCCACACACTGGGTTTGTGTTCTGCCACTTGCTAGCTTATGAGACATGGGGGAGGTATGTTAGTCAAGATTCTTTCAGCTGCAAGTGATAGAAATCCAAATCAAGCCAGCTGAAGCAACATTTTAAAAAAGAAGAGGCAGGTGCGGTGGCTCACAGCTGTAATCCCAGCACTTTGGGAGGCCTAGGCGGGTGGATCACCTGAGGTCAGGAGTTCGAGACCAACCTGGCCAACATGGCGAAACCACCCCCCCCAACCTCTACTAAAAAATACAAAAATTAGCCAGGCGTGGTAGCAGTAGCACTTGCCTGTAATCCCAGCTACTCGGGAGGCTGAGGCAGGAGAATCACTTGAACCTGGGAGGCAGAGGTTGCAGTGAGCCGAGGTGGCACCGTTGCACTCCAGACTGGGCGACAGAGCAAGACTCTGTCTCAAAATAAATAAATAAATAAAATAAAAAATAATAAGAAAAATGTATTGATTTATTGGTTCCAGTAACTGACAGTTCAGAATTATGGCCTCAGGCGTGGCTGGATCCAGCGGCTCAAGTGATGGCATCAGTCATTACTTTGATCTGCTTTCCACTGTGGTGGCTTCATTCCCAGGCAGACTCAGCTACTTGGCAGCAAAGATGGCTTCTGGAAGTCCATGCTGATATGGCCCTGAGAACTCACATCAGTGAAAGAGGGAGTCCCTTAGTTTCCATAGATTTATCAATTAGGAATACTTTTGGCTGCAAGTAACAGAAGACCCACATTAAAAGTGCCTTAAATAGTAAAAGCATTCATGTTATGAATCCATGCAACAAAAAGCCTGGAGGTGGGCTGTTCCCGTGTGGGCTTAGCAATATCAGGACTGGAATCTCTGTAGTTCCTCTCATGTCTGTCTTATTGTCCCAAGATGGCTGTTGCAACTCCAGGGATCATGTCTGTGTTGGTCCATTTGCATTGCTGTAAAGGAATGCCTGAAACTGGGTGATTTATAAAGAAAAGAGGTTTATTTGGTTCACAGTTCTGCAGGCTGTACAGGAAGCATGTTGCCAGCCTATGCTTCTGGTGAGGGCCTCAGGAAGCTTAGGACCATGGTGGAAGGGGAAGGGGAGCCACTATGTCACATGGTGAGAGGGAGCAAGAGAGCGAAGCCAGGCTCCTTTAAACAGCCAGCTCACATCAACTCAAAGAGTGAGAATTCACTTGTTACTATGGGGAAGGCACCAAGACATTCATGAGGGATCCACCCCCATGACCCAAGCACTTCCCATCAGGCCCCACCTCCAACCTTGGGGATCACACTTTTTTTTTTTTTTTTGAGACAGAGTCTCGCTCTGTCCCCCAGTCTGGAGTGCAGTGGCGCAATCTCGGCTCACTGCAACCCCCGCCTCCTGGGTTCAAGCCATTCTCCTGCCTCAGCCTCCTAAGTAGCTGGGATTACAGGCACGTGCCACCATGCCCAGCTAATATTTTGTATTTTTAGTAGAGACAGGGTTTCACCATGTTAGCCAGGACGGTCTCAATCTCCTGACCTTGTGATCCACCTGCGTTGGCCTCCCAAAGTGCTGGGATTACAGGTGTGAGCCACCGTGCCCAGCTGGGGATCACATTTCAACATGAGATTTGGAGGGGACAAATATCCAAACCATATCAATCTCCCAAGCAGGACTTGGCCAGGGCCAAAAGCTTTCTCCTCCCAAAGTTCTGTCTTTTTCATTCAGGAAGAAACTCCTTCCCAGAAGCCCCCCAGCAGATTTCCCCTAACGTCTCATTGGCTAGGACTGTGTCACATGGCCACTTCTAACTGCAAGGGAGGCTGGGAAAGTGAGTATTTAGCTTTTTCAGCTTCTAAGTGGAGGCAGGCAAGAGACAACAGTACCTGATATATTCCATAAATGTTAGCAATTTGTATTGTTCTTTCTTCTCTCTCTCTAGGGTACGAGCCCCCCCAAGCCCTCTCACCCCTGCCCCCACCTACCCCATCGCCCCCAGCCTGGCAGGCTCGGGGCCTGGGCACCGCCCGGTTGCAGCTGGTAGAGTTCTCAGCCTTCGTGGAACCGCCAGATGCAGTTGATTCTGTGAGTGAAATTTTGGTACAGTCGCTGAGGGATTTTGAAATATAGAGGGTGACAGGAAGGGAATGTATAAAGTCATGGTTTTAAAACTTTAGCATGTATCAGAATCATCTGAAGGGCTTCTTAAAACAGAGATTGCTTTCTGATTTGCTAGATGTGATGTGGGGCTTGAGAATTTGCATTTCTAATAAGCTACCAGGTGCGTTGATGCAGCTGGTCTGGGGACCGTACTTTGAGAACTACTAGCATAAAGGAACTGGAAGGTCATAGGGTGACAAGTTGGGAAGGTCAGAAAAGCTCCCCAGGACATCATTCATTCATTTATCAAACGTGTTTGAGTTTCTACTGTTCACTAGGCTTTGTGATGCATACTAGGAACTTGGAAAAGATTTTATTTCTGTGCTTGAGCTTCTCCTGGGCTAGGATGGAGTGGGCCGACTGTTAGAAGAAACAGCTCCTAACTCTTAGGGACTGAATGCCAGATAAGTTGCATGTAACATTTCAATGTAGGTTCAGCAGGAGCCTTGGACTCAAGTGATTTGGGGATCCAGGCTCCTTCCATTTTGTGGCTCTGCCATTTTCTAAGGCTTCAGAATCTGCTGATGGAGTCTCTGCATCTGGCCAGCAGATGGAGGAAGGGAGAGAGTCAAGATTGTGCAGGAGGTTTTAGGAATCTGACTTGGATGTGTCGACTCTCAGGCCTGGTCACATCCCATTGGCCAGAACTTAGTCATGTGGTCACACCTAACTGCAAAGCGGCCTGGGAAATGTAGTTTCACACTGTGTAAAGGAACCAGGATTTGTGAACACGTAGCAGTCTCTGCCACACCATATAAACATCAATCAAAACATCAACCACAAGACCTCTGTGGATTCCCATTCATTCACTCTTCCATCCATTGACCATTTATGAGCACCTGTTCTATATAGGACCAGGCCTAGGGGGTGTGAGCTTTGCCCTGGGGCTGCTGGGGAGCTATGGGAGGGCCATGACCAGGGGAGGGTCAGGGGCAGGTCTGGAGCCACATGAGGGATGAACTGGAGAGGCGAGGTTGGAGGCTGGGGTGAGGGTGGGAGGCCTGAGGTGAGGCTGAGGCAGTGAGGATGGAGTTGGGGGAGTTGTGGCAGGGAGTTGGGGACTGTAGGACTGCAGGGCTGCAGGGGACTGGGTGCAGAAGCAGGAGTGGGGACGATGGGTGGCAGTCAGGCCCAGTGCTGGGTGGACTGTGTGGAACAGCTGGCCAGAGCTGTGGGGATGGTGACGGCATTTGGTGGGCTCAGGCAGCACAGGCTGGAGATCCAGCTCACCTCCGACTTCTCACCCACGGCCAACCCTCCTCAGTACCAGAGGCACCTGTTCGTGCACATCAGCCAGCACTGCCCCAGCCCCGGAGCGCCGCCGCTCGAGAGTGTGGACGTCCGGCAGATCTACGACAAATTCCCTGAGAAAAAGGGTGGCCTCCGAGAGCTATATGATCGTGGCCCCCCCCATGCCTTCTTCCTGGTCAAGTTCTGGGTGAGTTCTCACAGCAAAATCAAAAGTGCTCACAAATCCTGTGGTGTCCCAGCAAAGGCCTCTGGCCCTGAGAGAATCTGTCGCGGGCCCTACCAGGTCAGCCTGGGACTTACCAGTCAGTCCTCATGGCTTGGAGTGTCAGCCCCCTTTGCAACAAGGAACACCGAGGAGGCCAGCCCCCAGGGTGGGTTGGAGGTGTCTGGGCCTCCCTGGATCCCACTAGACATTGCCACATGTAACTAATACGGTGAGTTACCTGGCCATGTAGCTAATAGGGTCCTGGGCATGGGCTTGCCATGTTCCAGGCTTCCCTGTGCCCCACCTGACTGCACCAAGCCGTGCTGCTAAGGAAAGACCCCTCCCCGTAGCCAGTGGACTTGTGGAGACTGGTTTCTAAAGAGGGGACTGATGCTTTGCATCAGTTTCACCAGACCTTGTTGCTAGAGAATGTCTGGCTTTGAGGAAGTGATGAAAAGAGCCATGGAGTGGCTTTGCCAAGTCCTGTATTCATTTATTTGTTTATTTATTTATTTTTGAGACATAGTCTCACTGTCACCCAGGCTGGAGTGCAGTGGCTGTATCTTGGCTCACGGCAACCTCCGCCTCCTGGATTCAAGCGATTCTCCTGCCTCAGCCTCCCCAGTAGATTGGACTACAGGCACCCGCCACCACATCTGGCTAATTTTTGTATATTTAGTACAGACGGGGTTTCACCATGTTGGCCAGGCTGGTCTTGAACTCCTGGCCTCAAATGATCTGCCCACCTTGGCCTCCCAAAGTGCTGGGATTACAGGTGTGAGCCACCGCACCCGTCCAAGTCCTGTATTTATGTAGCAATCATTTATTGAGCACTTCCTATATAGACGCCTGGTGTCAGCTGCTATTTATATGATTGGGACTAAGAGGGCCCATCTTGCGTGTTTCTTAGGGCTACTTGGTTTGGTGTCCAGTATGATGACTAACACTACAGGGGTTCAATAAATGTGTTTTATTTTCTTTTATTGTTTTTTTTTTTTTTTTTTTTGAGATGGAATTTTGCTCTTGTTGCCCAGGCTGGAGTGCAATGGTGCGATCTCGGCTCACTGCAACCTCTGCCTCCTGGGTTCAAGCGATTCTCCAGCCTCAGCCTCCCAAGTAGCTGGGATTACAGGCATGCACGACCATGCCCAGCTAATTTTTGTATTTTTAGTAGAGACGGAGTTTCGTCATGTTGGCCAGGCTGATCTTGAACTCCTGACCTCATGTGATCCGCTCACCTTGGCCTCTCCAAGTGCTGGGATTACAGGCATGAGCCACTGCACCTGGCCTAATTTTTGTATTTTTAGTAGAGACAGGGTTTTACCATGTTGGCCAGTCTGGTCTCGAACTCCTGACCTCAAGTGATCCACCCACCTTGGCCTCCCAAAGTGCTGGGATTACAAGTGTGAGCCACAGTGCCTGGCCTGGGCTCAATAAATGTTGCCTGGATGTTTAGGGGGTGCTAGTTCTTATAGTAACAAAGGTGGTGGAGGGATCTAGTCTCTGAGAAGAAAGCCTGGCTAGGTGTGGTGGTTCACTCCTATCTTCCCAGCACTTTGGGAAGCTGAGGCGAGAGTTTCGCTTGTGTTCAAGAGTTTGACACCAGCCTGGGCAACACAGTGAGACCTCAACTCTACAAAAAATGAAAAAAATTAGCTGGGTGTGGTGGTGCGCACCTGTGGTCCTAGCTTCTGTGGAGGCTGAGGCAGGAGGATCACTTAAGCCTGGGAGGTGGAGGCTGCAGTGAGCCAAGATTGTGCCACTGCCCTCCAGCCTGGGTGACAGAATGAGACCCTGCCGAAAGAAAGAAAGGAAGAAAGGAAGAAGGAAAGAAAGGAAAGAAAAGAAAGAAGGAAAGAAAGAAGGAAGGAAGGAAGGAAAGGAAGGAAAGGCCTGCTGAGGGCCTGAACTTTACTGTTCTTGCTGGGAGTGTTGTTGTTCTGGAGCTTGCTGTTCACGGTTCTGGAGCTTTCTGCCATGTGAAGCAGAAGCCTGAAACTGCTCTGGGGATGTGCAGCTGAGGGCTTAGACATTGTTGGGGCTTAAGACAGGCCTTATCAGGTCCCAGGACTGGAGAGCCACCCCCTTAGGAAGCCCAGCTGCTGAAGGGGTTCAGAGGAGCAGCTGGTAAGGTCTTTGGTTTTGCCACGGTGAGAGATGGAGTCGGGCCCCTGAGAAGACGGACCTGGCACAGTGTTAGCAACTAAAGTTAGGAAGAGGAAGAGGTGCGCCTCGCAAGGAGGTGACTCAGACCAAAGGTGTGATGAGCTCTTAGGCTTCCTTAGGCCCCACTTGGCCTAGTGACACTTGGCCAGCTGTCTACACACACTTGGCCACTGGGGTCATGGAGGGAGTCTGACCTCTCAGATTTGGCCGAGGGGGAAGTGCTCTGAGGAGGAGTCAGGCCTCCTCAGGCTCCGTGAGGTCCCGTTGCTAGGGAGTAGCCACTTGCCTTAGCAACCAGAGTGAGAGGGGCTTAGAGGGAGGTATTCATCTTGAACTGGTTGCTAAGAAGTAACTGCCATAGTAACCAGGCCCTTGGAAGGGGCTGAACTCTTGAGTTGCGGGCTTCAAGGGAAAAAGGTTGAATTGGCTGGACACAGTGGCTCATGCCTGTAATCTCAGCACTTTGGGAGGCCTAGGTGGGTGGATCACCTGAGTTCAGGAGTTTGAGACCAACCTGGCCAACATGACAAAACCCTGTCTCTACTAAAAATACAAAAATTAGCCAGACATGGTGGCGTGCGCCTGTAATCCCAGCCACTTGGGAGGCTGAGGCAGGAGAATCGCTTGAACCCGGGAGGCAGAGGTTGCAGTGAGTCAAGATCGCGGCATTGCACTGGGCAACAAGAGCGAGACTTCATCTCAGAAAAAAAAAAAAGAAAAGAAAAAAGGTTGAAATTGAATTCCAGGGCTCCTTTGGTTACTGGGGAGACAGGGCCAAGACTGTTTTGGGGACCCAGACTTCTTCAACGCTGATGGACGGTGGATCTTCTCCAGAAACCAGCCCTTGGAGAACTTTGAAAGCCTGACGCGGTGGCTCATGCCTGTAATCCCAGCACTTTCGGAGGCCAAGGTGGGAGGATCGCTTGAGCCCAGGAGTTGGAGACCAGCCTGGGCAACATGGTGAAACCCTGTTTCTACAAAAAATACAAAATATTAGCTGGATGTGGTGGCATGCACCTGTGGTCCTAGCTACTCAGGAGGCTGAGATGGGAGGATCACTTGAGCTCAGGAGGTCGAGGCTGCAGTGAGCTGTGATTGTACCACCACACATTGCCTGGGTGACGGAGCAAGACCCTGTTCCCCCCCCCCCAAAAAAAAAGACAAACAAACAACAAAAAAACAAAACAACACTGAAGAATCAAGCCGGGAACTGCAGGGGTAATGGTAGGCTATGGGGCAGAGTCCCCACTGTGTTTTTTTTTTTTTTAAGATGGAGTTTCGCTCTCGTTGCTCAGGCTGGAGTGCAATGGTATGATCTCGGCTCACCGCAACCTCTGCCTCCCGGGTTCAAGTGATTCTCCTGCGTCAGTGTCCCAGTAGCTGGGATTACAAGCATGCACCACCACGCCCGGCTAATTTTGTATTTTTAGTAGAGATGGGGTTTCTCCATGTTGGTCAGGCTGGTCTTGAACTCCCAACCTCAGGTGATCCGCCCGCCTCGGCCTCCCAAAGTACTGGGATTACAGGTGTGAACCACTGCGCCTGGTAGTCCCCACTGTTTATAAGGGATGTCCCCTCTGACTCATCTGTGCCTTCCCATCTCCCAGGCGGACCTGAACTGGGGCCCAAGTGGTGAGGAGGCAGGGGCCGGTGGCAGCATCAGCAGTGGTGGCTTCTACGGAGTGAGCAGCCAGTATGAGAGCCTGGAACACATGACCCTCACCTGTTCCTCCAAGGTCTGCTCTTTTGGCAAGCAGGTGGTGGAGAAGGTGGAGGTGAGGCTGGAGGGGTGGAGCTCTGGGTCAGCACTTGGGGGTGCAGAATGGACCAGAAGCCATCATGACTCAGGCATTTGGGAGTATGCATGGAGGGAGTGGGTCCCAGCCTCTTTGAGGGTTTAATGCATGCGTTGGGAGCTAATGGGCAGTTCAGAAGTCACAGGCAGGGATCATTCTGCGGGCTGACAGGTAATGTGTAGTATAGAGACTTAGAGTCACTGAGATTGAGAAGGGTCTTATGGATATGGAGAGGTTCTTAGGGCAAGAAGGTTCAGAAGTCACACTTACAGTTGCTGGAGACTTGGGGAAGTCTCAAGTTTAGAAGTCAGAGTTTGAAGACGTCATGGAGGGGTCTTTGGAGGGTATCTGAGGGCTGGGAGGTTAGAGGAGTCCAGAGGTCTTTGGGGGTTCAGAGAATCACTTTGAGGGGCTTGTGATTTGCAGGCTCAGAGATCCTGATTCGGATCTCCGAGGGTTCAGGCCCAGTCTCCAGTCACTGTGGGTGGGGTGATGAAAGGAAGGTGGCAGTGAGAGTGAGTGTGGTGGCATCTTAGAGGCACAGGGTGGAGCTCAATTCCTGGGGTGACCCGTGGGTCTCTCAGCCACCATTTTCCCAACTCCCTTCCCCTTGGTTCAGACGGAACGGGCCCAGCTGGAGGACGGCAGATTTGTGTACCGCCTGCTGCGCTCGCCCATGTGCGAGTACCTGGTGAATTTCTTGCACAAGTTGCGGCAGCTGCCTGAGCGATACATGATGAACAGCGTCCTGGAAAACTTCACCATCCTCCAGGTGATGCCTGGGGCTGGGCTGGAGTGGGGCCCCCCAGTGTGGAGGGACAGTACCTATAACAGACCCTCAGTCTAGGGGATCTCCTCACCCAGGAACTGACACAGCAGGGACTCCAAAGTGAGCCCTCAGCCTGAGGCTCTTTTAACTAGGAAACTGATGCAGCGGGGACCCCACCATTGACCCTTAGTTTAGGGGACCCTTCACCCAGGGTGGGGATGTCACAGCACTCTCTCTCTTTTTTTTTTTGAGATGGAGTCTCGCTCTGTCGCCCAGGCTGGAGTGCAGTGGCAAGATCTCGGCTCACTGCAACCTCTGCCTCCCGGGTTCAAGTGATTCTCCTGCCTCAGCCTCCCGAGTAGCTGGGATTACAGGCACGCCCCACCACGCCTGGCTAATTTTTGTATTTTTAGTAGAGATGGGGTTTCACCATGTTGGCCAGGTTGGTCTTGATCTCCGACCTCAAGTGATCCACCTGCCTAGGCCTCCCAAAGTGCTGGGATTACAGGTGTGAGCCACCACGCCCAGCCCCACAGCACTCGCACATAAGGTGGGTCCCTCCTTCCCTGGTGAAGCTGACTGGAGGGCACTCGAAGGCAGATCCTCAGCTTGTCAAGGAACATGATATGGTGGGAGCCCCTTTAACTTTTTGGACTGCTGAGGCAGAGACCCCTTGACCGCGGAACCTGCAGGGAGGGTTCTCCCTTTACTTGTGACATGATGGGGACCCCTTTTACCCAGGGAATGTGATGTGATGGGAACCCGATTAACCCTGAGATGTGATACACCATAACTGCCAACGCTCAGCTGAGGGGTAACCCCCATTGCCCAGGGAACTGACTTTTGGGCATCCCTTTCTCCTGGGGAACATGATATGGTGGCGGCCTGTTTCCTGGAGATGGAAAAGAGCCTGCTGGGTATTCCATGATAGCTTGGCAGGGGGGCACAGGGGTCCCTGCCCTCCCTTCTAAGCATAAGTCCCTTGTCCTGGCCTTCCTGGCAGGTGGTGACAAACAGAGACACCCAGGAACTGCTGCTCTGCACCGCCTATGTCTTCGAGGTCTCCACCAGCGAGCGTGGGGCCCAGCATCACATTTACCGCCTGGTCAGGGACTGAAGGGGGACCCCAAAACTGGCTCACCCCCCAGAACACCCTCCTCCCAGGGAGGGTCCTCCAGCTCACCTCATGCTTCTTATTTGGGGAGAGGGCTGTGATGTAAAGGGGTTGACCTCAGAGGCCTAAGCAACTGGGGCCATCCCCCCCATTAGAGGGGCCCCCAAAACTTGGTTGGAGAGCTGAACAGGCTGGGACTGAGGAAAGGATAAACCCCGATATTGGGACCTCACAGTGGGTGTCTGAAAGGACAGATCACTCCGGAGTATCAGGGATTGTGGGGACAGGAGTGAGACAACCCCCCAGGTACAGCACTGGCTTTTCTTTTCAGCCCCTGACAGGCCACCCCCACTCCTCTGCATGTCTTGGAGAGCGCTAGTTACACATTGGCTTGTCCCCTTTACTTTTTCCCAGCCACCCCTCCCCCTGAAATTTCTGCCCCTCTCTACCACCCTCACTCCATGACCTGTGAGATCACAAAGTGAAGATGAACCCTTTCTGTGCAGGAGCAGAGCCAGGTGGGCCCTGGACATTTTTTTTTTTTTTAATATAACGAGATATTTATAAGTGGGTGCTAGGGTCTTGACTTTATCTCCGCTGCACAAGCAGTGTGTTGAACTTTCTAATCTCATCCCTCTCCTAAGTGAGCCCTGAGCTAGACGGTTTCCTTCCTCCCCTCTCAAAGTTTGTTTGTTTGTGTTCTGACAGAGGATAAAGCTATTTTACCAAAAACGCAGGGGATTTATTTGAGGTTTGGGTGAAAAATAATCTTGTGGGTGGTGGTAGGCCGACAGATGGGGACAGGAAGCTGTGGACGAAAGCCCCAGGTCCCGTGGGAGAGGTGACAGCAGCAGGGGCACGCAGCCACGTGGGTCCCCAGGGGAATGTGAAGGCGGAGGGCTCCAGGCGAACTGGGGATTAAACAAATATTTACAGGCAGCAGGGAAGTGCCCAGCGCACGTGACGGGGGCGGGGCGGGACTTTGGGGAGGGCGGGGCCTAACGGTATCGAGCGAGCCGGTTGTAGACGTGGTCCAGGTTTCTGCACAGGAATATCGAGAGCGTCATGAACCCGAGCTATAGAGAAAGGAGATGAGGTCAGAGAAGTCGAAGGGGTGCTGGCGAGACGGGGGTGATGCCCACCCGGGCGAGAAAGGTCAGGGGTGGGGCCGTGAATTGGGCGGGAAGGGGCTGGAGAAGGGGATAGGTAGAAAAGGGCGGGGCTCGACGGGAACTGCCGCAGGGCTGGCTGATGAGGCGGGAATAGCTGCTACAAGTGGGGGTAGAGGCTGAGAAGGAGTAAGGTCGGAAGCAAGCCCAGGGTCCTTTATTTTGGAGGCTCATCTGTCTTCCCCCTCTGCCTCAGCCTCTAATTGTGCCTCCTCTAATTCTGCGCCCGCACTTCCAGTGTCAGGCTGGTCCTCGTCTTGAACCCACAGCGGCCAGAGCCCCAGGGCCATGGGCAGCTTGCCCTGCGGTGCCTTGTCTCCCCAGTTGGGGCAGGCACCCGCCATGCCCCAGCCACCCCACAGACTGCCGCTGTGCCCGCCGCCGCCGTCAGCGATCAGGCTGGGCCCGGGGCTCGAATCCCCAGCGCCCGGCACGTGCGGCTCGCATTTCCGGCGGAGTGCCCTGCGCTGTAGCTGTACGCTCAGCACCATGACAGTCATCTGCGGAGAAAGGGGAGGGAGATCGCAGCCAATAGCAGGAGGCTTTCCCTGCGTACACCCAATCAGGGCTCCCTGAAGCTGGGCCGCCCCCACCCTCCGGTGCTGGGTGGAGCGGCGGGAGGGCCGGGGTGGGCTGCGCTCCGCCCTGAGCTCGTCCTTCCCAGGCAACCGAAGGACGCGAAATGAAGGGCAGGGCCATCTAGGGATTTAGGGCCGATCGCGGGTGGGGGCGGGGCCAGATCACCTCGAGTAGGCCGACGCCCAGGCAAATGCCCACTATGGAAATAAGGTTGTTGTGCAGCCACTTCTGGAGGCCCTGCGCGCAGCCCTGGGGGGTGTAGGGAAAAGTTAAAGGGATTCTTTCTGGGACTCTCAAGCCCAGGCCCAGCGTTCTTTTCAGGCCAACCCTCACCGTCTTCAGGCATCTACCCGCTCCCCTAGTCACCAGGGCACTCTAGTCTCCTTACTAGTGCACCCTCGCTTCACCTTTTCCAAGCCTGGCCCCTCCCTAGACATCTGTATTCCAGAGCCAGCCCAGCCTTTTCTTTAGGCCCTGCCCTTCCTGCAGACCCCGCCCCCTTCAGAGGGCCCCGCCCCTCCTGCCGTACCTTTCCTTTTCTCGTAGACCCCGCCCTTTCTCAGGCCGCTACTCACTGACAGCCCTCCCCCTCCCGCAGGCCCCGCCCCATTCGACAGGTTTATGCTCCGAACCCCTGCCCACCTCGCGGTAGATGTGGCTCTCTGCAGGGACAGCGCAGATGTCTGCACTGTGTCTGGACCGCGCCAGGTGTCCAAGCCTGCTGAGCTGGGGCAAGATCACCTTATCTAGGATTGTGGAGTCGTTGGTCGCCGACAAGTTGTAGCAGGAGCAGGGCACGCGGTGCGCCTCCGACCCGTTACCTCTCAGGATGAGGACTTGGAACCAGTCCTGCGGGTAGTGCCAGCCGCAGCAGCGCAGCTGGGAGAGGGATACGAGTCAGAGGGACCGGGACTGGAGACATATGATGTTGGGGATCAGGGGACAAGGTGATGGGTATGAGGTCAGGTCGGGGAGCAGGGGACTAAGTGGTGGGTGTGGAGTGGGGGACAGTGGGCTGGGGTCACGATGGGGCCGGAGCCAGGGGACATTACGGGAACATGGGGCTGGGAAAGACGAGTCACGGGGTGACCTGGGGCTGGGGAAGGAGCTGCAGGGTCGCGCTGTGGACTAGAGATTGGGTGGGTGGTGCAATTGAGCCTCTGATACCCGACAGGTGAATAGGAGTGCGAGACCATGTGAGTCTCATCGGGGGCGGGGTCCGGTGGAAGCCAGAGTCACTACGGGGTAGGAAGCCGTGTCTCGCTAGGGTCTTGGGACTAGGGGCCTGACAACCTCTGGTCGGGGCGGGGGCGGGGGCGGAGTCTCTCGAGGTAGATGGCGAAGCCACGCCAGGGTCTGGGTACTGGGAGACCAGGCGACGCCGGGGACAGTTGTGTCATCTGGGGAGTGGGGAGCGTCGGGCCTGGGAGGGATTGGGGTGTGTTAGGATCGTAGAGCTGGGGGTCGGGCCCACGTTGGGGTGGAGTCTCCTCCAAGCACAGGGCTGAGGCGGGTCAGTCCGGGAGGGAACTGGAGGAGGGGGGCTTACCTGGAACTGCACATAGTCCCAGCTCTCCTCGGCCGCGGTCTCCTCGGGGTTGGTGCCGTACTTTTGGATGGTTTTCTCTACGACGTCCCGCAAGCTTCGCTCCAGCTGAGAGGCCACCAGTGAGGCTGGGCCTTATCTTCCCCGCCCCACCCCTCCCCCTCTCAGGCTGTGCCAGCCTCAGGCGGGCCCTGTGCATCTCTGGGCCAGTCTCAAATCCTTACTGAATGGCTAGCTCTGTGTACTTCAGGTCTGTCTTTCTGTTTCTTCCACTATTTCTACGGCTCATAAGTCTCTGTCTCTTCTTTCAGGGCGTCTATTTCTTTCTCTTGTTCTCTCTTTTTCCCGTGTGTTTCCCTTTGGAGCTGTTTATGCCTGTCTCCCTTGGTCCAGGTCGGTGTGTCTTTCTATTAATTTATTTTTTGAGACAGGGTCTCACTCTGTCACCCAGGCTGAGTGCATGGCTCACTGTAGCCTCAAACTCCCTGGCTCAAGTGATCCTCCCACCTCGACCTCCCAAGTAGCTGGGACCCCAGGTGCACACCATCACACCCGGATTTTTTTTTTAAATATAGATGGGGTCTCACTATGTTGCCCAGGCTGGTCTCAAACTCCTGGACTCCCACCTCAGCCTCCCAAAGTGCTGGGATTATGGGATTACAGGCGTGAGCCACCAGGCCCAGCCTCTTATTTCTCTTTATCTAGGTTAGCCCCTGTCTGCCCTTGTTTCGGTCTCTCTCCACCCTCTCCCACCACTCCCTTCCCTCTCCTCCCTGCTGGGGGTGGGTGGTGGCCACTGCAGGAAGCTCACCTGGGCCCGCTGAGTGGAGATGAGGATTCCCAGGGTGATCTGTGTGGCAAACAGGAGCAGCAGCATCCCAAAATACTGGGGAGCAGAGTGGAGAGATCAGGCTGACCACCCCTGCAACCCCGGCCCAGGCCATTTTTGAGGGTGGGGATAGGAGTGTTCCTAGGGACGGAGAGGGATGGTGCACTCACCAGGCCCAGGAGGCAGCGGAGCTCCTTGAGGGCCCCCACACAACCCAGGAGGGCGATGCCCATGGTGAAGATTCCTGAGATGGCCAGGACTTTGGACCAGATCTGCAGAGGCACGAAGGCCAAGCCTGGGAGAGGTGAGGGGAGTGATGATGAGCTGTGTGGCACAGCTCCAGGCAGCCCCATTTCCCACCTAGGCAGCCACCCAAGTGGGGAGCAGTATCTTGGTGCCCCTCTCTCTGGGACTCTGTCCCTGCCCCACCCTGAGTCCCTGTTTCCTTCTGAAACTTTCTCTTCTTTCTGGGCCTGTTTCCCGTCCCTGGATCTCTGTCTCTCTTCCTCTTACCCTCTCCTTCCTCCTTCAGCTCCTCCTCGTCCCCAGTAGTTTCAGCCCTATCACTTGTTCTGTGACATTGGCTTGGCTCCTTAAACCTCCCTGAGGCATAGGAGATGATATCTATTTCTTAGGGTTTTTTTTTGAGTTGGAGCCTCGCTCTGTCCCCCAGGCTGGAGTGCAGTGATGTGATCTCGGCTCACTGCAACCTCTGCCTCCCAGGTTCAAGTGATTCTCCTGCCTCAGCCTCCCTAGTAGCTGCGACTACAGGCATGTGCCACCATGCCTGGCTAACGTTTTGTATTTTTGAGTAGAGACAGGGTTTCACCATGTTGGCCAGGCTATTCTCGAACTCCTGACCTCAAGTGATCCACCTGCCTCGGCTTCCCAAAGTGCTGGAATTACAGGTGTGAGCCACCGCGCCCGGCCCCTAGGGTCATTTTGAGAGACACATGAGGACATGTGTTCAACCCAGTCCTCAACACAGGGCAAAGACTTCTTAAATATGAGCGTTTAGGGTTATATTTCATTATTATTTAGGGTCATACTTCATTATTATTTTCCTATTATTAATGTTATTTTGGCTCTTTTACGTCCTTGCTGTATGACATCCATCAAGGGGCTTCCCCTCTCTGAACCTCAAGCGAGGGGAAGGTTTGTGGGGGCATCTGACCAGCCACAAGTCCCGACAGATAGGAAGTGCTTGAGAAATGGCTCTCATGATCATTGTTGTTTGTATGCACAACCCCATTTGCCGGAAGAAGACTCAGGCTCCAAGAAGCCTCCGGTGAGCAGTGGATGGGAGCCTGTAGCCTGCCTGCAGAGTAGGGCACCGTAGGTCTCCCTGAGACAAGGGAGACCCCAGGAAGTTGCTTGGGTTGGGGGAGGCCCTCCCACCTGCCCCAGCCCCCCTCACCCACAAAGGACACGAAGCTGGTCTTGTCAATGAGGATCCAGATGCCGAAGCAGAAGATCAGGCTGCCGAGGACCTGGGGAGAGGAGATGCGGATACGGGGGTGGGCCACAGGGGAAGATGAGGGCTGGGTTAGCGGCAGGGGCTGGGCCCCGGCTGGGTAGCCATGAGGCAACTCACGAAGAAGAAGAGGTTGAAAACGAAGAGGAAGTACTTGATGAGGCTGAGGCAGCTCTCCTGGGCTGACATCTTCACCTAGTGGGGTAAGCGGTCCACTCACCACACAGAAGAGGTGCTGACAGTGGGGGAGACAGGGAGAAAGAAAGAGGCTGAGAGAGAAAGAGAGACGGAGAGCTGAGAGAGAAAGGAAGAACCCCAAAAGAGGAAGTTCCAGGGGTGGGGCTCCACCCACTCCCGCTTCATGTAAGGTGGCTTTCTGTCTCTCTCTCTGTCCCTGTCTCCCTCACCTGCTCCACTGGGACACATGCTCTGGTACCTGAGGGGCCTTGGAATTTGTGGGCACCAAGGACTCATGGGGCAGTCCCTCCCAGGTCTCCATGTCTCAGGCGCTGGGGGATCTAAAGGGACCCCTGATCTACTGGAACCCACCTCTGGGCATGGGGACCTCAGGGCTGACCCTGGACAGCAGCTGACCTCACAGACACTCTGACCTCATGGCCTGCTAAGCTCTCCCATCTCTGCATCCAGCTGTGTCTCCCATTTCCTGCCCTGGGTCTCTTGTTCCTCCTCTCTGGGTCTTTGTCCCCACCTTCCTGCTACTCCCCATCTCTGTCCCCTTATCTCAGCAGAGTCTCTCCCTCCTCTGGGTCTCTGTCCTCCTGCCTCCTGGGGTCTCTATCCTCCCTCTCTCTGTGTTTCTTTATTTTATTTATATATTTGTTTCTTTTTGAGACAGGGTCTCACTTTTCACCCAGGCTGGAGTACGGTGGGGAAAACAGCTCACTGTAGCCTGGGCTCAAGCTATCCTCCCACCTCTGCCTTCTGAGTAGCTGGGATTACAGGTGCACACTACCATGCCTGGCTAATTTTTGTATTTTTTGTAGAAATGGGGTCTTGCTATGGAGTGGGAGTGTTGTATTTTTTATATTTAATTAAAAAAAAACAGAGATAGGGTCTCACTAGGTTGCCCAGGCTGGTCTGGAACTCCTGGACTCAAGCGACCCTCCTGCCTTGGCCTCCCAAAGTGTTGGGATTACAGGCGTGAGCCACTGTGCCTGGCCTCTCTCTGCTTCTGGCCCCTTCTTTGGGTCCTTCCTCCTTTCTCTCTTCATCTCTCTTTTGTTTTTGTTTTTGAGACAGGGTCGCCCAGGCTGGAATGCAGTAGTGCGATCATAGCTCACTGCAGCCCCAACCTTCCCAGGCTCGAGCAATCCTTGCACCTCAGCCTCCCAAGTAGCTGGGACTACAGGTGCACACCACCATGCCTGGCTAATTTTCTTCATTTTTTGTAGAGATGGGAGTCTCACTGTGTTGCCTAGGCTGGTCTCAAATTTCTGGGCTCAAGTGATCCTCCTGCCTTGGCCTCCTAAAGTGCTGGGATTATGGGCGTGAGCCACTGTGCCCAGCCTGTCTTCTTTTCTCTGTCTCCCCCTTCCCCACTTGTTTTTGTGCCTCTCAGAGTCTGCAGCCTGTTCTGGACCAGGGAGCACCCAGGTGCTGGGGGCAGGGGCTGGGTACCTGGGGAAGTGAAAGTGCTACAGGCTCGAGGTGGGAAGGTCCCTGGGAGTGGGGAGGGCGCTGGGCCGTGCCAACACCCCCAGCGGAAGCTGAGCATCAGGCGGTACTTCCTGCCTCTGCAGTGGGGCCCGAGGAGCGGAGGCCCCAGAGGAGGAGGCACTGAGCCTGGGATCCTGACAGTCAGATCTGGGTCTGCAGTGCCTGGTTGCAGGTGCACACCCAGTGGCCTCTGCAGTTTCCTCTGATGTCCCCAAATTCTCTCACCTGGTTTCCTCATCTGAGGCAGCCCCACCATCTATCTAGTCATGAGGTCAAAGCTCCATCTTGTCCCCTCTTCCCCAACAGCGCATCAGTCTCTTAGCCAGATCCCTCCTGCCTGCTGAGTCTCCACTCCACCCCTCTTCTCTGTCCTGAGGGCTCAGGCAGGCTCTGGGCTCCTGCTCTCCTACCTGGACCCTGACTTTAGGCTTCTCCCTGGCTTCTAGTTTCTCCCTCCAGTCTGTCCCCCACATAGCCCCAGAGGGGTCTTTTTGAAACCCAGTCCTGAGCCACACAGTTCTGTATCCAAACGCTGAGTCACCACCTGCCTCATCCCTCAGCTTTTATTTTTTTGGTGGTTGTTGAGACAGAGTCTCACTCTTCGCCCAGGCTGGAGTACAGTGGTGCAATCAGCTGACTGCAACCTCCGCCTCCTGGGTTCAAGCGATTCTCCTGCCTCATTCTCCCAAGTAGCTGGGATTACAGGCATGACCCACTACGCCCGGCTAATTTTTGTATTTTTGGTAGAGACGGGGTTTCACCATGTTGGCCAGGCTGACCTCGAACTCCTGACCTCAAGTGATCCGCTCACCTCGGCCTCCCCAAGTGCTGGGATTACAGGCATGAGCCACCACACCCAGGTTTTTGTTGTTGTTGTTGTTTGTTTGTTTTGAGATGGAGTCTCACTCTGTTGACCAGGCTGGAGTGCAGTGGCACGATTATGGCTCACTGCAACCTCTGCCTCCTGCGTTCAAGCAATTCTCCTGTCTCAGCCTCCAGAGTAGCTGGGATTACAGGCATGCACCACCATACCTGACTAATTTTTGTATTTTTAGTACAGACAGGGTTTCACCATGTTGGCCAGGCTGGTGTTGAACTCCTGACCTCAAGTGATCCAACTGCCTTGGCCTCCCAAAGTGCTGACATTACAGGTGTAAGCCACTGCGCCCAGCCCCTCAGCTTCTGTTTCTAACCACCACCAACGCCTCTCTGCTCTACCATTAAAGTACATTGCAAACCCAGCCACTTCTTTCCAAGGCCACCATCCTAAGTCAGGTTCCCATCATTTTCTACAAAAATAATTATAGCTGATTATAGTGGGTTGCATGGCGTTCTCCAAAAAGATATGTCTATGTCCTAATCCCCAGAACTTGTGGTGACCTTATTTGGAAAAAAGGGTTTTGCGGGTATAATTACATTCAGGATCTCAAGATACTGCATTATCTGTGTGACCCCTAAATCTGATGACAAGTGTCTGTTTTTTGTTTTTGTTTTTGAGACAGAGCCTCGCTCTGTCACCCAGGCTGGAGTGCTGTGGTGTGATCTCGGCTCACTGCAACCTCCGCCTCCCAGGTTCAAGCAATTCTCTGCCTCAGCCTCCCGAGTAAATGTGATTACAGGCAGGCGCCTGCCAGCACACCCAGCTGATTTTAGTATTTTTAGTAGAGATGGGGTTTCACCATCTTGGCCAGGCTGGTCTTGAATTCCTGACCTCGTGATCCACCCACTTCAGCTTCCCAAAGTTCTGGGATTACAGGCGTGAGCCACCGCACCCGGCTGACAAGTGTCCTTCTAAGAAACACACAGAGGAGAAGACACAGAAGAGGAGAGCACCATGTGATGGTAGACACAGAAATTGGAGTTCTACAGCCACAAGCCAAGGAACTCCTGGAGCCACCAGGAGATGGAAGATGCAAAGAACTGATTTTCTCTCAGAGCCTCTGGAGGGAGTGTGGCCCTGGTGACACCTTGATTTTGGACTTCTGGCCTACAGAACCATGTGAGAATACATTTCTGTTGTTCTAAGTAGTAAGTCTGTGGTAATTTGCTATTTCAGCCATAGGAGACTAATACACCAATCCCTCCTTCCCACCCACTGATCCCTCCTCAGAGATGAGTACATGATTAACCAGAAGTCGAAGGGTAGGTGGCAGAGTGCAGTGGTGCAATCACGGCTCACTGCAGCTTTGATGCTCACCAACTTGGTTTCTTCTTTCCTAGGCACACAGGAGGACTTCATTTCCCAGGTCTCCTTGCAGTGAAGTTGAGGCCATGTGACTGGTCTTGGGCCAATGGAATGGGTGCAGAAGGGACACAGCCCATTTCTAGACTCAGCCTGAAATGTCCTCCATAATCCTTACTCTTTCTCCCTTCACTCACTGGCTGCAGGAAGCTGAGAATTATCCTTGGACTTACATAAAGCATTTTGGACTTTATGTAAGTAACAACCTGTTGTATTAAGCTACTAAGATTTTACGGTTGTTTGTTAAATCAGCTAACCTTAAACATCCTAACAACTACAAATAGAATACCTGTTACTGCATACACTATATATATCAAAACATTATTATGGGCCAGGTGAGGTGGCTCATGCCTGTAATTCCAGCACTTTGGGAGGCTGAGGCAGGAGGATCACATGAGCCCAGGAGTTCGAGACCAGCCTGGGCAACATAGTGAGACCCTGTCTACAAAAATTAACAAAAAAATTAGCTGGGCTTTGTGGTATGTACCTACAGTCCCAGCTACTCAGGAGGCTGAGGTGGGAGGACTGCTTGAGCCTGGGAGATCGAAGTTGCAGTGAGCCGTGATTGCACCACTGCACTCCAGCCTGGATGACAGAGCAAGACCCTACAGGGGAAAAAAAAGTGGAACACCAGGAGCTACCAGAAACTGAAGAGTCAAGGAAGGATTGTCCTCTGAGCCTTTGAAGGAAGTGGCGTGCTGACACCTTAATTTCGGACTTTTGGCATCCAGAACTGTGAGATAATATATTTTTGTTGCTTTAAGCCACCAAGTTTGTAGTAATTTATACAGCAGTCTCGGGAAGCGAATATACCTGCTCAATCAGAAACTCTGGGGGCGGGCCTGGCAATCTGTTTTTTTTTTTGTGTTTTTTTTTTGTCTCACTCTATTGCCCAGGCTGGAGTGCAATGGCACAACCTCGGCTCACTGCAACCTCTGCTTCCCGGGTTCAAGCGATTCTCCCGCCTCAGCCTCCTGAGTAGCTGGGATTACAGACACCCACCATCATGCCCAGCTAATTTTTGTATTTTTAGTAGAGACAGGGTTTCACCATGTTGGCCAGGCTGGTCTTGAACTCCTGACCTCAGGTGATCTGCCCACCTTGGCCTCCCAAAGTCCTGGGATTACAGGCAAGCCACTGCACCTGGCCTGGCAGTCTGTGTTTTAACAAGCCTTCCTGGTGACTGATGTGCACTAACGTTTGAGAACAGCAATTCTACCCATTGAATTCACCTGATCCCCTCCTCCTTTACTGGCAAATTCCCTCTTGCTTTTCCTCCTTCCTTCTTCACTGGCTGGTTCTCCTCAATCTTCATTGGATCGTCCTTTTTCTAGCTTCTAAAATTTGGGGAGTCCTAGCCCTTTCTAGCTACACTCACTCACGAGATGATATCATGCAGTGCCATAGTGTTCATCGCAATCTACAATACTGTTGACTTACCAATTTATATGCCTAGCCTCAAACTTTCCCCTGAACTGCGGACTCAGGAAGATTCATTTCCCAGGTCTCCTTGCAGTGAAGGACAACTTAACCTCTGCCTTTGGCTGTATAATTGACATCTCAAACTTAACACGCCCAAAACGAAACTATTGATTCCCTCCCACCTCCTGCACACTCCAGTACTTTCCTTTTCAGTAAATTGTCACTCCATCTTCCAATTCTTCAGGCCCAAAGTTTTGGAGTCTTTTTTTTTTTTTTGAGGTCTTGCTCTGTCACACAAGTGGGAGGGCACTGGCACGATCATGACTCATTGCAGCCTCAATCTCCTGGGCTCAAGTGATCTTCCCACTCAGCCTCCTGAGTAGCTGGGACAACAGATGCGTGCCACCACACCTGGCTATTAAAAAACACTTTTCTTTCCTTTAAGAGACAAGGCCGGGCTGGGCACGGTGGCTCACGCCTGTAATCCCAGCACTTTGGGAGGCCGAGGCGGGCGGATCACGAGTTCAGGAGATCGAGACCATCCTGGCTAACACAGTGAAACCCCCGTCTCTACTAAAAATACAAAAAATTAGCCAGGCGTAGTGGCGGGCGCCTGTAGTCCCAGCTATTCGGGAGGCTGAGGCAGGAGAATGGTGTGAACCTGGGAGGCAGAGCTTGCAGTGAGTGGAGATCGCACCACTGCACTCCAGCCTGGGCGACAGAGCGAGACTAGACTGTCTCAAAAAAAAAAAAAAAAAAAAAAAAAGACAAGGCCTTGCTATGTTGCCCAGGCTAGTATCCTACTATCAAACTCCTAGCCTCAAGCAATCCTCCCACCTCGCCCTTGCAAAGTGCTGGGACTACAGGTGCAAGCCACCGCTCCCGGCTGAGTCATTCTTGATTCCTCTCTTTCTCTCAGACCCCAAACCTAATCACCATTAGTTTTCTAATGCTCTGTAACAAATTACCCCAAATTTAGCAGTTTAAAACAATAAACATTTCTTAGGCCAGGAGCGGTGGCTCACTGTAATCCCAGCACTTTGGGAGGCTGAGGCAGGCAGATTACGAGGTCAGGAGTTCGAGACCAGCCTGACCAACATAGTGAAACCCCGTCTCTACTAAAAATACAAAAATTAGCTGGATGTGGTCCCACCTGTAGTCCCAGCTACTCGGGAGGCTGAGGCAGGAGAATTGCTTGAACCTGGGAGGCGGAGGTTGTGGTGAGCTGAGATCGCACCACTGCACTGCAGCCTGGGCAACAGAGCAGGACTCTATCTCAAAAAAAAAACACAATAAACATTTCTTACCTACTGTAGTTTTTGTGGGTCAGGAATCTGGGAGCAGCTTAGTTGGATGATTTCTGCTCACAGTGTTTTATGAGGTTGCAGTCAAGATGTTGGCTGGGGCTGTAGTCATCTGGAGATTTAACTACGGCTGGAGGATCCACTTCACCATGGTTCACTCACCTGGTGCTGGTTGCTGGCAGGAAATTTCAGCTCTTCTCTTATATGGATCTCTTCACAGATTGCTTGAGTGTCCTCACCGTATGGTGACTGGCTTCCTTTACAGAAATCAGTTGAAGGGAATGGGCAAGTAAGAAACAGCAATGCTTTTTATGACCTAGTCCTGAAGTTCCCCACCATTACTTATGTTCATTGGAAGCCAGTTGCTAAGGAGAGCCTGCACTCAAAGATTGGGGAAATAGACTTTATCTTTCAAAGTGTTGAAGAATTTGCAGACGTATTTTAAAACCACCACACAATCCATCAACACATCATGTCGGCTCTATTCTTGAAATAGATCCAGAATTTGACCACTTTTCACCATCTCCATTGCTATTACCCAGATCTAATCAACACCATCACTTGCCTGGACTAGAGATTTCCTCCTCACTGGGCTCTCTGCTTCTATCTTTAGCCCATTGCTATGATTTGGCTGTGTCCCCACCCAAAATCTCATCTTGAATTATAATCTTCATAATCCCCATGTGTCAAAGGAGAGACCAGGTGGAGGTAACTGAATCATGGGGGTGGTTTCCCCAGGCTGTTTTTGTGATAGTGAGTGAGTTCTCATGAGATCTGATGGTTTTATAAGGGGCTCTTCCCTCCTTTGCTTGTGAAGAAGGTGCCTTTTTTCCCCTTTGCCTTCTGCCATGATTGTAAGTTTCCTGAGGCCTCCCCAGCCAAGCTGAACTGTGAGTCAATTAAACCTCTTTTCTTCGTAAATTACCCAGTCTTGAGCAGTTCTTTACAGCAGTGTGAAAACAGAGGAATACACCCATACATGCTATTCTCTGCCCAGAAGCCAGGGGGAGCCTGCCATTAAAATGAAAGTCACTCCTTGACTCAGAACCCTCAAATAGCTTTCATCTCACCCAGAAAAAAAAGAAAAAAATTCCGACCATGACCTATAAGGGCCTCCAAATAATACTCTGGCCCCTGCCACTGCTCTGATCTGATCTGTTGCTACCCTTTCCTCAATCACTGGGATCCATTCATATCAGACTCTTTGCCATTTCCAGAACCCATCAAGTGTACTTCTTGCCTCAAGGCTTTTGCTGTTGCCATTTTCTTTGCCTGGAATGTTCTTCCCTATGCTGTTCACAAGGCTCCCTTCCTTCAGCTCTCTGCTGAAATATCACTTTCCCCAAGAGTCCTTCTTGACTACCCTGTCTAAAGTAACTCCCTATCAGCACTCTTACTCTCTGAAATTCTTTCTATTTAGGCATTTACTTTCTTTGTGCAACTGGAACGTAAAATCTTTTTCATAACTATATCCCAGGGGTCTAGGACAGTGTGGGGCACATCATTCAATAAATATTTATTGACCGACTGAGACTTTTCCTGGTGCCTTGAACACACAGTTTGCCCTGCCTCAGGGCCTTTGCACAGCCTCAAGGCTTGAGATGTTCACACACATTTTTCACCTAGCAAATAATCCTTTAAGCCTCAACTCCAGTGTTATTTCCTTAGAGAAATCCTCCTTCTAAATTAGGTCTATGGGCCGGGCGCAGTGGCTCACGCCTGTAATCCCAGCACTTTGGGAGGCTGAGGCGGGCGGATCACCTGAGGTCAGGAGTTCAAGACCAGCCTGGCCAACATGGCAGGCTGACTCTACTAAACCCTGACTCTACTAAAAATATGAAAATTAACCAGGCGTAATGGCAGGCACCTGCAACCCCAGCTACTCGGAAGGCTGAGGCAGGGAGAATTGCTTGAACCCGGGAGGCAGAGGTTGCAGTGAGCCGAGATTATGCCACTGCACTTCAGCCTGGGTGACAAAGTGAGATTGTCTCAAAAAAAAAAAAAATTCGATAGAAATAAATAGGTCTGTGGCCCTTTTCTGTCGCAGCACTTTTTTTTTTTTCCTTGAGACAGGGTCTTACCCCATCACCCAGGCTGGAGTGTAGTAGTGTGATCTTGGCTTACTGCAACTTCTGCCTCATGGTTTTAAGTGATTCTTGTGCCTCAGCCACCCGAGTAGCTGGGATTACAGGCGTGCACCACCACACCTGGCTCGTTTTTGTATTTTTAGTAGAGATGGGGTTTCACCATGTTGGCCAGGCTGGTCTTGAACTCCTGGCCTCATGTGATCCGCCCACCTTGGCCTCCCAAAGTGCTGGGATTACAGGCGTGAGCCACCATGCCCGGCCTGTCATAGCACTTAATACAATTTATAATCATGTAATTATTTGAGATTCATCATATATCTGTTTTCTTGTTGTGTGAAGCAAAACGAGGGCAGGAATGGGGTCTGTTTTGTTCTCTACACTATTCCCAGTTCCTAGCATTTAGTAGACTCTCGATAAATACGTGTTGAAAGATTGAATGATTCCCAAAGATTGTGATGAATTCTTACAGCACCCCCAAAATTTCCTCTTCATCTCTTTGTTCAATCATAACAATTTAAGCCTTTCATTCTCAAAGTGTGGCTCAGGGACTCCTGGGGGCTCTTGAAACACTTTTGGGGGTCCATGAGGTGAACATTATTTTCATAATACTACTAAGATATTATTTGCCTTTCACTTTCATTTCCTCTTTGAATATAGTGATGTTTGCCAGAAGCTACAAGACATGAGCTATTTTGACACACTCAGTGCAGAAGCAGATATGAGAATCCAGCTGTCTTCTATGAAGCCAGACATTAGAGAGATTTGCAAAAATGTAAAATGATGCCATTCTTCTCCCCAAATTTTTTCTTTTTTTTCCTTTTTTTTTTTGAGACGGAGTCTTGCTCTGTTGTCTAGGCTGGAGTGCAGTGGCAAAATCTCGGCTCATTGCAACCTCTGCCTCCTGGGTTCCAACGATTCTCCTGCCTCAGGCTCCCGAGTAGCTGGGATTACAGGTGTGTGCCACCACGCCCGGCTAATTTTTTTTTTTTTTGACTTTTAGTAGAGACGGGGTTTCATCATGTTGGCCAAGCTAGTCTCGAACTCCTGACCTCGTGATCCACCCGCCTTGGCCTCCCAAAGTGCTGGGATTACAGGCGTCAGCCACCGCGCCCAGCGCCAAAATTTCTTTTGGAGTAGAAATTATAGTTATTTTAAATAAAAATGTTATTTTGACACATAATGAATTTTTAAACAATGACTATTTTAGAAATTTATTTTAATATTGATAGATACAACTCACATAAACATACAACCCATATAAATGTAACTCATAAATTATTGGAGTCCTTAATAATTCTTAAGAGACCGGAAAGTATGAGAACGGATGACCTAAGTAAATCTTTGAGTTTTTAATTCTTGTCTGCAGCCCTAGTAGGCTTCTGAGCTCTCTTAAGGCAACGTCCCTGTCTGCCTTGTTGGACGCATATTTAAGGTTTGGTTTCTAGTAGGCGATCTTTAAGTAAATGCGAAAGGTTTGAAGGCTAGAAGGAATGAATGAGACGATTCTCCCACTTCCTACCCTCTTCTTCCTTACATGAAGTGGAAGCAAAGTGCATGTGCCAGAGAAAGGCCTTGTCTTAGAGCCCCGCCTGAAGCGTGGCATCGTGGGTGTCGGGGTGGGGTGCGGTGGGGAAGGGAGTGGCGCGTGAGCAGTCAGAGGATGTGCACACGTGCGTGCGTGTGGGGAGAGAGCAGGGAGTTGGGGAGGGCGAAGTGGTTACAGTGTTTGCTACAGCTGTAGGGAAAGAGTGAGGGGGCGCGGCGGCGCATGCGCAGAGAATCGGCGGGAAAGGCCGCGCGCCAGGCAGATCGAGGGGTGTCGCCCAAACCGATCTGTCGACGCCTGAAGGGGCCTGAGGAGATTGCTAGGCTTCTCAGCTGGGGCTTCTTCACCCTCATTTTTGTCCGACTGGCTGGACTGAAGAACCTGGCAGAAGCCTTGGGGCTAGGGTGAGGGTCACGGCCCAGGGAGCCCTAAAATGTTCCCACATCTGGGGTGTGTGGGGCTGGGCGCCATTTTCGAGGCCCGGGCCCACTGGGCTCCACTGACGGGTGACAGGTGACTGGCTGGGAGCCTCCTGGTTGCCCTGGGCTCTGTGGAGCTGAGGGATCAAAGGGGTCCCTCCTTTACCCCCCACGTAGGACAGAGGAAACTGTCTTCGGCTCTCCTCACTCATCCAGTCCGAGTTTGAGCCAATTCCTTGACAGGATTCGGCCATCAGTCCCTGCCTTTGGGGAAAGCCATCAGTGTCAAGTGCCCGAGTGGCAGAAACCCGGGTCTAGCCCCATCACTGGTCTGTTAGGGCAGTTATTTTCTGCTTTTTGCAGAAATGGGACACCAGCTCCTTATTTTCCTTTTCTGGAGGTTATAGTTCCAGGGAAGGAGGTAATGTGAGGGGAATGGGCATTTCTGGGGGATCCTGAGCACTCCCCACAGGGCATGAGCCTAGGAGTTGCTTGGGATGACGGTGTAGGGGCACCATGGAGGGTTGCACCCATATGGGAAGAGGAGTCCGCCTGGGGCTCAAGGGGCTTTATGGATGTTGGAAGTGGCCAGCTGGCCAAAACTCAGTTCTCTCCCTTCCGTAAAGCTTGCTTTTAAGGACAACTGTTCTAGAATGTGTTTAAGAAACATGAATCTATTATTTTTTATTTATTTATTTATTTGAGATGGAGTCCCACTCTGTCACCCAGGCTGGAGTGCAGTGGCACGATCTCAGCTCACTGCAACCTCTGCTTCCCAGGTTCAAGCGATTCTCCTGCCTCAGCCTCCCAAGTAGCTGGGACTATAGGCGTGCGCCACCACCCCCAGCTAATTTTTTGTATTTTTAGTAGAAACGGGGTTTCACTGTGTTGGCCTGGCTGGTCTCGAGCTCCTGACCTCAGCCGATCCACCCGCCTCAGCTTCCTAAAGTGCTGAGATTACAGGTGTGAACCCCCGTGCCCAGCCTATTATTATTATTTTTAAGAGACAGGGTCTCTCTCTGTCTCCCAGGCTGGAGTCCAGTGGCATGATCACCTCTCACTACAGCCTCGAACTTCTGGGCTCAAGCAATCCTTCCACCTCAGCCTTTCAAAGAGCTGGGATTACAGGCTGAGCCACTGGAGGCTTGGTTTTCACTTATTTTGGGTGTATACCCAGAAGTGGAATTGCTGGATCATATGGTAATTCTATTTTTAAGTTTTTGAGGAACCACCATAGTGTTTTCCATGGTGGTTGCACCATTTTACATTCTGACCAGCAAGGCACAAGGATTCCAATTTCTCCACATCCTCACCAACACTTCTTATTTTCTGCCTTTTTATATTAGCCATCCTAATGGATGCGAGGTATTATCTCATTGTAGTTTTCATTTGCATTTCCTTAATGATTAGTGACGTTGAACATCTTTTCATGTACTTCTTGGAGATTGGTATATCTTCCTTGGAGAAATGTCTATTTAAGTCTTTTGCCCATTTTTGAATTGTGTTGTTTGTTTCTTTGTTGTTGAGTTTTACGAGTTCTCTATATATTCTGAATATTAATCTCTTATTATACATATGATTTTCAGATATTTCCTCCCATTCTGTGGGTTATCTTTTCACCCCTTTGATAGTGTCTCTTGATGCACAAATTTAAAACATTTTAATGAAATCCTGTTTGTTTCTTCTTTTGTTGCTTTTGCCTTTGGTATCATATCCAAGAATTCATTGCAGATCCACTATCATGAAGCTTTTGTCGTATGTTTTATTCTAAGAATTTTATAATTTTAAGTGTTACATTTAGGTCTTTGATTTATTTTGTGTATTTGTATGTGGTGTTAGGTAAGAGTCCATCTTTACTCTTTTGCCTGTACATAATCCAGTTTTCCCAGCACCATTTGTTGAAAAGACTGTCCTTTACTCATTGAGTAGTCTTGGCACCCTTGTAAAAAATCATTTTTCCATACATTGTTTCTGGGCCCTCTATTCTGTTCCCTTGGTCTGTATCTTTATGTGAGTAACACACTATTTTGATTACTATAGCTTTGTAATATGTTTTGAAATCAGGAAATGTGAGTACACCAGCGTTTTTCTTCTTTTTCAAGATTATTTTGGCTGTTCAGGGTCCCTTGAGATTTCATGTTAGTTTTAGGACGTGTTTTTCTATTTCTGCAAAAAAAAAAAAAAAAAAAAAAAAAAAAAAAAAAAAAAAAAAAAAGCTACTAATTCTGTAGATTGCTTTGGGTAATACTGACATCTTAACAGTGTTGTCTTCCAACCCATGAACATGGGATATTTTTCCATTTATTTATGTCTCCTTTAATTTTTTTCAGCAATGTTTTGTAGTTTTCTTTGTACATGTCTTTCACCTTCTTGGTTAATTCTTTTTTTTTTTTTTTTTGAGATGGAGTTTCACTCTTGTTGCCCAGGTTGGAGTGCAATGGTGCAATCTCGGCTCACTGCAACCTCTGCCTCCCAGGTTCAAGTGATTCTCCTGCCTCAGCCTCCTGAGTAGCTGGGATTACAGGCATGTGCCACCATGCCTGGGTAACTTGGTAATGGAAACGGGTTTTCTCCATGTTCGTCAGGCTGGTCTCGAACTCCTGACCTCAGGTGATCTGCCCACTTTGGCCTCCCAAAGTGCTGGGATTACAGGCTTGAGCCACCGTGCCCAGCCAAGTTAATTCTTAAGTATTTTATTCTTTCTGATGCTATTACAAATGGAATTGTTTTCATAATTTTCTTTTCAGATTGTTCATTGTTAGTGTATAAAAATGCAACTGAGTTTTGATTGTTGACTTTGTATCCTGCTACTTTGCTGAATTCATTTATTAGCTCAAAAATTTTTTTGGTGAAAATTTTAGGATTTTCTACGTATAAGATCATATAATCTTTCTAGTTTGGTTTCCTTTTATTTATTTATATTTTTGCCTAATTTCTCTGGCTAGGACTTCCAGTACTATGTTGAATAAAAGTGGCAAAATTAGACATTCTACGCTTGTTTCTAATCTTAGAGGAAAAGCTTACAGTCTTTTATCATTAAGTATGACATTTGCTGTGAGTTTTTCGTATATGGCTATTATGTTGGGATATTTTCCTTTTTTTTTTTTTGCTGAGACATGGTGTCACTTTGTGACCCAGGCTGGAGTGTAGTGGTGTCATCATGGCTCACTGTAGCGTTGACCTCCTGGGCTGAAGTGATTCTCCCATCTCAGCCTCATGAGTAGCTAGGACTACAGAAGTACATCAACACACCCAGGTAATTAAAAATTTTGTTTGTTTGTTTGTTTGTTTGTTTTTGAGATGGAGTCTTGCTCTGTCACCCAGGCTGGAGTGCAGTGGTATGATCTTGGCTCACTGCAACCTCTGCCTCCCAGGTTCAAGCGATTCTCCAGCCTTAGCCTCCCAAGTAGCTGGGACTACAGGTGCACACCACCACATCTGACTAATTTTTGTATTTTTAGTAGAGATCAGGTTTCACCATGTTAGCCAGGCTGGTCTTGAACTCCTGACCTCAGGTGATCCACCCGCCTTGGCCTCCCAAAGTGCTGGGATTACAGATGTGAGCCACTGCACCTGGCCCCAGGCTGGTCTTGAACTCCTGGGTTCAAGTGGTCATCAGGCCTCCCAAAGTGTTGGGATTACAGGCATGAGTCACCATGCCCAGCCGTATTTTCCTTTAACTCCTAGATTGTTGAGTTTTTTTTTTTTTTTTTATCATGAAAGGGTATTGAGTTTTGTCAAATGTTTTTTCTGCATCAGTTGAGAGAATCATTATTTTTCTTTCATTTTGTTAATGTGGTATATTATATTGATTGATTTTTGTATGCAGAACCATCCTTGCATTCCAGGAATAAATCCCACTTGGTCATGGTATATAATCCTTTTAATATGCTGCTGAATTAGGTTTGGTAGTATTTTTTTTGAGGATTTTTGCATCAAAGTTCATAATGAATATAGGTCTGTAGTGTTCTTTTCTTATAATGTCTTTGTATGGCTCTGGTATTAGGGCAATGTTGGCCTTATAGGATGAATGAGGAAGTGTTCCCTCCTCTCCAATTTTTTGGAAAAGTTTGAGAAGGATTGATATTAATTCATTAAAGGTTTAGTAGAATTCACCCATGAAGCCATCAGGTCCAGAGCTTTTCTTTGTTGAGAGATTTTTGATTACCAATTCAATCTCCTTACTAGTTATAGATCTATTCAGATTTTCTGTTTGTGATTTAGTCTTAGTAGATTTGTATTTCTAGGAATTTGTCCATTTAATCTAGGTTATCCAGTTTATTGGTGTACAGTTGTTCATAAGTTCATAGTACTCTCTTATAATCCTTCTATTTCTGTAGAATTGGTAATAATGTCCCCATTTTCATTTCTGGTTTTAATCATTTGAGTCTTCTCTTTTTTTCTTAGTACATCTAGTTAAAGGTTTGTCAATTTTGTTGATATTTTTAAAGAAACAACTTTTGGCTTCTCTATTGTTTTTCTATTCTCTATTCATTTCTGCTTTAATTTTTATTATTTTCTTCTGCTAGCTTTGGGTTTAGTTTGCTTTTCTAGTTTCTTAAGTTTTAGAGTTAGGTTATTGATTCAAGATCTGGTTTTTTTTTGTTTGTTTGTTTGTTTGTTTTTAGAGGGAGTCTTGCTCTGTTGCCCAGGCTGGAGTGCAGTGGTGTGATCTCGGCTCACTGCAACCTCCGCCTCCTAGGTTCAAGCGATTCTCCTGCCTCAGCCTCCTGAGTAGCTGGGATTACAGGCGCCCACCACCATGCCTAGCTAATTTTTGTATTTTAATAGAGATGGGGTTTCACTATGTAGGTCAAGCTGGTCTTGAACTCCTGACCTCAAATGATCCACCCACCTCAGCCTCCCAAAGTGCTGGGATTACAGGCGTGAGCCACTGCATCCGGCCTCTTTTTTGTTTTTTAATGTAACCATTGATAGTTATAAATTTCCCCCTTGGCATTGCTTTTGTTGCCTCCCATAAATTTTAGTATGTGTGTTTTCGTTTTCATTTATCTGTAAGTATTTTCTAACTCCCCTTGTAGTTTATTCTTTGATCCATTGGTTGTTTAAGAGTGTGTTGTTTAATTTCTACAAATTTGTAAAATTTTCAATTTTACTTTTGTGATTCATTTCTAACTTCATCCTATTGTGGCTGGAGAAGATATTTTGTATGATATTTATCATTCTAATTCTATTGAGAAAAAAAGGAAATTTGTGGCCTACAAATTTGTGGTCTCTCCTGGAAAATGTCCCATGTGCACTTGAGAAGAATGTGTATTCTGCTGCTGTTGGCTAGAGTGTTCTGAATACATCTGTTAGATCTGGTTGGTTTATTGTGTTAAGTCCTCTATTTCCTTGCTTATCTTCTGTCTGCTGCTTCTGTCCATTGTTCGTAGTGGGGTATTAAAGTCTCCAGTTATTATTGTAGAACTGTCCTTTTATCCTTTCAATTATGTGAGTCTTTTCTTGATATATATATGTATATGTATATATCGTATAGGTATATGTATATACATATACACATATACACATATATGTATAAGTATATGTATATACATATACACATATACACATATGTATATGTATATGTATTTATATGTATATACAAATATATATATATACACACACACATATATGAAGGAATTAGGGAGGAGTAAAGAAGAGTACTTGGTCAACATACAGCAGGTTCATCTCATTGTACAAATGTAAGTTTCTCAAGCTTCAGTTCTATGGGCATCTGGCTTGTTGGAAAATTGGCCTGGTTTCATTTTCCCATCCTCCCTTTATTTTGGACCTCCAGTTACACATTTTAGGCCATTTGATATTGTCTCACAGTCACTAATGCTCTGGTAATTGTTTTCAGTCTTTTTTTTTTCTTTGTGCTTCATTTTGGATTGTTTCTATTGCTATATCTTTAAGTTCACTGATTTATTAAAATCTGCCAGTAATCTTCAGTGAAATTTTCATTTCAGGTGTTGTATCATCTCTAGAAGTTCTATTTGATGTTTAAAATATATCATGGCTAGGCATGGAGGCTCATGCCTGTAATCCCAGCACTTTGGGAGGCCATGGTAGCTGGATCACATGAGATCAGGAGTTCGAGACCAGCCTGGCCAACATGGCAAAACCCTGTCTCTACTAAAAAAAAAAAAAAAAAAAAAAAATAGCCAGTTGTGGTGGTGCACACCTGTAATTCCAGCTACTTGGGAGGCTGAGGAAGGAGAATTGCTTGAAACTTGGAGGCAGAGGCTGCAGTGAGCTGAGATCAGTGTGGGCAACAGAGTGAGACTCTGTCTCAAAAGAGAAAATATCTATCTGTCTGTCTAGCTAGCTAGCTATCTAGCTATCTTATATTCCTCATTCTGTTCATGTTTTCCTTTTAAGTCCTTGACCATATTAAGCATATTTGTAACAGCTATTTTAGTGTTATGGTGTGTTAATTCCATTAGTCTATCATTTCTGTTTTTGTTGTCTGATTATGGGTCACTTTTCCTGCTTTTTTGCATGTCTAGTAATTTTTGACTAGATGGTTGACATTATGAATTTTTTGTTGTTCAGTGCTAGGTTTGTCTGTATTATCTTAAGGAATGTTGGCCTTTGTTGTGACAGGCAGTTAAGTTACTTGAAGATCAGTTTTGGCTGTTTAAGGGTTGCTTTTAAGAATTTTTTTTTTTCAGGTCTAAAGTAGTCCTACTACTAGAACTAGAGCTAGTTTATGCCACTTTAAATGTTCCAAGTATTCAGTAAAGTCTCTCCACACTGGCTGATGGAAACTTGAGTAATTCTTGTTCTTCTCCAAGTTCTAGGAATTGTTTTACCTGTAGTTCCCCAGTACTTTTCTTTCCTTGGAATTTATTCTTTGCCTGTTCTTATGAGGTTTCATACTATACATGTGCAGGTTGATATTTAGCTAATGGCTCGAAGGTACTTTATCCAGATTCCTAGAGCTCTTTCTCTGTGGCTCCCTTCTGTTGAGTACTTAGCCCAGCTAATTCTAGTCACCTAAGCCTTCCTGAACTGACTTTTGCCTCCTCAAGTGCTGAGACTGCCAGGCTCTGTTTGTATTCTTCCTCCTGTGCCAAAGTTTGGAAATTAGCAGAAAAATGGGGCAATCGTGCAATTAGTTACCTTGTTTTCTGGCCTTTTTTTAGAGATTGCAATGCTGTACTGCCTTTGTTTAATATGTGAAAATAGTTGTTTTAATTATTTGTACAGTTTTTTTTTTTTGAGACGGAGTCTCGCTGTGTTGCCCTGGCTGGAGTGCAGTGGTGCGATCTCTGCTCACTGCAAGCCCCACCTCCTGGGTTCACGCCATTCTCCTGCCACAGCCTCCCGAGTAGCTGGGACTACAGGCGCCCGCCACCATGCCCGGCTAATTTTTTGTATTTTTAGTAGAGATGGGGTTTCACCATGTTAGCCAGGATGGTCTTGATCTCCTGACCTCGTGGTCCGCCCGCCTCGGCCTCCTAAAGTGCTAGGATTACAGGCGTGAGCCACGGCGCCTGGCCTATTTGTACAGTTTTGTAGTGTTTTTGTGGAGGTAACTCCAGACACTGTTTTGCTTTCATGGTCAAAAGTGGAAATTTCTTCTCCCCATTTTTATCTGGATCCTGTATATCCTTCATTTCTATGTTTTCTTAAAATTATCTTTTAATTAATTAATTTTATTTTATTATTATTGTTATTATTTTTGAGATAGGGTCTTACTCTGTTGCCCAAGCTGGAGTGCAGTGGTGCAATCTTGGCTCACTGCAACCTCCCCCTCCTGGATTCAAGTAATTATCTCACCTCAGCCTTCCGAGTAGCTGGGGCTACAGGTGTGTCCCACCATGCCTGGCTAATTTTTGTATTTTTTGGTAGAGATGGGGTTTCACCATATTGGCCAGGCTTGTCTTAAACTCCTGACTTCAAGTGATCCTCCTGCCTTGGCTTCTCAAAGTGCTGGGATTACGGGCATGAACCACTGCACCTGGCCTATTTTATTTTATTTTTTTAGAGAATGAGGTCCCACTCTGTTGCTCAGGCTGGAGTTCAGTGGTGTGATCATAGCCCACTGCAACCTTGAACTCCTGGGCTCAAGCGATCCTCTCCACTTAGCCTCCCAAATAGCTGGGACCACTGGCGTGTCCCACTATGCCTGGCTAATTTTAATTTTAATTTTTTTTTTTTTTTTTTGGTAGAGATGGGTTTTCACTGCATTGTCAAGGCTTATCTTGAATTCCTGGCCTCAAGTGATCCTCCTGCCTTGGCCTCCCAAAGTACTAGGATTACAGGCATGAGCCACTGTGTCTGGCCTATCCTTCATCATTCTTGTTCTTGTATTGCTCAATTTGGCTTTACTCACAGGAATTTCTCCTCATTGTGGCCTCTGGGTTGGAAAAGATCCCTGGTTGGTTAATTTTAAGAGTTCATAGAATCTAGTCTGCCCTGGTCCCTTCAGTTTCTATTGTTGACTCCATGCACTCAACTGTTATTGGATTAGGCAAGACATCTTCTAGTTTTAGCTGCTGTTCTCTAATAGCCTTCCCATGATTTCTGGTGAGTACCTGTTGATTATTTTGAGAGACTGGTTTCCCTGTCCCCCATCCCCAGGTCTGTCAGATGCTCTCTTGCTTCCTTTGTTTCCTCCCACACAGATGCTGATTCTATACAGGTCTGTGGCTCTTGTGGTTTGTTCTCATAGACTTGTCTTTTGGGGTTTATCTTGATATTGTAAATATTATCCATGGATTTTGGGCTTGCAATCTAGTAGAACTACTTGTTTTCATGTGAGTATTTGGGAAGATTTTAAAACAATGTTGCTGTTATTGCCATTACCTTCCCAGGATTTTACTCTATATTTAAAAAATTATTTTATAAGTGGCATTATTATTTTAAAATTTTATTTTCTAATTATGTATTGCAAGCATAGACATATAAATAATTTTCATTTATTGCTGTTTGCATCCAACAATCTTGCTAAATTATCTTATTAATTTAAATAATTTATCTGTAGTATTCTGGATCTTCCACATAGATATATCATCTGTGAATAGTGAGTTTTGTTTAATCTTTGTCTTTTATTCCCCTTGCTTTCCTGTGTTGTCTAAAATATTTAATGCAATGGGAAGGAAGTGCTGATAGCTGGTTTCATTGATTGTTCTTGATTTCAAAAGGCAAGCTTTCTTCACTTCATTATTAAATATGTGCCTATGTTTAAGCATATGTTCACTATTAAGTATAATCTTTTTTTTTTGAGAGACACCATTTATCAGGTTAGGGAAATTATTCCTGGTTTGCTAAAAGTTTTTCTCCGTAAATCATCATTGTATTGTATGTTTTTCCTATATCTCTTGAGATGATAATATTTTTCTTCTTTATTATATCAATGTGACTAATTATATTGATTTTCTCTAGTGGTATGCTTTGAATCATCTCTACTGAGTTTTTTGCTTTGTAGTTACCACGAAGCTTACATAAAACATCTCCTGCCTCAGCCTCCCAAAGGGCTGGGATTACAGGCATGAGCCACCATGACCAGCCCCAAAGGCTGGATTTTTGTACCTAATTTTTTCTTCAGCCTTTTCTTCCCTGCATGATTTTCTGCTTCTCTCTTAATGTTATGGAAGCATCATTTGTCTCAGGGAGACGCCCATCAACCCACCAATAACTCCAATAAATCCAATAACAGAGGAGTGGCCCACCTGCTGTTGCATTCTCTGGCATACAGCTTCTGGAAGCTGTTGGTTCACTGGAGCAGAAGGTCTTTGGCAAGTGATTGTTTTTATTTCCCACAAGTTGCTGGGAAAGTATTTACTTACTTCCTGAAACACTGAACCACTTCATCAGGAAAAAGAGATGTGAACTGACTCCTCAGTGATTACAGTTTGGTCCTGTTTCTTGTTTATGTAGCAGAAGTTTCTCTGTTTTTGACATGAGGATGGAACCTATTTTTCAGAAATGATGCAGATATCCCCATATTTGTAATATTTTAAAATCATTGGTTTTTTTTTTTGTTGGGTAGGGGGAGATTGTGGGTAAGTTTGGAGATTGGTGTTCATGTGGCTATCTTAGAAGAAACTTCCTTTTGTTTTGATGGTGAATTGTAGGAGTGGCAGGTGCTTGGAAGTTTAAAAAATTTAACAAAATTTTGACATAATTTCAGACTTACAACACTTCCATCTTTCCTTGTCTTTATTGACTGTGACATTTTTACTGAGCACAGGCCAGCTATTTTACAGAATGTACTTCAATTTAGATTTGTTTTCTGGTGTTTCCTCACGATTGGAGTTTTGTTACATGTTTTTGGCAGGAATCCCACAGAAATGATGTTGTGCTCTTAATGCATTGTATCAGGAGTTATATGATATCAGGTGACTATTATTGGTTTAGGTAGTGTGTAATACTCTAAAGATACTAGTTTCTTGGGTTTTTTTGGGGGGAATATCTTGTGGGGAGATACAGTAATACTATGCAATTATCCTGTCCCCATCAAATTTTCATCATCTTGTTTTAGCAACCATTGATGATTCTTGCTTGTGTCAGTTATTACTCTGGTAATTTCCAAACAATGATTTGTTAAAAAGACATATTTATTGAGGGATGATTGACAAGTAAAAAACTGTACATATTTCATGTGTACAACTTGATTAGTTTATGATAAGCAGTGACCTTCTAATTCATCGTTCCTTGTACATTTATTAGTTTGTATTCTACTATAAGGAAGAGGTTTTCCTTTTCCTGAGTTGTATCCCTGTGGATTCATGGATTCTTGTTTTAGTCTGTTGGTTCTCATCTGTTACTATTCTTTATTTTGATGTTCTGATTTGTCCAGATTTCGCTGATGAGAGCTTCTTCAATTGGATTTCTTTGTCCATTATGATCTTTTTATTTTCACTTATCAATACATATTTTTTCTTGATTATGATTATGATTATGATTATGATTTTTTTTTTTTTGAGACGGAGTCTCACTCTGTTGCCCAGGCTGGAGTGTAGTGGCGTGATCTCAGCTCACTGCAAACTCCGCTTCCCAGGTTCACGCCATTCTCCTGCTTCAGCCTCCTGAGTAGCTGGGACTACAGGCGCCCGCCACTGTGCCTGGCTAATTTTTTGTACTTTTAGTAGAGATGGGGTTTCACCGTGTTAGCCAGGATGGTCTCGATCTCCTGACCTCAGGTGATCCACCCACCTCGGCCTCCCAAAGTGTTGGGATTACAGGCGTGAGCCACTGTGCCCGGCTGATTATTATTATTTTTTTGAGACAGAGTCTTACTCTGTCACCTAGGCTGGAGTACAGTGGTATGATCTTGGCTTACTGTAACCTCTGCCTCCCGATTCAAGTGATTCTCCTAAGTCAGCCTCCCTAGTAACTAGGATTACAGGTGCCTGCCACCATGTCCGGCTATTTTTTTTTTTTTTTTTTTTTTGCATTTTTAGTAGAGATAGGGTTTTGCCATGTTGGCCAGGCTGGTCTCAAACTCCTGACCTCAAGTGATCCGCCTGCCTTGGCCTCCCAAAGTACTGGGATTACAGGCATGAATCACCATGCCTGGCCGTATTTTTATTGATTATTAAAGTAATACAGGTGAGTGGGGAATGGTGGCTTGTGCCTGTAATGCCACCTACTCTGGAGGCTGAGACCGGAGACTCACTTGAGCACAGGAGTTCGAGGCCAGCCTGAGCATCATAGTGAGACTCCCATCTTGAAAAAAACTTTTAAAAATTAGCTGAGTATGGTGGCACATGCCTATAGTCCTAGGTACTTTGGAGGATAAGGTGAGAGGATCCTTTGAACCCAGGAGTTCAAGGCTGCAGTGAACTGTGGATCATGCCACTGCATTCCAGCCTGGGTGACAGAGTGAGAACCTGTGTCTGAAAAAAAAGTAATACAAGATTTTAAAAAATTTAATGTAAAAGCAGGGATAAGGATATAAACATATTTGTAGCCATCATCGTCTTTTTTTTTTTTTTTTTTTTTTTGAGACAGGGTTGCCCAGGCTGGAGTGCAGTCGTGCGATCTCGGCTCATTGCAACCTCCGCCTCCTGTGTTCAAACGATCCTCCTGCCTCAGCCTCCTGAGTAGCTCAGATTACAGGCGTGAGCCACTGCGCCTGGCCTGATCATCTTCTGTATATTGATGTATTTCCTTTCAGCCTTTCATTGCATTTTTAAATGTAGTAGAGATAGAACTAAAGATAGAAATTTGTATCTTAGTCTTATGTTTTTAACCTGTAATTGAATTATAAGCATTTTCTTGTGTAACAAAGAGCTCTTTGGAAGCTGTGTCTCACAAGCAGTTATCCATGTCACCCAAATGTGCCAGTGCTGCCTTGAAGCCCATCTACTGCCTCTGCTTTTGGAAAGCATGCTCCTTCCCCCACTGAAAGAAAACTCCAGTTTCCCCTCTCTCTTCCTCTCTTTCATGTAACTTTTTTTTTTTCAGCACACTCCTTGCCTTTTCTCTTGTATTTGAAGAGCCAACAGAAGTTCAGAGTGGCGGGAACTTGGAGAATAAGGAGGAGAATAGCCCTAGATGTGAGGTAGAACACCATCCTTTTGCTGGAGATAGAGCAGTAGGCAGAGATGGACAATGAATAAATTAACAATCAATAGATAATAAAGTCAGGAGATGAGAAATGCCATGAAGTAAAGAGAGTTGTGGGTAGGTAGCTGCTATTTTAGATAGGTGGACAGGGAAGGCATCTCTGGTGAGGCTATATTTGAGCAGAGATCTGAGTGTTTTACAGATTAGAAAGCTCAGAAAGGTAAAGTAACTTTTCTAAGGTTACAAGGCAGATTTAGTATTAAATTAGTTTAGTTTAGTTTAGTTTTGTTTTTAAATTCAGAAGCCCTCTGTAAATAGTACTTCAGTGTTCTTAGAAATCCTTTTATTTCAGGCTGGGTGCAGTGGCTCACACCTGTAATTCCAGCACTTTGGGAGGCTGAGGTGGGCGGATCACTTGAGGTCAGGAGTTCAAGACCAACCTGGCTCTACTAAAAATACAAAAATTAGTCAGGTGTGGTAGTGGGCGCCTGTAATCCCAGCTACTTGGGAGGCTGAGTCAGGAGAATCGCTTGAACCCAGTAGCTGGAAAAAAAAAAAAGAAATCCTTTGATTTCAGGGATTCCTGACTCTTGGGTATGTCTGTCTCTATCCCTATCCTGTACAAGAAAACATTTCTTTTTTTTTTTTCTTTTTTTTTTGAGATGGAGCCTTACTCTGTCTCCCAAGCTGGAGTGCAGTGGCCTGATCTCGGCTCACTGCAACCTACGCCTCCTGGGTTCAAGCGATTCTCCTGCCTCAGCCTCCCGAGTAGCTGGGATTACAGGTGCCTGCCACTATACACAGCTAATTTTTGTATTTTTAGTAGAGACGGGGTTTCACCATGTTGGCCGGGCTGGTCTCGAACTCCTGACCTCAGGTGATCCATCTTCCTCGGCCTCCCAAAGTGCTGGGATTACAGCGTGAGCCACCACGTGAAAACATTTCTAAGAAGTGAAACTTATGCAAGAGATTTTTTTGTGCTTTAAATGTCAGTGGTGGTATAAAATTTGCTTTAAGGAGATGTTGAGGATTGTTTTGTAACTCAGTAGTTACTTGACTCTAAAATCTAAAATCTACAGATTTTGGTGTCCTTCAGGTCTCCTCAGGAAGATGAACCCTCCCTTGCAGAAGCGGGAGCTGCCCCAGAGAGTCTGTGTGAGATGAAGACAGAGGCCCAGCCTTCGACATCCTTGCTGGCAAACACCTCATGGACTGGCACAGTGATTTCTGACAGTGTCCCAGGAAGTCAAACGTGGGAAGACAAGGGTTCATTGACCCGGTCTGCAACATCTTGGACCTCAGAGGCCCAAGTTTCAGCAGCCCGGGTTGCAGAGGCTCAGGCCAGGACCAGTCAGCCCAAGCAAATTTCTGTATTGGAGGCGTTAACTGCCTCAGCCCTGAACCAGAAACCCACGCATGAGAAGGTGCAGATGACAGAGAAGAAAGAGAGTGAGGTCCTCCTTGCCCGTCCGTTCTGGTCCAGCAAAACTGAGTATATTCTGGCTCAGGTGGGCTTCTCTATGAAGCCATCTTGTCTCTGGCGCTTTGCCTACCTGTGGCTTAACAGTGGAGGCTGTAAGTCTGGGGACCAGGAAACCTGGGTCCACAAGGGGCAATCAGGACAGAGTCCTGTCCAGGCTTTAACCATGAATGTTTCTGAGATATGTAGAGACTAAAGACCTGGTGCTCTGAGCAGGATAGGAGCCAGGTCCCTGGACACTTAGGATCATGAGAGGTTCAGGGTATCTGAACATGGGGATGGCAAAGCTGGAGGCCTGGGCCCAAGATGGGCTGGAAACTAGGTACTTGGGTCTTCCAGGATTTGGGGGCCAGAGGACTGGACACTTGGGACCGTGAGGGATGTAGACATGGGTGAGCCCTGATGCCTGTGGCCCTGGAAGAGGTCGCTGGTAGGGAGAATGTTTTCCTGGGCTCCTGGAGTCCAGGCACTGAAAGGCCACATGGTTCTCAGAGTCCCTTCTGAATCTTCTTCACAGGCAGTTTCGCTGCCATCTACATCTTCATGCTGTTCCTGGTCGGGGTTCCTCTTCTCTTCCTGGAGATGGCAGCTGGTCAGAGCATGCGTCAGGGTGGCATGGGTGTATGGAAGATCATTGCCCCCTGGATTGGTGGTGTGGGGTATTCTAGCTTCATGGTGAGGAGCCCATGGCTGCCCAGGCCTGACTTTTACACCCCACCGCCATCCCAACCCTCCTCCTGAAATGCGCCCTGTGAATACCTCCATGGGTCAGATCCCTTTGGTTCCCCAATCCTCTGTCAAATCCCCTCCCTTTTCCTGTCCCTGCTCTTCCTCCCCAGCCATATCCTCCTTGGCCCCCAGGTGTGCTTCATCCTCGGCCTGTACTTCAATGTGGTCAATTCCTGGATCATCTTCTACATGAGCCAGTCCTTCCAGTTTCCCGTTCCATGGGAGAAATGTCCCTTAACGATGAACTCTAGTGGCTTTGGTGAGGAGGAAGTGAAAGAAGAGGAGAAGGGAAAAATGGAGAAGTAGAAGTAGAAGGGAATTTGGAATAGGAGAGAGTGGGGAGGGACAAGGAAGAGGAAGAAGAAGGAAAAAGAAATGGGAGAGGGAAAGAGAAAAGGGAGGTGGGGGAGGGGATAAGGAAGAAGAGGGGGTACCTTGTCTAGCAGGCATGTCTAAAGCCAGGTCCCCCCAGATCCTGAATGTGAACGGACAACACCCTCCATATACTTCTGGTACCAGCAGGCCTTGAAGGCCTCAGACAGAATCGAGGATGGCGGGTCACCAGTCTACAGTCTGGTCCTGCCCTTCTTTCTTTGCTGGTGTCTTGTTGGTGCTTTCATGATCAATGGGCTCAAGTCCACTGGGAAGGTGAGCCACCAGTATTGGATTCCTTGAAATTCTCAGATGCTTTAGCCCTTACCTCAATTTGTTACTTGTTGATCTCCTAATCTCTTACTCCTTTGGCTTTTACTCCCCTAGCCCCTGACTCTTGCTGAAGGCTTTCTTCTAACTCCTACTCATTTCTGACTCAGAACTTTTGATCCCTCCTAACTGTTGGTTGACCCCTACTGGTACACGGTTGCTGATATGTCCCACTCTCGATTCAGGTAATCTATGTCTTGGTACTGCTCCCCTGTTTCATCATTGTCGGTTTCTTCATCCGGACTCTACTCCTGGAAGGGGCAAAATTTGGCCTTCAACAGTTGGTGGTTGCCAAGGTGAAATCTATCTCCTCACTCCCCCGTCAGGCCTTGTAGGGCACCACAGCTGCCTATTCTTAGAGCTTCCTTTCCCCATTCTTTACTTTTGTATCTCCCTCTCTCCTCCCTGCAACATTTCTATTATAGTTGTCCTCTGCTTCTTCTTTTACAACCCCCTTATGCTTGTCTTCTCTCTTTTAGATATCGGATGTGTACAATATGAGTGTGTGGTCTCTAGCAGGGGGTCAAGTTTTGTCTAACACAGGCATAGGCCTTGGCTCCGTTGCCTCCTTAGCCTCCTACATGCCCCAGTCCAACAACTGTCTCAGTGATGCCTTTCTCGTGTCTGTGATAAACCTGCTCACTTTGTTGGTTTTCACATCTTTCAACTTCTGTGTCCTGGGCTTCTGGGCGACAGTCATCACACATCGCTGCTGTGAGAGGTAAGGCCGGCCCCTTTGTTAAGGGTCTCAGCTCCAGGGAACTTTAAAACCCTGAGACCCTAACCTTAAAGGTGCTGCAAAGACCCATGTTCACACATTTCAACCTTGGGTGCACTTGCAAGCCCTCTACCTTCCCCATAGCTAAAAATGGAGACAATAGAATCTCCTATCATATATTATCCTTCTCAGAGCCTTTTGTCACCCTAGAAATAAATCTTCAAACTCAGAGATTGCCAGCTATCCACCTCAGAGTGGATATGCTAACAGGGATGTACTAAAAATTGCAAACATTGAAGGCTTCTCTAATCCCAGATACACAACAAAATACCATCCAAGACCATACCACACAGAGACTTCCAAGGCCATCCTTGGAAAAATGGAGAAGTAGAAGGCCCCCATTATTTTATTTTATTTTTATTTTTTGAGATGGAGTCTCGCTCTTTCACCCAGGCTGGAGTGCAGTGGCGCGAACTTGGCTCACTGCAAGCTCTGCCTCCTGGGTTCAAGCCATTCTCCTGCCTCAGCCTCCTGAGTAGCTGGGACTACAGGTGCCCATCACCAGGCCCGGCTAATTTTTTTGTATTTTTAGTAAAGACAGGGTTTCACCATGTTAGCCAGGATGGTCTCGATCTCCCGACCTCATAATCCGCCCGCCTCAGCCTCCCAAAGTGCTGCGATTACAGGCGTGAGCCACCGCGCCCTAAGGCCCCCATTCTTAACTGTTAACTCCTGAATTGGGGATTTCTGTCAATCTAGCAGAAACTCCAAAAGGATTCTCTGTACTAGAACCTTGATTGTCTGATCACCCCTGTTTCTTATTTTTCTTATTTTTAGGCATTAATTCCAAAAACATCCATCAGACAGACATTTAGGAAGTGTTCTTTCTATACAACAGAGACTTGGACAGGTGAATCAGACCACAGTCCTTGTTTCATTAAGTTTTCAATTTTGGAGGGGGAAGGAAAGGAGAATGAGACAGCCAAAAACTTGTGCTAACTGGTAACTGAAGTGATGGGTGAGGACAGGAGACAGAGCCATTAATTCTGTCTGGACTAGTCAGATGGGGCCTTCCAGAGGAGGCAACCCTGAGTTGAATTTCTCCCAGTAATCTTTTTTTTTTCTTTTTCTTTTTTTTCTTTTTCTTTTTTTTTGCTTCCTCCTCCTCTTCCTCTCTCTCCCAGCAGATTTTTTTTTTTTAATTTAAATTTTTGAGAACAGGGTCCCACTATATTGCTCAGGCAGGTCTTGAACTCCTGGGCTCAAGCCATCCTCCTGCCTCTGCCTCCCAAAGAGCTGGGATTACAGGCGTGAGCCACCGCGCCCGACCTCTCCTAGTAACCCTAACCCTCACAAATAACCACCATTTTCTTCTAGAAGATGCCTGGGAATATACATGTGTGCGTGTGCAAGAGTTCTTGACAGCATATAGTTAGGAAAGGAATTGCTGAGTAGGGTGTGCTCCCCTTCAATTTTATCATATATTGTCTGGTTTTCAAAGTGGCGTAATGCATTGCCCTCCCATCAGGGATGTGTGAGACTTCCATTTGTTCTACTTTTTGCACAACACTTGATTAAACTTGGTTGGACTTTTAAATTGTTTCCAGTCTGGTGGGAGTGTAATGGTAGTTTTTTTGTGTATTTTCAAAAAAACCTTTTATTATGAGCTATTACCTACATATGGAAAAATGCATAAAACAAGGCCGGGAGCAGTGGCTCACGCCTGTAATGCCAGCTCTTAGGGAGGCTGAGGTGGGAGGATTGCTTGAACCCAGGAGTTTGAAATCAGCTGGGCGAGACCCTTCCTCTAACAAAAAAAAAAAAAAAGTGTATAAAACAATGCACTGTGTAACGAACCGTGAAGTAAACATCACCTGTATTAAGAACTAGAATAACCCTAGATGCTCTCTGTGTATCTTTTTCTAATCATAATCTCTTTACTGCCTCCCAGAGGTAACCATCATAAAAGTCAGGATAGTGGTTACTATATTGCTTAGTAGATACGCATACATAGATGATCAAATGTAAAGAAAAACAAGCCGGGTGCGGTGGCTCATGCCTATAATCCCAGCACTTTGGGAGGCTGAGGCAGATGGATCACGAGGTCAGGAGTTTGAGACCAGCCTGGCCAATATGGTGAAACCCCATCTCTACTAACAAATACAAAAATTAGCCGGGCGTGGTGGCACACACCTGTAGTCCCAGCTACTCAGGAGGCCAAAGCAGGAGAATTGCTTGAACCTGGGAGGTGGAGGCTGCAGTGAGCTGAGATTGTGCCACTGCATTCCACCTGGGCAACAGAGTGAGACTCTCTCTCAAAAAAAAAAAAAAGAAAAAAAAAAAACAAAGAACTAAGGATAGTGATTAATGTTTTTCTTTATATTCTATCATCTATGTATGCATAGCTAAGCAATATAATTTGTCCACTTATATAAAGCAATATGTTTAGTTATTTGTTCCCTCATATATACATTCTCTTTGCTTACTTTTGTGCTTTCTTTTTCTCATCCAACATGTTTGCAATATTTATCCATATTGTGTATAACTTTAATCTGTGCTCTTTCTTTTTCTTTTTTTTTTTGAGACAGACTCTCGCTCTGTTGCCCAGGCTGGAGTGCAGTGGTGTGATCTCGGCTCACTGCAACCTCTGCCTCCTGGGTTCACACCATTCTCTTGCCTCAGCCTCCCAAGTAGCTGGGATTACAGGTGCCCACGACCATGCCTGGCTAATTTTTTGTATTTTTAGCAGAGACAGGGTTTCACCGTGTTAGCCAGGACGGTCTCGATCTTCTGACCTCGTGATCCGCCCGCCTCGGCCTCCCAAAGTGCTGGGATTACAGACGTGAGCCACCACGCCAGGCCTAATCTGTGCTTTTAAAATGCTGTATAATGTTTCAGTATATGAATATACCACAGTTTTTAAAAATCCATTCAACTATTGATAACATTTGGAGTCTTTCCAGTTTTATGCTATTAAAACAATGTTGCTGCAAACATTCTTATGCATGTTCCTGATGTACTACATATGTGCACATTTTTCTGGGATATGAGTTAGATTGTTGGGGCATAGTTGTCTATTCTTGGGTAACAAATCACTCTGGAAGTAAATGGATTAAAACAACAATGATTTATCTCATGATTCTGCGGGTTGGCTGGAAAGCTCTTCTGCTGGGCTTGTATGGGTTCACTGACATGGCTGCATTTAGCTGGAGGGTTGGCTGGGGGCTGAGCCCAGCAGGGACGGCGCTGCTCACTGCTCTTCTTCTTCTTTTTTTTTTTTTTTTTTGAGACAGATCTTTGCTTTTGTCACCCAGGCTGGAGCGTAATGGTGCAATCTCGGCTCACTGCAACCTCCGCCTCCCGGGTTCAAGCGATTCTCCCGCCTCACCTTCCCGAGTAGCTGGGATTACAGGCACCCACCACCACACCCAGCTGATTTTTGTATTTTTAGTAGAGACGGGGTTTCACCATGTTCACCAGGATGGTTTCAAACTCCTGACCTCAAGTGATCCACCCACCTTGGCCTCCCAAAGTGCTGGGATTACAGGCGTGAGCCACCACACCCAGCCGGCACTGCTCTTCTTTAAGTGGTGGTGGCTGGGTTCACTCCTGTTTGTAGTCAGTTGGCTGGCCAGCAAGGGCTGCTCTCTTCCATGAGGCCTCTCCATGGGGCTAGTTTGGTCTTCTTCACATGGTAGCTCACAGAGCACAAAGGCAGACTCAGCAAAGTGTCTTGAAGCGAAGTATAGGACTGCTTCCATTGCTGCTACATTTCTTGGTTGAAGGAAGTAAAAAAGCTACCCCAGATTCCAAAGGTGAAAAATAGACTTTACCTCTTAATTGGAGGAGCTCCAAAATATTGTGGCTGTATTTATTCAATCTACCACATATATCTACAACTTCACAGATGATGCCAAATTACTTTCCATAGTATCTGTGCCAATTTATAATTGTATGTATATGAAATGTGTGTATGGAAGTTCTCATTACCTCACTCGTGCAAATACTTGTATTGTCATAGTTTAAAGCAAAATGTGTGGTCAAGTTCATTTTTGCCCATTTTAAAAAAAATATTGGATGATCTATCTTTTTCTATGGAGTTCTTTATATGTTCTGGATATGTAGTCATTTTCCAGTTGTATATATTAAAATTCTTTTCTCTCACCTGGTGGAGTGCATTGAACATCCCAGGTTCAAGCGATTCTCCTGCCTTAGCCTCCCGAGTAGCTGGGATTACAGGCATGTGCCACCACGCCTGGCTAATTTTGTATTTTTAGTAGAGACGGGGTTTCTCCATGTTGGTCAGGCTGGTCTCGAACTTTCGACCTCAGGTGATCCGCCCACCTCAGCCTCCCGAAGTGCTGAGATTACAGGCTTGAGCCACCACGCCCAGCCAACAAAGGTTTTTAAAGGAAAAAAATGAGGAGGATAACATAATTGTTTTGAAATAATTTTCCTTGACTACAGAGATCGATAACAAGGGTGACACCAGTCCAAGATTGGATAGGCGTTTGTTGGGCAGATGTTTCTGCAGGAATATTTTGTGTGTGTAAGGTTGCAGTGGCCTTTATGCGTGGTTATAGTTTTTGTAGTTGTTTTTCTAATCAGACATACAAGTGTGAGAACCCTCTCTTTATGGCCTTCCTTGACTCAATTTGCTAGGGCTTTCTTAACATTAGTGACTCCATTTTATTCTGATAACGTTCACATTTCCTCTTTTAATCAAGATCTTTCTCCAAAAGCATCACTGATCAATCATTCATATTTGGGTTTTCCTGTCCCTCAATGTCATGATGGGCCTGTCCCAGTTGCTGGTCTCATGTCACATTGAGGGGAATGATGGGTGACTTGGAGTCAGTGTCAAACTCTTGTAGCCACATTTGAGCAACAAGGGACATTTGAAGGGGGTATCTCTTAGGCTAAGTCTATCTGAGGTCCATTATGAAGTTCAATTTTGTCTGTTCCATAGTCTTTTGTTATCATCTCAAAGTGTTTGGCTGGGCCAGCATTATTTTGTTAGGAGTTGTACTTCTGTAAAAATTTAACAAGTGACAGATACAAAGTTTTAAAAAGGGCAAATATAAAGTAAAATTAATAGTAATATGATAATAGTTTTGTGCCCCAAACCTTATCACTTGTATAAATCAAATGACTGAAGGGCGTTAGATGAGACCAGTTCTAATGGTGTGGCTTTTTTTCTTTTTTCTTTTTTCTTTTTTTTTTTTTGAGACAGTCTCACACTGTCACTCAGGCTGGAGTGCAGTGGCGTGATCTCAGCTCACTGCAACCTCTGCCTCCCGGGTTCAAACAATCCTCCTGCCTCAGCCTCCCAAGTAGCTGGGACTACAGGTGGGCGCCACCATGCCCAGCCAATTTTTGTATTCTTAGTAGAGACAGGGTTTCTACTAAACCCTATACTGGCCAGGCTGGTCTTGAACTCCTGGCCTCATGATCCGCCTGCCTTGGCTTCCCAAAGTGCTGGTATTACAGGCATGAGCCACCCTGCCCGGCCTACATACTTTTTAAAGTATTCTTGGTTGTCAGATTTTTTTTCAGCACTTTGAATATATCATCTTACTCTCTCCTGGACTGCAAGATTTCTGTTGAGAAATGTGTCGATACTTGTACTGGGGCTCCCTTATATGTGATATGCTTTTCTCTTTCTGCTTTCAGAATTCTTTGTCTTCAGTTTTAAATAATTTGTTTATAATATGTCTCAATGAACTCTTCTTTGGGTTGAATTTTATTAGAGACCTCTGAACTTCTTGTACCTGGATGTTTGTATCTTTCTCCAGATTAGGGAAGTATTCAGCTATTTTTAAAGATAAACTTTGTCCTTTTCTCTTCTCCTCTGTAAATCTTGTTATGTAAGTGTTCTCTTGATGGCCTCCCATAGATATTGTAGACTTTCTTTGGTTATCTTCATTTCTTTTTCTTTTTCTCCTCTGACTGGATGATTTAAAATGATGTCTTTGAATTTGCTTATTCTTTCTTCTGCTTTTCTAGTCAGCTGTTGAAGCCATCTATTGTATTTTTTGTTTATTGTTATTCTTCAGCTCAAAAATGTTTGTTTGGTTCTTTTTCATATTTTCAGTGCCTTTGTTTAGCCTCTTCTTTCGTTGTTCTATTGTTTTCCTGATTTTGTTAAATTGTTTTCTCTGTTCTTTTATAATTGACTGAGATTCTTTAGAACCATTATTGTGAATTCTTTGTCAGGCAATTAGTGGATCTGCTATTCTTTGGAGTCAGCTAATGGAAGTTTATTGTTTTCCTTTGGTGTTATCATGATTCTCCAATTCTTCATGATTTTTATAGTCTTGAGAAAAGCATTTGAAGAAGCATTAACTTCAAATGCTTTTTTTGGGGAGAAGAGTGGTGCTCTCTGGCACTGGGTCCAGTGGCACAGAGTGCCAACTGTGGGTGGGGGTGCGTGTGGTGGGTCCAGGTTGGAGGGACACAGAGTCTTGTTAGCACAGGCAGCTGGGGGCTGTGATGTTGATACCTGCATGGTCCTTGGTGGCAACAGCTGTGGGAGGTCCACAGTGGCTGTGAACCTCCCACAGAGTTTTCTGGGACCTCAGCTGTGCCTCTTGCCTAGCATCTAGGGGCCAGGACTCGCAGCAGTGGAGGCTGGGGTCAGTGGTGTGCACACACTCTGCTGCAGAGGCTGGCTGTAGGCACAAGCATGGCAGCAGAGGCTAGTTGCAGGCTCATTAATGGTGGCAAGGGGTGGAGTCAGAGGCAGGGGCTGGGGTTGACTAAGGGCATGCATGTGGCAGTGGGGCCTGACAGCTTGTGCCTAACTGCAGGGGCCTGCTGCAGTCTGGCCACAGAGGTCAGTCCATCTGCATGTACGTGGGCAGTTGCAGGGCTGAGCTGGAGGCGTGTGTGCACATGCAGCCGCGGGGCCTAGCTGAGGGTGCAAACGTGATGCTGGAGTTAGAACCTGGGGATGGGGAGGCATGGCTGTGTGCAGGCACATGCATGGTAGCTGTGCTGGGTCCTTGGCTCAGAGCACTTGTAGAGGCAGCAGCTGGGGTGACTCCATAGAGGAGGGGTATTGGCTTAGGCACCCAGAGAATGCGATGGCCACTGGGGTGAGTCCCTGGGTCTGGTCTGGGTGACCATGGTATTGAACAGCTTAGGTGGTTTCAGGGACAGAGGAAGGAGAAATTAGAGGGCCAGGCACCTGGAGACTGTGAAGGTGGAAAAAACTACAGGGCTTTTGCTGCTGCAGTGCTGGCAGTTGGTTTCCTCAGCTGTGAAAGCTGCTTGGTTCCTCTGCAGAAAATGGTGCTGGCATCAGCCATTGGTAACACCAAGGTGTCCTTGGTGGTGAAAACTGTGGGGAGCTGCACAGTGGCCAGGAGTGCTGTTGAGGTCCTCAGTACAGAAGTGTGCTAGAGACCCGTGTTGAGCAGGCCACTAGGGGGCGCTGTGGCTCCCACCAGCATGGCTGATACTGACAGCCTGTCCCACTTCTTGGTTCCCCATTATCTCCGTAAGTCTCGGCAATGCCAGTCCCCACGGAAATGTGAATGGAGTGAAACTGAAGCTGGTTGGGCAGTGTCCCAAAACACTAGGGAAGCTGGTGGTATAGCCTGCTCTCATTATCCCTGAAAGAGGGTTATGCGAGCCAGGGAATTCCCTCTCCATGCTGAGCAGTGCTGGCTCGGGGGATGGGGTGATGTGGGCAAAATGGAATTGTTCTTTCCACCCTTTCTGTATGGGTTTTTCTAGGGTTCTTTCTCCCACTAAAAGTCAGCTGAAGCCGACTTCTCAATTCTTCCAGAGTAATTTTTATTTTATTTTATTTATTTATTTATTTTTGAGATGGAGTCTCGCTGACTTCCAGGCTGGAGTGCAGTGGCCTGATCTCGGCTCACGCAACTTCCGCCTCCCGGAATCAAGCAATTCTCCTGTCTCAGCCTCCCAAGTAGATGGGATTACAGGAACGTGCCACCATGCCCAGCTAATTTTTGTATTTTTTGTAGAGACGGGGTTTCCCCACGTTGGCCAGGCTGGTCTCGAACTCCTGACCTCAAGTGATCCTCCCGCCTCAACCTCCCAAAGTGCTGGGATTACAGGCATGAGCCACCGCGCCCGGCCCAGAGTAATTGTTGTTCAAGGATAGTTGCCAAATTGTTGCTCTTTATAGAGAAAGGGAGGCTGGATCCCTTTCTCTGCCATCATGATAGGAAATAATTGGCTCTGTCTCCCATCTTACTTTGCTATTTGTTTCTCCTGGTCTGTATTTTGTTTTTTCTCTTTTCTTGCCTTCTTTTGGATTGACTTAGTAGTTATTTATCATTCCATTTTTTTTTTCCTCCACTAGTCTGGAAGTTATCCACTCTGTTTTCTGTTCTTTCAGTGATTTAGTGATTTCCCCAGAATTCACAATATGCATTCTTAATTTATCGATGTCTAAAGGTAATCAGTACTTCACTGTCTTTCAAGATAAGGGCTCCAAAACTCTTTATATCCATTTACATGCATTCCTAACTTACATTTGAATGTTATATCATGTTTTTGTTTTGTTTTGAGACGGAGTCTTACTTTGTCACCCAGGCTGGAGAGCAGTGGTGCAATCTCAGCTCACTGCATCCTTTGCCTCCTGGGTTCAAGTGATTCTCCTGCCTCAGCCTCTCGAGTAGCTGGGATTACAAGCATGCACCTCATGTATTTTTATTTCATATTATTTTGCTAAAATGCAAAGATATTATTGTTTTATTATATAGTTAATGTTCAATTAGATGTACTACTTCCTATTTATTGCTTTCTTTGATCTTTATTCTATCTTGCATCCTGGCCCTTCCATGAGGGATTTCCTTCTACTTGAATATCCTTTAAATTACTCTCTTTTTTTTTTTTTTTTTTTTTTGAGACAGAGTCTCACTCTGTCGCTGAGGCTAGAGTGCAGCAGCACTGTGTCAGCTCACTGCAGTTTCCTGCCTCAGACTCCCAAGTAGCTGGGATTACAGGTGCCCACCACCACGCCCGGCTAGTTTTTATATTTTTAGTAGAGACAGGGTTTCACCATGTTGGCCAGGCTGGTCTTGAACTCCTGACCTCAGGTGATCCACCTGCCTTGGCCTCCCAAAGTGCTGGGATTACAGGCGTGAGCCACCATGCCCAGCCTAAATTATTCTTTAGTGATAGTCTGCTAGTGGCCAATTCCCTACTTTTCTTTTCTGAAAATATCTTTCACTGTGTTTTGAAATCTATTGTATCTGGATATAGATTGCTAGCTTGGCAGTGCCTTTTTTTTTTTTTTTTCCTAGCACATTGAAGATAGCCTACTATCTTTCAGCTTTCTCTTTCTTTCTTTCTTTTTTTTTTTTTTTACACCAAGCCTCCCTCTGTCACCCAGGCTTTCGGCTCACTGCAACCTCTGCCTCCCAGGTTCAAGCAATTCTTGTGCCTCAGCCTCCTGAGTAGCTGGGACTACAGGCACATGCCACCACACCAGGCTAATTTTTATATTTTTAGTAGAGACAGAGTTTCCTCATGTTGCTCAGGCTGGTCTCGAATTCCTGACATCAAGTGATCGGTTTGCCTCATCCTCCCAAAATGCTGGGATTACAGGCATGAGCCCGCTTCTGGCATCTTTCAGCTTTCTTTTTTTTTTTTTTTGAGACGGAGTCTCGCTCTGTTGCCCAGGCTGGACTGCAGAGGTGCGATCTCGGCTCACTGTAACCTCTGCCTCCCGGGTTCACGCCATTCTCCTGCCTCAGCCTCCCGAGTAGCTGGGACTACAGGCGCCCACCACCATGCCCGGCTAATTTTTTAGTATTTTTAGTAGAGACGGGGTTTCACCGTGTTAGCCAGGATGGTCTTGATCTCCTGACCTCGTGATCTGCCTGCCTCTGCCTCCCAAATGCTGGGATTACAGGTGTGAGCCACCACACCCGGCAGGTTTTCTATTCCTATGTTAATTCACTTAGGATAATAGCCTCCAGCTGCATCCATATTGCTGCAAAGGACATGATTTTGTTCTTTTTCATGGCAGTATAGTATTCCACAGTATATATGTATCACATTTTCTTTATCCAGTCTACCATTGTTGGGCATCTAGCTTGATTTCATGTCTTTGCTATTGTGAATAGTACTGTGATAAACATATGAGTACATGTATCTTTTTGGTAGAACGATTTATTTTCCTTTGGGTATATAGACCCTGTAATGGGATTGCTGGGTTGAATGGTAGTTCCCTTTTAAGTTATTTGAGAAATCTCCAAACTGCTTCCCACAGTGGCTGAACTAATTTACATTCCCAGCAACAGTGTATAAGCATTCCCTTTCCTCTGCAGCCTCACCAACATCTGTTGCTTTTTGTCTTTTTAATAGCCATTCTGATTGGTGTGGTGAGAAACACACCAGTGAGCATTTTTTCATATATTTGTTGGCTGCATGTATATCTTCTTTTGAGAAGTATCTGTTCATGTCCTTTGCCCATTTTTTAAATGGGGTTATTTATTTTTTGCTTATCAAATTACTTAAGTTTGTCATAGATTCTGGATATTAGACTATTGTTGGATGCATAGTTTGCAAATATTTTCTCTCCTTCATGTTGAGTTTCTTTTGCTGTGCAGAAGCTCTTCAGTTTAATTGGATCCCACTTATCTGTCAATTTTTGTTGTTGCAAGTGCTTTTAAGGACTTTTAATTCATAAATTATTTGCCAATGCACAGGTACCTTTTAACATTGTTTCTCTACACCTTCACTGTAATATATCTAATGGGGAATTCCTTTTATTTTGCTTGGGATTCTTTTGGCTTCTTGCATCTATGGATTACTTTTTTCATTAGTTCCAAAAATTCTCAGCCATTGTTTGTTCACATATTGTCTCTGACTCACTGGCCATGTCATCTCATTTGTTAGACCTTTTTACTATATCATCTAGGTCTTAGAAACTCTCATATTTTCTACCTATGTTCCTCTCACTCCTGGCCCCAATTAATCACCAATCTGTTTTCTATCATCATAGATTAGATTTGTCTTTTTTTTTCTTCAGAGTAAGTAGAATCATACTATATGCATTCTTATATCTGACTTCTTTCACTTAGCATGTTTTTAGTATTCATCTATGATACTGGATGTATTGGAGGTTCGTTCCTTTTTATTCCTAAGTATTATTCCATTTTATGATTATACCACAATTTCTTCATCCATTCTCCTACTCAGAGGCATCTGAGTTGTTTCCAGTTTAGGGCTGTCTCAAGTAGAGCTGCTTTGAGAGTTCATGTACAAGTCCTTGTATGGACATATGTTTTCATTTCTCTTGGATAAACACCTAAGAGAAGGATCATTGGGTCACTGGGTTACGTGGTAACGGTATGTTTAATTTCATAAGAATTTGTGGAACTGTTTCCAAAGTGGTTTTAAATCAGTTTTCCATTCTTACTAGTATGGTATGAGAGTTCTGGTTGTCCCACATCCTTGTCAATACTTGATGACATCAGGCTTTTTAATTTTAACCATTCTGGCAGATGTGTGGTGTGGTATGCCATTGTGATTTTAATTTGCCTGTTTCTCAGGACTACTAATGTTGGCTACCTTGGAAAGTGCTTATTGGCCTTTTACAGAGCTTGTCTTGTAAAGTATCTTTTCAAGTCTACTGTCCATTTTAAAAATCAGGGTTTTTTTTGGGCGGTGAAATTATTGAGTTGTAAGCATTCTTTATATATCCTAAATGCAAGTTCTTTGTCAGTTGTACATATTGTGGATATTATATCTCATTCTGGGGTTTGTCTTTCGTTAATGAAGCCTTTTGATGAAAAGACATAATTTTGATGATGCCCAATTTATCAATTTTCTTTCATGTTTTGAGCTTTTTACATCCTCAGACAGTTCTGTTTACCTCAAAGTTGCAAATATATATATATTTTTTGAGATAGGGTCTCACTCTGTTGCCCAGGCTGGAGTGCAGTGGCACGATCTTGGCTCACTGCAGCCTCTGCCTCCCAGGCTCAAGTGATTCTCCCGTCTCAGTCTCCCAAGTAGCTGGGACTACAGGCGCCCGCCATCACGCTTGGCTAATTTTTGTATTTTTAGTAGAGATGGGGTTTCACCATGTTGGCCAGGCTGGTCTCGAACTCCTGACCTCAAGTGATCTGCCCGCCTCAGCCTCCAAAAGTGCTGGGATTACAGGCATGAGCCACCGCGCCTGGCCAAGATTGCAAAGATTTTTCTCCTGTGTTTTAAAGTTTTTGCTTTTTCTGTTTAGATATCTATTTCACATAAATTTCTGTATAAGGTATGAGGCAAGGATCAAAATTAAATTTTTTTCTATTTAGATATTCAGTTGTTCTAGCACTATTTGTTAATAAGACTATCCTTTTCTTATTAAGCTGCCTTGGTATCTTCGTTGACAATTAGTTGTCCACAATATGTTTCTGGGCTCTACTCAGTATCATTAGTTAACATGTCTATTTTTTTTACACCAATACCTCCCTGCTTTGATTACTAAGGTATTACAGTAAACCTTAAAATCAGATTGTATGAGTTCTCCAACTGTGCTATTTTTTTTCCAAAATCGTTTTGACTATTGTAGATCTTTGTTCTCCAAGTAAATTTTAGAATTACCTTCCCAGACTGAGTGTGGTGGTTCATGCCTGTAATCCCAGCACTTTGGGAGGCTGAGGCGGGCAGATCACCTGAAGTCCGGAGTTTGAGACCAGCCTGGCCAACACGATGAAACCCTGTCTCTACTAAAAATACAAAAATTAGCTGGGCATGGTGGCGCACGCCTGTCCCAGCTACTTGGGAGGCTGAGGCAGGAGAATCGCTCGAACCTGGGAGGCGGAGGTTGCAGTGAGCGGAGATCGCACCAATGCACTCCAGCCTGGGCGACAGAGCGAGGCTCCATCTCAAAAAAAAAGAAAAAGAAAATAAAAAGCCTGCTATGGTGTTAATTGGGATTGCATCAAATCTGTAGATCATTTCTGAAACAGCTTTCCTTGCATTCCCAGTTGTGTAGAAGGGCCAGGAGCAAGCTTCTGCTTCATTTTTATTGTGAAGGTGTAGCCCTTTGAAGTGTCAGATTTAAGAGGGGAACTTCTATTCTGATCCTTATTTTGGGCAGGCTCTGGTGTTTTATATCTGGCCTCCATGGCCCCCTTTTGTATCTGAAAAGTCATAAAATTGGAAACTGCAGGTCCAGTTTGTTGTATTTGGCATACATCTTTGGGACAAAGTATCTTTGGAAGTCCCCTTTCTCCACTGCTTTGCCTGTACTTCAATGTTTGCCTGATAATTCCTTATTATCTTGTCAACATTTTTATTTTGTTAGAAGATTTAAAAATATCTTCCAGCCTTTTAAATTATTTCCGATGAGAAAATTGGTTCAAATCTCTAGCTTATTACTGGAATAGCATATAGTATTTTATTTTCTAAAATGTGATCAAACTCTACTTGCTTGCCTTTTGCTTTTATCAGTGAACCTTGGCAAGCTGTCCATTGCAGTTCTTACAGAGCAATGAGCTGAATTTTTTTTTTTTTTGAAATGGAGTCTCGCTGTCGCCCAGGCTGGAGGGCAGTGGTGCGATCTCGGCTCACTGCAACCTCTGCCTCCCAGGTTCAAGCAATTCTCCTGCCTCAGCCTCCCGAATAGCTGGGACTACAGGCACGTGCCACCATGCCCAGCTGATTTTTGTATTTTTAGTAGAGACGGGGTTTCACCATGTTGGCCAGGATGGTCTCGATCAATGAGCTGAATTTTTAAGGGTTTGTAGGAGTTAGCCAAGTGAAGAATGGTGGTGGGGGTGGAGTTGGTATTGTGTGTGATGGGGTATGATGGGCCCTGACACGGTAAGTAGTTAAATCTGGCCAGAACATGGAATGTGAAGAGGGCCGTAGGGACATATGAGGCCAAAATGGTCAGCAGGGCTCACATCAAAAAGTCGAACAAGCAGTTGCTGCCACACAGCACGACTCCATGGGACATTATGATCATAGTCTGTGTGCTCCCGGACATGCTGTAATAGGAACTTTAGAAAGTTGGCTCTTACCCGTTAGTCTCAGTGGAGAGGGAAGGTAGACAGCGTATAAGAAATCCCATCACTAGAGCAGAGACCACAGAGTCCCCAAGAAGACTGTAGAAAATGCTTCTCCTAGGCTCTCCCATGGTCATAAATTCTCCAGGATTACACAAACGAATTCACGTCCCTGAAGGCGGGTGCCTTCTAGGATTCATCCCAGGCTCTATCTTACCCAGATCAGTAATGCTAAGCCAGTGATAGCCTTTTTTATCTTGAAGATAAGGGAAAAGGAGACTATCTCCTACTGGGCCAAATGGTTCGATTTGATTCAACCCTCTATCCCCAGGAATGCTGAAATACTTTTAAAGCTGATAAACCTAGGGAAACTGCCTCCTGATGCCAAGCCCCCTGTCAACCTGCTTTACAACCCAACCTCCATCTACAATGCCTGGCTCAGTGGCCTTCCCCAGCACATCAAAAGCATGGTTCTCCGCGAGGTGACTGAGTGCAACATAGAGACTCAGTTTCTTAAGGTCAGTAAACATAGCTGAGGGGGGAGCCTAGAGTTCCTGAAAGCCTTTAGCACAACAGAAATTTTAGCTTTTATTAGCACCAGCAAAAATCCCGGAAGCACCAGAATCATCTGTGGCTCTCAGTAATACAAAGTACTATACTTTGCGGAATGGCCTTCCATGGATAATGCTAGGTGGATTGATTTTCCATGTCAGGGGGTTAGCTTGGACATCTGATTTTCTCAGTGATCCAGGGATTTTCAGGAGTTTTCCAGGGAAGATAGAATGTATACTTGTCTATATTTTTTTGTTATTGTTTAGTTCAATGACACTTTAACACCTCTTTGTTCTCTTTGCAGGCTAGCGAGGGCCCAAAGTTTGCATTCCTGTCCTTTGTTGAAGCCATGTCCTTCCTTCCTCCGTCTGTCTTCTGGTCTTTTATCTTCTTCCTGATGTTGCTGGCCATGGGGCTGAGCAGCGCAATAGGGATTATGCAGGGCATCATTACTCCACTCCAGGACACCTTCTCTTTCTTCAGGAAACATACAAAGCTGCTCATAGGTACTCTGACCTAGGCCCTACTCCTAACAATGACCCTGACCCCTGACACCACTGGGACTCTTTTTTTGGGACAGGGTCCCTGTAGCCCAGGCTGGAGTGCAGTGGTGTGATCTCGGCTTACTGCAACTTCTGCCTCCTGGGTTCAAGTGATCCTCCCACCTCAGCCTCCCCAGTAGTTGGGACCATAGGCGTGCATCACCACGCCCGGCTAAGTTTTGTAGCTTTTGTAGAGACGGGCTTTCACCATGTTGCCTGGCTGGTCTCAGACTCCTGGGCTTAAGGAATCTGCCCACTTAGGCTCCCCAAAATGCTTGGATTACACATGTAAGCCCCCTCGCCCGGCTACCACTGGGTCTGCCACCAGCCCTGGTCTATGGCCTCTACTTAGCCCTTGTCACCCAGCCGTGACTTCTAACCTTGATCCAGATCTCATGTTTTCTCCAGTGGGAGTCTTTTTGCTCATGTTCGTGTGCGGCCTCTTCTTCACTCGACCTTCAGGCAGCTACTTCATCAGACTGCTGAGTGACTACTGGATAGTCTTCCCCATCATCGTCGTTGTCGTATTTGAAACCATGGCTGTATCCTGGGCCTATGGGGCCAGGAGGTGATGTCCTAAGCCCAGGTTCTCACAAAGCATGGGACTATAGGGAAGGGTGACCCCTTTTTTGTTGCCTCTACTGTCAACCCACCTAGTGTGACATAGGGACCCTTAAGTTCAGAGTCTTCTGGGAAATCTTTTTATTCATTCATCCATTTTCACATATATTTTGGGTGCTGAATATGTGCCAGGCACTATTTTAGTCATCAGGGATAGGGGCATTGAATAAAAGAAGTATTCCTATTCTCAGAAAGCTTACATTTTAGTGGTCTAGAGAGACAATAACCAGATTAGCAAATAAAGAATAAAAACGTTGAGAATAAATACAGGCGATAGGAAGAATCAAAGGATGAGGTCAGATGGCACATAGTGGGAGTGTGTGTGGGCACCAAGTCACATACGACTTCAGGGAGGGCCCTTCCGATAAGGTGACATGTGAGCAGACTCCTGAATGATAGGAGGGAGGGAGTCATGACAAGATTTTGAGTAAAGTGCTCCCTGCAGGGAAACAGAAATTACCAAGGCCAGAGGAAGCATAATGCCTAGAGTTTTTGAGAAACAAGGAAGTCAGAGAGGCTGGAATAGAAGATATTAGGAGATGGGGCTAGAGAAGTGATGGTGGCCAAGTCATGTAGGGTTTTGTAAGCCACGATAGGACTCAGCTTTGTATGCAGAATGGCAGATGAAGCATTGGAGGGTTTTGAGTAGGAGAATGACATTTTCAGGTGGGAGTGCCATTATTAGATTTGTTTTTTAAAAAGGTATTTATGGCTGCTGTCTGGAGAACAGACCAGGAAGAGTCAAGAGTGAAGCCAGGATAAGAGTTGGAAGCTATGTAATATTTCTTTTTTTCTTTCTTTTTGAGATGGAGTCTTGCTCTGTTGCCCAGGCTGGAGTGCAGTGGTGCGATCTCAGCTCACTGCAACCTCCGCCTCCCGGGTTCAAGCAATTCTCCTCCCTCAGCCTTCTGAGTAGCTGGGATTACAGGCATTCACCACCACGCCCGGCTAATTTTTGTATTCTTAGTAGAGACGGGGTTTCACCATGTTGGCCAGGCTGGTCTCGAACTCTTGACCTCGTGATCACCTGCCTCAGCCTCCCAAAGTGCTAGGATTACATGCGTGAGCCACCCCGCCTGGTGAAAGCTATGTAATATTTCAAGTGAGAGCTAAGAATGGCTTGGTCAAAAGTAGAAGAGTTGTGGATTAAGAGAAGTGGTCTGATTCTGGAAGGTAGAGCTACCTGGGAAAGAGAACAAGATAATCTGGGAGTGAGACCTGGAAGATATAGCTGTGGAATGTAAGTCTATAGTAGAGGTAGCCAGGGCAACTCCGGGGGCACAGATGGTTAGTTAAGGAAGACTGGAGAGTTGGGGAAGGTGGCCTAGAGGAGAGGATGCTTGAGCAGAGCCTGGACAGATGAATAGGTGGAGATAGGGTGATGGGCACCCTAGACCAAGAGACCCCACTTGTATATTTATTGAGATTGAGAATATGTACTAAAGGAGACTGGATAGTTGGCTGAAATAAACTAGATAAGTTTCCCAAGGGCCAAATGCCACTTTCTTTTATCTGTGTTCAGTGCTGGATATCCAGCACTTAGAAGAGTTCCTGGTATAATTCAGGGGTGAAAGCCTCAGCATTTTCATCTGATAGTGGTTCTTGGAGTCAGTTTGCTCACTTATGGACTCATTTATTAACTCACCCAACAAACATTTTCTTGAGACTTTGTGTCAGGAAAGCCTTGTGGTACTGGGATATGAATGACTTACATTGAGATACTCTTCTCAAAGAGCTCAGAGTCCAAAGAGAAAGACGTATATAAGCAGAAAATCCCAGTACCCGGTGGTAAGTCTATAGTAGAGGTAGCCAGGGAAACTCCGGGGGCATAGATGGTTAGTTAAGGAAGACTGGAGAGTTAGGGAAGGTGGCCTAGAGAAGAGGATGCTTGAGCAGAGCCTGGACAGATGAATAGGTGGAGATAGGGTGATGGGCACCCTAGACCAAAAGACCCCACTTGTATATTTATTGAGATTGAGAATATGTACTAAAGGAGACTGGATAGGTGGCTGAAATAAACTAGATAAGTTCACCAAGGGCCAAATGCCACTTTATTTTATCTGTGTTGTTCACTGCTGGATATCCAGCACTTAGAAGAGTTCCTGGCACATCATAGACATTCTCATATTTATGGGATGAATGAAAGAGACTTGGCCTTTCTCCTGAGGCCATTGGATACCCATGGAAAGTTCTTGAGCAGGAGAGGGGTGTTTGGAAAAGTTTCTTGGGTTAGGATAGAAGACAGACTGACTAGGGGGAAGATGAGAGAGGACAAGACTTGAGATGAAACAGGAGATTAGAGATACAATAGAATGTTTGAAAGATGCCAAGGTTGGGCTGGCCCTGCCTCCAAGGTGGTGAGGCCTAACTGGGCATCCCACACTCTGGTGGCCCTTCTCCAGGTTCCTTGCAGACCTGACGATCCTGTTGGGCCACCCCATCTCTCCCATCTTTGGTTGGCTGTGGCCCCATCTGTGTCCAGTTGTGCTGCTAATCATCTTTGTGACCATGATGGTTCATCTTTGTATGAAGCCGATCACCTACATGTCCTGGGACTCAAGCACCGTGAGCCTCCCCCAGGACCCAGAACCCCTTTGGGAGTAGGGGCCAGACCTTTCAATTCACTCTGGGTGAAAGAACCCAGTCATCTCATTCTCTTACTGCCCGAAGACTCATGGGTTTTCTGCTTTGGTTCCCCACCCATCCTTCCCCTCCACAACTCTTCCTTTTCTCTTGGGGATTTTGATATTCTGAACCCTTTTCCCATCTCTCCACAGTCAAAAGAGGTGCTTCGACCATACCCACCGTGGGCACTGCTCTTGATGATCACCCTTTTTGCCATTGTCATCCTCCCCATCCCTGCATACTTTGTATACTGCCGCATACATAGGATTCCCTTCAGGCCCAAGAGCGGAGACGGGCCTATGACAGCCTCCACATCCCTACCCCTAAGTCACCAGCTAACACCCAGTAAAGAGGTTCAAAAGGAAGAAATTCTACAAGTTGATGAAACAAAGTACCCATCAACTTGTAATGTGACTTCCTAACTTCATTAATTTGGCTTCACATAACATATCCCTTAGAACAGATCCAATAGACAACTCTTAATATCAGCTTGCAACTGTTGATCTCCCTGGATCCAGAACCACTTTTATTTCCAAGAGGAGGGGCATTCTTTGGGGGTGTTCATGGGGCCTGGACTTGCAATCCCTTCCTGGGTCCCATCTTACCTGGTGACCACCATCATTGTTTTCCCCATCCTCTTCCTCAACACACATACATGCACAACACATATACAATACTAGTGATGTCTACCAGTCCTGCTACTTCTGGGGTGCCTGTCTCCTGGAATGGAGCTGGAGGAGCAATGCTGTTGGTGAATAAATCAGTCTACTGGAACTCCAAGGACTGGATGTAAGCAGATCTTTTTTTCCTATAGATGTCTCAGATGTTCAGTTTTCCTGTCACAAGGCTTCCAGTCTGTATTAGTTCATTTTCACACTGCTAATAAAGACATACCTGAAACTGGGAACAAAAAGAGGTTTAACTGGACTTACAGTTCCACATGGTTGGGGAGGCCTCAATCATGGTGGGAGGTGAAAGGCATTTCTTACATGATGGCAGCAAGAGAAAAAAATGAGGAAGAAGCAAAAGTGGAAACCCCTGATAAACCCATTAGATCTCATGAGACTTATTCACTATCACGAGATTAGGATGGAAAAGACCAGCCCCCATGATTCAATTACCTCCCCTGGTTCCCTCCCATAACACGTGGGAATTCTGGGAGATATAATTGAAGTTTATATTTAAATGGAGACACAGTGAAACCATATCATTCTGCCCCTGGCCCCTCCAAATCTCATGTCCTCACATTTCAAAAGCAATCATGCCTTCCCAACAGTCCCCCAATGTCTCAACTCATTTCAGCATTAATCCAAAAGTCCAGAGTGTCATCTGAGACAAGGCAAGTCCCTTCCACCTATGAGCCTGTAAAATCAAAAACAAGCTAGTTACTTCCTAGATACAATGGGGGTACTGGTATCAGGTAAATACAGCCATTCCAAATGAGAGAAATTGGCCAAAACAAAGGGGTTACAGGGCCCATGCAAGTCCAAAATCTAGCAGGGGAGTCAAATTTTAAAGCTCCATAATGATCTCCTTTGACTCCAGATCTCACATCCAGGTCATGCTGATGCAAAAGGTGGGTTCCCATGGTCTTAGGCAGCTCCACCTCGTGGCTTTGCAGGGTACAGTCCCCCTTCCAGCTGCTTTCACGGGCTGGTGTTGAGTGTGGCTTTTCCAAGCTCAGGGTGCAAGCTGTCAGTGGTTCTACCATTCTGGGGTCTGGAGGACAGTGGCCCTCTTCTCACAGCTCCACTAGGCAGTGCCCCAGTAGGGACTCTGACTCTGTGTGAGGGCTCTGACCCCACGTTTCCCTTCTGCATTTCCCTCCCTGGCAGAGGTTCTGCATGAGGGCTCTGCCCCTACAGAAAACTTTTGCCTGGACATCCATGCATTTCCATATATCTTCTGAGATCTAGGCGGAGGTTCCCAAACCTCAATTCTTGACTTCTGTGCACCCGCAGGCTCAACATCACGTGGAAGCTGCCAAGGCTTGGGGCTTCTACTCTCTGAAGCCACAGCCCGAGCTGTACGTTGGCCCCTTTCAGCCATGGCTGGAGTGGCTGGGACACAGGGCACCAAGTCCCTAGGCTGCACACTGCATGGGGACCCTGGGCCTGGCCCACAAAACCACTTTTTCCTCCTGGGCCTCTGGGCCTGTGATGGGAGGGGCTGCCATGAATGTCTCTGATATGGCCTGGAGACATTTTCCCCATGGTCTAAGGGATTAACATTAGGCTCCTTGCTACTCATGCAAATTTCTGCAGCTGGCTTGAATTTCTCCTCAAAAATGGATTTTTCTTTTCCACTGCATCATCAGGCTGCAAATTTTCTGAACTTTTATGCTGTTTCCCTTTTAAAACGGAATGCTTTTAACAGCACGCAAGTCACCTTCTGAATACTTTGCTGCTTAGAAATTTCTTCTGCCAGATACACTAAATCATCTCTCTCAAGTTCAAAGTTCCACAAATCTCTAGGGCAGGGGCAAGATGCCACTAGTCACTTTGCTAAAACATAATAAAGAGTCATCTTTGCTCCAGTACCCAACAAGTTCCTCATCTCCATCTGAGACCACCTCAGCCTGGACCTTATTGTTCATATCAGCATTTTTGTCAAAACCATTCAGTAGGTCTTCAGGAGGTTCCAAACTTTCCCACATTTTCCTGTCTTCTTCTGAGCCCTCCAAACTGTTCCAACCTCTGCCTGTTACCCAGTTCCAAAGTTGCTTCCATATTGTTGGGTATCTTTTCAGCAACACCCCACTCTACTGGTACCAGTTTACTGTATTAGTTTTCATGCTGCTGATAAATACATACCTGAAACTGGGAACAAAAAGGTTTAATTGGACTTACAGTTCCACATGGCTGGGGAGGCCTCAGAATCCTGGCGGGAGGTGAAAGGCACTTCTTACATGGTGGTGGCAAGAGAGAAAATGAAGCAAAAGTGGAAATCCCTGATAGACCCATCAGATCTCATGAGATTTATTCATTATCATGAGACAGCATGGAAAAGACCAGCCCCCATGATTCAATTACCTCCCCCTGGGTTCCTCCCACAACACATGGGAATTCTGGAAGATACAACTGAAGTTGAGATTTAAATGGGGACACAGCCAAACCATATCACAGTCTTTCTAAAGCTAAATGTCCAGCCCTGAGTTCCTGCCCTCCCCTTGCTCTGGCAAACTCAGATACTAGATTACCAGGCTTGCATTATCCACGGGCTGGCCTTTAGCCAAGGGAAACCTGGGAAATGGTGACTTCAACAAAGATGGGGAAGATATTAATGTGCTTGCTACTGATACATGATAATCCTATTATAGGTCTAAAATTATTTCTAAAAAGAGGTTGCACTCAAGGTTTGAACATTGTGTTGTGGACTGAGTACATCTGTAAATCAGTGCCACAACCAGTTACTAACAAGCTGTTTCACTGAGCTCACCAAGAGTCCCATTTCTGCTCAGTACTGGGCACCACTGGTTTTTATCCCAGGGTCAAATCAACTGAACTTGCCCAGTGGATGATCACTGAGTGGGTCTTTAAGAACTTGTGGGAGGGTAGTGCCATGAGGGTGCTGAAGTACTCCCCAAAAGGAGACTGGGGGGCCTGTCAGTTACCTGCTGGGGATGGGGGCTGTGGACAGAGGTGATTGGGATTCCCAAAGATCCAGGGAATGGGTTTCCCTTAAATGCTCAGAGATCTCAGGCTTTTAGATTGCTTAGAGCCCACGGGTAAGTTTCAGTGATAAAGGAAAAGAAGACACCCCCAACCATTGGCAGGCAGGACTCAAGAGGTGGATCTGCAGAAAGGAAAGAGCAGAGGCATCTGAAGTTTCCAGACCTCTGAAGTCTGGCTCTTCAAGCTTGAAGATAGGAGGGCTGGAGGGGCGTGCACCTCTGTGTCATCACCCATTGGCTCCTGTGCCCTATTAGGCCAGCCCATCCACCCCCCAAATTCCAAATGCTCTATCTGCTTGAAGACTTGCACTATTGAATCGGGTAATGTGGGGATGGGAGAGAGAAGGCGGTGGGCTCCTCCTTCTCATCAAATAGTCTGGGTCTTCAACCTCCTCCCTTTTGGGAACCAGGGCACTCATCCTCCCTTCTGCCTCAAGGCCCCTCCCACCTACCTCCCCACCATCCCCGGTCCAGTTTTGGAGGTGGAACTTGGGAGAGGGGGATTGAAAAGTAGGGGCTTACCATCTCAAAGAAAGAAAGAAAAAATATTTTATTTCTCTCTTAGTGTGTTTCCCTCTCTCTCTCTCTCTCTCTCTCTCTCTCTCTCTTTCTTTCTTTCTTTTTTGACAGAGCCTTGCTCTGTTGCCCAGGCTGGAGTACAGTGTCTCGGTCTTGGCTCACTGCAAACTCTGCCTCCTAGGTTCAAGCAATTCTCCTGCCTCAGCCTTCTGAGTAGCTGGGATTACAGGGGTGCACCACCACGCCCAGCTATTTTTGTATTTTTAGTAGAGACAGGGTTTCACCATGTTGCCCTGTCTCTAGACAGTCTCGAGACAGTCTCGAGAGTCACATGTAGCCCTGTCTCGAGAGTTGCTGGTCTCGAACTCCTGACCTCATGATCTGCCCATTTTGGCCTCCCAAAGTGCTAGGATTACAGGCGTGAGCCCCTGCACCCAGCCTTTTTTTTTTCTTTTTTTTGAGACAGTCTCGCTCTGTTGCCCAAGCTGGAGTGCAGTGGCACGATCTCGGCTTACTGCAACCTCTACCTCCTGGGCTCACGCGATTCTTATGTCTCAGCCTCCCAAGTAGCTGGGATTATAGGCGCACACCACTGTGCCCAGCTAATTTTTGTATTTCTAGTAGAGATAGGGGTTTTGCCATGTTGGCCAGGCTGGGCTCGAACTCCTGGCCTCAAGGGATCCGCCCGCCTCAGCCTCCCAAAGCGCGTGAGCCACTGCACCTGGCCTAATTCTGCTTTCTAATTTGCATCCCTGACATGCGGGACGCTTCAATAGGGATGGCGCCACGTTCAAGAGGCTGAAGAAGAGACCCAGGGCTAGCAAACGAGAAATAGGGTTTATTTGAGATAACTTACAGGGTGATCCAGTGGTGATGAGCTGGACAGGAGAACCACACCCACTTGCAAAATGCATGCAGTTTATATGGCACTTTCACTCAGCACCCTCCCCCAGCAACCTCCATGCGGCAGCCCTTATCCTCAGGGTGTGCTTAAGTTATTGCTGCCAGGTGCGTCTACCATATACCCTCACTCCAGCATACCCACCTTGCTGTGTTTTTTTTGTTTTTGTTTTTCATTTTTCTGAGACGGAGTCTCACTCTGTCGCCAAGGCTAGAGTGCAGTGGTGCGATCTTGGCTCACTGCAACCTCCGCCTCCCAGGTTCAAGTGATTCTCCTGCCTCAGCCTCCTGAGTAGCTGGGATTACAGGTATGTGCCACCACACCTGGCTAATTTTTGTATTTTTAGTAGAGATGGGGTTTCACCATGTTGGCCAGGCTTGTCTTGAACTCCTGACCTCAAGTGATCCACATGCCTCGGCCCTCCCAAAATGCTGGGTTTACAGGCGTGAGCCACTGCGACCTGGCCACTCTAGCATACCTTTGAATGGCCCTCACATTCTTGTACCGTTCTTCCACCATTTCCCTGGGGCCAGGTATGCGGAGGAGCATTGCAGCCAGACACCACAGCAGCAATACAAACTACAACAGAAAAAATAATGAATATAAAAGTGGCTTCAGGTACTCAGGTTAACTGCTGCGAGGCACCACGGCAGGCCCGCAGTGGAGGAGAGGGGCAGCTCTCTGCAGACCCAACAGTCTGTTTTGTTCTGGAGAGAGACCACCGTCTGTGCTCAGCTGGCAAGAGGTTTGCTGCATACCATCTATGGGTGAAAAGTGAGATGTTTAGTGAGTACAAGAAGGGGCAAGTCATGGTCATTTTTTTCTTTTTGAGACAGAGTTTCACTCTTGTTGCCCAGGCTGGAGTGCAGTAGCTGGATCTCGGCTCACTGCAACCTCCGCCTCCTGGGTTCAAGCGATTCTCCTGCCTCAGCCTCCCAAGTAGCTGGGATTATAGGCGCCCGCCATCATGCCCAGCTAATTTTTTGTTTTTAGTACAGGTGGCGTTTTGCCATATTGGCCAGGTTGGTCTCAAACTGCTGGCCTCAGGTGATCCACCCACCTCGGCCTTCCAAAGTGCTGGGATTACAGGCATGTACCACTGCACCCAGCCTCATGGTCATTTTACAAGAAACAGGAAGTTGTGTCCTTCTGAGACAGCATCACCCCGAGAGTGGCCTGGTGCTTGGTTTGCAATACCAAATAGGTTGGCCCCCTCTCTACAAAGTGTCACATGAGGCTGGAGTAAGACAATAGGGATATTATGCAGTGTGGGCATCCAGACGCTAGACTGTTACATGCATCCCCCAGGTGCAGTGGAGAATGTTCTTCTATATCAGCCCCCCAAAGGGGGCTGCCTGCTACCATCCAATCCTGTGTTTCTCCTTGTAGTAGGCACATGGTGGGCCCCTTAAAGATGGTGCCCAGATGTCAGTGCACAGGACTGTTGGGTCCGGCTCCTAGAAGAAACCATCCAGGCAGCTCAGCCCATTGGCTACATGTCCTTTGCCTGTATCGAGCCAGATACTCTCAGTGGACAGCTGGATACAGGTGGAAGGATTGCCTCGTGACAAGCCATCTGTGTACCAGGCCTGGTCAGGAATTGGGGCCTGTCCCTCTTATATAAAGGAGGGAATATGTGGAGGCTCAGTGCCTTGTCAAAGACTGTCCTTCAGCTGTCACATAGGTGACAGGGCCAAGCAGCAAACGGAACCCTGTGCTAGTTCGTGTACTCCTCTGTTGCAGGCATGCGTGCCATTTGGCCACAATCTGTTTCTGGGCATTCCCAGATTTTGGTTTCTGGAAGGTGTCCTACTTTCGACTAGGATAAAGGCTAAGGCCTCAGGATCCCGATAAGAGCAATGGTGGCTGAGTGTCTGGAGACTGGCGGCCACATATAGAGCTAGCTAACTATATATTGGTCACCTAAGAATGCACAGGCTGGCTGGGCGTGGCGGCTTACGCCTGTAATCCCAACATTTTGGGAGGCCAAGGTGGGCGGATCACCTGAGGTCAGGAGTTTGAGACCAGCCTGGCCAACATGGCAAAACCCTGTCTCTACTAAAAATACAAAAATTAGGTGGGCGTGGTGGCGGGCACCTGTAATCCCAGCTAACCTACTATGGGGTACTGGGTATGTACTAGCATGGGAACCCCTTTGGAACATCTTCCACTTGCTGTAAGGCATAACACGTAGTGCAGAATTATAGCTCCCTGACACTGTAACTTCAGTCCCCTTCCATAGCTGGAACCAGAATCCTAAAGGTACAAGTTTGTGTCCTTGCCTTTGCCACTGGTCCCAGTTGGCCCCCTTCTTGACTAAGTGGTACAGTGGCCTAAGGAGTTGAGCCAAATGGGAAATAAAAGGACACCACGGCCTTAGAAGAACTAAGAAGGTTTGCAGCCACTTTGGTGGTGTAGGATGTGGGTAGGCCTGCACCATATGTAGAATGGCAAATTGAACACCGTTAGTCTTACCCAACCAGATGACACCAAGTATTGGACTGATAAGCCTGGACCCTGCCTTTGTCTGCATTGACCGCCCATCCTCTGTTAACCAAGTGAGACAGCAAGGTGAGGGCTATAGAGACTCAGAAGTTAGCTGGCAAAAGACTCAGAATTTAACATCAATGTAAAGGAAAACATGTACCCTCTCCAGGGTAGTCCATCTACTGAGGTCTGTGGCCACTAGGCGTTGACAGATAGTGAGGCTATGGAAATATCCCCGCGGCAAGACAGTAAAGGTATATTGTTCTCCTTCCCAGGTGAAAAGGTTAGGCTTTTTTTTTGAGAGGGAGTCTCGTTCTGTTGCCCAGGCTGGAGTGCAATGGCGTGGTCTCGGCTCACTGCAACTTTCGCCTCCCAGGTTCACACCATTCTCCTGCCTCAGCCTCCTGAGCAGCTGGGATTACAGGCGCCCGCCACCACGCCCAGCTAGGGTTAGGCTTTGTGTCCCCATCCAAATCTCGTCTTGAGTTGAAATCTCTATAATCCCCACGTGTCAGAGACACCAGGTGGAGGTAATTGAATCATTGGGGCGGTTTCCCCCATGCTGTTCTCGTGGCAGGGAGTGAGATCTCGCGAGATCTGATGGTTTTATAAGGGGCTCTTCCCCCCTTCGCCCGGCCTCGTGAAGAGGGTGCCTTTCTTCCCCTTTGCCTTCTGCTGTGATCGTAAGCTTCCTGAGGCCTCCCCAGCTATGCTGAACTGTAAGTCAATTAAACCTCTTTCCCTTATGAATTACCTAGTTTTGGGCAGTTCTTTATAGCAGCTTGAAAACGGACTAATATACCAGGTGAATGCAATGACAAAATGAGGTGCGTGCAGTCCCTCTCTTATCCTCATAAGAAAGGAGGCGATATGAGAACAGCTGCATACATTAGGGGGACGGCTTTGTTGAACTCCCAGTAATATGTCATTCTCCGTGTCCCATCAGGCATCCACATGGGCCATGCAGGGCTATTGTATGGGCTGTTCACTGGTCTTATAATGTCTACCCAGACTTCTTTCCTTTTCAGTCCCTATGATCTCATCATGACCTCCTGGCAGGTGTTGTCGTTTCTTTTTTCTTTTCTTTTTTTTTTTTTTTTTTGAGACGGAGTCTTGCTCTGTCGCCCAGGCTGGAGTGCAGTGGCACGATCTCAGCTCACTGCAAGCTCCGCCTCCCGGGTTCGCGCCATTCTCCTGCCTCAGCCTCCGGAGTAGCTGGGACTACAGGCACCCGCCACCGCGCCCGGTTAATTTTTTGTATCTTTTAGTAGAGACAGGGTTTCACCGTGTTAGCCAGGACGGTCTGGATCCTCTGACCTCGTGATCCGCCTGCCTCGTCCTCCCAAAGTGCTGGGATTACAGGCGTGAGCCACCGCGCCCGGCCAGGTGTTGTCGTTTCAATGCTGCTATTCACAGAGGGGCTGGCAGCTGTGCTGGTGTCCATTTCGCATTCCCCTTGATCACGCGCCTCACCATCCTAACTCAGTCGCAATTCAGAGGGTCACAGTCCTGATGAGACAGCCCTTCCCAAGATGTAATCTGGGATAGGAGCTCTGTATACTAAATAGGGTTTGGGCAGCAGTCTCCTAACTTGTAATACTAGCTCAACCTGTCTGACTTTCACGACCCCCGCCCCCACCGACCATCTATTGTTATAGGCCACTGGAACCACGGATGTCACCACATACGAGAGTGCATTCAGCTCCAGTATCCGCTGGGAACAGCCTGTACATTCTTGTTTTTTTGTTTCGTTTTGTTTTTGAGATGGAGTCTCACTCTGTCACCAGGCTGGAGTGCAGTGGCACGATCTCGGCTCACTGCAACCTCTACCTCCCGGGTTCAAGCGATTCTCCTGCCTCAGCCTCCAGAGTAGCTGGGATTACAGGTGCCCAGCTAACTTTTGGTATTTTTGGTAGAGACAGGGTTTCACCATGTTGGTCAGGCTGGTCTCGAACTCCTCACCTCGTGATCTGCCCACCTCAGCCTCCCAAAGTGCTGGGATTACAGGCGTAAGCCACCTTGCCTCCTGGATGCATTCTTGGTTTTTTGCCTTTTTTTTTTTTTTCTGAGACGGAGTCTCACTCTGTGGTCCAGGCTGGAGTGCAGTGGCACGATCTTGGCTCACTGCAACCTCCGCCTCCCAGGTTCAAGTGATTCCTATGAAGGGACTCAAGATAGACGCCAGTGTGCCACACCATTGGTAGTGTGCCTACTGTAAGATGGCATTTCTCATGCCCGCAGTGAAAAGCTCCTTGTCAGGGCCTCGGTAATGCTCAGTGTAGATAGCAAGCATCACCCCTAATTCCCAGAGGATGTCCCTCAATTCCTCCATAATCTGTCATCACAAAGGAGATGTGGGGACATTCCTTTCTTTCTTTTTGAGATGGAGTCTCGCCCTGTTGTCCAGGCTGGAGTGCAATGGCTCCATCTCAGCTCACTGCAACCTCCGCCTCCCGGGTTCAAACGATTCTTCTGCCTCAGCCTCCCGAGTAGCTGGGATTACAGGCACCTGCCACGACACCCGACTAATTTTTGTATTTTTAGTAGAGACGGGGTTTCACCATATTGGCCAGGCTGGTCTCAAACTCCCTACCTCATGATCCTCCTGCCTCGGCCTCCCAAAGTGCTGGGATTACAGGCCTGAGCCACTGCACCCAGCTGGGACATTCCTTTCATTTGGCCAGGCTGCCTTGCAGCTTGCAACCACCCGGCTAAGGAGGGGGTGGCCCGATCGTCATTATTGGTGCCATCGAGGCACCGCCTCAGGGCTGGATGGTTGGTGATGGATGCCATTTCACTCATCTCTGTTCCATGTCCCATAGACAGAGAAGCCACCCTGTGACCGACTCTCTGCCCTTCTTCCTGAACCTAGTTCCCAGCTCCACCAACTCCACAGCCGTGGAATCCCGCACTATGGTGTCTTCCAGGCAGGGGCAAGTCTTGCAGGGTGACCCCCTATGTCTGTGGTTGGTCGGCTTTCATCTTGGTGTTGACCAGCAAACGTGCAGAGAGGATGGGCACCTCCATGAGCTCATCCCAGGCCTCACTCTCTTCCCCACTAGAGCTCTCCATGGGGTCCCAGAACTTAGGGTCCCAGGATGATTTAGTCATGAGGGCCCTAACTCATTGACATAGCAGCCAGCAGCTTTTCAAATGGACCATACCTGACAAGCCAGGGTCTCTCCATTTTGTCATCCCGTGCCTGCAGGCAGGACAGTCGGTCTCTGATGTTTCAGTCTGATCTAATTAGGCATCTCTTTGTCATCGCAGTTCATCTTGTAATGGATGCACCTTCACCTGCGCCATGAGCCCGGCCCCCGAGGCTGCTCAGAGCACAGTCAGGAGTGGCCAGCCAACCGCAGCTGCCACAGCTCAGGCATCTAACTTTTGCTTAGTTAGATCCACCTCCTGCAATAGCTCTTCCAGACCCTTCAGTGTTTTGGGGGCATCTCTGTACCCATGCCTTGGGCCTCATCCATCAAGGATAGTGGCTGTTGGGCCCCACACAGACGTGGACAGCCAGCCCGAGATGCCCCCCGATGATATTCTCCTCTCCAATCCCATCGACTCTGCGTGCACAGGATTTTCTCCAACCTCCTGCTGGGATCATCGGTTGTCGTGCCAAATGCCTGTTAACTTCAGTAGCCATGGCACCAAGTTCAAGAGGCTGAAGAAGAGACCCAGAGCCAGCACACAAAACACAGGGCTTATTTGGGGGAACTTGCAGCATGGGCCAGTGGTGGTGGACTGGACAGGAGAACTACAACCATTTGCAAAAAGCATGCAGTTCAGGCCAGACTCGGTGGCTCGTGCCTGTAATCCCAGTACTTTGGGAGGCTGAGGCAGGTGGACCACTTGAGGTCAGGAGTTCGAGACCAGCCTGGCCAACATGGTGAAACCGTCTCTACTAATAATATAAAAATTAGCTGGGCATGGTGGCGGGCGCCTGTAGTCCCAGCTACTTGGGAGGCTGAGGCAGGAGAATCGCTTGAACTTGGGAGGCAAGGTTGCAGTGAGCTCAGATGGTACCACTGCACTCCAGCCTGGGTGACAGAGCGAGACTCTGTCTCAAAAAAAAGAAAAAAAAATGCAGTTCATAGGGCACTTTCACTTAGCATCCTCCCCTAGCAACCTCTACGTGGCAACCCTCATTCTCAGAGGCAGCTTAAGTTATTGCTGTCAGGTGTATCTGCCATAAGGGTAGGGTTAAGGAAAGTTATTGCTATCAGAGATGTCTACCAGACACTCCCAAGCTCCCTTTTGTCCAGAGGCCTAAGATAGTCTTCTGTGACAGCTTTATTGAAATGTGATTCATATACCACACAATCAACCTATTTAAAATTTACAATTCGGCCAGGCATGGCGGCTCATTCCTGTAATCACAGCACTTCGGGAGGCCGAGGTGGGTGGATCACTTGAGGTCAGGAATTCTAGTCCACCCTGGTCAATATGTCAAAACCCCACCTCTACTAAAAACACAAAAATTAGGCGGGCATGGTGTTGGGTGCCTGTAATCCCAGCTACCTGGGAGGCTGAGGCAGGAGAATCTCTTGAACCTGGGAAGCAGAGGTTGCAGTGAGCTGAGATCATGCCATTGCACTCCAGCCTGGGGGACAAGAGCAAAACTCCGTCTCAAAAAAAAAAGTTTACAATTCAATGATATTTAGTATATTCATAGAACTGCCGCATTTTGCCAAATGGCTTTTTAGCATTTAGTGGACTTGTTGATAGAATTTTAAATATTGAACTCTCCTTGTGGGATCAATTCTACTTAGGTGTAATGTATTATCCTTTTGATATATTCTAGATTCTACTTGCTAATATTTAGCTTGTTCATCTCGTCTTTGTAAATGAGGGGTTTTTTTCTACTTTTTATAAATTTTGGCATTAAAGTTATGCTAGCTTCAGAAAGTAAATTGAGGCGCTCTTTATTTTTTCTGTGATCCTAAGCCAGTGCTGCTCAAACTTTAGTATGCTGAAAGTCACCTGGAAAGCTGGTTAAACAGATCGTTGGGCCCCATCTTCTAGTGATTTTTTTTTTTTTTTCTTGAAACAGAGTCTTGCTCTTGTCACCCAGGCTGGAGTGCAATGGTGCGATCTCGGCTCACTGCAACCTCCGCCTCCCAGGTTCAAGCGATTCTCCTGCCTCAGCCGTCTCGAATAGCTGGGATTACAGGCGTGCACCACCACTCCTGTCTAATTTTTGTAGTTTTAGTAAAGACAGGGTTTCGCCATGTTGGCCAGGCTGTTCTCGAACTCCTGACCTCGTGATCTGCCCGCCTTGGCCTCCCAAAGTTCTGGGATAACAGGCGTGAGCCACTGCACCCGGCCGCCCGCTAGTGATTTTTATGTGGTGAATCTGGATTCAGGTTCATTAATTTGCATTTATCACACTCCCAGGTGATGCTTAGGATTCGTGGGCCACACTTTGAGCAGCCTGGTGTAATTGACATTAGAACCATCTGCTTTTTAAAGGTTAAATCGAACTCATCTCTGAACCCATCTGGTCCCAGAGCCCATTTGTGCAGTAAATCTCTACTCATCTTTCCAACCCTTTCCATTAATTTTCCCCAAAATTCTTGGATTATTTTTAGTAATTTACATTTGCCAGACACTTTCAGTTTCCTCTAAGGTTTCAGATTTGTTGACCTAGGATTTCATATAGCATATGTCCTTAAAATTCTAAATTTGATGGCTGTGTCTCTTTTCTCATTTTTTACATTTTGTTATTTTTATTTATCTTTTTCTCAATCAGATTCACAAGTGGCATTTGGATTTACTTAGCATTTTTACTTTATTTTCTATCTTATTAATGTCAACTTTATAATTACAATTTCTAGTTTGTTTTGTCTTTATTCTTCTGATTTCTCAAACTCCTGACCTCAAGTGATCCACCTGTCTCAGCCTCCCGAAGTGCTAGGATTACAGGCGTGAGCCACTGCGCCCAGCCTATTCTGATTTCTTAAGGGGAGTATTAAGTTCCTTTATTCATCATCTTTAGTCTTCAGTAAAGTGTAATTTTTGCTGTATGTCAAAGGTTTTGATATGAAATCTCCTTTTTATGCTACCTAGAAACTTTGTAATTTTCTACTTCTTTTTAATCCAAGGATTATCTGGAAGTGTGTGTGTGGGGTTGTGTGTGTGTGTGTGTGTGTATAGGATTATCTGGAAATATATATACACACACACTTTTATGCTACCTGGAAACTTTGTAATTTTCTACTTAGCTTCTTTTTAATCCAAGGATTATCTGGAAGTGTGTGTGTATGTATGTGTGTGTGTGTGTGTATATATATATATATATATATATATAGATAGATATATAGATATGAGATGGGTGTCTTGCTGTGTTGCCTAGGCTGGTCTTGAACGCCTGAGCTCAAATGACCCTCTCACCACAGAAGCATATTTCTTAATTTCCAAGTCATTAAGGTTATTTTCTCTTTTAAAATTGTTCATTTCTTTTTTTTACGATTTTTACAAATATTGTTTATTTTAATGAAGCTGGTACAATGTCCATTTAAAACCCATATCCCAGGCCAAAAAGAACAAATAAAAAAGAGCAGTGTTCTGCCTTATTCATTTCTACGTGTATTGCTTTATTAATTGCTAATGAAAATCAGAACTTTTCTGGGATCTTCTGACAAGATTTAAAAAAAATCTTAAAATGCCTTTTCTTCAGTGAAGCCATCTTTGGAGTTAGGCATCACTCTTACCTGATCTGTCGTCTTGACTTCAACCTGATATTCCTCTTCTTTTGGTCCAGACCCTCAAATTTTAAAAGTACCTTCAAGTTAAGGAAAGGTCGTTTTTCCACTGTTCAGTTCTCTGAAAAAACTCCCATCTCCCACTGAAAGTCACAGTCCAGGAGTGAAGCAATCACATGCTAGAACATCAGGGCCAGTTGGAAAGTCATTATGAACACCTGCATTGGCCGATCTTACTTATCACCACCACAAGCCTGAAAATGCAATGTCCTGAAAAAGGTGGCCTCTCTGTGCACACGTAATTTTTAAAAAGGAGAGGGTAGGCTGGGCGCGGTGGCTCACGCCTGTAATCCCAGCACTTTAGGAGGCCGAGGCTGGCAGATCACAAGATCAGGAGATCGAGACCATCCTGGCTAACACGGTGAAAGCCCGTCTCTACTGAAAATACAAAAAATTAGCCAGGCGTGGTGGCGGGTGCCTGTAATCCCAGCTACTCGGGAGGCTGAGGCAGGAGAATGGAGTGAACCCGGGAGGTGGAGGTTGCAGTGAGCCGAGATCGCGCCACAGCACTCCATCCTGGGCGATAGAGCGAGACTCCGTCTCAAAAAAAAAAAAAAGGAGGGTAATATGAAGGGGACTGAGGCTTGATCACCAAAAATCAGCACAATGAAAACAAATGATAATGAATAATGAACACCAGAATTCAAATTACCAGATGTTTCAAAGAGATGGGGTACCAGTTTTCAATTGCGTTTTGAACACCACATTACAAAGGAACTATTTTTAAAAATAAAGGATTAAAGGATCGAGGGAAAATAAAAAAAGAATAAGCCGTTGAATGACCGCCCCCCACTACGTTTGTTCCTGATAAACTTCAATCACATCTTCTTCCTCCATTCCCAGTTCTTTTGGAGTATGATTATCAGCAATTCTCTGACCCTCAAAGAGAAACCGAGTGGATTCATTGGAATACCCTGTCTTTGACAGTATGATTCTTTGAGTTTCTTGAGATGTGTTGTCATTTTCACTTTGAAGTGAATCTCACTGCTATCCTGTCCAGTGACTTTGAGTTTAATATATTCACCTTCCTTCTTATCCCCCAAGTCCTCAGTTGAAGGTTTTGCCTCCTGGTCAGACATGATGACAGTGGCTTCACCCAGGGGTCTCCACACAGCAGCGGCCTCGAGTAGGCAGAACCGCACTCCAGGGTTCACAAATCCATCTCCCTTCCCTAAAATTGTTCATTTCTAATATGACTAAGTATCTATTAAATCGTATTTGTTTGCATTATTCAATTTCTCTATGTCCTTTTTTTTCTCTATTAGATCTGTGAGTTCTGAAAAAGTTGTATGATAATTGCCATCGTAGTTATATTTTGATCAATTTCTTTTTGGTTTTATACGTGTTTTGCCTTAAATATTTAGCTCTCCAGTTGTTTGGTACATATAGGCTTGTGGCTGTTATTTTTTTCTTTGCGTGTTGAGCATGTACCATACGTCTCTAATGTGCTCGGTACTTTTAATCTTAAATATTGTTTCCTGATACTCAGATTTCAATCTTGGCTAGGATGGTTGGGGCATTTGCTTTACAATAAATCATTCAGGTGAACATTTCAGTTTTGTACACTTTTTGGAATATGTGTATTTTATAATAAAAAGGAGATAGGTTAGTATGCAAGAAGAAAGCAAAACTCGCCCAAAAAAGGAAATCTGGCCGGGCGCAGTGGCTCACGCCTGTAATCCCAGCACTTTGGGAGGCCAAGGCAGGCGGATCACGAGGTCAGGAGTTCAAGACCAGCCTGACGAACATGATGAAACCCCGTCTCTACTAAAAATACAAAAATTAGCTGGGCATGGTGGTGCACGCCTGAAATCCCAGCTACTTGGGAGGCTGAGGCAGGAGAATCGCTTGAACCTGGGAGATGGAGATTGCAGTGAGCCGAGATCGGGCCTCTGCACTCCAGCCTGGGTGACAGAGCAAGACTCTGTCTCAAAAAAAAAAAAAAAAAAAAAAAATCTATAAATACAGTACTAAGATTAATGAGTGAGTTTATCAAGGTTGCTGGATACAGGGTTAATAGAACAATATTAGTAGCGTTTCTACATACCAGCAAGAAATAAATAGGTAATGAAAAATATAAAGATAACATTTATAATAACATGAAGCTATTTTAAGTGCCTAGGAATAGATCTAATAAAAAAAATACAAAACTTCTATGCCAAAACCTATAACCATTATTATTATTATAGACAGGGTCTCTCTGTTGCCCAGGCTGGAGTGCAGTGGCATGATCTTGGCTCACTGCAACCTCTGCCTCCCAGCTTCAAGAGATTCTTGCGCCTCAGGCTCCTGAATAGCTGGGACTAAAGGCATGCACCACCATGCCCAGCTAATTTTTTGTATTTTTGGCAGAGATGAGGTTTCACCATCGTGCCCAGGCTGCTCTTGAACTCCTGACCTCAGGTGATCTGCCCGCCTTGGCCTTTCAAAGTGCTGGGATTACAGGGGTCAGCCACCATGCCCAGCCTATAATCATTATTATTATCAAGAACAGTGTTAATCCATGAGGATTAACAGATTTAAGCATGAAAGGCAAATTTATAAAGTGTTTAGAAGTTATGTGGAAGAATAACTTCATGATCTGGGGGTTAAGAAAGACGTATTAGGGCCGGGCGCGGTGGCTCATGCCTGTAATCCCAGCACTTTGGGAGGCCGAGGCGGGCAGATCACCTGAGGTTGGGAGTTTGAGACCAGCCTGACCAACATGAAGAAACCCCATCTCTACTAAAAATACAAAATTAGCCAGGTGTGGTGGTGCATGCCTATAATCTCAGCTACTCGGGAGGCTGAGGCAGGAGAATGGCTTGAACCTGGGAGGTGGAGGTTGCGGTGAGCCAAGATCGCGCCATTGCACTCCAGTCTGGGCAACAAGAGCGAAACTCTGTCTCAAAAAAAAAAAAAAAAAAGAAAGAAAGATGTATTAAATAGCTTTTAGAAAATATTAACCATGAGGGAACTGATAAATTTGAGTTCATTAAAATTTAGAACATTTTTTCATCAAAAGACACCAATATAATAATAACAATAATAATAATTTATAGGTTTTGGTATAGAAGTTTTGTACTTTTGTGTTAGATCTATTCCTAGGCACAGAAAATATCTTGTTATTATAAATGTTATCTTTATTTTTTTATTACCTATTTATTTCTTGCTGGTATGTAGAAACGCTATTAATATTGTTTTCTATTAACCCTGTATCCAGCAACCTTGCTAAACTCACTCATTAATCCTAGTAATGTATTTATAGATTTTTTTTTTTTTGAGACAGAGTTTTGCTCTTGTTGCCCAGGCTGGAGTGCAATGGCATGATCTCGCAGACTGCAACCTCCACCTTCTGGGTTCAGTGATTCTTCTGCCTCAGCCTCTCGAGTAGCTGGGACTAAAGGCATACGCCACCATGCCTGGCTAGTTTTGTATTTTTAGTAGAGATGGGGTTTCACCATGTTGGCCAGGCTGGTCTCGAACTCCTGACCTCAGGTGATCTGCCCACCTAGGCCTCCCAAAATGCTGGGATTACAGGCATGAGCCATTGCGCCCGGTGATTTTTTTCCTTTTTATATACAGAATCATATCCATAAATAATAGTTTTATTTCTTCTTTTCTAAACCATTTTTTTCATTTTATTGTACCTTGTGTCAATGACTCATTGCCACCATAATGCTGCATAACAAACCACCTCAAACTTCAATGACTTAAAACAAGAATTTTTTATTACAGCTTATGAGTCATTATTTTGGGCTCAGCTAATATAAAAGGGAATGGGCTGCCTCTTGGCTAATCTAGACTAGCTTGAGCTAGTACCACTGGAGTGATTCAGCTCTAATATATATTTCAGTTTCCAGCAGATTAGCCCAGACATGTCCTCATAGCGATGGCGGAAGAGTTAGAGAATAAGCAGTAACAAGTAAGGTCTCTTGCAGCACAGGCGCTGAATCGGCATACAAGCCCAGGTTCAAGGAGCAGGAGAGTAGATATGATCTTAGACAAACTGTAGAATCACATTGCAGAGGGGGTGGATATAGGAAAAATTGAAGACTTGGTACCATGAAGGCCATCAGTCTACACAAACTTTAAATTCAATTTGACTAGAAGGGATGGTGGCAGACATCCTTGTCTTATTCCTGACTTTGAAGGAAAACCCTTCAATGTTTTATCAAGTATAATGTTTACTTTATGCTTTTTTTATAAATACCTCCTATGAAATTAAAGATGTTCTTTTCTACTCTAATTTGCTAAGAGGTTGGCTTTTATCTTATTTTTTATTTTGTAGAGAAGGGATCTCGCTGTGTTGCAAGGGCTTATCTCAAACTCTTGGCCTCAGGCAGTCCTCCTGCCTCATCCTCCCAAAGTCCTGTCCTGGGATCACAGCACGAGCCACCATGCCCAGCTACTTTTGTTAATAAATGAATGGTTATTGGGTTTCATCAAATATTCTACAAATTGAGATGGTCATATGATCTGTATCCTTATTATGTTATCACTGATTTTCTTTTAAGCAAAATCATTTGTGATATATAGTTTTCATGTATTGATGGATTTCATTTGCTGGTTATTTTTTGGGACCTTTGCATCAAGGTTTATGAATGACATTGGTGTGTGATTTTATCATAATTCCCTTGCTAGACTAGGTACTCAAGTTATACTCGTCTTGCCACTTTTTCTATTCTGGAAGATTTTACACCAAACTGACAGCATTTACTTCTTAAATGTCTGACACGATTCAGTGAAGTCATCTTCACCAGAAGTTTGCTTTGGAGCAAAGTTACTAATTACAGAAGCAATTTATTCAGTGGTCCCCAATCTTTTTGGCACTAGTGTGGGGGGTGGTTTCAGGATGAAACTGTTCCACCTCAGATCATCACACATTCCATTCTCATAAGGAGCGTGCAACCTAAATCCCTCACATGCACAGTTCACAGCAGGGTTCTAGCTCCTGTGAGAACCTAATGCTGCCGTTGATCTCACAGGAGACAGAGTTCAGGCAATAATCCCTGCTTGCCTTCCACTCAACTCCTGCTGTTTGGCTGGTTCCTAACAGGCCACAGTCAGTCAGGTTTACTAATTGTTCAAATATTTTTTATATAGGCATTTATTGCTTTAAGTTTCCCTCTTAGTACTGCTTTTGCTGTATTTGTAGGTTTTATTATTTTTATTTATTCATTTAATCTTTGAGACAGAGTCTCACTCTGTTGCCCAGGCTGGAGTGCAATGGCACAATCTCGGCTCACTACAACCTCTGCCTCCCGGGTTCAAGTGATTCTCCTGCCTCAGCCCCCTGAGTAGCTGGGACTACAGGCACCCATTGCCATGCCTGGCTAATTTTTGTATTTTTTGTATTTTCACTATGTTGGCTAGGCTGGTCTCGAAATCCTGACCTCAAGTGATCCTCCCGCCTCGGCCTCCAAAAGTGCCGGGATTACAGGCATGAGCCACCATGCCCAGCCTCCACAGGTTTCAATATGCTGTATTCCCATTTTCCTTTGTGTCGAATTTCCTTTTTGATTTCTTTATCAACCCATTGGTGGTTTAGGAGCATGTTGCTTAATTTCCAAATATTTGTTTCCAATGTTCTGCCTATTAATTTCTAGATTTACTCTATTGTCAAAAAAGATAATATGATTTAGCTTTTTAAAATTTGTTAAGACTTGTATTATGGCCTAACATATCATCTATACTAGATAATGTTCCATGTGGTTTTGAGAAGAATGTGTATTCCATGGCTACTGGATGGAAGGTTCTGTAAGTGTCTTGTTAGGTCTGTTTGGTCTGGAGTGTAGTTTAACTCTGATATTTCTTTGTTGATTTTTGTCTGGATGATCTGTCCATTGCTGAAAGTGGAGTGTTGAAATCCTCTACTATTACTGTATTGCAGTCTATCTCTCCCTTTAGGTTTATTTAAGATTTGCTTTATAAATTTAGATGTTCCAATATTGGGTGCATATATATTTATTATTGTTATATCCTCTTGTTGAATTGACTATTTTACCATTCTATAATGGCCTCTTTGTCTCTTTTTACAGTTTTAGGCTTAAGATCTATTTTATCTGATATAACTACTTGTTCTTTTTTGCTTTGCATTTGCAGGAAATATCTTCCCATCCCTTCACTTTCAGTCTGTGTGTGTCCTTTCAGGTGAAGCGAGTCTTTTGTAGACAACATATTCAGTTGACCCTTGAATGATGTAGGGTTAGGGGCACCAACCCCCATGTAGTTGAAAATCTGCGAATAACTTTTGACTCCCCCAAAACTTAACTACTAATAGCCTAATGTTGACCCGAAGCCTTACCAACAATATAAAAAGTCGATTAACACATATTTTATATGTTGAATCTATTATACACTATATTTTCCAATAAAGCAACCTAGAGAAAAAATGTTATCAAGAAAATCATAAGGAAGATAAAATATATTTAATGTTTATCAAGTGGAAGTGATCATCACACAAAGGCCTTCATCCTCGTGGTCTTCACATCGAGGAGTCTGAGGGAGAGGAGGAGGAAGGGCTGGTCTTGCTGACTCGGAGTGGCAGAGGTGGAAGAAAATCTGCATGACATTGGACTCCTGCAGCTCAAACTCATATTGTTCAATGGCCAACTTTAGTTAGGTCATGTTTTTTAATCCGTTCAGCCAGTCTGTCTTTTAACTGGAGAATTTAATCCATTTACATTCATGGTAATTATTGATAGGTAAGGGCTTACTACTGCCATTTTGTTACTTTTTCCTAGTTGTTTTGTAGATCTTTTCTTCCTTTTTCTCTTAGTCTTCCTTTCTGATTAAGGGATTTTCTCTAAAAATCTGGAAAAATGAGAACAAATGAAACCCCAAGTTAGTAAAGGAAAAAAAAATAAAGATCAGAGCAGAAATAAACTAGAGAATTAAATACAAAAGATCAACGAAACAAAGAGTTGGTTTCTGAAAAGATAAACAAAATCAACAAACCTTTAGCTAGACTAAGTATGAAAGAGAGATGATTCAAATAGATCAAAGGCCGGGTGCAGTGGCTCACGCCTGTAATCTCAGCACTTCGGGAGGCTGAGGTGGGTGGATCACCTGAGGTCAGGAGTTCAAGACCAGCCTGGCCAATAGGGTGAAACCCTGTCTCTACTAATAATACAAATATTGGCTGGGCATGGTGGTGGGCACCTGTAATCCCAGCTACTAGGGAGGCTGAGACAGGAGAATCACTTGAACTGGGAGGCGGAGGTTGCAGTGAGCTGAGATCACGCCATTGTACTCCAGCCTGGGCAACAAGAGTGAGAGTGTCTCAAAAAAAAAAAAAAATGACAAAGGAGACATCACAATTGGTATCACAGAACTACAAAGGATCATTAGAGACTATTATGAACAACTATATGGAAAACTTAGAAGAAATGGATAAATTCCTGGACACATATAACCAGCCAATATTATGAAGAATTAGAAAACCTGAACAGACCAATAATGAGCAACAAGCTTGAATTAATAAAAAGTTTTCCATTGAAAAAAAGCTCTGGATCTAATGAATTCAGTTACAAATTCTACCAAACATTTAAAGAACTGTAGCTGGGCATGGTGACACGTGCCTGTACTCCCAGCTACTTGGGAGGCTGAGGTGGAAACATCAGTTGAGTCCAGGAGTTCAAGTCCAGCCTGGGCAACATAGACCCTATTTCTTTCCTTCTTTTTTTTTTTTTTTTTGAGACAGAGTCTCACTCTGTCACCCAGGCTGGAGTGCAGTGGCGTGATCTCAGCTTATTGCAACCTCCACCTGGTTGAAGTGATTCTCCTGCCTCAGTCTCCTGAGTGGCTGGGACTACAGGTGCACTCCACCATGCCCAGCTAACTTTTTGTATTTTAGTAGCGACAGGGTTTCACCATGTTGCCCAGGCTAGTCTCAAACTCCTGAGCTCAGGTAATCCTCCTGCCTCGGCTTCCCAAAAAGGTGGGATTACAGGTGTGAGCCACTGGGCCTGGCCGATGCTATTTCTTTAAAATAGCACATCAAGAAGGTCATTTGCCATGATTAAGTGGGATTCATCCCAGGGATGCAAGGATGGTTCAACATATGCAAATCAATAAACATGATACATCACATTAATAGAAGGACAAAAACCATATGATCTCAAATTCAACATGCCTTCATGATGAAAACCCTTAACAAATTAGATATAGCAGGAACATAGTTGGTTACAATAAAGGCCATATATAACAAACCCACAGCTAGCATCATACTCAATGGGGAAAAAGTTGAAAGCTTTGCCTCTAAAATACAGAAAAACACAAGGTTGTACCACTTCTATTCCACATAGTACTGGGAGTCCTAGCCAGAGCAATTAGGCCAGGGAAAGAAAGAAAGGGCATCCAGGGGTGGGGGCGCATGCCTGTAATCCCAGCTACTCGGGAAGCTGAGGCAAGAGAATCACTTGAACCCAGAAGGCAGAGGTTGTGGTGAGCCAAGATCATGTAATTGCACTCCAGCCTGGGCAACAAGAGCGAAACTCCATCTCAAGAGAAAAAAAAGCATCCAACTGAAAAGAAGGAAGTCAAATTGTCCTTGTTTGCAGAAGACATGATCTTATATATAGAAAACCCTACAGCCTCTCCAAAAACCTGTTAGATTAAACAAGTTCAGTGAAGTTGTAGGACACAAAATTAACATACAAAAATCACTAGTGTTTCTATATACCAACACCAAACTATCTGAAAAAGAAATCAAGAAAACAATCCTGTTTTCAATAATAACAAAAATAAAATACATAGGAACAAATTTAACCAAGGAGGTAAAAGATCTCTACAATGAAAACTATAAAAAATTGGTGGAAGAAATTGAAGAGATTACTAATAAATGGAAAGACATCCAATGCTCATGGATTGGGAGAATTAATATTGCTAAAGTGTCCATACTACTCAAAGTAATGTACAGATTCAATGCAATTCCTGCAAAAATACCAATGACATTTTTCACAAAAAAATCCTAAAATTTGTATGGTGTAGGGACTAGCCCCACAGGGTCAGTGGGTTTTTCTCCGTGTGTGTGGAGATGAGAGATTGTAGAAATAAAGACACAAAACAAAGAGATAAAAGACAGCTGGGCCCGGGGGACCACTATCACCAAGAGGCAGAGACTGGTAGTGGCCCCAAATATCTGGCTGTGCTGTTATTTATTGGATACAAGACAAAGGGGCAGGGTAAAGAGTGTGAGTCATCTCCAATGATAGGTAAGGTCCCCTGGGTCATGTGTCCACTGGACAGGGGGCCCTTCCCTGCCTGGCAGCCGAGGCAGAGAAAGGAGAGAGAGACAGCTTATGCCATTATTTCTGCATATCAGGGACTTTTAGTACTTTCACTGATTTTGCTACTGCTATCTAAATGGCAGAGCCAGGTGTACAGGATGGAACATGAAAGCGGACTAGGAGCGTGACCACTGAAGCACAGCATCACAGGGAGATGGTTAGGCCTCTGGATAACTGCGGGTGAGCCTGACTGATGTCAGGCCCTCCACAAGAGGTGGAGGAGTAGAGTCTTCTCTAAACTCCCCCGGGGAAAGGCAGACTCCCTTTCCCAGTCTGCTAAGTAGTGGGTGTTTTTCCTTGGCACTGACGCTACCGCTAGACCACAGTCTGCTTGGCAACGGTTGTCTTCCCAGACGCTGGCGTTACCGCTAGACCAAGGAGCCCTCTAGTGGCCCTGTCTGGGCATAACAGAAGGCTCGCACTCTTGTCTTCTGGTCACTTCTCACTATGTCCGCTCACCTCCTGTCTCTGTATGGCCTGGTTTTTCCTAGGTTATGATTGTAGAGCGAGGATTATTATAATATTGGGATAAAGAGTAATTGCTACAAACTAATGATTAATGATATTCATATGTAATCATGTCTATGATCTAGATCTAGTATAACTCTTGTTGTTTTTACATATTTTACTATAGTGGAACAGCTCATGCCCTCGGTCTCTTGCCTTGGCTCCTAGGTGGCTTGCCGCCCAGAGTATGGAATAACAAAAGACCCTGAATAGCCAGAGCATTTTTTTTTTTTTTGAGATGGAGTCTCACTCTGTTGCCCAGGAGGCTGGAGTGCAGTGGCATGATTTCAGCTCACTGCAACCTCCGCCTCCGGGGTTCAAGTGATTCTCCTGCCTCAGCTCCTGAGTAGCTGGGACTAAAGGCGTATGCCATCATGCCCAGCTAATTTTTTGTATTTTTAGTGGAGATGGGGTTTCACCATATTGGCCAGGCTGGTCTCCAACTCCTGACCTCAGGTGATCCACCTGCCTCAGCCTCCCAAAGTGCTGAGCCACTGAACCCGGCTGATGTTGAGCATTTATTTATATACTTGTTGGCCATTTGTATGTCTTCTTTGGAGAAATATCTACTCAGGTCCTTTGTCCACTTTTTAATTAGGTCGTTTGGTTTGTTTGCTATTAAGTTGTATGAGTTCCATTCATATTTCGGATGTACATTGCAAATATTTTCTGATTCCATAGATTGCCTTTTTTTTTTTTTTTTTTTTTTTTGAAATGGAGTCTCACTCTGTCACCCAGGCTGGAGTGCAGTGGCGCAATCTCCGCTCACTGCAAGCTCCGCCTCCCGGGTTCATGCCATCCTCCTGCTTCAGCCTCCCGAGTAGCTGGGACTACAGGCACCCGCCACCACACCCAGCTAATTTTTTGTATTTTTAGTAGAGACGGGGTTTCACCATGTTAGCCAGGATGGTCTCGATCTTCTGACCTCGTGATCTACCTGTCTCGGCCTCCCAAAGTGCTGGGATTACAGGCGTGAGCCACCGCGCCTAGCCTCTTTTTTTTTTTTTCCTGCTGTGCAGCTTTGGCAGATGCTAGGGCTTATGGGGAATGGGGAGATGTTGGTTAAAGGGTACAAACTTTGAGTTATAAGATTATTAAGTTCTGGGGATCTAATATATACATGGTGGCTACAGTTAATAATACTGTATTATTTACCTGAATTTGATAAGAGAACAGATTTTTTTTTTTTTATTTGAGACAGTCTCGCTCCATCGTGCAGGCTAGGGTACACTGGTGCAATCTCAGCTCACTACAACCTCTGCCTCCTGGGTTCAAGTGATTCTCCTGCCTCAGCCTCCCGAGTAGCTGGGATTACAGGCACCCACCACCACACCTGGCTAATTTTTGTATTTTTAGTAGTTTTGCCACGTTGGCCAGGCTAGTCTTGAACTCTTGACCTCAGGTGATCTGCCCACCTCGGCCTCCCAAAGTGCTGGGATTACAGGCGTGAGCCACCACGCCCGGCCAGAGAACAGATTTTAAGTGTCCTCATCACATACATACGCACGCGCACACACACGATAATTATGGTGGTTATGGATGTGTTAATTTGATTGTGGTAATCATTATACAGTGTATACATAAATCATATTATGCCTTGAATATATACAGTTTTTGTCAATTAAATATTTTTAAATTTAAAAAGAATATACTTTATTAACCATTAAAATTATTAATTAAATCTGAAAAGCTTTTGAGCTTCGTGTTTTGGGGGCATCAGTAACTGGATCTTTTTTATTGTGTATTACATTGTATGAATATGCCACTATTTGGAGGCTATTGTGAATAAAGTGGCAACAAATATTCTCGTACATATTTTTATGCACATAGACGTGACTTTATGGGTCATAGAACAGGTGTTTTTGTCTTTAGGGAGTCTGCCAAACACCCGTCCAAAATGGTGAAATCACTTTCCGCTCCCGCCAGCGATGGAAGGGCGCTGCGGTCACTGCACATTCTGGACAGTATCTGATGAGCTCAGTGTTTTCAGTTTTGGTCGTGCTGGTAGCTGTGCGGTAGTACCTGATTGTGGCTTTAATTTGCATTTTCATCATGAGTAATGATATCTAGCACTTTTATATGGCTATTGGTCATCTGAATAGCTGCTTTTGTGAAGTCCCTGTTCAAGTCTTTCACCTTTTCTTAGGCTTTTTTTTTTTATTGTTTTGTAGGCATTATTTATATTCTGAATACAAGTCATTTGTCACATGTGTGCATTACAAATGTGTTCCGTCTGTGGCTTACCTATTTACTTTCTTAAAGATGTCATTGAATTTTTAAAAACGTCTTAATTTTAATGAGGTTGAGTTCTAATTTTCTTAGTGCTTTCTTTGTGTATATTTAAGAAAATGTGCTACCCAAAGTCAAAGTGATATTTTCATATTTTTTTGGAATCTCTTTTGTTTTACCCTCCACATTTATATCTATGATTCATCTTGAATTAATGTTCGTGTGTCATGTGAGGTGGGCTCAAGCTTATTTTCTACATAGATATCATTATTCTGGCACTACTTATTGAAAAGACCATCCATCGCCACCCAATCACAGTGGCAATTCTATTATAAATTAAGTGACCACATAGGCTGGAGTATATTTATGGACTCTCTTTTCCATTGATCTATTTATTATCCTTTGCCAACACCACACTCCCACCCCTCTCTCCAGCCCCTCCCCCATCTCCCCCGCCCCTCCCCTCCTGTTTTAATTATGTAGCCTTAGAGTAAATCTTAAGATAATAAGATAAGTCCACGGTAAGTTAAGTCTTCCAACTTTGGTCTTCTTCAAGATAGCCTTAGCCATTCTAAGGTCTTTGGCTTTCCATATAATTTTAGAACGAGCTTGTCTGTTTCCAAAAAACCAACAATATGGGATTTTGTGTTTAAGATTGCCCTGAATCTGTAGATCAATTTGGGGATAATTGACATTGTAAAAATGTTCAACTTGCCAACTCATGAACATGGTAAAATTCTCTAAGTGTTTTGCATTGTTTTGTAGTTTTCAGCGAGGTCTTACACATTTTAACTACATTGATTACTAAGTATTAAATTTCTTTGATGTTTTAAAATAGTATTTTCCAATTATTTGTTGCTACTATACAAAAATATAATTTTTTGTACAATCGCCTTATATATAGGAACTTTGCTAAATTCGATTACAAACTTAATTTCATCCATTTGTAGATTCTTTTTACATATACAATATCTGGGTTTTTTTTTTCCTGAGACAGGGTCTTACTCTTTTGTCCAAGCTGGAATGCAGTGGCATATCAGCTCACTGCAGCCTCAAACTCCTGGGCTGAAGAGATCCTCTCTCCTCAGCCTCCTGTGTAGCTAGGACTACAGGCGTGTACCACCACATCTGGCCAATTTTTTATTTCAATTTTTGTAGAAATGGAGTTTTGCTATGTTGCCCAGGCTGGTCTTGAGCTCCTGGCCTCAACTGATCCTCCTGCCTCACAGTACTAGGATTATAAGCATGAGCCACTGTGCCCAGCTACATACATGATCTCTTGACAGTATACTTACATCACCTTTAAATAAGGAAAGTTTTATTTACTTTGATCTTTATACTTTTTTTTCTTGCCTTATTGCACAGGCTAGGACCTTTAATACAATGTGGAATGAACATCCTTACCTTGTCCCCAAACTCAAGAGAAAAGCATTCATATTTCATTGTTCAGTGTGATGTTAGTTATAGGCTTAAGGAAGCTGTAGATTAAGGAAGTTGCCTTCTATTTCTAGTTTTCCCACCATTTTTTTTTTCAATTGTTCTCCAATATTTTTCTTCTACATATTATGAACCCCACAATACATTGCTGCTATTGTTACTTTAAGCACTCATTAGTCTCAAATTTGCCTACACGGTCTTGCTCTGTTGCCCAAACTGGAGTGCAATGGCATGATCAGCTCACTGCAGCCTCAAAACTTCTGGGGCTCAAGTGATCCTCTCTCCTCAGCCTCCTGAGTAGCTAGGACTACTTTGACCTAGGTAGTAGCTGGGACACCCTTTCAGGTTTTCTTTATTCCTTTCTAAATTTTATGTTATTATTTTTTAACTGACAGATGAAATTGTATGTATTTGTGTTCAACATGATGTTTTGAAATATATATACATTGTGGAATGCTAAATGTAGCTAATTTACATATCTAATATTTTTGTGGTGAGAATATTTAAAATCAGCATTTTTCAAGATTACAGTGTAGTTATTAACTTTAGTCACCATGTTGAATGATAGTTATCTTAAACCTATTCTTTTCATCTAACTGAAATTTTGTATTATTTGACCAACAACTCCCCAGCACCCCACTCCCCCATCATCCCCACTCTGGTAACCACCATTTTAGTCTCTACTTCTAGATCAACTTTTTCAGATTCCACGTATGAGTGAAATCACGCAGTATGTGTTTCTGCGTCTCTTATTTTACTCTTACATCTCTTTCCAGCTCCAATAATATTCCTTCAGCCCAAAGATTTTTAATATTTTTTGCAGTGCTGATGTGCTAATGACAAATTCTCCCAACTTTTGTCTGTCTGGTAGCATTATTTCATCATCTTTTATTATTTTTATTGAGGTGAAATCCACATAACATAAAATTAGCCATTTTAAAGAAACACTTCAGTGGCATTTAGTACTTTCACAATGTTGTGCAACCACTATCTCTATCTAGTTCCAAAACATGTCAACACCCCAAATAGAAACTCTGCACCTGGGAAGCAGTAATTCCTCTCCCTCTGCCCAGCACCCCCCTAGTAACCTCTAATATGCTGTCTCTATGAATTTGCCTATTCTAGATATTTCATATAAATAGAATCATAATATTTGTCTTTTTGTATCTGGCTTATTTCATTTAACATGTTTTCAAGGCTCATCCATGTTATAGCATGTATCTGAATTTCATTTTTTATGGATGAATAATATTCCATTGTAGGGTATACCAGAGTTTATTCTTTTTTAAATCTTTTTTTTTTTTTTTTTTTTTTTTGAGGCGGAGTCTTGCCCTGTCGCCCAGGCTGGAGTGCAGTGGCGCGATCTTGGCTCACTGCAAGCTCTGCCTCCCGGGTTCACACCATTCTCCTGCCTCAGCCTCCCGAGTAGCTGGGACTACAGACGCCTGCCACCATGCCCGGCTAATTTTTTGTATTTTTAGTAGAGACAGGGTTTCACTGTGTTAGCCAGGATGGTCTCAATCTCCTGACCTCGTGATCCGCCCGCCTCGGCCTCCCAAAGTGCTGGGATTACAGGGGTGAGCCACTGCGCCCGGCCTGAGTTCTTCCTTTCAAGTCAGGTGTGTATGTACCCGGAAGTGGAATTGTTGGATCCAATGGTAATTGTTTTACTTTTTGAGGAACTGCCAAACTGGTTTTTACCATGGCTGCTCCAGTGGACATTCTTATCCTCAATGCATAATGATTCTAATTTCACCACATCCTCCCCAGCAGTTGTTATTTCCCACTGATTTTTTTTTTTCTTGTAGCCATCTTCATCAGTGTGAAATGGTAACTCTGGTCTTGATTTGCCTGCCTCTAGTGATTAGCAATGTTGAGCATCTTTTCATCTGCTTTTTGGCCATCTGTTTATCTTCTTGGAAGAAATGTCTATTGATGTCCTTTGCCCTTTTTAAAAAATTGATTTTTAAAGTAACAGATGCAAATTATATATATTTATCATGTACAACGTGATGTTTTGGAACATGTATATGTAGTGAAATGGCGCAATAGGGCTAATTAACATACTTTGCCCATTTTTTTTAACTGAGTTTAGTTTTTTTTCAGTTGTAGGAGTTATTTTTATATTCTGGATACTCGAATCTTACCAAATACTTGATTTGCAAATGTTTTCTCCCATTCGATGGGTTATCTTTTCACTCTCTGATAATGTCTTTTGATGCACAAAAGGACAAATTTTGGTGTCATATTTAAGAAACCATTGCCAAACCAAGGTCATAGAGATTTGCTCCCCAACATTTTCTTCTAAAAGGTTTATAGTTTTTGCTCTTACATGTAGGTCTTTTATCCATTTTGTTAATTATTGTGTAGAGTGTAAGGATCCAAGGTTATTTTTTTTGCATGTGTATATCCAATTTTCCCAATATCTGTTGGAGAAACTGTCTTTTTCTCATTGAGTACTCTTGGCACTCTTGTTGAAAATTGACTACATACATAAAGGTTTATTTCTGGGCTATTCTATCCTATGGTATCCTGTTGGTTTATATGCATTCTTGTACCAGTCCCATGCAGCTTTAATTACTGTAGCAGTATAATAAGTTTTGAAATCAGGAAGCATGAGTCCTCCGACATTGTTCTTTGTCAAGTTTGTTTTGGCTCTTCTGGGCCGCCTTTAATTTCCAGATGAATTATATCATCAGCTGGTCATTTTCTGCAAAGAAGCCAGCTAGGGATTTTGAGATGGACTGCATTAATTCTATAGATCAACTTGGGAAATATTGCCATCTTAATACTTAGTTTTCTGGTTCATAAACATGGGATTTCTTTTCATTAAATCTTCTTTCAACATGTTTTGTAATTTTCAGAGTATAAAATTTGTCCTTTTGTTAAATGTATTACTAAGTATTTTATTTTTTTTTTTGACACTGCATTAGGCCACTTTTGCATTGCTATAAAGGAATACCTGACTGGTATTCCTATTGGTCTATTGTGCATCCTTATACCAGTCCCATGCTGCTTTAATTTATAAAGAAAAGAGGTTTTATTTTGGCACACGGTTCTGCAGGATATACAGGAAGCATAGTGCTAGCATCTGCTTCTGCTGAAGGCCTCAGGACACTTAAAATCTTGGTGGAAGGTCATAAAGAGCCAGCATGTCACTTCTACTACACACGAGCAGAAGCAAGAGAGAGAGGAGGAAGAGCCACACACTCTTAACCAGATCTCACAAGAAGCCATTCACTATCAAGAGGTCAGCAACAAGCCATTCATCAGAGATCTGGCCCCATGACCCAAACACCTCTCACCAGGCCCCACCTCCAACAGTAGGGATTACATTTCAACATGAGATTTGGAGGGGACAAACATCCAAACTGTATCACATACTATCATATATGGAACAGTTTTCTTAAATTTTGGATTTTTTGCAAGTATATAGAAATACAATTTTTGTATATTGATCTTGTATTCTGCAACCTTACTGAACCTATTGGAGTTCTAATAGTTTAGTGGATTCCTTAGGATTTTCTTTATACAAGATCATGTTATATGGGAAGAGAGACAGTTTATTTCTTTTTCATTCTTGATGTCTTTTATTTTATTGTCTTGCCTAATTTCTCTGGCTAGAATCTCCAGTACAATATTGAACAGAAGTGGTGAGAAAAACACTCATGTCTTATTCCTGATCTTGGAAAGGATTCAGTTTTCACCATTAAGTATGATGTTAACCATAGATTTTTTTTTGTAGATTCCCTTTATCAAGTCAAGATTTCCTTCTATTTCTAGGTTTGTTGAGTGTTTATCATGAAAGGTGTTGGATTTTGTCAAGTGCTCTTTATATATCTACTGTGATGATCATATGGGTTTTGTTCTTTATTGGGTTTTGTTCTTTATTCTATTGATATAACATTGATTTTCAGATATTAAACCAACCTTGCATTCCTGGAATAAATCCTGCTGGTCATAATGTATATTCCTCAAAGGGCACAGCTTTAGACATGCATTGTCACCCTAGGATGACAGTGGTTTTAGGTGGGCTCTCCTGTCTCTTTCCCTCACCACACTCAGCTTTTAGGCTCCACTAATTGCCACCTGATTATTGTTTTTGACAATGCTCTGAGGCATAAATTGTTCTGCATCTGGTCCACTTAAATTTAGGCTCCCTTAAAGGAGTAGTTTTAGAGGTTGGTGTTTGAGAGTTGTTCTGAACCCAGGAGTGACCTTCTTAGCTGTTTCCCTGATTCTCTCTGGTATACTAGTTGGCCTGTGGTTTAGCTTGTGTCTCATGAAGCTACCAGCTTCCTCTTAATTACTTACCAACAGAACCTCCTCCACCATTTTCGAGCATGCCCTTAGGCTTGAGCTCTCCCACGCTGTTTCAAGTCAAGTCAGTTCTTTGGGGAGAGACTTTCAGAGCTCTTTGTTCTGAAGGCTTGGCTTTCTCCCTGAGTAAAATCTCCAGAGATGGGTAGGGACAGTGGCCTATTTCTCTCTGAGCGACACAGCTGCCTTAGCAGCAGGTTGCTGGATGGGGCATTAAACTTTCTTATCAACTTGCCTCTCCTGGAATGTAACCTTAGCCTTACACATGAGCTAGGGCCAGGGGAGATCAGGGCTCCAGCATTCTCAAATGGCTGGGGTGGAGCCTCTGCCCTAAAAGAGGGGAGGAGCAGTACTGGATAGAAGAAGGGAGCTCCTGACCTTTTTACCACACTTGCAACAGGTAGCTGGAGAGGAATGAGAAATGCTGGTGGCCTGTCCCTCCTGGGAAGATACTATAGCCTTCAACTGGAAGCAAGGCAGAGAAAGAGCCGTGTGTGTGTGTGTGTGTGTGTGTGTGTGTGTGTGTGTGTGTGTGTATATATATATATAAATTTTTTTTTTAATACGGAGCCTTGCTGTCACCCAGGCTGGAGTGCAGTGGCGTGATCTTGGCTCACTGCAACCTCCACCTCCCGGGTTCAAGCAATTCTCCTGCCTCATCCTCCCGAGTAGCTAGGATTACAAGCACGTGCCTGGCTAATTTTTGTATTTTTAGTAGAGATAGGGTTTTGCCGTGTTGGCCAGGCTGATCTCAAACTCCTGACCTCAAGTGACCTGCCTGCCTTGGCCTTCCAAAGTGCTGGGATTACAGGTGTGAGCCACTGTGCCTGCCCAGAATTTTAGTATATTTTCTTGAATAAATATTTTGTCACTTGCTATATGCCCTTAGGACAATTTCTAGAGACCGTAAATGTTTTTCTTTATATTTCTCACAAGTTGACTTGTTTTACTAGGGAGTGGGTCCATAGAGCTCCTCATGCTGCCTTTCCAAAGGTGGAATCCCAACGAAGCTTTTAAAGTCTACCCATCGTGGCTGGCCGCAGTGGCTCATACCTGTAATCCCAGTACTTTGGGAGGCCAAGGTGGGTGGATCATGAGGTCAGGAGATCAAGACCAGCCTGGCCAACATGGTGAAACCCTGTCTGTACTACAAATATAAAAATTAGCCGGGTATGGTGGTGCATGCCTGTAATCCCAGCTACTCGGGAGGCTGAGGCAGAAGAATCGCTAGAACCTGGGTGGCAGAGGGTGCAGTGAGCCAAGATCACGCCACTGCACTCCAGCCTGGGCGACAGAGTGAGACTGTGTCTCAAAAGAAAAAAAATTCTACCCATCTCTATCCCCACCTTAGACTTAATCTAGAGGAGTGAGGCTAGCAGAATGGAAGGCAGGAATCTGTATCATTTTAGAGCTCCCCCAGTGACTGTGATAAACAGCTGTGTTTGTAAAACCTGGCCTAGAAGTCTATGTGCATTAGTTGGGCCTAAAAGTTTCCAAGTACACCAGAAGTCAACGGGAAAGAAACCTGAGTGTATCCATTGTTTACTGTGCTCTTGGCACTCAATATTCCATTGTGTTATTTTAATCATTTCAGACAGGACTGGTGTTCAGCTGATACTCCAGTGTTTATGGCTGGCATTCATTCTGATTGGTGAGTGCTCACACCATAGCTTTTATTAAATATTTTGAAATTCACCGCTGCTTTTAAGATGAGAAAAACAGAACTGGGTGTGGCGGCTCACACCTGTAATCCCAGCACTTTGGGAGGCCGAGACAGGCAGATCACTTGAGGTCAGGAGTTCTGAGACCAGCCTGGACAACATGGCAAAACCCTGTCTCTACTAGAAATACAAAAATTATCTGATATAGTAGGACACACCTGTAATCCCAGCTACTCGTGAGGCAGGAGAATCCCTTGAACCTGGGAGGCGGAGGTTGCAGTGAGCTGAGATCATGCCACTCACTCCAGCCTGGGTGGCAGAGTAAGACCCCATCTCAAAAAATATATATGTATATTGCCCATAAGTTAGTAACTCATAAGGAGAAGGGCCAAGATTTAAACTCTGGCCCTCATTTCTCCAAAGCCCTGGTTATGAAATTTCACAGCCTGGCACCTGAGACGTGTCCTTTAAATTCTGCTGCTCTTGGTGACCCAAGATTTTCTCAGGATTTACCGGGCCTGAAAGAAGAGCCACGGAGTCCCTTGAGGAATTATCTGACAGAGAAAGAGTCTTCTAAGAAATTCCAGACCCCCAACTCCCTGTCCTGGAGGCTCAAGACCAAGGAGATCCAGGCCACCAAGACCCAAAACTACTTCGTTCAACCTAAAAACACTGAGAGCATCTTGATCCAGATTGCCTTCTCTGTCGGGCTGGGCAGCGTGTGGCGTTCTCCTTACCTGTGTCACCGGAACGGAGGAGGTAAGGCCAGGGGCCTGGGTCCTGAGCTTAAGGAAGGCGTTTCAAGGCTGGGAGCTTGGAGTCCTGGGCCCTGAAGGAGGAGAAAGCTGGGGTTGGGCACGTGGGCTCCTAGGGGAAAATGGGGACAGGGCCAGGACTCCTGGCTGCCTGAGCACAGCCCCTGGCTCCCTTCCCAGGCAGCTTCATCCTGATGTACTTCTTCATGCTTCTCTTATTCGGGATCCCGCTCTTATACATGGAGGTGATCATGGGGCAGTGGCTGCATGTGGACAACATCCGGGTCTGGAAGCAGCTTGTCCCCTGGCTGTGCAGCATGAGCTATGCTCACAGTCTGGTAAATGAGGGACCCAGCCCCAGGCCATCCCCGATCTCCCTCTGTGGTCTCCAGGTCTCTGCCCACCGTGTCCACCCCCAGGTGTGCGCCTCGGTGAGCTTGTACAACAGCACCATCATCTCCTGGAATTTCTTCTACTCCTTTGCTCACCCCCTGCCCTGGGACCACTGCCCACTGGTGAAGAACATCAGTGTCACTGGTGAGGAGAGGGGCCAGCAGGGCCAAGGGAGGCAGGGACACCAAGGGGAGGAAGTGAACAGAAGTAGGCACCGAGCAAGGTGGTACCTGAGTCCCCTCCCCGAGACGTCTCTTGCCTTCAGACTGGGCCCACCAGTACTTCTTGTACCACACTACCCTCCATGCCTCGGACCACAGTGAAGAAGCGGCTGAAGCCCTCGTCCCGAACCGCAGCCTGGGTTGTCTTCTCGGTCGTGATCACAGGGATTTGGATTTCAACGCCGGTAAGCTCCCCTGACGGCCAGCCCCGCTACCCTGTCACCTTTGCAAATCCGAAGACTTCCACACTCTCCACCCCAACACAGCCCAACTCTTCCCTGTTGACTGCTCTTCTGCAATCCCTGTGACCCTTCCACCTGCCCTGAGGACAAGCTCAGATATGCCTCAGCCTCCCAAATGGCTGGGATTACAGGCACCTGCCACCACACCCGGCTAATTTTTGTATTTTTAGTAGTTTTGCCATGTTGGCCAGGCTAGTCTTGAACTCTTGACCTCAGGCTGAGGCAGGAGAATCGCTTGAACCTGGGAGGTGGAGGTTGCAGTGAGCTGAGATCGCGCCACTGCACTCTAGCCTGCATGATGGAGCTAGACTCAGATGTGGCCACCCGGCGTCTCCCTCCAGGGGTCCGAGGAAGATTCTGTACTCTCCTCAGACAAGCTAAGTCGGCCAGGTCTCTCTACAGAGAACTGCTGTCCCATTGACAGCGTGAAGAAATGCCTCACTATCAACCAGATCCCCACATCGCTGCAGGCAGACACCTGTGGGCAACCTTTCAGATCAGACCACAGTCTCCCCAGCTGAGTCCTGCAACCTCCACCTCCCTGCATTTTGACAACATGTTAACCCCTAAAGGAGCTGAGTGGCACCAATTCCATTCCAGGTACCCATTTGGAGCTTTTTTTTTTTTTTTTTGAGACTGAGTTTTGCTCTTGTTGCCTAAGCTGGAGTGCAATGGCGCTATCTCAACTCACTGCAACCTCTGCCTCCCAGGCTCAAGTGATTCTCCTGCCTCAGCCTCCTGAGTAGCTGGGATTACAGGCACCCACCACCATGCCAGGTAATTTTTTGTATTTCTTTATTTTTTTGAGACGGAGTCTCACTGTGTTGCCAGGCTGGAGTGCAACAGTGTGCTCTCGGCTCACTGCAGCCTCCGCCTCCCGGATTCAAGCGATTCCCCTACCTCAGCCTCCTGAGTAGCTGGGACTACAGGCACATGCCACCATGCCCAACTAATTTTAGTAGAGACGGGGTTTCACCATGTTAGCCAGGATGGTCTTGATCTCTTGACCTCGTGATCACCCGCCTCGGCCTCCCAAAGTGCTGGGATTACAGCCATGAGTCACCACGTCCAGCGGTTTTTATTTTGTTTTTTTTTTTTTAAGATGGTGTCTTGCTCTGTTACCCAGGCTGGAGTGCAATGGCATGATCTCGGCTCACTGCAACCTCTGCCTCCCAGGTTCAAGCAATTCTCCTGCCTCAGCCTCCTGAGTAGCTGCGACTATAGGTGCCCATGACCACACCCAGCTAACTTTTATATTTTTTAGTAGGGATGGGGTTTCACCATGTCGGCCAGGCTGGTCTTGAACTCCTGACCTCAAGTGATCTACCCACCTCCCAAAGTGCCTGGATTATAGGTGTGAACCACCACACCCAGCCTGGGAGTATTTTCTTTCAATCCATCTCCTTGGCATCTGGATCATGCTCCCTTTACATAGAAAATGTATTTCAGGCCGGGTGCAGTGGCTCACACCTGTAATCCCAGTACACTGGGAGACCGAGGTGGGAGGATTGATTGAGCCCAGGAGTTCAAGACCAGCCTGGCCAATATGGTGAAACCCCATCTCTACTAAAAATACAAAAATTAGCCATGTGTGGTGGTGCATGCCTGTAGTCCCAGCTACTCGAGAGGCTGAGGCAGGAGAATCGCTTGAACCCTAGAGGCAGAGGTTGCAGTGAGCTGAGATCGCGCCACTGCACTCCAGCCTGGGCGACAGAGCAAGACCCCATCTTAAAAAAAAAAAAAAAAAAAAGAAAATGTATTTCAGTGTGTTTATCAGATTATTTTGGTAAACTCTACCTGTACCTCCTGGTCCCTGCATTCATGCAGGTGGTCACCTTTCACGTCATCCATCTCCACCCCTGGAGACTCAGCTCGCCATCTCTTCACAGCCTCCAAAAATAAACCACTCCTACAAAAGTAGACTTTACTAAAGGTTTGATAGGGATATGCAGAGAGAGGGGCCATAGCTCAACTACCTCCGGGGCAAATCACTAAAATTCCTCTTAGTTATGTTATTCTCTCTCAAAGTCTCTTCTCAGTTTCTTTTCCTCTCCTTAAACTCACACATAAGCCGTAAATCCAAGGCCGGGGAATTAAGTGTCCAACTACCCACCCTTTCAAAGCCATCTTTACTTGGAGTCTCGCCCCTGACTCCTGGGCAGCTTATTGTTTGCTCCAAACCACAAATATTGTCTCCTTAGAATCGTCCTCCCATAATTCCATCGTGTTACTTCTGGGCCACCTTGACACCGTTCATATTTCTACTCCTGACTGGGAGGCCCCTGCTGATGCTCACCTCTGTCTTCCTCTCCTCCCCTCCGTCATCCTCCTCTGCCTCTTCCTGGAAGGTGTGGTCACGAGCCTCAGACGTATGATCACCACAGAGGTGAGGCCCGGGACTCCAAACCTTCTCCCTCTCTCGACTCTCAAGACCTCAGAGTCTCCTTCCCCCACATCTCCTTTCTTTCTGCCCCCAGCCTCCCTTTTATCCTTTTGCTCTCTACCTTAGCCGACCCCTTAGCCTGCTTATTTACTGGTAGTCCTACCCTTCCAAGCCCACTCCTAAAAACTTCTCAGTCACCCACAGCTCTCTGCCTTATCCTCCCTGGACCTGTGGCATCAAGCAGGGGCCGTGTACCCTCTTCCCTGAGCCTGGGCATGGGGACCATCATCACCTTCACCTCCTACAAGGCCGGAGGTGACGATTATGTCAAGGTGGCTGCCATTGCAGCCCTGGTCAACCTGATAACCTCAACGCGGACAACATCCCTCGTCTTTCTAGTGCAGGGATTCTGGGCCACCACCAATGGCCACGCCTGTGTTGAGAAGTAAGTAATCAGAGCCTCACAGGTACAAGGAAAGGCCCCTCCCTTTACCTTAGCAATCCATCAGCTTCATGGCCCTTCAGACTTCAGACCTTTCCATTCATAATAACATCCTTTCTTCTCGCAGCCATTAAAAAAAGGAACGCGGCCAGACACAGTGGCTCACGCCTGTAACCCAGCACTTTGGGAGACCAAGGCAGATGAATCACCTGAGGTCAGGAGTTTGAGCCCAGCTTGGGCAACATGGTGAAACCCCATCCCCATTAAAAAATACAAAAATTAGCCAGACATGGTGGCACGCCCCTGTGGTCCCAGCTACTCTAGAGGCTGAGGCAGCAGAATCGCTTGAACCCAGGAGGCAGAGGTGGAGGCTGCAGAGAGTCGAGATCACGCCACTGCGCTCCAGCCCATGTGACAGAGCGAGACTCGGACTCAAACAAAAAAGGAATGCTCTAATATAATATCCACCACTTTATAGGTAAGAAAATAGTCTCAGAGATGCGACTGTTCTAAGCTTTCCATAAATCGCAAATAGAGGGAGGAAGATTCCAAAATCAATTCTATAACTCACAAAAGAAGGCTGTTACAGCTCATGGGGCCACAATCAGTGGTTATACACCCAGGCTGTATATTTGAATCATTTGGGGAACATGAGAAAACGCTCCTGAGTTCCTCCTCCAGAGATTCTGACTTACTTGGTCTTGGGTGCATCCAGGCATTGGGATTCACAAATGCTTCACAGCAGAATTTTTCTTCTAGTCAGAATGTTGAAGGATACAAACCTCCCAGCTTTGATGGTAGCGGGAGCTTTTGAAATGAATAAAATAAAAACCACACTTTCTTATAAAGTTACTGAAGACCAGTGGGCACAACGTCATGAATGTTTTGTGGGTTTTTTTTTTGTTTTTGTTTGAGATGGAGTCTCGCTCTGTCGCCCAGGCTGGAGTGCAGTGGCGTGATCTCGGCTCACTGCAAGCTCTGCCTCCCGGGTTCACGCCATTCTCTTGCCTCAGCCTCCCGAGTAACTGGGACTACAGCAGGCGCCCGCTACCACGCCCAGCTAATTTTTTTCGTGTGTGTGTGTGTGTGTGTGTGTGTGTGTGTGTGTGTGTGTATTTTCAGTAGAGACAGTGTTTCACCATGTTAGCCAGGATGGTCTCGATCTCCTGACCTCATGATCCACCCGCCTTGGCCTCGCAAAGTGCTGGGATTACAGGCGTGAACCACTGCACCCGGCCATGAATGTTTTTATATCTGTGGGTAAGTGCTTAATCTGGGTAAGGTGAGTGGAAGAGTTTTCATAGGTGGACAGACTTTTTGCACAGCTAAGAAGAAACCATCCAGGCATTTAATAACAGCATGGGCTGCCAATAGGTAGTGTAGTCTTGAAGAATCCCCAACACATAAGTCAACTGCTTGATCCAACAGTTATCCTCACAGTAGTCCCAGGAATTCTGCTGAGGAAGTGTGTATAAGTCTTATGATGCTCAGAGTCCTGGGCCCCACTGGAGTTGAATACAAAGAAAGACCATAAACATCTAAAGCCACAACCCAACTCACTCAAACTCAATGACAACATCAAAGGAACTAGTCTGATGGCAGGTGCAGAAGGTTGGGGCATCAAGGGCGAAGTGAGCTCTCTTAATTCCATGTGAAGGTGGAGAAAAATTTAATTAAGACTGTTCCCAGCCCCAGCTCAACTCAACTCTTAGAAAAATCTAAATAGCCCTCATCCTAGCCGACTTTTGGGATAAAAGGCATGAACTCATTGAAACTAAACAAAGTAAACAAATAACATGCGTTTTTTCTTCTACATACAATATCCAGCATAAAATTTAAAATAATAAAACCAAGAAAATGTAACCCATGACCAAGAGAAAAATGACTCACAGATCATCCAGACATTAGAATTAGCAGACAAGAGCTTTAAAACAACTTACAAATATGTTAAGGAATTTAATAGAAAGCGATGGTTTTCAATATTCAGAAAGATATTGAAACTCTAAAGAACCTCATGGGAATTCTAAAACAAAAAGATGAAAGTTTCACTGGATGGGTTTAATATGGACTGGAACCAGTGGAAGAGAGGATCAGCTTGAAGATAGCTACATAGAAATTAAAGTGAAGCAGAAAGAGAAAAAGAATTAAGAAAAGCTAAACATAGTATCAGCGACCTGTGAGACTAATATATGTATAATTGGAGTTTCAGAGGGAGAGGGGAGAGAAGCAGGGCAGCAATTATCAACCTAAATAATGTAGGACTCAACCACAGGCTGTTTTCAAGAGATGCCCTTCATAAAGACACAGGTTAAAGTAAGAATGGGGCCAGGCACGGTGGCTCATGCCTGTAATCCCAGCACTTTAGGAGGCCAAGGCAGATGGATCACCTGAGGTCAGGAGTTCGAGACCAGCCTGGCTAACATGGTGAAACCCTGTCTCTACTAAAAATACAAAAAATTAGCCAGGTGTGGTGGCACATGCCTGTAATCCCAGCCACTTGGGAGGCTGAGGCAGGAGAATTGCTTGAACCCGGGAGGCAGAGGTTGTAGTCAGCCAAGATCGTGCCACTGCACTCCAGCCTGGGCAACAAGAGCGAAACTCCGTCTCAAAAAAAAAAAAAAAAAGGAATGGAAAAACATACCATGCAAACCAATGAGAAAGCTAGTGTGGTAACATTAACATCGAAGTCAAGCAAGTAACACTACAGATTAGGAAGAGGATTTCATAATGATAAATGAGCCAATTCAGCAGGAAGCCAGAATTATATAAATGTTTATGCAGCTCATAACAGTTTCAAAATAGATAAAAATTTTCAGAACTCCAGCAAGAAACACATAAATTCATAATCATAGTTGGATAACACTTTCTTTTCAGTAGCTGGTGGAAAAGATAGAAAAAAAAAAAACATTTAAAATACAGGGAATTGGCCAGGCACAGTGGCGCACACCTGTAATCCCAGCACTTTGGGAGAATGAGGCAGGCGGATCACTTGAGGTCAGGAGTTTGAGACCCACCTGGCCAACATGGCAAAATCTCATCTCTACTAAAAATATAAAAATTAGCTAGGTGTGGTGGCATGTGCCTGTAATCCCAGCTACTCAGGAGGCTGAGGCAAGAGAATCGCTTGAAGCCAGGAGGTGGAGGCTGCGGTGACCCAGCCTGCACAACAGAGACTCTAAAACAAAAGGAGCACCATCATAGATCTTGATGACATCAAAATAATAATGGAATATTATGATCAAAATTATACCTATAAGTTCAACTTAAACACCTTGCAAGGTACAAATTACAAAGACTGATGCAAGTAGAAAATCTAAATAGCCCCATTTCTGAGTTTAAAAGTTAAATTTGGCCAGGCGCAGTGGCTTGTGCCTGTAATCACAGCACTTTGGGAGGTGGGTGGATCACTTCAGGTCAGGAGTTTGAGACCAGCCTGGCTAACATGATGAAACCCCATCTCTACTAAAAATATAAAAATTAGCCGGGCGTGGTGGCAGGCGCCTATAATCCCAGCTACTCGGGAGGCTGAGGCAGGAGAATAGCTTGAACCCAGGAGGCGGAGGTTGCAGTGAGCTAAGATCACGCCCTCCAGCCTGGGCGACAGAACGAGAGACTGTCTCAAAGTATATTAGCAAATTTAATCCACAAACAAAGTGGATACAGTATAAGCAAGTGGTTTTATCCCAGAAATTAATGTAACTTATTACATTAATAGATTAAAGGGAAGAACCATTTGACAAAATTCAACACCTATTATTGGAGGAAAAAAAACCTGCAACAAACTAGAAATACAACAGAACTTCCTCCATGTGCTGGGCAGAGATTCTCTACCTGAACATGATGGGGATTTTGCCCAGAAAATTCTTTGCTGGGGTGGGGAGAGGCTGTGCTGTGCATCCTAGAATGCTTGGCAGTGTTCCTAGCCTTCACCCTCAAGATGCCAGCATCAACGCTCCCCACTCAGCTGTTTGTGACAATGAAAAATGTCACATGACAGGCCAAGTGCAGTGGCTCACGCCTGTAATACCAGCACTTTGGGAGGCCGAGGTGGGCGGATCATGAGGTCAGGAGATCGAGACCATCCTGGCTAACATGGTGAAACCCTGTCTCTACTAAAAATACAAAAAATTAGCCAGGCGTGGTGGCGGGCGCCTGTAGTCCCAGCTACTCAGGAGGCTGAGGCAGGAGAATGGCGTGAACCCGGGAGGCGGAGTTTGCAGTGAGCCGAGATCACGCCACTGCACTCCAGCCTGAGTGATAGAGCGAGACTCAGTCTCAAAAAAAAAAAAAAAAAAAAAAAAAAAAAAGTCATATGACATTACCAAATGTCCCTGGAAGAGGTGGGAAATCACCCTCGGTTGAGAATCATTCATTGTGTTAAGGATATTAACAACAATGACAAAAGCTACAGCTAACATCATACTAAATGATGAAATACTGAATACTTTCCCCAATACTGAAAACAGGGAAGGGAAATCCCTTTACACCACTTCTGTTCAACACTATAGTGAAGTTCCTAGCCAGTGAAAGAAGGCAAGAAAAAGATATAAAAAGCATAGAAACTGGCTAGGAAGAAGTAAAACTGTCTTTATTCACAGATGTCATAAGCATGTAATTAGGAAATCCTAGGGAATCTACAAAAATAAAAAGCTACTAGAATAAGTGCACTTAGGAAAGTCACAAAAATAAAAGCCAATATACAAAAATAATCACATTTCTGCATACTAGCAACAAACCATAGTTAAGTGAAATTTTAAAAACAAAACCATTTACAATAGCCTCAAAAATCAAATGCTAAGACTATATTTAACAAAAGATATTCAAAAATCTCTATACTGAAAACTACAAGGTATTTTTGAGAGAAAAACCTAAATAAATGGAAATATTTGTTTATGAATTCAAAGAATTGGTGTAGGCCGGGCGTGGTGGCTCACGCCTGTAATCCCAGCACTTCGGGAGGCCGAGGTGGGTGGATTACTTGAGCTCAGCAGTTTGAGACCAGCCTGGCCAACATGGTGAAACCCTGTCTCTACTAAAAATACAAAAAAATTAGCTGGGCATGGTGGTACACACCTGTAATCCCAGCTACTCAGGAGGCTGAGGTAGGAGAATCGCTTGAGCCTGCGAGGCAGAGGCTGCAGTGAGCCGAGATCGCACCACTGCACTCCTGCATGGGTAACAGAGTAAGACTCTGTCTCAAAAAACAAGATATCAGTTCTCCCCAAATTGATCTACAGATTCAACACAATGGCAATTCAGATCTCAGCCAGGTTTGTTGAGGAATTGACAAGCTGATTCTAAAATGTACATGAAAATGCAAAGGACCGGCCGGGTGTAGTGGCTTATGCCGGTCATCCCAGCACTTTGGGAGGCCAAGGCAGGAGGATCACCTGAGGTCAGGAGTTTGAGACCAGCCTGGCCAACATGAGGAAACCCCATCTCTACTAAAAAATAATTAGCCAGGCGTGGTATCGGGTGCCTGTAATTTCACTTAGGAGGCTGAGGCAGGAGAATTGCTTGAACTCAGTAGGCAGGGAGGTTGCAATGACCTGAGATCACACCACTGCACTCCAGCCTGGGCAATGGAGCAAGACTCCATCTCAAAAAAAAAAAAAAAAAAAAAATGCAAAAGACCTAAAGTAGTCCAAACAATCTTGAGAAAGAACACGTTGGAGACTCATACTATCGAATTTCAAGATTTACTATAAAGCTACAGTAGTCAGGGCAGTGTTATATTAGCCTAAAGATAAACCAAAAGATCAATAGAACAGAACAGAAATCCACCTATACACATATGACCAATTGATGTTCAGTAAAGATATCACAGCAATTCAATGGGTAAGGGAAAGTCTTTTTAACAAACAGGGCTAGAACTACTGTATAGCCATATAGAAAAATATAAACATATTCCTGCCACATACCATACCCCCACCCCAAATTAACAGGAACCAAAGACCTAAATTCAAAAGCCAAAACTAGAAACTTCCGGAAGAAAACATAGAATATCTTTATGACCTCGGGCTTAGCAAAGATGTTCTATATTAAATGTAACAGGCCAGACACAAATGTCTATGTATTGTGTGAATCTATTATCTATGAAACCCAAGAACAGGTCAGACTTATATGTAGTGATGGAAATCAGTCATTGCTTCTGGGGTGAAGAGAAAGGAACCCAAAGTAACTCTCTGGAGTGACGGAAATTGGGGCATTGGTGACAGGGGTCATTTGTCAAAACTCATTAAAGTATACATTTAGTATCTGTGCTTGTTGTCTGTAAATTATAGCTCAATAAAAACTGAGTTTTGGCCAGGTGTGGTGGCTCACGCCTGTAATCCCAACACGTTGGGAGGCCAAGACAGGAAGATCGCTTGAGCTCAGGGGTTTGAGACTAGTCTGGGCAACATAAGGAGACCGTGTCTCTACAAAAAAAAAAAAAAAATTAGCTGGTCATGGTGGCACATGCCTGTGGTCCCAGCTACTCAAGATGCTGGGCGTGAGGATCGCTTGGGCCCGGGAGGCCAAGGCTGCAGTGAGCTGTCATCACGCCCCTGCACTCCAGCCTGGGTGACAGAGCAAGACTGTCTAAAGGAAAAAAAAAAATAGCCGGGGCCAGGCACGCTGGCTCATGTCTGTAATCCCAGCACTTTGGGAGGCCGAGGCAGGCGGATCACGGGGTCAGGAGATCGAGACCATCCTGGCTAACACAGTGAAACCCCGTCTCTACTAAAAATACAAAAAAATGAGCCGGGTGTGGTGGCGGGTGCCTGTAGTCCCAGCTACTCGGGAGGCTGAGGCAGGAGAATGGCGTGAACCCGGGACCTTGCAGTGAGCCGAGATCGTGCCACCGCACTCCAGGCTGGGTGACAGAGCAAGACTCTGTCTCCAAAAAAAAAAAAAAAAAGGAAAAATAGCCACGTGTGCCTAATAGCTATCATGCTGGACCATTGCAGCCCTAGAGGAGCAGCCTCCTGAGTGCTCTGCCCTTTATTATATAAAGCCTCTCAAACTGCAATGGGGGCCAGGTGCGGTGGCTCACACCTGTAATCCCAGCACTTTGGGAGGGCCGAGGCAGGCGGATCACCTGAGGTCAGGAGTTTAAGGCCAGCCTGACCTACATGGTGAAACCTCGTCTCTACTAAAAATGCAAAATGAGCCAGGGTATTTTTAAATTTTTAGTAGAGATGGGGTTTTGCCATGTTTTGACTGAGATGGCTTCCAACCAGAACAGAAGACAGCTGAAAGTCTGCAGCATTTAATTAAGCGAAGTAGGCCGGGCGCGGTGGCTCACACCTGCAATCCCAGCACTTTGGGAGGCTGAGGCAGGAGCATCATGAGGTCAGGAGTTCATGACCAGTCTGGCCCACATGGTGAAACCCTGTCTCTACTAAAAATACAAAAAATTAGCCGGGCGTGGTGGCAGACACCTGTCATCCCAGCTACTCAGGAGACTGGGGCAGGAGAATTGCTTGAACCCAGGAGACGGAGGTTGCAGTGAGCTGAGACCGTGCCATTGCACTGCAGCCTGGGCAAAGCGAGACTGAGAGCGAGACTTGGACTCAAAAAAAAAAAAAAAAAAATTAAGCACAGATTTACGGGCCAGTGACTCCATTCCCAAGCATAGGAAAGTTCTCACACAAACCCTAGAAACGGATGGTTCATCGTGATCATGTTTGGATCACGTTTGTGATTACAAGAAGCTGTCTCATTATTTAGGGAATCAAATATAAAATGTGGATCTTAAATGCATGCTATGGAGGACGGTGCAGCAGTCAAGGACAACAAACCAAGTCTACCTGAGTAACCGACGGCCACACTAAATCACCGTAACAACTCTCACCACTGTGGGGTGCTGAGCCCGGCGCAGTGCACCCATGGAGTCCTAGCTACTCAGGCTGAGGTTTGAGTCTGAGGCTGTAGCCCATGAGGACCATGCCTATGAATCGCCACTGCACTCCAGCCTGGGCAACAGAGTGAGACCTCATCTCTCTACAAATAAAACAAGGCCAGGCACAGTATCATCCCAGCACTTTGGGAGACCGAGCCAGGCGGATCACCTGAGGTCAGGAGTTCAAGACCAGTCTGGCCAACAGGGTGAAACCCCATCTCTACTAAAAAAAATTTAAAAATTTGCCAGATGTGGTGGTGCATGCCTGTAGTCCCAGCTACTTGGGAGGCTGAGGCAGGAGAATTGCTTGAACCTGGGAGGTGGAGGTTGTGGTGAACCAAGATCACCCCACTACACTCCAGCCTGGGCAACAGAGTGAGACTCTAAATAAATAAAAATAAGAAAATAGAGGGTAACGTGCCCAGAACCGAACCTGGCATGTAGGTCCTCTCTAGCTCACCGTCATGCTTGGTCCTTACTCGGGGTCGAGTTCCTTGCCCACTCGGCACTGGGAGGTGGGTCACCTGCTTTCCCTGGGCCACGGCCCAAGAAGCCTCAGAGAACTTGGACCTTACTGTGTTGTCAGTGGGAGGGGGTGACATCACCTGCGTCTTTGAACGTCAAACGGGGTTAAGGCAGCTCGGGGCAGGGGAGGCATCTTCTAGAAGCCATACTGCTCAGTGACTTCCTGGGCAAAGACCCCTTCATCCCCACAAAGTTCATGGCCTTGGAAAAAAAAAAAAAATCAATGCCAGCTTCCTGGTTCCCGACCAATTCCCAAATCTCCACCTGCCCCTCACACCTTTTTATTTACCTTAGAAGTCTCTAAACGTTTGTCACACTCCCCTATTAGATAACAACTTTCTGAAAAAACATCGCAAACAAACATCGAAAATTTACGTTGTGATCTACTGTCATTCTACACACGGTATCAGTGAAGCTTATTTTGCTTATTTTTGTTTAAAAAATAGAAGCAGAAGTCGTCAATTTTTCTTCCTGCATCCCCAACGTAACCAATTCTACAGCCCAATTTAGAGAGCCCTGAGAGCTCAGAGGCAAAGGCCCACCACCCCCTGGGCCCCTTCCTCCTCCTCCCTCGCTCTCCAGGGACTTTGGGTCTGGGATGTCCCAGCCTGGGGAACGGCTGTGTGGAATAGGGGTGGGGCTAAACTCTAGCAGGGAGAGAAGAGGCTGGGACCCCCTCCCCACCCTCACCCCCACCCCTTTTGTCTCCTCTCAGAGCCAGGACAGACCACCAGCCACCAGGAACTGCAAATCACCTGGGCTGTGGTGGAAGGAAGGTAAAATCCAACGTGGGAGATGCTTCCTAAGTCACTTGAGCTCCGGCTCCAGTGGAAAAAAAAAAAAGAAAACAAAAAAGAAAAACAGACTAGGCCAGGCGCAGTGCCTCACATCTGTAATCCCAGCACTTTGGGAGGCAGAGGCAGGCGGATCACCTGAGGTCTTTTTTGTGTGAGATTAGGGTGGTGACACGTATGGGCACTGAGAACACTGTTCCAAGTGCTACAGGAAGCCCCAGTGCCCTTCTTAATACTTCACAGGGGGCTGGGCACGGTGGCTCACGCCCGTAATCCCAGCACTTTGGGAGGCCGAGGTGGGGGGATCACCCGAGGTCAGGACTTTGAGACTAGCCTGGCCAATGTGGTGAAACCGCATCTCTGCTAAAAATACACAAATTAGCCGGGTGTGGTCGTGGGTGCCAGTAATCCCAGCTACTCAGGAGGCTGAGGCAGGAGAATTGCTTGAACTCAGGAGGCAGAGGTTGCAGTGAGCTGAGATCACACCATTGCACTCCAGCCTGGGTGACAAGAGCAAGAGACTGTCTCAAAAAAAAGAAAAAGAAAAAAGAAAAACAGACTAGGCCAGGCGCAGTGCCTCACATCTGTAATCCCAGCACTTTGGGAGGCAGAGGCAGGCGGATTACTTGAGGTCAGGAGTTCGAGACCAGCCTGGCCAACATGGCAAAATCTCATCTCTACAGAAAATACAATAATTAGACGGGCCTGGTGGCGCATGCCTGTCATCCCAGCTACTCAGGAGGCTGAGGCACGAGGGTCACTTGAACCCAGGAGGCAGATGTTCTGGTGAGCTGAGATCACGCCACTGCACTCCAGCCTGGGTGACAGAGCAAGACTCCAACTCAAAAAAAAAAAAAAAAGCATATTGGAATAATTGGGAAAAACGAATAAGGTCTGTAGATAATAGAAGTAGATCGATGTTACTTTCATGATTTCAATGGCACTGTGGTTACACAGGTGAATGTCCCCGTTCTGGAAATACGCACTGCAGTATTTAGGAGTAAAGGGGCATCATGTCTACAGCTTACTCTCAAATGGGTCTGCTACATAATAGGTATTGTTATAATAAATGTGAAAGGCGGTGATGATAAAGGAAACACGGTAAGATATCACAATCAAGGACTCGAGGTGAAGGGTGACTAAGCTCTTATAGGGCACTCTTCATTTTATTGCACTTAGCTTTATTGTGCTTCACAGATACTGCATTTTTTTTTTTTTAACAAATCAAAGGTTTGTGGCAACCCTGCATTGAGCAAGTCTATCAGCACCATTTTTTTCTAACGGCATGCGCTCACTGTGTGTCTCTGGGCTGCATTTTGGTAATTCTCACAATAAAATTTTAAATCTTTTCATTATTATTATTTTTTTTGAGACAGAGTCTCACCCTGTGCCCTGGCTGCAGGGCAATTTTGTGATCTTGGCTCACTGCAACCTCCGCCTCTGGGTTCAAACGATTCTCCTGTCTCAGCCTCCCGAGTAGCTGGGATTTCAGGTGCCCACCACCATGCTCTGCTAATTTTTGTATTTTTAGTACAGACGGGGTTTCACCATGTTGGCCAGGCTGGTCTCGAACTCCTGACATTGTGATCCACCTGCCTTGGCCTCCCAAAGTGCTGAGATTACAGGCGTGAACCACCGCACCGGCCTCATTATTATTCTTCCATCTGTGATGGTGATCTGTGATCAGTGGCCTTTGATGTTTCTATTGTCACTGGGGCCACCACAAACTATGCCCATATAAAATGGCAAACTTAATAAATGTTGCGTGTGTTCTGACTTCTCCACCCACCGGCCATTCCCCCATCTCTTTCTCTCCTTGGGCCTACCTATTCCCTGAGACACACAATATTGACATTAGGTCAGTTAATAACCCTACAATGGCCTCGCAGTGTTCAAGTGAAAGGAAGAGTCACACATCTCTCACTTTAAATCAAAAGCTAGAAATGATTATGAGGAAGGCTCATCAAAAGATAAGACAGGCCAAAAGCTAGGCTTCTTGCACCAGTTAGCTAAGTTGTGAATGCAAAGGAAAAGTTGAAAGATATCAAAAGTACTACTCCAGTGAACACAAAACTAAGGAGTGGCCGCATGCAGTGGCTCACACCTGTAATCTCAGTGCTTTGGGAGGCTGAGACGGGTGGATCACTTGAGGACAAGAGTTCAAGACCAGCCTGACCAACATGGTGAAACCCCATCTCTACGAAAAATACAAAAATTAGCTGGTGTGGTAGCGCACACTTGTAGTCCCAGCTACTCAGGAGGCTGAGGAAGGAGAATTGCTTGAACCTGGGAGGTGGAGGTTGCAGCGAGCTGAGATTGTGTGCTACTGCACTCCAGCCTGGGCAACAGAGCGAGACTCTGTCTCAATCAATCAATAAAAAATAAGAAGTCAAACAGCCTTATTACCGATATGGAGAAAGTGTTGTCTGGACAGAAGGTAAAACCCTTAAGCCAAAGCCTAATCCAGAGCAAAGCCTTAACACTTTTCAGTTCTATGAGGGCTGAGAGGAGGAAGCTGCAGAAGAAAAGCCTGAAGCCAGGAGAGGTTGGTTCATGAGGTTTAAGGAAAGTAGCCATCTCCGTAAAGAAAAGTGCAAGGTGGCTGGGCACGGTGGCTCATGCCTGTAATCCCAGCCCTTTGGGAGGCTGAGGCGAGAGGATCACCTGAGATCAGGAGTTCGAGGCCAGACTGGCCAACGTTGCAAAACCCTGTCTCTATTAAAATTACAAAAAGAAAAAAAATTAGGCATGGGTGGTGGCGGGAACCTGTAATCCCAGCTACTCAGGAGGCTGAGGCAGGAGAATCACTTGAACCCGGGAGGCAGAGGTTTCAGTGAGCCAAGATCGCACCATTGCACTCCAACCTGGGCAACAAAAGTGAGACTCCATCTCAAAAAAAAAAAAGGTGCAAGGTGAAGCACCAAGTCCTGATGGAGAAGCTGCAGCAAGTTATCCAGGAGATCTAGCTAAGATCATTGATGAAGGTGGTTGCACTAAACAACAGATTTTCAATGGAGACAAAAGGCCTTCTACTGGAAGAAGATGCCATGTAGGACTTTCATAGCTATAGAGAAATCAATGACTGGCTTCAAAGCTTCAAAGGACAGGTGGGCTTTCTTGTTAGAGGCGAATGCAGCTGGTGACTTTAAGTTAAAGGCAATGCTCGGCCGGACGCGATGGCTCATGCCTGTAATCCTAGCACTTTGGAAGGCCAAAGTGGGCAGATCACTTGAGGTCAGGAGTTTGAGACCAGCCTGGCCAACATGGTGAAACCCTGTGTCTACTAAAAATACAAAAATTAGCCGAGTGGTACACACCCGTAATCCCAGCTACTCAGGAGGCTGAGGCAAGAGGATTGCTTGAACTCAGGAGGCAGAGGTTGCAGTGAGCCAAGATTGAGCCACTGCACCCCAGCCTGGGTGACAGAGCAAGACTCTGTCTCAAATAAATAAATAAATAAATAAATAAATAAATAAATAAAGGCAATACTCATCTATAATTTCAAAAATGCTAGGGCAGCTGGGCACAGTAGCACACACCTGTATTCCCAGCACTTTGGGAGGCCAAGGTGAGCTGATCACTTGAGGTTAGGAGTTCGAGACCAGCCTGGTCAACATGGTGAAACCCGTTCTCTACTAAAAATACAAAAATTAGCCAGGCTTGGTGGTGGGCACCTGTAATCTGAGCTACTTGGGAGGCTGAGGCAGGAGAATCACTTGAACCCCGGAGGCGGAGGTTGCAGTGAACCAGGATCACACCACAGCACTCCAGCCTGGACAACAGAGTGAGACTCCATCTTAAAAAGAAAAAAGCTAGGGCCCTTAAGAATTATGGTATATCCATTTGACCCAGCAATTTCATTGCTGGGTATATGCCCAAAGGGTTATAAATCATTCTGCTATAAAGACACATGTACACGTGTGTTTCTTGCAGCAGTATTAACAATAGCAAAGACTTGGAACCAAGCAAAATGCCCACCGATGGTAGACTGGATAAAGAAAATGTAGCACATATATACCATGGAATACTATGCAACCATAAAAAAGGATGAGTTCATGTCCTTTGCAGGGACATGGATGAAGCTGGAAACCATCATTCTCAGCAAAGTAACACAGGAACGGAAAACCAAACACCACATGTTCTCACTCAAAAGTGGGAGTTGAACAATGAGAACACATGGACACAGGAGGAGAACACCACACACTGGGGCCTGTCAGGGGTGGGGGCAAGGGGAGGGATAGCATTAGGAGAAATACCTAACGTAGATGACAGATTGATGGGTACAGCAAACCACCATGGCAAATGTATACCTATGGAACAAACCTGGGCTGGGCGCGGTGGCTCACGCCTGTAATCCCAGCACTTTGGGAGGCTGAGGTGGGCGGATCACGAGGTCAGGAGATCAAGACCATCCTGGCTAACACAGTGGAACCCCGTCTCTACTAAAAATACAAAATATTAGTTGGGCGTGGTGGTGGACACCTGTAGTCCCAGCTACTTCGGAGGCTGAGGCAGGAGAATGGCATGAACCCGGGAGGTGGAGCTTGCAGTGAGCTGAGATCGCGCCACTGCACTCCAGCCTGGGCGACAGAGCGAGACTCCATGTCAAAAAAAAAAGAAGAAGAAGAAGAAGAAAAGAACAGAAAAGAAGGTCAAAGCAAAGCAAACAAAAACAAAGTGGGGAAAGGCCACACTATTCAACAAATGGTGCTGGGATCATTGGCAGCCACATGTAGAATGAAACTGGATCCTCCTCTCTCACCTTATACAAAAATCAACTAAGATGGATCAAGGACTTAAATCTAAGCCCTGAAACCATAAAAAATCTAAAAGATATCATTGGGGAAACCCTTTTAGACATTGACTTAGGCGAGGATTTCCTGACCAAGAGCCCAAAAGCAAATGCAATAAAAACAAAGATAAATAGCTGGGTCTTAATCAAACTAAAGAGCTTTTGCACGGTAGAAGGAACAGTCAGCAGGGTAAACCGATCAACCACAGAGTGGGAGAAAATCTTCACAATCTACACATCTGACAAAGGACTAATATCAATATCCAGAAACTACAACGAACTCAAATTAGCAAGAACAAAAACAATCCCATCAAAAAGTGGGCTAAGGACATGAATACACAATTCTCAGAAGAAGATATGGAAATGGCCAAGAAACATATGAAAAAATGCTCAACATCACTAATGGTCAGGGAAATGCAAATCAAAACCACCATGAGATACCACCTTAATCCTGCAAGAAAGGTCATAATCAAAAAATCAAGACATAATAGATGTTGCCATGGATGCGGTGTGACACTTCTGCACTGCTGGTGGGAATGTAAACTAGTACAGCCACTATGGAAAACAGTGTGGAGATTCCTTAAAGGACTAAAAGTAGAGCTACCATTTGATCCAGCAAAACCACTCCTGGATGCCGGCTGCGGTGGCTCACGCCTGTGATCCCAGCACTTTGGGAGTCTGAGGTGGGAGGATCACGAGGTCAAGAGATCAAGACCATCCTGGCCAACACGGTGAAACCCCGTCTCTACTAAAAATACAAAAATTAGCTAGGCGTGGTGGCGTGCACCTGTAATCCCAGCTACTCAGGAGGCTGAGGCAGGAGAATTGCCTGAACCCGGGAGGCAGAGGTTGCAGTGAACCGAGATCACATCACTGCACTCCAGCCTGGTGACAAAGCGAGACTTCATAAAAAACAAAAAAAAACAGAAAAAACAAAAAACAAAAAACAACACCCACTCCTGGGTATGTACCCAGAAGAAGAGAAGTTGTATGAAAAAGATACTTGCACACACGTTTATAGCAGCATAATTTGCAATTGCAAAAACGTGGAAGCAACACAAATGCCCACCATCAATCAACAAGTGGATAAGGAAACTGTGGTGTGTATATATATATATATATACACACACACACACACACACACACACACACACATATACACACATATATATACACGTATATATATACACACACATATATACACGTATATATATACACACACACATATATATACACGTGTATATATATACATATATATGTGTATATATACACATATATATACATATATATGTGTATATATAGATACATGATGGAATACTACCTAGCCATAAAAATGAATGAATTAATGGCATTTGCAGCAACCTAGATAGGATTAGAGACTATTATTCTAAGGGAAGTAACTCAGGAATGGAAAACCAAATATTGTATGTTCTTACTCATAAGTGGGAGCTAAGCTATGAGGATGCAAAGGTATAAGAATGACACGATGGACTTTTGGGACTCAGGGTGGGAAAGGAGCGAGGAATAAAAGACTACAAATTGGGCTCAGTGTATACTGCTCAGGAGATAATCGCACCAAAATCTCACAAATCACCACTAAAGACCTTACTCATGTAACCAAACACCACCTATTTCCCAATAACCAATGGAAATCAAATTAAAATAAATATATATATAAGGTCCAAGATTTATTACTTACAGATCCTGGGTAGGGTGAGTGCAATGAGTGAGGACACTGCTCCATCCCTGGGTCCTGCAAGGCAGGGAAGAAGAAGAGTCAGAGAGAGAGAGAGAGAGAATGCATCACAGCTAGCGGAATAGGTGTACAGAGGAGAAGGGTGTGGATCACTTTAAATTCACAGGCAAATGTCTGAATGGTCCATTTAAAGGAAGCAGCAGGAAAGTGGAGAGCCTAGTCTGCTGGGTGACAAAGATGCCTCTAGGTGCTCATCTCTGACCACCAGCTTGGACCACTCAGGAGAGGTGTTCTCATGGCTAGGCAGCAACCTTTGGTGTGGCATTCCTGTTACAATGGTATACTCCTACTTTTGCAAAAGTATCTGTGTAAAGTGTCTAGGAGGATATAGAACCAAACTTTAACATCAGTTGCATGAGAATTGCAATGATGAATGACATTTATGTTGTTTGAGATGGAGTTCTTGCCCTGTTGCCCAGGCTGGAGTGCGGTGGTACAATTATAGCTCACTGCAGCCTCCAACTCCGGGGTTCAAGCGATCGTCCTGCCTGAGCCCCTCCAGTAACTGGAACCTCAGGCACACATCACCATACCTGGCTAATTTTTTGTATTTTATTTTTTGTAGAGATGGGATTTTTCCCATGCTGCCCAGGCTGGTCTCAAACTCCTGGGCTCACGCAATCCTCCTGCCTCAGCCTCCCAAAGTACTGAGATTACAGGTATGAGCCACTGCACCTGACCCATTTATGTTGTTTTTTTTTTTTTTGTATTTTCAGCACAGTATCAATTCTTTAGAGAACATATGATACCATTACTGCAGCCAAAAAAAAATCATTTCCATTTTTAAGAAGCACCAGATGTACTATTAAACACTGTAGCAAAATATAACTAAGTGCGGATGGAGTCGTAAACAAAAGAGGAACGGCAAAAATGTTTCACACTGAAGCGGAATGAGCTGAATGATGAGTACGTGGGGTTTCGTTATATGATTTTCTCTACTTTTCTGTAGGTTATAACTGTTTCCATAATAAAATGTTTTGTTGTTGTTGTTTGGGGGTATTTTTTTGTTTTGTTTTGTTTTGAGACGAAGTCTTGTGCTGTCGCCCAGGCTGGAGTGCACTGACACAGATCCCGACTCACTGCAACCTCCGCCTCCCGGATTCAAGCAATTCTCCTGCCTCAGTCTCCCAAGTAGCTGGGATTACAGGCACCTGCCACCATGCCTGGCTGATTTTTGTATTTTTTAGTAGAGATGGGGTTTCTCCATGTTGCCCAGGCTGGTCTTGAACTCCCTACCCTCAAGTGATCCACCTGCCTCAGCCTCCCAAAGTGCTGGGATTACAGGCGTGAGCCATCACGCCTGGCCTCATCATAAAATGTTATGTGCAGAATTTTTTAATTAAGTTGAAATGCTTCTTGGCCCACCTCCTCTCCCCACAGTCTCTCACACTCAGCATCTGCCTCCCAGACCCCATTCTCCCAGATTCTGTACCTCTCAGGAGTGGAGCCACTGTCTACCCAGTCACCAGGCCACACCCCAGGCACCTTCCTCTCTCCTTTCCTCCCCTTCACCTCCCCACAGCCCATCAGCCCCCAGCCCCATCCCTGCTGCCCCCTGACTTTCTCTGCCCAATTCCACCTTCTTCGTCTCCACACCCGGACCCCAGCTTATTCATACCTCATCCTCTCCTGCCTAGACCATCAACCCAGCCTCCCTCCTGGCCTCCCAGCCTTCACTTGTTCCCTCCAGCCCACTCCCCAAATGGCCCCAGAGAGGAGTTTGCTGCTTCTTTGCTCACAGGACTCCCACAGCTCCCCAATGTACCAGGAAAAATCCCCAGCTTCTCTACTTTGATGACCTCATCAAGTCTGTCCAGCTTCATCCTGCATTACTTGCCAATCACTCTCTGCACTGAAGCCACAGGGACTTACGAGTCAGGCTCCACCTGCAGCTCCCTGCCTCGGTCCTCCACACATGCAGTTCCCTCTGCCTGGGATAATCTTCCCACCTTTCTCCATCTGCTCAATTCCCAACTCATCCTTAGCGGTAGATAAAAAGTAAAAGTCATCCCTTCTAGGGTCTGCCAGAAGGCAGTTAACCTCTTCCTTCCCAGAGCTGCCTTTTTTTTTTTTTTGGACAGAATCTCACTCTGTTGCCCAGGCTGGAGTGCAGTGGCACAATCTCGGCTCACCGCAAACTCTGCCTCCCAGGTTCAAGCGATTCTCCTGCCTCAGCCTCCTGAATAGCTGGGATTACAAGTGCCCGCCAATATGCCTGGCTAAGTTTTGTATTTTTAGTAGAGACAGGGTTTCACCATGTTGGGCAGGCTGGTCTCAAACTCCTGACCTCAAGTGATCCACCCAACTTGGCCTCCCAAAGTGCTGGGATTACAGGTATGAGTCACTGCACCTAGTCCCAAACACTTTTTCATTCATTCATTCATTGATCTAATTTTTAAGTATTTTTTATTTTTTTCTTTTAGAGACAGGGTCTAATTCTGTTGCCTAGCCTGAAGTACAGTGGTGCAATGATGTCTCACTGCAGCCTCCAACACCTGGGCTCAAACGATTCTCCCACCTCAGCCTCCCGAGTAGCTGGGATGACAGGGGTACACCACCATGCACAGCTATTTTGTTATTTTTTATTTTGTAGAGTCAGCATCTCCTATGTTGCCCAGGCAGGTCTTAAACTCCTGGGGTCAAGCAATCCTCCCTCCTTGGCCTCCCAAAGTGCTGGGACTACAGGCGTGAACCACCATGCTCGGCCTAAAAATATTTATGGAGTTCATACTCTGTGTCAAGAACTCTCATCTGTTCTAGGTGTCAGGGATACAACCAGAAACGGGACAGATAAAAATCCTGGCTCTCGTCGAACTTGCCTTTTTAGATGTGTGTGTCGGGGACTGGGAACAGAAAGCAATGGAGGCCGGGCGTGGTGGATCACGCTTGTAATCCCAGCACTTTGGGAGGCCGAGGCAGGCAGATCACCTGAGATCAGGAGTTTGAGACCAGCCTGGCCAACATGGCGAAATCCCTTTTCTACTAAAAATACAAAAATTAGCCGGGCATGGTGGCACGTGCCTGTAATCCCAGCTACTCAGGAGACTGAGGCAGGAGAATCACTTGAATCCATGAGGTGGAGGTTGCAGTGAGGTGAGATTGTACCATTGCACTTCAGCCTGGGCAACAAAAGTGGAATCTCCAAGAAAAAGAAAGAAAGAGAGAAAGAGAGAAGGAAGGAAGGAAAGAAAGGAGGAAAGGAAAGAAAGAAAGGAAAGAAAGAAAAAGAAAAAGAAAGAGAAAGAGAAAAAAGAAAGAGAAAGAAAAGAAAGAAAGAAGGAAAGAAAGAAAGAAAGAAAGAGGGAGACGCTGAAGGAGAAGGGGCAGAGGCCTGATTCCTGGATCCCTAACCTCTCCCCTTTCTCCTTTGCCAATAGCTTTGTTCTCACCCCAGTTCCTCCTGCTGTCAAAGGCAGAAAGGCCACACCAAAGCAGCCTCAGTGACGTTCAGCAACCCCCTGGTGAGTGAGTCCCAGGGAGTCTTCCCTCCCACAGACGGCCCAGAAACTTTCCAGCCTCTTCTTCCCTCTTAACCTGCCCACAGCCCACCATTCCTAGCCTCAGGTCCTTCCAGCGATGGGCTCAGCCCAATACCCCAAGCCATCCAAGTCCAGGTACATTGGTGTAGAAGAAGCAGAGGAGGTAGGGTTGTGCAGAGAAGCAGGAGGAAGGGAAACATTAATAAGAACTTCTGAATACCCAAATAGGGCTCTTGAGCAAAGAAAGGACTATTTGCTGCTATTCCACTTTGAAAACAATACCCAATCTCTTAAAATTGTTCATTGCAAACAAAATTTTCAGGGCCAGGTGTCGTGGCTCACATCTGTAATCCCAGCTCTTTGGGAGGCCAAGGTGGGAGGATTGCTTGAGCCCAGGAATTGGAGACCAGCCTGGGTAACATAGCAAGATCCTCCGTCTCTGGAAAAAAAATAATTAAAAATTAGCCCTGTGTGGTGGCATGTGCCTGTGGTCCCAGCTACTTGGGAGGCTGAGGTGGGAGTGTCGCCTGAGCCTGGGAGGTCAACGCTGCAGTGAGCTATGATCACACCACTGCACTCCAGCCTGGGCGACAGAGCAAGATTGTAAGACTAAAAAAAAATGTCCTAAGGCCCTAAGTTCAATGAATATATTATCATCTTTATAATAATAATAAGGGCCAGCCAGGCACCGTTGCTCACACCTGTAATCCCAGCACTTTGGGACGCCAAGGTTGGTGGACCACTTGAGGTCAGGAGTTTAAGACCAGCCTGGCCAACATGGTGAAACCCCGTCTCTACCAAAAAATACAAAAATTAGCCAGGCCTGGTGGTTGATGCCTTTCATCCCAGCTACTTGGGAAGCTGACGTGGGAGAATCACTTGAACCCAGGAGGCGGGGGTTGCAGTGAGCCGAGATCGCGCCACTGCACTCCAACCTGGGCGACAGAGTGAGACTCCATCTCGAATGAATGAATGAATGAATGAATGAATGAATGCCTTTTAATGATCAGAGGGTGGGGGAATCCCCTGTTTCCCCTTTTTCTGTTTCTTTCTCTGTTCTCTCCTCCCTGATCAAGGCTCTGTGGTCCCCCGGGGACAGCACCCATCCCCATTGCTTTCTTTCCCCCTGCATCCTCCTGCCCACTTCGCTGTAGATGCAGGTTCAATCACAGGAAGTGTGAGGCAAGTGGGGTAGCTGAGGCCCCAGCTTTCTGGCTGGAGGACCAACAAAGGGGAGAGAAACCAGAAAGTACCGCGGAGAGGGAGGAGATTGGGAAAGTGACCTAATGAAGTTGCTTTCATGAATTTCTCTGTTTGCCCCTAAGATGCATGTGGATCTGAGCCTAAACAACATTCCAAAGATGTTGAAGACACAATGAAGGGATTCAACACCATCTGGGTTCCAGTCTGGCCAGTGGGTGGTCCATGGGGAAGACAGATTAGAAAGTCATTGTAACGACTTTGAAGTCAGAACTCACCTGAAACCACAACCCACAGCAGGCTGCTCAGAAGCCCTGAGCTGAACCAAACTAGGTCAGTGACCTGTCAAAACAAAAGTATCGCCGGGTGTGGTGGCTCACGCCTGTAATCACAGCACTTTGGGAGGCCGAGGCAGGAGGACCACTTGCAGTCAGGCGTTCAAGACCAGCCTGGCCAATATGGTGAAACCCCATCTATACCAAAAAATACAAAAATTAGCCAGGCATGGTGGCACGTGCCTGTAATCCCAGATACTTGGGAGGCTGAGGTGAGAGGATCGCTTGAGCCTGGGAGGTGGAGGCTGCAGTGAGCCGAGGTCATGCCACTGCACTCCAGCCTGAGCAACAGAGCGAGACACTGTCTCAACAAAACTAAAACAGGCCGGGCGTGGTGGCTTATGCGTGTAATCCCAGTACTTTGGGAGGCCAAGGCGGGTGGATCACCTGAGGTCAGAAGTTCAAGACCAGCTTGAGCAATATGATGAAACCCCATCTCTAATAAAAATACAAAAATTAGCCGGGCTGTGGTGGCACATGCCTGTAATCTCAGCTACTCAAGAGGCTGAGGTGGGAGAATCTCTTGAACCTGGGAGACGGAGGTTGCAGTGGGCCAAGATCACGCCACTGCACTCCAGCCTGGGAGACAGGGGGAGACCTTGTGTCAAAAACGAAACAAAACAACCCCCCCGCACAAAACGTATCCACAATCTACATAGAATTTAAACAAGACCCAGCACCTTATCACATAATATTTAAGATGTCCAGAATACAACCCAAAATTGCTCAGCATACAAAGAATCAAAATTGCAACTCACCAAGAGAAAAAGACAAGCAGTAGACGCAGAGATGACATAAGTGCTGGAATTGAGTGCAAAGAGGTTAGGGCTGTGAGTAAAGCATTTAAAGCAGCAGAAAGCAACATGCCTCACTGACAATACCACAGGGGCCTGGGGAATATGTTTTGTAGGCTTCCTAGCCTGGCCATCGATAGAAAAGAGAAGAAAGAAGAATATGGAACTGAGAGGCAACAGTGTCCAACACAGGCCAACATTTTGGCTACTCAGTATCTGTTCACACAAATCTACCCTTATTTAAACTTTTATACAACAAGAAAACATCATTGTGCTTCCATCTAATAGAATGCAAGTATCCCTTGTACAAATGGAGGTGTGAGCAACCTCTTCCCAAAAAAGCACTTAATGGCGGCATCTGGCTGGGCGCGGTAGTGCATGCCTGTAATCCCAGCACTTTGAGAGGCCAAGGCGGGAAGATCACCTGAGGTCAGGAGTTCGAGACCAGCCTGGGCAATATGGTGAAACCCTGTCTGTACTAAAAATACAAAAATTAGGTGGGCATGTAATCCCAGCTGCTGTGGAGGCTGAGGCAGGAGAATCACCTGAACCCAGGAGGTGGAGGTTGCAGTGAGCCAAGAACAAGCCACTACCCTCCAGCTTCGGTGACAGAGCAAGACTCTGTCTCAATAAATAAATGAATCTATCTATCTATCTATCTATCTATCTATCTATCTATCTATCTATCTGTGTATCTATCTGTGTATCCATCTATATCTAATGTATCTATATCTAATGTATCTATCTATATCTAATGTATCTATCTATATCTAATGTATCTATCTACCTAATGTATCTGTCCATGTAATGTATCTTGGCAGAAGACATGAAACTCCTGGGTCAGAGACAAAGGACCATATTCCTCCCAGTACAGCCAGCAGCATAAACACAGCATGTTTTCATTGGTTCTCCTTTCTCTCCAAACTCTGTAAGGGCAATGCCAGGGCCCAGGTGGATGCCTGCACGTACAGAGGGTTGTATTACAGGAGAGGAGCACTGAGCTTAGGGAACCCCCTCTTCTTTATAGCAATCAACAAGCAAGCCTCTCTTTGTGAGAGGGGAGGGGTTGCCTCATTGCTCAAGTTTGCCAGCTGCGTAAACAACCCTGAAGAAACAGTGACCAGGGCCTTGCAGCCATGCACACCCCACACAACATGCAGGAAACACAAGACAACTGTGGAGGACAGTCTCCCAACACAGCAATACCCACCCCCAGACCCGCATCATCTTAGCTTCTGGCAAGTTTTCAAATGACTCTGACACCCATCAGCCACTCTGATTCATCTAACTAACAGGCTGGAATAAAATCACTTCAGGCCAGGCATGGTGGCTCACACCTGTAATCCCAGCACTTTGGGAGGCTGAAATCACTTGAGGTCAGGAGTTTGAAACTAGCCTGGCCAACATGGGGCAACTCTTTCTCTACTAAAAATACAAAAAAACAGCCAGGTGTCGTGGTAGGTGCCTGTAATCCCAGCTACTTGGGAGGCTGAGGCAGAAGAATCGCTTAAACCTGGGAGGCAGAGGTTGCAATGAGCCAAGATTGTGCCATTGCACTCCAGCCTGGGCCACAGAGACTCCATCTCAAAAAAAAAAAAAAAAATCACTTCAATTTGTCTCATTCGGCCTTTAATTAAGGCTACTTTTGATGGGACTCCCAACAGCAAGATCAGGCCAACCTTGAGTATTGACCTCAACTCTCAACTATGTCCCCCAGGGTCCTAGACTCAGCCAACTGTGAATAAGTCTCAAGGTGGCTCATGCCTGTAATCCCTGCAGTTTGGGAGGCTGAGACCGGCAGATCATTTAATCTTAGGAGTTCAAGATCAGCCTGGGCAACGTAGTGAAGGCCCATCTCTACAAAAAATACAAAAACAATATTAGCCAGAAGTGGTGGCACACCTGTAATCCTAGCTACTTGGGAGGCTGAGGCGGGAGGATCCCCTGAACCCAGAAGGTTGAGGTTGCAGTGAGCCAAGATCACGCCACTGTACTCCAGCCTAGGTGACAGAGCAAGACCCTGTCTCTAATACAATAAAATTAAAATAAAAAAAAAATAAAAGTCCAGGTGTGGTGGCTCACGTCTGTAATCCCAGTACTTTGGGAGGCCGAGGAGGGGGAATCACCTCAGGTCAGGAGTTCAAGACCAGCCTGATCAACATGGAGAAACCACGTCTCTACTAAAAATACAAAATTAGCCGGGCATGGTGCCACATGCCTGTAATCGCAGCTACTTGGGAGGCTGAGGCAGAAGAATCGCTTGAACCCGGGAGGCAGAGGTTGCAACGAGCTGAGATCATGCCATTACACTCCAGCCTGGGCAACAAGAGTGAAACTCCATCTCAGAAAAAAAAAAAGTAAAAACTGGTCCCAGAGGACCAGTACATCTTATTTTGGACAACCAGGATATAGTCTAAGGCGACTCTATTGTCCATTATAAGCAGAGCAGAGAACTTTAGGCTGATCTGCTAAAATACCAAAAAAAGAAATTTAAAAATAAAAAAACTGATCTGATCTTTGATGTCTTTACAAACAATTACAGGGTGACAACAGATGAGCCTAAAAGCAACCCCCATCCACAATGGGCATGCCACAGCTTACCTCCCCAACCTGAGAAGAGACAGTCATTGGATTTTGTTGTTAAGCTTGGCTGGAATTACCGTTACATTGTCTCAGTTAAGCCACATAAGTAATATCAGCAGGTTGTTTCAACTAACACAGGAGTGAGCCAACTTTTTCTGGAAAGAACCAGGTAATAGTATTTTGGGTTTTGTAGGGCATTTGTTTTCTGTGGCATAGTCATCTTTTTCTTTTTTCTTTTTGAAACAAGATCTTGCTCTGTCACTGAGGCTGGAGAGCTGTGGTACAATAATATCTCACTGCAGCTTCGACCTCCCAGGCTCAAGCGATCCTCCCACCTCAGCCTCCCGAGTAGCTGGGACTACAGGCGTGCACCAGCACACCCAGCTAATTTTTAATTTTTTGTAGAGACAGGCTTTCACCACATAGCCCAGGCTAGTCTTGATCTCCTGGGCTCAAGTGATCCTTCTGCTTCAGCCTCCCCAAGTGCTAGGATTACAGAGGTGAGCCACCACACCTGGCTTTTTTTTTTTTTTTTTTTTTTTAAACAATTCTTGGCTGAGCCGTGGCTCACGCCTGTAATTCCAGCACTTTGGGAGGCTGAAGCAGGTGGATCACTTGAGGTCAGGAGTTCAAGACCAGGACGGCCAACATGGAGAAACCCCGTCTCTACTAAAAATACAAAAATTAGCCGGGCATGGTGGCGGGCACCTTTAATCCCAGCTACTCGGGAAGCTGAGGCAGGAGAATGGCGTGAACCCAGGAGGCGGAGCTTGCAGTGAGCCAAGATCATACCACTGCTCTCCAGCCTGGGCGACAAAGCGAGATTCCATCTCAAAAACAACAACAACAACAACAACAACAACACATTCTTTAAAATATATGAAAAGCTTTGTTAGTTTATAGACCACACAGAAACAGGTCACAGGCCAGATGTATCCCACAGGCTATAGTGTGCCAACTCCTGATCTAGCACCATGTCGGTCCAACAAGGGGATTCTGGTGCCTAAACCAGCATTAGTTTGAATCCCCTACTTGGCCCCCTCAGGACTCAACTGCCATCTGGAGGGCATGACCACCAGGCTGTCCAGCGGAAAGAAAGATGCATCATTCCCAACAATGGTCAGCGGGCAAAATTGTACTTTTTTTTTGAGACGGAGTCTTGCTCTGTCACCCAGGCTGGAGTGCAGTGGTGTGATCTCGGCTCACTGCAAGCTCCGCCTCCCGGGTTCATGCCATTCTCCTGCCTCAGCCTCCTGAGTAGCTGGGACTACAGGCGCCCGCCACCAAGCCCGGCTAATTTTTTGTATTTTTAGTAGAGACGGGGTTTCACCATGTTAGCCAGGATGGTCTCGATCTCCTGACCTCGGGTCTCTGTAACTCCTCCAACACTTCTGTCTCAGGGACTATCCAAGATGCAGCCAAGAAGAGATGAAGCCTCTTCTGGGACTGCCACATTCAGTGACCAAACGGCCTGAGTAAAGTGTGTGCGGCCGGGTGTGGTGGCTCACGCCTGTGATCCCCCCACTTTGGGAGGCCAAGACGGGTGGATCACTTGAGGTCAGGGGTTCGAGACCAGCTGGCCAACATGGTGAAACCTATCTCTACTAAAAATACAAAAATCACCTAGGCATGGTGACGCCTATAATCCCAGCTACTTGGGAGGCTGAGGCAGGAGAATCGCTTGAACCCAGGAGGCAGAGGTTACAGTGAGCCGAGATGGCACCACTGCACTCCAGCCTGAGCAACAGAGCATCTGTCTCAAAAAATAAATAAATAAAGTGTGTGGATCAGGAAGAGGTAGGAAGGGGAAACCAGAAACCTTTTTGAGCTGATTCTTGAGGAAGATGATCCAACAATCAATAATACCAGACACCCGCAGATAGTGAGGAAGTTACAAAGTCCCATTGAATACCTTAAATATCAACCAAACTGCAATCAATGTCTTCCGGAGTTGGTGTTGGGGTTAGGTGGTTGCTGCCCCCTAGTGGACATCTTTAGGTTTAACATAGTGGAATGCGCCCAGCCGTTTAAGGGAACCCGTTTGAATTGAGGGCCCCATTGAGCCAGAGGAATTGCCTCAGGCAGGGGAGTGGAGGAGAGTTTTCTCCAAATGGGGTAGCTGCTGCGGGGTGCGGCGGCTCACACTTGTAATTCCAGCACTTTGGGAGGCCGTGGCAGGAGGATTGCTTGAGCCCAGGAGTTCAAGACCAGCATGGGCAACACAGCGAGACTCTGTCTCTGGAAAAAAAAAAAATTAAAAAATTAACCGGGTATGCTGGCGCATGCCTATAGTCCCAGCTACTCAGGAGGTTGAGGTGGGAGGATCGCTTGAGCCCAGGAGTTCCAGGCTGCAGTGAGCCACGATCATGCCACTGCACTCCAGCCTGGGCAACACAGCAAGACCGTCTCGAAACAGAAAACAGAAGAAACAGGGGTAGCTGTGACTTTTGTATGTAAAACTCAGAAGACCTGAGGACCAGACCAGCTGTGCTCTTAGACGTACCCTTTACCTTTGGCCATTTCCGGTATTGCTAGTGAAGCTGCAGTTAACCTACCCGAGAACAAGGGTGTGAGGCTGGGGAGTCAAAGGCCACCACAAGCCAGGCGTTTGCTTTCAAGGAGAGCTTAATAGTGATTCATAGCGGCCTTCTTTTCTTTTTTTATTATTTATTAGAAGAGAGACAGGGCCGGGCACGGTGGCTCACGCCTGTAATCCCAGCACTTTGTGAGGCAGAGGTGGGTAGATCCCAAGGTCAAGAGATCAAGACCATCCTGACCAACATGGTGAAACCCAGTCTCTACTAACAATACAAAAGTTATCTGGGCATGGTGGCAGGTGCCTGTAATCCCAGCTACTGGGGAGGCTGAGGCAGGAGAATCGCTTGAACCCCAGAGGTGGAGGTTGCAGTGAACCGAGATCGTACCACTGCACTCCAGCCTGGTCACAGAGCAAGACTCTGTCTCAAAATAAATAAATAAAATTTTAATTTAAAAAAAACAGAGATGGGTTTTCACTATGTCGCCCAGGCTGGTCTTGAACTCCTGGACTCAAGCAATCCACCCACCTCTTGGTGTGAGCCACCGCACCCAGCCCAGCTGCCCTTTCTTTTTAAAAGGAGTGTACTTGGTGGCCGTGTCAGGCAGGTGGCACTGTGGCACTGGGAAACGGCTTCCCGGAGCACTCCAGCAGCCATTTAGTCATTACAGTTGTGTTTCCTTTTCTACTGGGATCCCACATTGTTTCTGGTAGAGGTGAAGAGGGCGGCATATGCCACAGCCTCCGACTGGTAGAATCCTCTGATAACAAGGCATGTGTAGTTTTTTCGAGCATGTAAAGCATCAGTACCAATTACACCCGCTCAGTCGTGGAAACCACACAGCGGGACATTGAATTGGCTCTAGGTGCCACACCCAACGAGATCTCTTCAGCTTCCCTTCCCACTGGGAGCCTGACTGGTTGAATTCAGGTACTTGGACCAAGAAGTCTGTGGGTCAGGGACTACAGCCTCAGCCCTGGAGCAACTTGGGGCTGGGGGGCATCCCAGGGGGACAGCAAAGGCAGGGGAAAAAAACTCATTGTTGGTCGGGCGCGGTGGCTCACACCTGTAGTTCCAGCACTTTGGGAGGCCGAGGCGGGCGGATCACTTGAGGTCAGGAGTTCAAGACCTGACTGACCAACATGGAGAAACTCCGTCTCTACCAAAAATACAAAATTAGCCAGGTGTGGTGGTGCACACCTGTAGTCCCAGCTACTCAGGAGGCTGAGGCAGGAGAATTGCTTGAACCTGGGAGGCGGAGCTTGCAGTGAGCAGAGATCGCGTCATTGCACTCCAGTCTGGGCAACAAGAGTGAAACTCCATCTCAAAAAAAAAAAAAAAAAAAAAAAAAGGGCCGGGCATGGTGGCTCACACTTGTAATCCCAGCACTTTGGGAGGCAGAGGCGGGTGGATCATGAGATCAGGAGATCGAGACCATCCTGGCTAACACGGTGAAACCTCGTCTCTATAAAAAATACAAAAAATTAGCCAGGCATGGTGGCGGGCACCTGTAGTCCCAGTTACTGGGGAGGCTGAGGCAGGAGAATGGCATGAACCCAGGAAGCAGAGCTTGCCGTGAGCCAAGATCATGCCACTGCACTCCAGCTTGGGCGACAGAGCAAGACTCCATCTCAAAAAACAAACAACAAAAAAACTTCATTATTGACCTCTCTATCGGCTCACTTGGCTCCTCCCTCCAGGATCAGTGCCAGAGCTGCAACCCAGGTACCTCCCAGGACCCAGCAAGTTCTTAGGCACAGAGGCCCCTCTCTTTCTGCTCTTCCACAGATGGCCAGGCTCAGCCCTCCCAGTCCTCAGCATCTTTGACCAGCCCTGCACCCAGCTGTGGACTGGATCCAAATTGGACCGTGGTGGGGCCAGAAACACTCGCAGGGTGGGATCTTCACTAATGTTTTCAGCCCACTGAAGGCTCAATATCAAATAGCAAGGCAGGGCATAGCGGCTCATGCCTGTAATCTCAGGGCTTTCGGAGGCCGAGGTGATTGCATCACTTGTGCTCAGGAGCTCACGACCAGCCTGGGAAACATAGCGAGACCTCATCTCTACAAAAAAATTTTAAATTAGCTGGGTGTAGTGGTGCATACGTGTGGTCCCAGCTACTCGGGAGGCTGAGTGGGGAGGACCCCTTGGCCCTGGGAGTTTGAGGCTACAGTGAGCCATGTTTGCGCCACTGTACTTCAGCCTGGGTGACAGAGCAAGACCCTGTCTCAAAACAAAGAAACAAATAACAAGGTCCTTGTTGCTGATACCACTTCGGTTTCAGAGACCCTTTGACCCAGCGGCCACAGCCATGCTGCCTCTTGGTTGGGTCCCTGGGGCTTGTTGTCTCATTTTCATGATCCCATTTCTTCCTCCACCTGCCTGGAGAAGGGTAAGAACCCAGGTGCAGCCAGGCACCATTTGCCCACTGTTTTGCCCACTGATTTTGATCCTATCTGTAGCCACTGAGCCTCATTAACAAGTAGGACAGGCTGGGTGCGGTGGCTCATGCTTGCAATCCCAGCACTTTGGGAGGCCGAAGCAGGTGGATCACCTGAGGTCGGGAGTTCGAGACCAGCCTGACCAACATGGAGAAACCCCGTCTCTACTAAAAATACAAAATTAGCCGGGCGTGGCGGTGCCTGCCTGTAATCCCAGCTACTCGGGAGGCTGAGGCAGGAGAATTGCTTGAACCCAGGAGGCGGAGGTTGCAGTGAGCCGAGGTTGCACCACTGCACTCCAGCCTGGGCAACAACAGTGAAACTCCATCTAAAAAAAAAAAAAAAAAAAATACAAGTAGGACAGTGAAGACCTCTATTCCTGGCCATCCTCCTCTACTTGGATGAGAGAATTCCCTACTGGATCCCAGGGATTCTTCTCATATTTTTGAACCAGGCCCATGGAGGCCCTGTCCTTCCAATTCCAGAAAGCCACGCCTCTGTCAACATCCCATCCTTTTCCACACTACCAGGTCCGGACTTTCATTTTGTCCTACTTACAAGCCAGCCTGGGCTGGGTGCAGTGGCTCATGCCTGTAATCCCAGCACCTTGGGAGGCTGAAGCAGGAGGATCCCTTGAGCCCAGGAGATCGAGACCACTCTGGGCAATGTAGCCAGACCGTCTCTACAAAATGTAAAAAATTAGTTGGGCATAGTGGCATGCACCTGTAGTCCCAGCTACTCGGGAGGCTGAGGTGGGAGGATCACTTGAGCCCAGGTTGGAGTGCACCATTGCACTCCAGCCTGGGTGACAGAGTGAGACCCTGTCCCTAATTCAATGAATCAATCAATAAAATAAAAAATAAAAATAAAAATAAAACAAGCTAGCCCATTACTGTTTCACAAATGTTGCCAGAAGACACAAGACTCCTGGGCCAGAGACAAGGGACTTTATTACTCACCAGCCAGCAGGGAGCATGAGCATCAATGCCTTGGTATTCATTCTCCTGGACTCCAAGGTCCCACGGGGGCTGGTGCAGATGTCTGTAATCCCGTGGGTTCTGAAGAAGATAAAGAGCTCCTGGGTGGAGCTTGATTTTAAAAAGCTCTTGCTAAAGAGGCTCCCACTCAAATGCGGCCATCTGTCTGGTCACTTGCTGCAGCCACGTTAGTGAAATTTCCACACGTGAGATGTGGCGTCCTCAAGATCCCAAAAGGCTTATCAGTTGCAACACCTTTGTAGTTGGAGGTGGCAGGACCAACAGTTTGTCTTTTTTAAGCTATGAAATGTCCCTTTAAGCTGCGGCCCAGCTAGTCCTCATGATGATGATTGGGATAACAGGGTCTTTGTTCTTGCAGTCACAGCTAACTAAGGGCAGGTGGGCATTGTCCTCATTCAACACCCACCTGCCCTTAGTTAGCTTCGACTGGATGGCAGCTGATACAATACAACAGTGCAGGCCATTACCCAAAAGCCGTTTCTTCCAAAGAACGCATAAGGCTGGGCGCAGTGGCTCACACCTGTAATCCCAGCACTTTGGGAGGCCAAGGCAGGAGAATCGCTTGAACCCAGGAGTTCCAGACCAGCTTGAGCAACATAATGAAACCCATCTCTATTTAAAAAAAAAAAAATAAAAACTTAGCTGGGTATAGTGGTGTGCATCTGTAATCCCAGCTACTCAGGAGGCTGAGGCAGGAGGATCACTTGTGCTCAGGAGTTTGAGACCAGCCTGGGCAACATAGTAAGATCCCGTCTCTACTAAAATTTTTTTATAAATTACGTGGGCACGGTGGCATACAACTGTAGTCCCAGCTACTCAGGAGACTGAGGTGGGAGAATCTCCTGAGCCCAGGAGTTCAAGGATGCAGTGAGCTATGATCATGCCACTGCATTCCAGCCCTGTCTCAAAAAAAAAAAAAAGAATGTGAGAATGGTCAAAACACAGCATCACTAGTCCTTAGGGAAATGCAAACCAAAACCACAATGGGACACCACTCCACAGCCACTAGGATGGCTACGATCAAGAAAATAAACTGGGCCGGGCGCAGTGGTTCACGCCTGTAATCCCAGCACTTTGGGAGGTCAAGGCAGGTGGATCACCTGAGGTCAGGAGTTGGAGACCACCATGGCCAACATGGTGAAACCCCATCTCTACTAAAAATACAAAAATTAGCCGGGCATGGTGGCAGGCACCTATAATTCCAGCTACTCAGGATCCTGAGGCAGGAGAATCGCTTGAACCCGGGAGGCAGAGGTTGCGGTGAGCCAAGATTGTGCCACTGCACTCCAGCCCGGACAACAAGAGCTAAACTCCATCTCAAAAGAAAAATAAAAAGAAAAGAAAACAAACTGCGAATAACAAGTGTTTGGCATGGATGTGAAGAAATTGGAACCCCCGTACATTGCTGGTGAGAATGTACAATGGTCCAGCCACTGTGTAAAACAGTTTGGCAGTTCCTCAAAAAGTTAAGCACAGAATTAGCATATATATGACCCAGTCATTCCACCCCTAGGTACCTACCCAAAAGAACTGAAGACAGGTCTTCAAACAAAAACTTGTACACATTACCTGATCCTTTTTTTTGGGGGGGTGGGGCGGGGAGACCGAGTCTTGCTCTGTCACCTAGGCTGGAGTGCAATGGTGCAATCATAGTTCACTGTAGCCTCAAACTCGCAGGCTCAAATGATCCTCCCACCTCAGCCTCCCGTGTAGCTGGGATTACAGGTGCACACACCACCCCACCTAGCTAATTTTAAAAAATTTTTTGTAGGCATAAAGTCCCACTATGTTGCCCAAGCCTGGTCTCGAACTCCTGGCCTCAAGTGATCCTCCCACCTCAGCCTCCCAAAGTGCTGGGATTACAGGTGTAAGCCACCGTGCCCAGCCAATACTTTGTGCTAAAAACAAACAAACAAACAAACAAACAAACACAACTTGCTGGTCATGGTGGCTCACGCCTGTAATCCTAGCACTTTGGGAGGCCGAGGTGGGTTGATCATTTGGGGTCAGGAGTTCGAGACCAGCTTGACCAACATGGTGAAACCCCATCTCTACTAAAAATACAACAAATTAGCTGGGTGTGGTGGTGTACACCTGTAATATTGGCTACTCAGGATGCTGAGGCAGGAGAATTGCTTGAATCTGGGAGGTGAAGGTTGCAGTGAGCCGAGATCACACCACTAACTCCAGCCTGGGTGACAGAGAGAGACTCTGTCTCAAAAAAAACACAAAAAATCATAAGCACTGATAATAGCAGGTCCTGGTAAGGATCAGGGCCACTAGAACGCTCTCATGCATTGCTGGTGGAAATTCAAAATTCAAACGGTGCAACTACTTAGGAAAAGATTTTGGCAATTTCTTATAAAGTCATACATACACTTCCTATACCATCCAGCCATCCCAATCCTAGATATTCAAGAGAAGCAAAAGCGTGTGTCCAATGCCCACAGTTTTTCCAAACTTAATCTGGTTGTGTGTATCAGCCCCTTGGCTTGCCTACGTCTTTGTTCTAAAAAGGCAAATCCGGCCGGGTGCAGTGGCTCACACCTGTAATCCCAGCACTTTGTGAGGCCAAGGCAGGTGGATCATGAGGTCAGAAGATCGAGACCATCCTGGCTAACACAGTGAAACCCCGTCTCTACTAAAAATACAAACAAACAAACAAAAACAAACAAAAATTAGCCAGGAGTAGTGGCGCGTGCCTATAGTCCCAGCTACTTGGGGGGCTGAGGCAGGAGAATCGCTTGAACCCGGGAGGTGGAATTTGCTGTGAGCCGAGATTGCACCACTGCACTCCAGCCTGGGTGACAAAGTGAGACTCCGTCTCAAAAAAATACAATAAAAATAAAAAATAAATAAAAAGGCAAATCCATCCCAGTTTTGGCCGCAGCCCATTTGCTTGGTTGCAGCTTTGAGCCAACCTTACAGCTCCGTTCCCTCTAGTTACACTCGTCGTCCTTTTGATATTACCAGTTCCTTGGCCTCCGTCTTTTTCTTTTCTGAAACAGGGTCTCCCTCTGTCACCCAGGCTGGAGTACAGTGGCGTGATGACGGCTCACCATAGCCTCGACCTCCCAGGCTCAAGTGATCTTCCCACCTCAGCCTCCTGAGTAGCTGGGACCACAGGCGCCCACCACCACACTCGGTTAATTTTGTAATTTGCATCTGCACTCTTTAGCCCTCATCCCAGCCTCCTGCCTCCTTTCCTCTGAAAACCTGCAGCCCCGCTACCTAGAGATTTCTTTTTGTATACAATGAACCATGTTTTTCAAATGACTTGCTTGTCTGGGGGCCTCTGGTGTCTTACACATTCTGTTTACAGTCATCTGTCTTTCCCTGCACCTGAGACCTGGAACAGACAGCATCTTAGGGGGCCTCACCAGGTCCCGGGTGAGGGGACACCACAGCCATCCCCACCCCGTCAGCAGCCTCTCCAGAGTACACTGCACTAGCTGACCACAGCTCTGCTGCCCACCCTGGCTTCATGGACATCCAGTTTACTCACTGGCCTTACATGTGACCTGCCACCACCATTAGGAGGGAATGTCTTCCACCTCCATAGTGGGCCAAACTCCATGTTGCTTGCAAACACAGCACCAGGCTGGGTGTGGTGGCTCACAGGCTCACATCTGTAATCCCACCACTTTCGGAGGCTGAGGCAGGCGGATCACTTGAGGCCAGGAGTTCGAGACCAGCCTGGCCAACATGGTGAAACCCTGTGTCTACTAAAAATACAAAAATTAGCCAGGCGTGATGGCAGGCGCCTGTAGTCCCAGCTACTCGGGAGACTGAGGCTGGAGAATGGCTTGAACTGGGGAGGCAGAGGTTGCAGTGAGCCAAGATTGTGCCACTGCACCCCAGCCTGGGTGATAGACCAAGACTCAGTCTCAGAAAAAAAAAATACATATATATATATATACATACATACATACATACATATGTGTGTATATACATATGTATGTATGTATATACACATATACAAATATATATGTATATACACATATATACGAATATATGTGTATATACACATATATACGAATATATGTGTATATATACATATATATATGTATATACCTATACACACACACACACACACACACACATATATATGTACAAAAATTAGCCGGGCATGGTGGCGGGCACTTGTAATCCCAGCTACTCAGGAGGCTGAGGCAGGAGAATCCCTTGAACTGGGGAGGTGGAGGTTGCAGTGAGCCAAGATCGCGCCACTGCACTCCAGCCTGGGCAACAGAACAAGACTTCGTCTAAAAACAAACAAACAAAAAGAACACGGCAGCAGGACAGATGGAGAATTTTCCTCTGTGGTCACCAACTGTCACACACACCACTAGGCCTGTGTGATAGAGACAGGAATAGATTCACTGAGGGAAGACGCACAGGTAGAGGAGGGAGCATCCCTCCAGCCCGTGACTCCGGCTAAACATGAACGGTCTGCCTGCACCGTGGCCAGCAGCATCCCAGTAAAGAAGGACTGTGTTTTTGTATTTATAGAATCGGGGAAGAGGAGAAACAGCTATGTGGCGATGACAGCTTCCTGGTCAGAAAAAATGTTCTGGCTAGAAAAGGGCAGCCTCTGGGGCTCAGCAGCTGGTATCAGCCTGTTCTTCTGTATCTGTGGCGTCAGCGCAGGCTTGCTGAGCCAATCCTGCTATGTTACCAAAGAGAGGATCAGATGAACCTCAGGGCTCTTGAGATTGGTTGCTCAGGGTTGCTGCCCAGCTCAGAAGTGGGCATTGCTGAGCTGGGGCTCAGATTTCTGGGAAGGGAGACTGCCAGGCTAGTGCTGGTTCCTCTGAGGGCTGCAATGTGGCTGACTCTGAGAATCCTAGTATATCATGCTGAGCCATCTAAAAACCAGCCCAAAGTTGTGTCCTCCCCAGTTCAATTAATCACGAGGAGCTGCCTGGTGCGGTGGCTCACACCTGTAATCCCAGCATTTTGGGAAGCCGAGGAGGACAGATCACCTGAGGTCTGGAGTTTGAGACCAGCCTGGTCAACATGGGGAAACCCCGTCTCTACTAAAAGTACAAAAATTAACTGGGCGTGATGGTGCACACCTGTAGTCCCAGCTACTCGGGAGGCTGAGGCAGGAGAATCACTTGAACCTGGGAGGCAGAGGTGGTGAGCCAGGATCGCACCACTGCACTCCAGCCTGAGCAACAGAGCAAGACTCCATCTCAAAAAAAAAGAAAGAAAGAAAAGAAAAAAAGTCATGAGGAGCTGTCCATGAAGCCATGGGTATAAATGGAGAGAAGACAAAACAGTGGGTATAGATGGCAGAACGGTCTGTGCTGTCCACTCAAGCAATTTGCTTGTGTCATTGCTTATGCCAACACCTTAGTTCTTTTTTTTTTTTTTTTTTTTTTGAGATGGAGTTTCGCTCTTGTTGCCCAGGCTGGAGTGCAATGGTGCAATCTCAGCTCACCGCAACCTCTGCCTCCCAGGTTCAAGCAATTCTCCTGCCTCAGCCTCCGGAGTAGCTGAGATTACAGGCATGCGCCACCATGCCTGTCTAATTTTGTATTTTTAGTAGACATGGGGGTTTCTCCATGTTGGCCAGGCTGGTCTCGAACTCCTGACCTCAGGTGATCCACCTGTCTCGGCCTCCCAAAGTGCTGGGATTACAGGAGTGAGCCATGGCGCCCGGCCAACACTTTATTTCTTATTTCCACCTGATGCACTGCCATTGCCTGTGCTCAATCTTCTGGATTTGTGGGTCGGATTACACCGAGTTCCTGATGGTCAGCTCAGGTTTTATCATTGCTCGGTGCTCCATGGCCAGGTATCTATCTCTAACCGAGACAAGGAATTGTTTCTTCACAGAGATGAGTTGTGTGCAGAAGATGGCATGGCTTTGTGCCAAAACCCTACGAGTTTATGCCGGAAAATGCTCCTATTGGCACTTTCTGGAGGTCATACAGCATCTCGATTTGCCACATTCTTTTCTGAGTATCATGTGAGCTGCTGAGTCACAAGACTGAGCTTAAGCTCAGCATCAGCCGGATGCAGAGCCTTCTCACGCACTTGGACGACACTCCGAGTTGGCATTTTTGTAGGTTACTCACTAAATGGGTTGGAAAATACCTCAAATGTGGTGTATTTTTCTTTTTTCTTTTATTTTTTTATTTTAAAACTTTATTAGCCTGGCCAACATGGTGAAACCCTGTCTCTACTAAAAATACAAAAATTTGTCAGACGTGGTGGCGCACACCTGTTATCCCAGCTACTCAGGAGGCTGAGGCAGGAGAATCGCTTGAACTCGGGAGGTGGAGGTTGCATTAAGCTGAAATCGCGCCACTGCACTCCAGCCTGGGTGACAGAGCGAGATTCCGTCTCAAAAATAAAAAATTATTAAAGACCAATTTTTTGGTTTGTTTTGAGATGGAGTCTCGCTCTGTTGCGGAGGCTGGAGTGCAGCATGATCTCGGCTCACTGCAACCTCCGCCTCCCAGGTTCAAGTGATCCTCCTTCCTCAGCCCCCCTAGTAGCTGGGATTACAGGCACACACCACCATGCCCGGTTAATTTTTGCATTTTTAGTAGAGACAGGGTTTCGCCATGTTGGCCAGTCTGGTCTCGAACTCCTGACCTCAGGTGATCCACCTGCCTCGGCCTCCCAAAGTGCTGGGATTACAGGCATGAGCCACCGCACTGGCCTAAATTTTTTTAAAAAAAAATTTGATGGGCATGGTGGCGTGCACCTGTGATCCCAGCTACTCAGGAGGCCGAGGCAGGAGGATCACTTGAGCCAGGCCACAGTGAGCTGTGATCACACCACTGCACTCGAACTTGGGCAAGAGAGTGAGACTGCATCTCAAAAATGAATAAATAGGCCGGGCCAGTGTCTGCTAATCCCTAAAAGGTCTGAGTATTTTCCTTTCCCCAATACACAGTTACTGCATAAACGGAGACAAGTCCTATTTGAATGGAAGATGCAAAATATAAGCTTGCAGCAGTTATTTTAGGGTAATTCCTCAAGAGTACCAGCCTCCTCTTCAATTAAGGAATTTTTGGTCTCCAAATCGCTTTACATGTGGAATTCGTGCAAATTCTCCATCTTGATGACTCACGTCAGATTTCTACACACACGACCTGGAGTTTTCCTGTTATATAGATACTTCAACAGAGATGAATTAATACACGGGTCTCAGATAAATTAAACAGGTCTCAGGAAACCGTGAAAGGAATGAGAAGAAACAGCGCAGAAATAGTAACTGCACCGTATAAAAATAGTAACTGCAGGCTACACCTGTCACTCCAGGACTGAGAATACAGCTATCAGAACCTAAAATGTTGAGGCAGCAGCCCTGCAGAACTGAAACCCAGACTAGAGCCAGGGGCTACCAGGGTGGCGCTGGTGTGACAGAAGGCTGACAATGATGCTGGTTATGGCATCCGGCGTGGTGGCTCATGCCTGTAATCACAGCACTTTGGGAGGCCGAGGTTGGAGGATCCCTTGATCCCATGAGTTTGAGACCCACCTGGGCAACATGGCGAGACCCCCATCTCTACGAAACAATTTGAAAACAAAAAATTAGCTGGGTGTGGTGGCGTGCACCTGTGGTCCCAGCTATTCTGAAGGCTGAGGCGGGAGTATGGCTTGAGCCTGGGAGGTCAAGGCTACAGTGAGCCTCGACCACTGCACTCCAGCCTGGGCGACAGAAATAGAAAAAGAAACAGGTTAGGGAGGTGCCAAAAAAATAAAACTTGAAACCTGGAAGAGGGCCGGGCGTGGTGGCTCACACCTGTAATCCCAGCACTTTGAGAGGCCAAGGTGGCTGGATCACCTGAAGTCAGGAGTTCGAGACCAGTCTGACCAACATGGTGAAATCCTGTCTCCACTAAAAATACAAAAATTAGCTGGGCGTGGTGGCGGATGCCTGTAATCCCAGCTACTCAGGAGGCTGAGGCAGGAGAATTGCTTGAACCCAGGAGGCAGAGGTTGCAGTGAGCTGAGATCGCGCCATTGCACTCCAGCCTGGGCGACAGAGCAAGACTCCGTCTTAACAACAACAACAACAACAAAAAACAAACAAACAAACAAAAAACCTGGAAGCAACTGCTGCTGTCAGAGGGAGCGTTGTTCTGGGGCGACGCTTGCTCGGATGCCTGAAGCAAATAGGTGGAGCAAATCCCTGCTTCCTCCTCCAATGGCCGGTCTCCGTCTAGCGCCCTCTTTAGGCCGGGGCTTATAGCAACCCAGCTGGGAAAGCAAAAACGTGGCTTGCAGAGGCTCCGCCCCAACATCACAGAGCGGAGGCAAGGGTGGATTTGCAGCTGAGAGACAAAAGCTCAAACTTGCACATGGACTGAGTGAGTTCCTGTGACTTCACGGCAGTTGACATTTCCAAATATAAAATCGTGCATTACAGATGCTCTCTGGATTGCCCAGATTTCTGTTCCAACGCAGCCACTTTCCATTTTTATTTTTTATTATTCTTTTGAAACAGAGTCTTGCTCTGTCACCCAGGCTGGAGTGCAGTGGCACAATTTCGGTTCACTGCAATCTCCGCCTCCTGGGTTCAAGTGATTCTCCTGCCTCAGCCTCCCGAGTAGCTGGGACTACAGGTGTCCGCTACCACACCCGGCTAATTTTTGTATTTTTAGTAGTGATGGGGTTTTGCTATATTGGCCAGGCTGGTCTCGAACTCCTGGCCTCAAGTGATCCACTTGCTTGGCTTCCCAAAGTGCTGTTTTACAGGCATGAGCCACCACGCCCAACCCCCAACTCAGCTACTTTCTATGTGTGACTTTATTTGAGCTACTTTTCTGTGTCTCACTTTTCTCATCTGCAAAATGGAGACAATAATAGAACCTACCTTGTATGGTTATCATAGGGTTCACTGATGTAGCGCACGTGAAGCACTTAAAACAATGCTGGACACACATATATAGAAAGTACTGGAGGCCGGGTACGGTGGCTCACGCCTGTAATCCCAGCACTCTGAGAGGCCGAGGTGAGTGGATCACTTGACCCCAGGAGTTTGAGACCAGCCAGGGCAATATGGTGAGACCCCATCTCTACCAAAAATCCAAAAAATTAGCCGGGCATGGTGGTGTGAGCCTGTAGAACCAGCTACTCAGGAGGCTGAGTGGGAGAATTGCTTGAGCCCAGGAGGTGGAGGTTGCAGTGAGCTGTGATTGAGTCACTGCATTTCTGCCTGGGTGACAGAGTGAGACCTTATTGAAAGAAAAGAAGAAAAAGTGGCCGGGTGTGGTGGCTCACACCTGTAATTCCAGCACTTTGGAAGGCCGAGGCAGGCAGATCACCTGAGATGAGGAGTTTGGGACCAGCCTGGCCAACATGGTGAAACCCCGTCTCTACCAAAAATACAAAAATTAGCCGGGCATGGTGGCGGGCACCTGTAATCCTAGCTACTCCAGAGGCTGAGGTAGGAGAACTGCTTGAACCCAGGAAGCGGAGGTTGCAGTGACCTGAGATCGTGCCACTGCACTCCAGCCTGGGTGACAGAGAGAGACTCTGTCTCAAAAAAAAAAAAAAAAAAAAAGAAGAAAAGAAAGGAAGGAAGAAGGAGGGAGGGAAGGAGGGAGGAAGGGAGGAAAGGAGGGAGGGAGGAAGGAAGGAAGGAAGGAAGGAAGGAAGGAAGGAAGGAAGTAGGTTACATTACAGTGATTATTACTACTTGGGTTGGTGAGAACTAACTCAGCATCTTCCAGAGAAGTTGCAGTTGCCACACAACACTTGGCAATGTTTCAACGCTACTCTGCACCCACGGTGACAGATACTTGGATCTCCTCCAATTTGGAGGAAGGATGTTTGGTTTTGATTTTTGGATGTGTTGGTTGTTGGTGGCTTTCTTGCTATTTAACTAATGATTGCTGTCAGTTCAACCTTGTCATTACCAGTTTAGCTTGTTATGGGTTATTTAGTTAAGCTGCATGTATAATCACACATATTTGCCTCAACCCTGTGTGCGCCTGGCCTGCAATTTCCCACTAATTAGACTTTTTAAAGACACGTATGCATTTATCTACTCAAATTTGCATCATCCGTTTCCCTATTGCCAAAGCAGATGTACACAACACCCACCCACCTCCATTCCAGGAAATAATTTGCTTATTATCACTGAGTTATTTTTCCACTGGAAAGTTGAAACTGGGTGGGAGGGGGTACAGATGGGGTCTTGTCCTACTGAAGCGAGAGCCGTCAGAACAGTGCAGACAGAAGTGCTGGGTCTCCGGCAAGAACAATGGGGCTCAAGGGAGGAAACGGACTCCAAAATATCTGAATTACAGCAGCAAATCCACCAAGAACCCCAAACCCAACACCCCAGCTCCAGCTCCCATCCTGGATCTAGACACCCACCAGCTCCCCCAGGAATCAAGCCTCCGGACACGATTCCTCTGAAATGGCTTTATTTCCCCAGTGTGAGGAATCTGTGAGTGGTGAGGGGTCTGTGGTCCCTGTTACCCCAAGGACCCTGCAGCCTCCAGATGGATAACGGCCCGGGATCCAGGCCTTGATCCTCCCAGGCTGGGACTGGTTCTGGGAGGAGCCGGGCATGCTGTGGTTTGTAAGGATGACACTCCCAAAGGTGGTCCTGACAGTGGCCCAGATGGACATGGGGCTCACCTCAAGGACAAGGCCACCAGGTGCGGGGGCCGAGGCCCAGATGAGCCTTACTCTAGGAGCAAAATCCCCTGTGGGGGCTTCTCCTTGAAGTCCGCCAGCAGGGCTCAGTCTGGGGGAAGAGAGAAAAGAGAGAGCAGGTGATTGGCAGGGAAGGGGAGAGACAGAAAAACTGGGAGACTGGCAAAAAAGAAGAAAGACGAAGGCGAGAGTACAAAAGGCTCAAAGGAGACCAAGAGAGTGACCCAGGGACACTGGAAAGGTGCCGAGAGAGAAAAACACGCAAAAATACAGGAACAGAGGCTGGAGATGCACAGGCTGATGCTACACACTGACCTTTGGACCCAGGCAGGTCAGGGGGTGGCGGCCCACCTGGGGGCAGCAAGGCAGAGCGGCTCAGGGCCTCGGCCACCCACCCCAGGACGCGGCTACACTGCTGGACCTGCGGAATGGGAGGAATGTCAGAGCGGGAGATGGGACCCCTGCCACAGTCCCCCAGCCAGGCCCCAAGGCCTCACCTCCCGCTCCAGCACTTTCAGGCGCTGTTCGTACTCGCGGATGTGTCCCAGCTGTTTCAGTGCCAAGTCCACCCTGAGAAGGGAGGGCCTCTTACCGGGGGCACCCGCAGCCCACCCACCCCCAGGGCTCTGCCTGCTTCCCGGGCCTCCTCCCTCTCTCCCTCCCTCCCAGGACCCTGCCTTCAGCTGAAGTCAGGATCCGCCCCAGGCCAGAAGCCCCATCCCCGACCAGGCCCCGCTCTCACTTCTGGGACGTGCGCTTCAGACGCTCGGAGTCGCTCTCCCGCTTGTCCCTAGCGCGTGCCAGCAGAAAGTTCTCCTTATGCACCGATTCCCACGTTAGCAGCTTCCGCTCGGCTTCCTTAGAAAGGTAAACCCCTGCAGGGGCGGGCGGAGTCAAAGGGCTCAGGCCACGCCCCTTCCCAATCCCAGCTGCCCCTTCCGACACCCTCAGAACACGCACGCTATCCCAGACCCAGCCCCTGGTGATTCGAGAACATGCCCCGCCCCTCACCCGTAAGCACTGCCCCTCAGTGCTTAAGCTCCGCCCCTTGTTGCTTAAACCCCGCCCCTCGCTACCTAAGCCACGCCCGTTAGTCATTTGGGGCATGCCCCCTTCCCCTCGCCTTCCAGGCTCCCGGTCCCCTATATTTCTCCTTTTTAAGCCAAGCTCTGTTCTTACGGAAATGCTCGAGGGCCGGGGAGGACGGCTGGGGGCTCCGGGGTCGCCTGCACAATTGCCTGAGCAGGAGGCGCAAGTGGGAGATGACGATAAAGGGCGGGGCCAGCGCGGGCCGAGAGTGGAATTCCCGGATGAGGCGGTAACGCTGCGCCTTCCAGTAGAGATCGCTGTTGCCCTGTACTTTGCCGAATGTGTAACTGCAAAGGCCAGAGGTCAAAGGTCACTTGAGGTCAGGGCCCAGCCAGGGGCAAGGACGAAGGTTAGATGCCAGGCAATAATTGTTCAGTCTATAGCAGCAGACAGAAGTCAAGATCACTAAAGTCAGAGGTTACAGGATGCGATTAGAAGTCAGGTTAGAGCCAAGGGCGTTTGGTCACGCCTGTAGTCCCAGCACTTTGGGAGGCCGGAGTGGGCGGATCACCTCAGGTCAGGAGTTCGAGACCAGCCTGGCTAACATGGTGAAGCCCCATCTCTACTAAAAATACAAAAATTAGCCAGGCGTGGTGGTGGGCACCTGTAATCCCAGCTACTGGGGAGGCTGAGGCAGGAGAATCGCTTGAACCCAGGAGGTGGAGGTTGCAGTGAGCTGAGATCGTGCCACTGCACTCCAGCCTGGGAGACAGAGTAAGACTCCATCTCAAAAAAAAAAAAAAAAAAAAAAAGTCAGTTTAGAAGGGCCAAGGGTCAGATGTCAGAGGTCAAGTTGGGATGGTATCACGGTATAAGGTGGAGGTTGAAGTCAGGTTAAAGTTGGGCTCCAAAGTTAGCCTGGACACAAATAACTAACATCAGAAATGAAAATGGAGACATTACTACTGACCTTACCGAAATAAAAAGGATTGTATGAGAATACTATCAACAATTATATGTCAACAAACTAGATAAATGAAATGGACAAATTCCTAGGAACACACAAATTAGCTAAGCTGACTCAAGAAAAAACAGAAAATCTCAGTAGAATTATCATAAGAGATTGAATCAAAAACGTTTCAATAAAGAAAAGCCCAAAACCAGATGGCTGTGCTGGTGAATTCTATCAAATATTTAAAGAAGAATTATAATAACAAGGATGTTTCTCAAATTCGTCCAAAAGATTGAAAAGGAGAGAACATTTCCTAACTCATTCTATGAGGCCAGCATTACCGTAATACCAAAGCCAGATAAAGATATCACAAGAAAATTACAGAGCAGTAGCCCTTATGAATATACATGTAAACATCCTGAAAAAATACAAGCAAATCTAATTCAGCAGCACATTAAGTGGATTTTATACCATAACGAAATGGGATTTATCCTAGGAAAGTAAGGGTAGTTAAACATACAAAAATTAATGCAAACACCAAATTAATAGAACAAGGTGTGGGGGAAGCCATATGATCTTCTCAACCAACACAGAAAAGGCATTTGACAAAATTCAACAACACTTCACGATTTTTTTTTTTTTTTTTTGATGGAGTCTTGCTCTGTCCCACAGGCTGGAGTGCAGTGGCACAATCTCGGCTCACTGCAAGCTCCGCCTCCTGGGTTCATGCCATTCTCTTGCCTCAGCCTCCTGAGTAGCTGGGACTACAGGCACCCACCACCACGCTCAGCTAACTTTTTGTATTTTTAGTAAAGATGGGGTTTCACCATGTGTGGGCGGCAAGCCACCCAGGTGCCAAGGCAAGAGACCGAGGGCACAAGCTGTTCCAGTGTAATAAAACATATAAAATAACAAGAGTTATACTAGATATAGATCATAGATATGATTATATATGAATATCAATCATTAGTTTGTAGCAATTACTCTTTATTTCAATATTATAATAATCCTTGCTTTACAATCATAACCTAGGAAAAACCAAGCCATACAGAGATAGGAGCTGAAGGGGCATGATGAGAAGTGACCAGAAGACAGAGTGTGAGCCTTCTGTTATTCCTGGACAGGGCCACCAGAGGGCTCCTTGGTCTAGCGGTAACGCCAGCATCTGGGAAGATTCCCGTTACCAAGCGGACCGTGGTCTAGAGGTAGCGTCAGTGCCAAGGAAAAGCACCCACTACTTAGCAGACCGGGAAAGGGAGTCTCCCTTTCCCCGGGGGAGTTTAGAGAAGACTGCTCCACCACCTCTTGTGGAGGGCCTGACTGATGTCAGGCCCGCCCGCAGTTATCCAGGGGCCTAACCGTCTCCCTGTGATGCTGTGCTTCAGCGGTCACACTCCTGTTTCACTTTCATGTTCCACTCTGTACAGCTGGCTCTGCCCTCTAGATAGCAGTAGCAAAATTAGTGAAAGTATTAAAGTATTAAAGTCTTTGATCTTTCTTAAAAGAGCATAGAAGAAATAATGATGTAAGCTGTCCTCTCTCTCTCCGCCTTGGCTACCTAACAGGGAAGGGCCCCTGTCCAGTGGACATGTGACTCACGTGACCTTATCAATCATTGGAGATGACTCACACTCTTTACCCTGCCCCTTTTGCTTTGTATCCAATAAATAACAGCGCAGCCAGGCATTAGGGGCCACTGTCGGTCTCCACGTCTTGGTGGTAGTGGTCCCCCAGGCCCAGCTGTCTTTTCTTTGATCTCTTTGTCTTGTGTCTTCATTTCTACAATCTCTTGTCTCTGCACACGGGGAGAAAAACCCACAGACCTTGTAGGGCTGGCCCCTACAACCGTGTTAGCCAGGATGGTCTCGATCTCCTGACCTCATGATCTGCCCACCTCGGCCTCCCAAAGTGCTGGGATTGCAGGCTTGAGCCACCATGCATGGCTTTTTTTTTTTTTTTTTTTTTTTGAGACAAGGTTTCACTCTGTTGGTGGCACAATCATGATGGTGGTGAAATCATGGCTCACTGAAGCCACAGCCTTGACCTCCTGGGCTCAAGCCTTCCTCCCACCTCAGCCTCTTGAGTAGCTGGGACTACAGGCATGCACCACCACGCCTGGCAAATTTTTTATTTTTTTATTGAGATAAGGTCTCACTATGTTGCCCAGGTCGGTCTTGAACTCCTGGCCTCAAGTGATCCTCCCACTTTGGCTCCCTAAAGTATTGTGATTGCAGGCACAAGCCACCATGCATCATAATTTTTAAAAATCGTAAACTAGGAATAGAAATAAACTTTCTCAACATGAGAAAAGGTACTTCTGAAAAACCCACAGCTACCGTCATACCCAATGGTGAAAGAGTGAAAGCTTTCTGCCTAAGATCAGGGACAAGACAAGGATGTCCACTTTTACCACTGCTATTCCACATTGTGCTGGAAGTTCTGGCTAGAACAATTAAACAAGAAAAAAAATAAAAGGCATCCAAATTGGAAAGGAAGAAGTAAAAATATCTCTATTCACAGATGACATGATCCTATATATAGGAAATGCCAGAGAATCACAAGAAAGCTTCTAGGGCTGCAGATTCAGCAAAGTTGCAGGGTACAAGATCACACAAAAATCAGTTGTGTTTCTACACACCCGCAATGAACAATCCAAAAAGGAAATTAAGAAAGCAATTCCACTTACAACAGTATCTAAAGGTTAAGCACCTAGGAATAAAGTTAACCAAAAGGGTGAACAATTTGTAGCCTGAAAACTACCAAATACTGCTGGAAAAGCATTAAAAAGAACACCTAGATGAAATATCAATACTACCCGAAGCAATCTACAGATTCAACGCAATCCCTCGGAAAATTCCAACAACTGGCCGGGCGCGGTGGCTCACACCTGTAATCCCAGAACTTTGGGAGGCCAAGGCGGGTGGATCACCTGAGGTCGGGAGTTCGAGACCAGCCTGACCAACATGGAGAAACCCTGTCTCTACTAAAAATACAAAATTAGCCGGGCGTGGTGGCACATGCCTATAAGCCCAGCTACTCAGGAGGCTGAGGCAGGAGAATCGCTTGAGCCCGGGAGGCAGAGGTTGTGGTGAGCTGAGATCGCGCCATTGCACTCCAGCCTGGGCAACAAGAGTGAAACTCTGTCTCAAAAAAAAGAAAAAAAAAAAAGGAAAAAAAAAGAAAATTCCAACAACCTTTTTGACAGACATGGAAACTCTGATCTTTAAGTTCATATAGAATTGCAGGAGGCCCAGAATAGCCAAAACAATCTTGAAAAATAACAAAGGAGACTCATACTTCCAATGTCAAAATTTGCTACAAACCTACAGTAATCAACACTGTGTGGGCTAGACATGGTGGCTCACGCCTGTAATCCCAGCACCTTGGAAAGCCGAGGCAGATCACCTGAGGTCAGGAGTTCAAGACTAGCCTGGCCAACATGGTGAAACCCTGTCTCTACCAAAAATACAAAAAAATTAGCCGGGCGTGGTGGCAGGTGCCTGTAATCCCAGCTACTCAGGAGGCTGAGTTAGGAGAATCGTTTGAATCCAGGATGCGGATGTTGCAGTGAGCAGAGATCGTGCCACTGCAATCCCGCCTGGGTGACAAGAGCGAGACTCCGTCTCAAAAAAAACCCAAAAAACTGTGTGGTTCTGGCATAAGGATAGACGCAATCCAGTGGAATAGAATTGAAAGTCCAGAAATAAACTCATAAATCTATGAGTGTCATGCATTGAATTGTATCCCGCTAAAGATATGTTGAAGTCCGGCCGGGTCCAGTGGCTCACGGCTGTAATCCCAGCACTTTGGGAGGCCGAGGCAGGTGCATCACCTGAGGTCAGGAGTTTGAGATCGGCCTGGGCAACATGGTGAAACCCCGTCCCTACTAAAAATACAAAAATTAGCTGTGTATAGTGGCAGGCACCTGTAATCCCAGCTACTCGGGAGGCTGAGGCAGGAGAATCCCTTGAACCCAGGAGGTGGAGGTTGCAGTGAGCCGAGATCACGCCATTGCACTCCAACCTGGGTGACAGAGCAAGACTCTGTCTCCAAAAAAAAAAAAAAAAAAAAAAAAAAGTTGAAGTCATAACCCATAGTGCCTCAGAATGAGACCTTTTTAAATTTTTTATTTATGAAATATGTGGCTTTATTCGGAAATAGAGTTTACACATGTGATCAAGTTAAAATGAAGTTATTAGCATGGTCCCTAATCCAATTTAAGTAACGTTTTATTAAAAGGGGAAATCTGGAAGATGAAAGCAGAAGTTTCAATGACGCAACTAGAAGCCAAAGATGGCCAGCAAAGCACTAGACGTGACAGGAGGGGCATGGAACAGACTCTCCCCGACATCCCTCAGAAGAAAACAGCTTGACGGATGCCTTGATTTTGGACCTCTAGCATCCAGAATTGTGAGACAATTTCTGTGATTTAAAGCCACACAGTTTTTGGTACTCTGGCGGCCCTAGGAAACTAATACAATAGGTCCAGCACAGGGGCTTGTGCCTATAATCCCAGCACTTTGGAAGGCCAAGGCAAGAGGACTGCTTGAGCCCAGGGGTTCAAGATCAGCCTGGGCAATATAGTAAGACCCCATCTCTGAAAAAAAAAAAAAAAAAAAAACAACCAAAGCCAATGAAATTTTATATTTTCTCAGCAAAAATCATGCCAACAAGAAAGGAAGCAAACAGAGAGACCTAACATAGGATTAAAAAGGAGTTTCATTAAAAAAAAAAAAAATAGCCGCTGGGCACGGTGGCTCACGCCTGTAATCCCAGCACTTTGGGATCCAGCCGAGATGGGTGGATCACAAGGTCAGGAGATCGAGACCATCCTGGATAACATGGTGAAACCCCGTTTCTACTAAAAATAAATAAATAAAATAAAAGTAAAAAAAAAATTAAAAAAACAAGCCAGGTATGGTGGCACGTAACTGTAGTCCCAGCTACTTGGGAGGCTGAGGTGGGAGGATCACTTGAGCCCAGGAGGTTGAGGCTGCAGGTGTGAAGTGGTATCTCATTTCTGGTGTTTTGGTAGAGACAGCAGCCTCGCTATGTTGCCCAGGCTGGTCTCGAACTCTTGTGCTCAAGCAATCCTCCCACCTCAGCCCCCCAAAGTGCTGGGATTACAGGCATGAGCCACTACACCCAGCTGGATGACTATAATTTTTACAAAAGGAAAATAACAAGTGTTGGCTAGGATGTGGAGAAATTAAAACCCTCATACACTGCTGGTGAGAATGGAAAATGGTGCAGCTGCTGTGGAAACCAGTTTGGTGGTTTCTCAAAAAGCTATACATAGAATTACCACATGACCGAGGAATTCCACTTTGAGATACACACCCAAAGGAAATAAAAACAAGGATTCAAATAGATACTTGCATGCCAATGTTCCAACAAACATTAGTCACAATAGCCAAAAGGCAGAAAGAACCCAAGTGTTCATCAACAGATGAGCGGGTAAATCAAATGTGGTCTTCTTTTTTTGAGATGGAGTCTCGCTCTGTTGCCCAGGCTGGAGTGCAGTGGCACGATCTTGGCTCACTGTAGCCTCCGCCTCCTGGGTTCAAGCGACTCTCGTGCCTGAGCCTCCCAAGTAGCTGGAATTACAGACATGAGCCCAGCTAATTTTTGTATTTTTAGTAAAAAGGGGGTCCTGCCACGTTGGCCAGGCTGGTCTCGAACTCCTGACCTCAGGTGATCCACCCGCCTAGGCCTCCCAAAGTGCTGGGATTACAGGCATGAGCCACCACGCTGGGCCCAAATGTGGTCTATTTGTACAATAGAATATTACTCATTCATAAAACGGAATGAATGAAGTTCTGATGCACACTACAACAGGGATGAGCCTTGAAAACATGCTCAGTAAAATCAGCCAGACACCAAAAGACAAATATCGCATAATTCCACTTACATGAAACATCTAGACTAAATCCATAGAGACAGAAAATACACTGGAGGTTACTAAGACCTGTGGGGAGGGGAAGTGGGGAGTTGCTGTTTCATGGGGACACACTTTCTGTTCTGGGTGATAGAACGTATTGAAAATAGATAGTGGTGATGGTTGGAGAGTACTGTAAATGTAATTAATGTCACTGACTTGTACACTTAAAAATGGTAAAAATCAACTCCGGCCGCGGTGGCTCATGTCAGTAATCCCAGCACTCTGGGAGGCCAAGGCGGGCGGATCACAAGGTCAGGAGATCGAAACCATCCTGGCTAACACGGTGAAACCCCATCTCTACTAAAAATACAAAAAATTAGCCAGGTGTGGTGGCGCACGCCTGTAGTCCTAGCTACTTGGGAGGCTGAGGCAGGAGAATCGCTTGAACCTGGGAGGTGGAGGTTGCAGTAAGCTGAGATTGCACCATTGCACTCCAGCCTGGGCGACAGAGCGAGACTCCATCTCAAAAAAAGGCGGGGCGCGGTGGCTCACGCCTGTAATCCTAGCACTTTGGGAGGCCAAGGCGGGTGGATCACGAGGTCAGGAGATTGAGACCATCCGGGTTAACACGGTGAAACTCCGTCTCTACTAAAAATACAAAAAAATTAGCTGGGCGTGGTGGCGGGCACCTGTAGTCCCAGCTACTCAGGAGGCTGAGGTAGGAGAATGGCGTGAACCCGGGTGGCGGAGCTTGTAGTGAGCTGAGATTGTGAGATCGTGCCACTGCACTCTAGCCTGGGTGACACAGCGAGACTCCGTCAAAAAAAAAAAAAAAAAAAAAGAAGTAAAAATGGAAAATTTTATATAATTTTACCACAATAAAAAACAAAGTTGGCTGGGCGCGATGGCTCACACCTGTAATCCCAACACTTTGGGAGGCTGAGGTGGGCCAATCACTTGAGGTCAAGAGTTCAAGGCCAACATGGTGAAACCCTATCTCTACTACAAATACAAAAAATTAACTGGGTATGGGGGAGTGGGAAGTGGAGGTTGCAGTGAGCTGAGAACTTGCCACTACACTCCAGCCTAGGTGACAGATTATCCCAGCACTTTGGGAGGCTGAGGAGGGAGGATCACTTGAGTCCAGGAGCTCGAGACTAGCATGGACAACATAGTGAGACCCCTCTCTCCAAAAATTTTTTTAAATTAGGCAGGCCTGCTGGCCTGGCTAATTTTAAGTAGTCCCAGCTACTTATGGGGCGAAGGCAGGAGGATTGCTTGAGTCCAGGAGGTCGAGGCTGCAGTAAGCTACGATCACATCACCACACTCTAGCCTTGGCGACAGAGTGAGACCCTGTCTCAAAAAAATACAAATAAGGAAGTTCAACCTGGGCTCAGGGAGAGGATCAGTCCAAAGTCCAAATTACAAGCAGGGTCTGGTTGGGTTTGGGGAGAAGGCAGCATTAGATTGGATCAGAGTTCAGGGACTAAAAACAGAATTCATTAGACGGGGTTCAAGAGTCATGAGAGGGCCACGGGTCATGCTGGGTGGGGTCAGATCAGAGAGCAGTCAGGCCTCACCTGAACATGGCAATGAGCAAGTTGACCAGCAGGATGTTGGCCACGAGCAGGAAGATGACGAGGAGCAGCACCACCAGCCAGTTGGCATACTGGGAGACGCAGGTGCCCGCCTGGGCCCCAGGAGGGTGTGCCCAGAAGCCGGGCTCCGACGAGCAGTTGCTGTGCTCCATGAGGGCCACTGTGAAGAGAGACATTCAGAGATGGGGTGAGGGGGACAGAGACCTAAGAAAGACAGGAAGACTGCCGGGCGCGGTGGCTCACGCCTGTAATCCCAGCACTTTTGGGAGGCTGAGATGGCCGGATCACCTGAGGTGGGGAGTTTGAGACTAGCCTGACCAATGTGATGAAACCCCATCTCTACTAAAAACACAAAACTGTTAGCCAGGCGTGGTGGCACGCGCCTGTAGTCCCAGCTACTCGGGAGGCTGAGATAGGAGAATCGCTTCGATCTGGGAGGTGGAGGTTGCAGTGAGCTGAGATCGTGCCATTGCACTCCAGCCTGGGCAACAAGAGCAAAACTCCATGTAAAAAGTAAAGTACAGGTTCCTCTTCAAAGACTTTCCTCCCCATCTAATTAACAATAAATAGTAACTTCTCTTAGAAACAAAATTTATTCAAACACCTGTGCTAACATTCTTAAATATCTACTAGCCATAAAAAATAAATCAATGTACTTTATGTTCTTAGCTCTCACAATTTAGCCTAAATATTTGCCCTGACATACTTATACTGGTTCAAGCAAGCATTAGATCATAGCCTGTTCCTCTTCCTTATTTAAAAGTGTTTTTACCTTTCTCAACATTCCACAAGTTACTTCCTCCTTCCTTTGTTCTCCTCTGCCTTCGCTTCTTTTAAAAACTTCTAAGTTACTAGCCAATCAAGACAAATACAAAATGTAAAGTCCGGTTCCAGCCAATAAAAACCAGACACAGCAGTAAAATAGACGCGTCAGGTTATAAATGACCCTATCTCCTTTGTTCCGTGTACTCTCATGACAAAACTGCTGGCGAGTGTACCCTTTCTACAAAAAATAAAAATGGCTTTACTAAAAAAATTAAATTTATGTTCAAGTACTATTTCTTTACGACACCACAAAATAAACATTTCTAACATCCATCTCAAAAAAAAAGAAAAAAAAAAAGAAAAAAGAAAGACAGACAGAAAGACAGAGGGGGTGGGGTAGGCAGAGACCCAGAGAGATGATGATGGGGAATATAGGGTATCACTCAGAGATCCAGAGAAAGAGGGAGACAGAGACTCAGAGAGACAGATATTTTCTTAGAGCCAGGAGGACAGAGACCCAGGGAGCGGGGACAGAGACTCAGAGGAAGGCTGTCAGGCCGTCATCCCCCCTACCGTCCATGTCCTCCTGGGGAATCTGCCCGAAGATCTGCAGGTAGGGACGGTAGAAGACGCGGCGCAGGATACTTGGGAAGTCACTGTCCCGTGGCCTCAGGAGCCCCTCCGTGGCCACGCCATAGGCTACCAGCCACACGCCGAGGAAGAAGAGGAAGAAGAACACGTCCTTCATCTGTGGGGAGATGTGGCTGAGTCTGGCCCCGCCCTTTCCTACTCTGGCCCCACCCCTATATCCCAAAAACACGCCCCATTGCTCCCCAAAGTCACGCCCCTTCTCCACGGACCACTCCCTCCCTGGCCCCACCCCTTTCCCTATGTCCCCGCCCACTTTGGCCCCGCCCCTGCCTCACCATCTTGCTCACGATGACGATCTTGGGCCCCAGCTGTTTGTTGACCGTGAAGATGTGAAGCAGCCGCACCGTGAAAACCATGAAGTCGATGCAGAGGACAGTGCGGCCCAGGTGGTACAAACCCGGGGTCAGCCTGGGGTGTGGGGAGATGCCACAAGGGTCAAGTGTCACAAGACGCCAAGGAAAATGGAAGTCTTCCCAATGCCATCCTTCAGAGGAAGCTGCAGCCTCCACCGGGCAGGACCAGGACCCTCCCAGTCACCCGGGGTTTACTCAAATTTATTCAGTACCAAGCTGGTCCATGCAGGGCCCTGGCACCCATTTTTAAAATGGCTGCGCCTATTAAGTAATGACTGAATGAACGATGGCCTTAGCAAAGAGCTGGTCCCTGTAAGAATCAAGCTGGAAAAACTGCCGGAATATCTGTCCAACCTATAAAAGGCAAAACATATAGAGTCCTTACAAACTAATACGCAAAAGGAAGGAAGCCAGATAAAGGATACCACGTACAATTCACAGAGGACGTTCAAACGGCCAGTAAACATCAATAATTCCTATGGGGAAAATAAAAATTCTACCCCTATTTTGCATCCTCATGTACTTAAACTTTGGATGGATTAAAAACCTAGTGTATGGACAGACGCGGTGGCTCACGCCTGTAATCCCAGCACTTTGGGAGGCCGAGGCAGGCTCAAAAAAAAGAAAAGAAAAGAAACATACAAAAGTGAAAGTGAAAAGACAAGCCACAGACTTCGAGAAGATATGAAGATATTAAGACCAACAAAACTACCGAGGATTAGGATCCAGAGTATAAGGAGTATATACATTTATACATATACAAATCAATGAACCCCAATTAAAAAAACGGGAGGGTGGCCGGTCGCAGTGGCTCACGCCTGTAATCCTAGCACTTTGGGAGGCCGAGGCGGGCGGATCACGGGGTCAGGAGATCGAGAACATCTTGGCTAACACGGTGAAACCCCGTCTCTACTACAAAATACAAAAAATTAGCCGGGCGTGGAGGCAGGCACCTGTAGTCCCAGCTACTCAGTAGGCTGAGGCAGGAGAATGGCGTGAACCCGGGAGGCGGAGGTTGCAGTGAGCCGAGATCGCGCCACTGCACTCCAGCCTGGGCTACAGAGCGAGACTCCGTCTCAAAAACAAAAACAAAAACAAAAACCAAAAAAAAAACAAGGGGGCACAAGGACATATGGCCATTAAGCTTAGGAAAAGATGTCCAACCTATCTGGTAGTCAAGAGTGCATAAATTATAACAAGGAGAGGTCATGTTTACCCATTAAATTGGCAAATTTTTTTTCAGTTAAATTGAGAGCTACATTTTAGAGTGAAAGTATCAGGCATTGTCGAGCATGGCCTCAAGGGGGCACTCTCTTACCCTGATGGCAGGTGTGGAAATGAGTGAAGCTACTTAGAAGGAAATCTATCCATGTCAAAAATAAATGTACCCTTTGACCCATAAACTTTACATCTGGGATGTAAACTTTTATTATTTTGGAATAATAAAAAAACAGAAGGCTGAGCATAGTAGCTCACGCCTGTAATCCCAGCACTTTGAGAGGCCAAGGTGGGAGGATTGCTTGAGCCCTGGAGTTTGAGACCAGCCTGGGCAACAGAGTGAGACCCTGTCTCTATTTAAAACAAAAAAAGAAAGAAAGAGAGAACCTAAATGTCCATCTAGAGGGAACTGGCGAAACAAAGGATGATTCATCCATTCAATTCCGGAGATGATTAGACATTTCTCCCTTTTTTTTTTTTTTTTTTTTTTGACAGAGTTTTGCTCTTTTCACCCAGGCTAGAGTGCAGTGGCATGATCTTGGCTCACTGCAACCTCCGCCTCCCAGGTTCAGGCAATTATCCTGCCTCAGCCTCCCGAGTAGCTGGGATTACAGGCGCCTGCCACCATGCCCGGCTAATTTTTTGTATTTTTAGTAGAGATGGGGTTTCACCATGTTGGGCAGGCTGGTCTCAAACTCCTGATCTCAGGTGATCCACCCGCCTCGGCCTCCCAAAGTGCTGGGATTACAGGCATGAGCCACCACGCCAGGCCCGTTTCTCCCTTTTAAGCTGAGATCTTTCCATTTTTCACCTGGAAAGTGGTAGGCTTGATAAACTGTCCAAAATATCACTGGCAATCCTAGAGCATGGTAGCATATGGCCTTAGCCCTTTCATCTCAAAAGTCACTTTATACAAAATACAACAAATTACAAACAGAAGTATTAGTGTTCTGCAAAACTCTCATATCTTGCTCCCTGCTTGAATAAATTATTTATGTTGAATCACTTTGTAACACTGCTAACATAGCTTAGAGGAAGCCTGCCTCTCAGCGTGTCTACTGGGAAAAGCTTGAGTAGGGATCATCACTGTCATCACTGTCAACCATTCAGGATGTGTCAGGTCCCTTGTAAACAGTCACCAGGTTGTTGGCCAGGCACGGTGACCCACATCTGTAATCTCAGCACTTTCAGAGGCTAAGGCCAGTGGATCACTTGAGGCCAAGAGTTCAAGACCAGCCTGGTCAATATGGCAAAGCCCCATCTCTACAAAAAAAATACAAAAAAAATTTAGCTAGGTGTAGTGGTGCATGCCTGTAATCCCAGCTACTCACGAGGCTGAGGCAAGAGAATCGCTTGAACCCAGGAGGTGGAGGTTGCAGTGAGCCAAGATCGTACCACTGCACTCCAGTCTGGGCGACACAGCGGAACTCTGGCTCAAAAAAAAAAAAGAAAAGAAAGAAAACAAAAACAAACAAACAAACAAAAAACCAGTCACCAGGTTGTATCCACAAACTTTTCTGTTTGCTCTCCTCAAAAGGAGGAGTATCCTAATGCAGGATACTCCATAATGCAGGCAGGGCAAGGGTTAAACCCTTAGCTTGGAGGGATGGAAGGAAGCATAGAAGGAAGGAAGGAAGGAAGGAAGGAAGGAAGGAAGGAAGGAGGGAGGGAGGCAGAGGGGCAGAGGACAGAGGGAGAGAGAGAGAAAGAAAAGAGAAAAAGAAAAAGAAAAGAAAGGAAAAGAAAAGAGAAAGAAAGAAAAGAAAGAGAGAGAAAGAAAGAAAGAAAGAAAGAAAGAAAGAAAGAAAGAAAGAAAGAAAGAAAGAAAAAGAAAGAAAGAGAAAGAAAGAAAGAAAAAAAAAGGAAAGAAAGAAAAAGTCGGGGGCAGGAGGGCAAGGGGCCTGGGACCAACGAGCTATGTGGAGGAAGAGAAGGGAGGAGGTGAGGTTGGCACCCAGGTCGGGGCGCTCCCATAAATATCTGTTAAACTTCAGGCCTAGCAATAAATAGCAGCAGAGGCTGAGTGGCGGACAGTGGGGTTTTCTCCTGAATCCTGCCGTCCCTGAAGCCAGATCTCCAGGTGCCAGCCAATTACCCTGGGGCAATCGTCATGCCCGACTTTCCTAAGAGGGGTTCTCAATCAGCAGGGTTGGCTTGACCTGCTGCCCAGCTGCGGGGAAGCCGGGAGTGGAGACCCCGGGAGTGGGCAGGAAGGATGAGAGGTGGCCAGGGGCCAGGGTTCCAAGGCCCCGGGGCACTCACCGGCAGCCCACGCCCAGGAGGAAGCAGGTGAGAGCCACTAGGTCGCACTGGTTCCAGCTGTCGGCGAGGTAGAGGCGCAGGCGCTGGCTCAGTGAGGCATGGCCAGGCCCGGGGCCCCCGCTGGCGAGGCTGCCCCCGCCTCCGCTCAGGCCCTGGCGCAGTTCCTCGCACAGCAGCGTGAAAGCCCAGAAATAGAGCAGCAGCTCCAGGGAGCCGGGCGGCGCCGGCTGGAAATCCACGAGCAGCACCCGCGAGAAAAGCAGCAGGAACAGCAGGTAGCTGACCACGTTGCCCATGAAGATGGTCACCGGCGCGCCCCAGAAGTGGAACCAGCGGCGTAGGCACCGGCGCCCCCCGCAGCGGCCCCCGCAGCAACCCGGACGGCCCGACTGGCGCGGGACCCCCAGCGGCGTCTTCTCGGCTGGGTCCGCCGTCCTGTGGGGGAAGAGAAGAGAAGGGAGGAGGCCTCACTCTGACCTCTGAGTCCTGATCTCCACCATCATCGAGACTTTTGGCTTGGCACATCTCACCCTGCCTGACCCGAAACTCAGTCTGCCCAGAGCTAATTTCTTGGGTTTTGACTCTTGTATCTAACCTCTGACCTCTGAAATCTCCGGTCAAGAGGTGGATTGATCGCTTGAGCCGAGGAGTTGGAGACCAGCCTGGCCAACATGGCAAAACCTCATCTCTACAAAAAATATTTTAAAAATATACCCGGATCGGGCGCGGTGGCTCACGCCTGTAATCGCAGCACTTTGGGAGTTAAGGCGGGCAGATCACCTGAGGTAGGGAGTTCGAGACCAGCCTGGCCAACATGGTGAAACCCTGTCTCTACTAAAAATACAAAAATTAGCCGGGTCTGGTGGCGCATGCCAGTAGTCCCACATACTCGGGAGGCTGAGGCGGGAGAATCGCTTGAACCTGGGAGGCAGAGGTTGCAATGCACTGCAGCCTAGGCGACAGAGTGAGACTCTGTCTCAAAAATAATAATAATAATAATAATAAAATAAATAAAAATAAAAATTTAGCCAGTAGTAGGGGCAAGCACCTGTAGTCCCAGCTACTGGGGAGGCTGAAATGGGAGGATCACTTGAGTACAGGAGGCCCAGGCTGCAGTCAGCCATGAACATGCCACTGCACTCCAGCTTGGGCAATAGAGCGAGACCCTGTCTAAAAAAAAAAAAAAAAAAATTAAAGTAGAAACGGGCTGGGCGCGCTAGCTCACGCTTGTAATCCCAGCATTTGGGGAGGCCGAGGCAGGCAGATCAGCTGAGGTCGGGAGTTCGAGACCAGCCTGACCAACATGGAGAAACCCCGTCTCTACTAAAAATACAAAATTAGCCTGGCGTGGTGGCGCATGCCTGTAATCCCAGCTACTTGACAGGCTGATGCAGGAGAATCGCTTGAACCCGGGAGGCGGAGGTTGTGGTGAACTGAGGTCGCGCCATTGACTCCAGCCTGGGCAACGAGAGCAAAACTCCGTCTCAAAAAATAAAAAAATAAAGAAGAAGAAGAAGAAAAGACCATAGAGTGCATGGCTCCACTTATGTGAAGTGTGCAAAACAGGCAAACCCAGAGACAGCAGGTACATGAATGGTGGCCTAGGGCTGGGAAAACGAAAAGCAGTGCTAAGCATGTACAGAGTTTCTTGTTGGAGTGATGACAATATTTGAAAATGAATTGTGGAAATGATTTCACAATTCTGTGAGTACACCAAGAAGCACTGAATTGTATACCTTAAGTAAGTGAACGGTATGATATGTGGATTACAGCTCAATAAAGCTGCCATTTAAAAAAAAAGAAAAAAAAGTGAGGCTGGGCGTGGTAGCTCAAGCCTGAAATCCCAGCACTTTGGGAGGCCAAGGTGAGCAGATTGCTTGAGCCCAGGAGTTCAACACCAGCCTGGGCAACATGGTGAAACCCCATCTCTACAGAAAAAAAAAAAAAAATTAGCCAGGTGTGTTTATACCTGCAGTCCCAGCTACTCAGGAGGCTGAGGCAGGAGAATCACTTGACACTGGGAGGTTGAGGCTGCAGTGAGCCAAGATCAAGCTACTATACTTCAGCGGAGGCAACAGAGTGAGACCTTGTCTCAGAAGGGAGGAAGGAAGGGTTGGGGGGAGGGAGAGAGGGAGGGAGGGAAGGAGATAGAGAAAGAAAGAAAAGAGAGGGAGGAAGGAAGGAAGAAAAGAAGGAAGGAAGGGAGGGAGGGACAGAGAGAGAAAGAGAGAGAGAAAGAAAGGGAAGGAAAGAAAGGAAGGAAGGAAAGAAAAGGAAAGGAAAGGAAGGAAGGAAAGAAGGAAGGAAGGAGGAAGGAAGGAAATAAGTGAGGCCAAGCGCAGTGGTGTATGCCTGTAATCCCAGCACTTTGGGAAGCCGAGGTGGGAAGATCACTTAAGCCTTCGAATTTGAGACCAGCCTGGGCAACATGGCGAAACCCCATCTCTACAAAACATATAAAAATTAGCCGAGCATAGCATGCATCTGTAGCTACTTGAGAGGCTGAGGTGGGAGGATGGCTTAGCCTGGGAGGTTGAGGGTGCAGTAAGCCATGATCGCGCCACTGCTCTCCAGCCTGAGTGACAGATCAAGATCCTGTCTCAAAGAAGAAGAAAGGAGAAGGAGAAGGAGGATGAAGAGAAGGCAGAGGAGCAGGAGGAGGAGGAGCAGGAGAAGGAGGATGAGGAGAAGGCGGAGAAGCAGGAGCAGGAGGAGGAGGATGAAGAGGAGGAAGAGGAGAAGGAGGATGAAGAGGAGAAGTAGGATGAGGAGAAGGCGGAGGAGCAGGAGCAGGAGGAGGATGAAGAGGAGAAGTAGGATGAGGAGAAGGCGGAGGAGCAGGAGCAGGAGGAGGATGAGGAGGAGGAAGAGAAAGAGGATGAGGAGAAGGAGGAAGAGGAGGAGGATGAGTAGGAAGAGGAGGAGAAGGAGGAGGAGGATGAAGAGGAGGAGGAGAAGGAGGATGACGAGGAGGAGGAGAAGGAGGATGACAAGGAGGAGGACAAGGAGGAGAAGGAGGAGGAGAAGGAGGAGAATAGTGAAAGCTACAGAAACTAAGAACTCCTAGAGAAAGAAGGTCAGATGCAGAGAGGACAGCAAGCTCCCTACTGATAGAGAAAACCATCATGGTATTTCACAGTTCTCCTGCAGAATCCTGGTAAGAAGGGAGAGCGGTGGGTCAGAAAGCTTCCCCCACATCTGCCATCTTGAATCACCTCCAGCCAGGCCACAGGCAGGTTCCTGGGCTCAGCCCCAGCCTCTCTGGGGGGATCTTGGGATCTGTCCTTCAACAGAGCTCTCAGTGGGGGGGCTCCACAGGGGCTGAGAGCACAGACTCAGGTACAAGAGGATCTGGGATCAAATCTCGGCTCTACCATTTACCAACCACATGATCTGAGGCAAGTGACTGAATGACTCCATTATTTCACCTGCAAAATGAGAATAATTATAGGCCCTATTGCACTGGGTTGTTGGAATTAAACGAACTGATTTCCGGACGGGTGCGGTGGCTCATGCTTGTAATCCCAGCACTTTGGGAGGCCGAGGCGGGCAGATCACGAGGTCAGGAGATCGAGACCATCCTGGCTAACACGGGGAAACCCCAGCTCTACTAAAAATACAAAAAAATTAGCCGGGCGTGGTGGCGGGCACCTGTAGTCCCAGCTACTCAGGAGGCTGAGGCAGGAGAATGGTGTGAACCCGGGAGGAGGAGCTTGCAGTGAGCCGAGATCATGCCACTGCACTCCAGCCTGGGCGACAGAGTAAGACTCCATCTCAAAAAAAAAAAAAAAAAACCAACTGATTTTCAAAAGAATTGAGCACAGTAGTTGCTCATTGTACGTGTTTCATAACATCAGCTGTTATCAAGGTCGTCATCATCATCACATGTGCAGATGAGAAATTGCTAGGGAAGGACACCATTACTGATCCTGACCTCAGACACTGGGGCCTTCTATCAACCTTTCTCAGTGGTCCAAATGTTTATCTTAGTTTTTCCCTTCTCTCTTGATACATATTTTGTTCTTTTTTTTATTTTTTGACGTTTATTTTTAGTTCAGAGGTACATGTGCAGGTTTGTTAGGTAGGTAAATTTGTGTCATGGGGGTTTGTTGTACAGATTATTCCATCACCCAGGTATTTAGCCTAGTACCCACTAGTTATTTTTCCTGGTCCTCTCCCTCGCCCTACCCTCTGTCCTCCAATAGGCCCCAATGTGTGTTGTTTCACTCTGTGTGTCCATGTGTTCTCATCATTTAGTTCTTACTTATAAGTGAGAACATGGGGTATTTGGTTTTCTGTTCCTGTTAGTTTGTTATGGATAATGGCCTCCAGCTCCAACCATGTCACTGCAAAGGAAATGATCTCGTTCTTTTTTATGGCTACAGATAAATATTTTGTATCCTCTCTACATTGTCTTAAAAAACTATATATAGGCCAGGCATGGTGGCTCATGCCTGTAATCCCAGCATTTTGGGAGGCTGAGGAGGACAGATCACAAAGTCAGGAGATGGGGAGCATCCTGGCCAACATGGTGAAACCCCGTCTCTACTAAAAATACAAAAAAATTAGCTGGGCGTGGTGGCAGGTGACTGTAATCCCAGCTACTTGAGAGGCTGAGGCAGGAGAATCGCTTGAACTCAGGAGGCGGAGGTTGCAGTGAGATGAGATCGCGGCACCGCACTCCTGCCTGGCGACAGAGCAAGACTCCGCCTCAAAAACAACAACAAAAAAAGAAGTTTGATAAATATTCTATTTCATTTGCTTAGGCCTGACTTTTAAAATACCTTAACGGCAACCATAGCATAGTGATTAAAAGCAGGGGCCTTGGGACCACGAACAAAATAGGTGAAAAATCCCTCAATCAACTGATTCCGCTTGCTACAGAGGGATGGAAGTATGTGTAGCATGAAGAAAATCAATTTCTGGTGATGGCCTCCTTGATGGCAGAACCAAATCTTGAGCCAAGTCTTGAGCTTGGCACCTGGGAAGCTTCCTCAGTATCTCAGTCCCTGATGGGACGTGTGATATAGTTTGGATGTTTGTCCCTTCCAAATCTCACATTGAAATGTAATCCCTGGGCCAGGCATGGTGGCTCATGCCTGTAATCCCAGTACTTTGGGAGGCTGAGGCGGGCGGATCACAAGGTCAGGAGTTCAAGACCAGCCTGGCCAATGTGATGAAACCCTGTCACTACTAAAAGTACAAAAGTTAGCCAGGTGTGGTGGTGGGCTCCTGTAGTCCCAGCTATTCGGGAGGCTGAGGCAGGAGAATCGCTTGAACCCAGGAGGCGGAGATCACACCACTGCACTCCAGCCTGGTCGACAGAGCGAGACCCCATTTCAAAAAAGAAAGAAAGAAATGTAATCCCTGGCTGGGCCCGGTGGCTCACACCTGTAATCCCAGCACTTTGGGAGGCCAAAGTGCGCGGATCACTTGAGGTCAGGAGGTTGACACCAGCCTGGCCAACATGGTGAAATCCCGACTCTACTTTAAAGATACAAAAATTAGCTGGGCGTAGTGGCATGCACTTCTACTCCCACCTACTTGGGAGGCTGAGGCAGGCTGATCAGGAACCCAGGAAACAGAGGCTGCAGTGAGCCAAGATTGTACCACTGCACTCCAGCCTGGGCAACTGAGGGAGACTCCGTATCAAAAAAAAAGAAAAAAAGAACAAAGAAATGTAATCCCTAATGTTGGAGGTGGGGCCTGGGGGAAGTGTTTGGGTCCTGGTGGTGGGTCCTTCACAAATGGCTCAGCACCATCCCTTTGGAGACTTTTTGCTCAGTTAGTTCACATGAGATCTATGTGGCACCCCTACTCCTGCTTCTGCTCTCGCCATGTGATACACTGGCTCCTCCCTCACTTTCTGCCATGAGTGGAAGCTTCCTGAGGGCTCACCAGCCGCAGATGCCAGCACTATGCTTCCTGTACAACCTGCAGAACCATGAGCCAATGAAACCTCTTTTCTTTATAAATTACTCAGTCTCAGGTTTAGCAACTTTGTAGCAACTCAAGAGGGGACTAACACAACGTGGAACTGGCACATGTCCTGAACTGCCCAGGGTGTCCCCACCTCACACAGTGCTGGAGGCTCCACTCACCCGACAGGCCCTTCCCCATTAATGACACTATCCATGTCAAACTCTAGCTCCTCCCGTGTGGGCTCCTCTTCTGATTTCCTAGCAAGGGGGGAAGCACAGAGCAAGAAATGAGGGGAAGAGAAGGTGGAGAGGCATTCTCCAGCAAAACTCAAACTTCTTCACCCGGAGACATGGCAGAGGGACAGAGAGGTGGTCTCCTAAAGTCATCCCAAAGGGACCTTCCCCCAGAGCCATGGCCAGAAAGGCAGAGTAACTGCCACTAGAGATACCACAGGGAGGATCCCCCCCAAAACTCACCTCCCACAGCACTCCCTTAGTGGAGGGACAGAGAGTCCCATTCCTAGGGAAGGGACACAATGGGCCGATGAGGGAAGAAAGGTGGGCAGAGGGGGCAGGAAGGAGAAACTGAGCACCCCGCCCCCATCCCCACCACTCTCACCCCAGGGTACTGACCTGAAGGTGATGAGGCGGGTGTAGATGAGTGGAGGGCAAAAGAAGGCGAGAACCAGGGCCCAGATGGGTGTAGTGCTGGCCATATCTCCCCACCACTTCTGTGTCAGCAGAGACTGTGGGGGGTGGGAAGGATTAGGATCCAAATCTCCCCCACAGCCCCGTCCCTAAGACGCCCAGCAAGGGTTGGACTGCAGCTCCAGAGTACAGAGCAAGTGCCCAATGTCACAGCCACAACTATTGAGGTAGGGAAACGGTGGTGAAAGGCAAAGACAACTTAGGCCAGGTTTTGGCAGTAAACAGTCAACACTTAAATTGACACCATATGGCAGATACAGGGCTAAGCACTTTATGTAGATTAGTCCACCGAACCCTTGACACATAAGGGGGTGGGTACTAGTATCTCCTCCTTGGTACACATGAGGCACAGAGAGGTTAAGGAAACGGCCCAAAGAAACACAGTTTGTATGTGGTAGAGCTGGAATCCATGAGTTTAACCACTATCCACAGCAAGGGACTCTGGGTAGCTGTTTGAAATGTCAGCCAAACCATTCCAACAGATGAGGATGGGACTTCCTGTTGGGCACAACTTCCTGTACTAAAGTGGGACTCTGAGCCCCTGTCAGATTTAAACTAAAAATATTGATAATGTTTCCAAAATGTCAACTTGTCAGGATCGGAGAGACTGTGGGAGCAAGTAGGGCTTCCCAAGGCAGATGATTTCCTATAGGAAGGGTGAGATTTCCTAGACCAAAGTTTGTTTATGTCCAAAAAAAAAAAAAGGTAATTGTTCAGTGAGGCCATTCTAACTGCTGAAAACTGAAACTAGGGACCTCTAAAGGAAGTGGAAAGGACTTCCTGTGGATGCCGTAGGACTTCCTGTGGATGAGCTAGGACTTCCTTTGAAAGAAATGGACTCTTCCCTGAAAGCGGGAAGGACTTCCAAGGTTAAAGGTGGAATTTCCTGACAGGGTCACAAGGAGTTTCTCTATCTGGAGTGGAACTTTTTAGGAAGATGGGCTTTGCCGTGGGAAGGTTGGCTTTTGGTGGAAGGGAGCGGGGCTTCTTATGGGAAGAGCAGCCTTTCTGAGAGAGAAGAGAGACTTTCTGGGGGATCTCCAGGGAGAGTGGCTGGTCAAGACCATAGATGTTCCCAATGGCAGGGGCTCATCCCCATACTTCCCAGAGTCCACTTGGAGACTGTTTGGGATGTTGGTGTCGCAGATACTCACCTGTACCCCATCCTGGGCAAAGAAGGCACGGGCGTCAGCTTGCATGGCCAGCTGGAGGCAAGTGGCATCCCCCCAGAGCGGGCAGCGACGGAGGAGGAGGCGGGCAGCCCTCACCTCACTGCTGCGATAGCACTCGCCAAAGAGGTCTGGGGCAGAGGAGTTAGTTATGTGACAGGGATGGGAAGGAGTAGGGTGAGGGTGTGAAGGGAGAGGTAAGGGAATTTAAGGGGATGGCGCAGGGATATGTGAGGAGTGCGGAGTTGCACATCCCCCTCTGGCGGCAGCCCCCGTCCCTGCTCCCAGGCACCGTGCCCCACGCACCAACGCCCATCCCCTCAAACTTGAACGCCAGGTCTTTCCTCCGTGCTGCCTCCTCAGCGTCAGGCTCCAGGCGTGCCATCACCCGGAGCAGCAAACAGGCCCCAAGAGCTGAGGAAACTGCATTGGAACCCTGGAGAGACAAAGAGGGCACGGATGCGTCAAAGAGGGTTCATAGAGGGGGAGGAAGCCTGAAGTCAAGGGAAGGAACAGAGTCAGAGGTCAGAAACTAACTGGGGTCATCAGAGGCCAAGGATGAAGTAATGTTTGGAGATGGATCTGGAAGAAACTGAAAGTCAGTTGAAAATGCCAGAAGTCAGGTGGTTCAGAGACCAGGGATGCAAGTCAGGGGCTGGGCTGCAGTTAGAATCAATTCAGCAGTCACAGACAGGTCAAGAAGCAGTTGGAGGCTGGGTAAAGTGGCTCACGACTATAATCCCAGCACGTTGGGAGGCTGAAGTGAAACCACCTTTGCAAAAATGATAACTGAGAAAATTATGACAATGAAAGAAATCAGACCTAACCGACTCCATCTTGCTTCTAACCCTTAAGCTGTCCTCGCTCATTCCTGGGCATAGGCTGAACTAACTTTGGGAAGGAATTCTGTTCATGGTTTGACTCTGAAACGAAATTGATAATAGCCCTTTCCCCAAAGACCCCCATCTTGCCTGGGGACCAGTCTACCTTTGCAGGACTAACAAATTAGCTACAAGATTAGAAATTAAGTTTAGGGGTCACGCAGCCTCTGGCTCCCCCAATTGCTCCTGGGGATAACATCATTACTGTAACACCTAAGATGAGTGCTTGAGATAGTTTGCAGACCCTGCACTGGATGGATCAGCTGACACCACCCAGACTGTAGTCTGGCTCAACCAGTTCTGCCATCCCACCCAGGAACAGAAAACAGCAAGAAAAACCTCACTTCCAACCCCTGTGATTCCATCTCCAACCTGACCAATCAGCACTCCCCACTTCCCAAGCCTCTACCCACCAAATTATCTTTAAAAGCTCTGATCCCTGAATCCTCGAGGAGACTGATTTGAGTGATAATAAAACTGAGGTCTCCCGCACAGCCGGCTCTGCGCGAATTACTCTTTCTCCATTACACTTTCCTTGTTTTGATAAATCGGCTCTGTCTAGGCAGCGGGCAACGTGAACCCATTGGGTGGTTACAAATGAGGAGGATTGCTTGAGCCCAGGAATTCAAGACCAGCCAGGCAACATGGTGAGACTCCATCTCTACAAAATTTTTTTTTTTTTAGTTAGCCAGGCGTGGTGGTCTGCTTCTGTAGTCCCAGCTACTAGGGAAGCTGAGGTAGGAGGATCGAATGAGCCCAGTAGGTTGAGGCTGCAGTGAGCCATGATCATGCCACTGCACTCCAGCCTGGATGACTGAGGAAGACCCTGTCTCTAACAATGAAATTTTTAAAAGCCCTTGGAGAGGTGACCAAAAATGCCAGTGTAGGGAACTTCAAAACTTTATCCCTCCACAAAAGCAATCAATAGCTATCAAAAGTTGTCAGAATCAACTTTTCTAGAATTCTGGAATCTAATCGAAAACTTATAAAAAAAAAAAAACAAGAAAATGCTTAATGAAGAGACCACTAAATTTCAGTAAGAGGGTACTGTGACATTTTAACCTACCCACTTACTACCCCCAGCTCCCCAGTTCAGTGGCAACCTTGAAGACAAAGACACACATTCCTGGTGTGGGTCGCTAGTACTAGAGGGAGCAATTCAGACTTACCCTCCAGAATTGTGGTTGTGTGTGTGGCCCTATCTGGTGGCTCCCTGAAGCAACAGCTCAAGGACTTGACTTTGCTTCACCTGCCTTAGAGCTTTCCCCAGAGAAAAAGTGGCTTTCCAGGCAGTGTGTGTTAAAATCTTTTTTTTTTTTTTTGAGACGGAGTTTCACTCTTGTTGCCCAGGCTGGAGTGCAATGCTGCAATCTCAGCCCACCACAACCTCTGCCTCCGAGGTTCAAGCAATTCTCCTGCCTCAGCCTCCCGAGTAGCTGGAATTACAGATATGCGCCACCATGCCAGGCTAATTTTTTGTGCTTTTAGTAGAGATAGGGTTTCTCCATGTTGGTCAGGCTGGTCTCGAACTCCTGACCTCAGGCGATCCACCTGCCTCGGCCTCCCAAAGTGCTGGGATTACAGGTGTGAGCCACTGCACCCGGCCTGTTAAAATCTTTTAAAGGCAAATGAATTAACCACATCCATCTGAGGCAAGGACTCACAGTAGAGGCAGTAATAGATACACTAAGCATCTTGGGAAGAAAGAGGCCATGAAAGGAAATACTTGGAGGGAATAAGGGCTTTGAAAGTCTTCCTTGTGTACCAGGAAATCCAGACGGCTAGATGCATGACTAGGGCTAGAGGCGTGCTCAGAAAATACCAGAGAAAACCTGAAGCTCTTACATCTGGCTGAACTTTAGGCTCTGCACAAGCAGGAAGTGAAGACTAAAGCAGAACTGTAAACAGCTTGGCTAAGTATTGAAAGACTGCTTCAATATACAGCCACGGTGGGCGTCGCTCATGCCTCTAATCCCAGCACTTATAGGGAGTTTCTTGTTATATTTGCTTCTGTGGTTCTAGGCATTTAAGGATATCTCTGTCAAGTCACCAGCAGACCACTAAGCTAACAGAAGAGGGGCTTCCATGGCCACACATGCAAAGAATACAGACTTTCCAAAAAAGGTTTAGAGAAGTCACTAAACAGGGTGGGCGCGGTGGCTCACGCCTGTAATCCTAACACTTTGGGAGGCCAAGGTGGGTGGATCACCTGAGGTCAGGAGTTTGAGACCAGCCTGGCTAACATGGTGAAACCCCGTCTCTATGAAAAATACAAAAATTAGCTGGGTGTGGTGGCACACACCTGTAATCCCAGCTACTTGGGAGGCTGAGGCAGGAGAATCACTTAAACCTGGGAGGTGGAGCTTGCAGTGAGCCGAGATTGCACCACTGTACTCTAGCCTGGGCCACAGAGTGAGACTCCATCCCCCCTCCCCCCAAAAAAAAGAAAAAGAAAAAAGAAAAGTCACTAAACAAACAACAATGACCCACAATGAGCAGCAGCCACAACAAACCCTGGAGGGAGGGCATAAGCTGATTTCCAGAGTTGCCACATTATCATATTCAAAATGTTCCACTTTTCAACCAAAAATTATGAGGCATGCAAAGAAACAAGACAATATGGTTCATATACTGGAAAAAAAAGAAATTAATAGAGACCAGGCATGGTGGCTCACACCTGTAATCCCAGCACTTTGGGAGGCCCAGGCAGGAGGATTGCTTGAGCCCAAGAATTCAAGACCAACCTGGGCAACATAGTAAGACCCCATCTCTGCAAATTTTTTAAAATTAGCTTGGCATGTGGCTGGTAGACCCAACTACTCAGGAGGCTGAGGTGGGAGGATTGCTTGAGTCCAAGAAGTCAAGGTTGCAGTGAACTTTGGTCAAACCACTGCAGTCCAGTCTGAGTGACAGAATGAGACTCTGTCTCAACAACAACAACAAGAACAACAAATAAATAAATAAAAGAAAAGAAATGAAATGAATAGAAATGAGTAGGAAAAAAATAAATGAATAGAAACTATCCCTGAGGAAACTCAGACACTGAACTTACTAGCAAAGGCTTTAAATAAATTGTCTTAAATATGCTCGAAGAGCTAAAGGAAATCATGAAAAAAGAACTAAAGGGAGCCAGGAAAAAGATGTCTCACCACCTAGAGAATAAGAATACAGAGATAGAGGCAGGGTTTCCTGAAACTGGGTTAATTCTTTATAGAAATGTGAACACTGAATTTATTTTTTTAAAAATAAAAATTAAAAAAAAAAGAAAAAAACACAGAAAACATCTTATCTGTATATAGGTCTTGAGTGAAGTGGCTGCTTTTTTTTCTGCTTTTTGTAGAAGAGATTGAGAATGGTACTGTAATCAAAAATAAAGTTTTGTAGTGGGACCAGGAAAAAAAAAAGACAGACTACAGAGGCCGGGCGCAGTGGCTCACGCCTGTAATCCCAGCACTTTGGGAGGCCGAGGAGGGCAGATCACGAGGTCAGGAGATCGCAACCATCCTGGCTAACACAGTGAAACCCTGTCTCTAAAAAAATACAAAAAAATTAGCTGGGCGTGGTGGCGGGCACCTGTAGTCCCAGCTACTTGGGAGGCTGAGGCAGGAGAATGGCGTGGAGGCAGGAGAATGGCGTGAACCCAGGAGGCAGAGCTTGCAGTGAGCGGAGATTGAGCCACTGCACTCCAGCCTGGGCGACTGAGCGAGACTCTGTCTCAAAAAAAAAAAAAAAAAAAAAAAAAAGACTACAGAGACAGAAATGAACCAAATAGAAACTCTGAAGCTAAAAAGCACAATAACTGAAATATAAAAACCACTAGAGGGACTCAACAGTAGATTCATAAAAAAGGCAAAATAAAGATCAGTGAATTTGAAGCTAAGTACATTGAGATTATCCAGCCTGAGGAGAAAAAAGAAAAACAAATGAAGGAAAATAAGCAGAGCCTAAGGGACTTGCGAGACACCATACAGAATATTAATACATACATAATGAGAGTCCAAAAGGAAAAGAGAGACAGAAAGGGAAAGAAATAATATTTGAAGATATAATGTCCTAAAAACTTCCAAAATGTGATGAAAGACAAAAGTCTACACATCCAGGAAGCTCAAGGAACTCCAAGTAAAAGAAATTCACAGGCCAAGCACAGTGGCTCACGCCTGTAATCCCAGCACTTCGGGAGGCCAAGGCAGACAGATCACAAGGTCAGGAGATCAAGACCACGGTGAAACCCCATCTCTACTAAAAATACAAAAAATTAGCTGGGCGTGGTGGCGGGCGCCTGTAGTCCCAGCTACTCGGGAGGCTGAGGCAGGAGAATGGCATGAACCCAGAAGGTGGAGCTTGCAGTGAGCCGAGATCATGCCACTGCACTCCAGCCTGGGCAACAGAGCAGGACTCCATCTCAAAAAAAAAAAAAAAAGAAAAAGAAAAAGAAATTCACAGAGATCCACACTGAGATATATTATCAAAGGCCAAAACAAAGAGAGAATCTTGGCCAGGCACGGTGGCACATGCCTGTAATCCCAGCATTTTGGGAAGCCGAGGCGGGTGGATCACTTGAGGTCAGGAGTCCAGCCTGGCCAACATGGTGAAACCCCATCTCTACTAAAACAAAACAAAACAAAACAAAAATTAGCCAGGCGTGGGGGCAGGTGCCTGTAATCCCAGCTACTCCGGAGGCTGAGGCAGGAGAATTACTTGAACCCGGGAGACTGAGGGTGCAGTAAGCCAAGATTGCGCCACTGCACTGCAGCCTGGGCGACAGAGCGAGACTCTGTCTCAAAAAATAAACACATAAAATAATGCATGATGTGAGAGAGAGAAAAGAAAGAGGAAGCAGTTGGAGGCATATATCAGCGACGGAGGATGGGGCGCCTGTCAGGTGACGTCAGGGGTCGGGGAATTGTATGGTAATTGTTTCGGGAACACTGGCATCCAGTGGCCTAAAGGACAGGGATGCAGGAGCGCCAAGTCAGCACTCACCATCTCCCAGAAGTACATGGCCATCTGTGCCCTGTTCAGCAACAGTGCCCAAAGAAGCAGGTCGCTCCAGGGGGCCTGCCCGAGGCCAGCATCCAGCGAGAGCGGCGAGGTGGCCTTGTCCGAGAGCAGATACATCTGCCAGCAAAAGGAGGGGTGGTGAGGACCAGCCCCTCCCCAACACTGGCCACCACCAGCCCTGCCTCTGGTTTGGCCACGCCCCATCCCTGATGTAATCCCGCCCCCAGGTCCTTCCCGCGCGGGGGGGCCCCCCAGCTTTGCCCGGTCCTTACGCTCTCCCCGAAGCCCTGGCCTGGGTGAGGGTCCCAGGCGCCCCCGGAGGGGTACCTCGGCGCGCACATCTTCCCCAGCAGCATCCTCAGCACATGCCCCACGTCAGGGGGCCGGAGCTCCGCAGCTCCCCCTTTTAGGGCTGGGGCTTTGGTGCCTGCGCTGTGGGACGCCTGGTCCAAAAGGTTGCGGATGAGCGAGTTGGAGGGCGCCGCGCTGTAGAGTTGGGCCAGGCGCATCGGGGTCAGGAAGTGGCCCAGGCTGAGGCCGTGGGAAATGAGCAAGCGCACGAACTCAGGCCGGTCATTCAGCAGGGCGTCCATGAGGGAAGCTTCGAGATGGAAGGACTGGCAGGGTGGGATGAATAGGGGAAGAGATTAGCTCAAAGGTTAAGGACAAGAGATGGGCAAGGGTATGAGGGACGGATGGATGGATGGATGGATGGATGGATGGATGGATGGATGGATGGATGGGTGGATGGATGGATGAATGGATAGGTAGATGGATGGATGGACAGATGGATGGATGGGCAGATGGATGGATGGATGGATGGATGGATGGATGGATGGACAGAGGGATGGATGGATGGACAGAGGGATGGATGGATGGACAGAGGGATGGATGGATGAACGGATAGGTAGATGGATGGATGGACAGATGAATGGATGGACAGATGGATGGATGGATAGATGGATGGATGGATGGATGAATGGATAGGTAGATGGATGGATGTATGGATGAATGGATAGGTAGATGGATGGATGGACAGATGAATGGATGGATGGATGAATGGACAGATGGATGGATGGATGGATGGATGGATGGATGGACAGATGGATGGATGGATGGATGGATGGATGGATGGATAAATGGATGGATGGACAAATGGATGGATGGATGGATAAGTAGATGGATGAATGAATGGATGAATGGATAGATGGAGGTACAGGGTGGATGGATGGATAGACAGATGGATGGGTGGGGAGAGAGGAAACAAGATGGGGCAGATGGACAGAGATGGATGGACAATTAAGGGAAGGCTGGACAGGCCATAATGGAAGGCAGGGTTGAGGGGCGTCTAAGAAGGCAGAGAGGCCGGGTGCGGTGGCTCATGCCTGTAACCCCAGCACTTTGGGAGCCTGAGGCGGGCGGATCACAAGGTCAGGAGATCGAGACCATCCTGGCTAACATAGTGAAACCCCGTCTCTACTAAAAATACAAAAAAATTAGCTGGGTGTGGTGGCGGGCGCCTGTAGTCCCAGCTACTCGGGAGGCTGAGGCAGGAGAATGGCGTGAACCCAGGTGGCGGAGCTTGCAGTGAGCTGGGATCACACCTCTGCACTCCAGGCTGGGTGACAGAGTGAGACTCCGTCAAAAAAAAAAAAAAAAAAAAAGAAGGCAGAGAGGGAGGACAGCACAGTCCCTTTGTCAGTATGCCCAACCCCCAGGCCCTGACCCCTCACCCGCCATTGGATGTCCCCCCGAAAGAGTTCACTCTGGGCAATGTCCACGCGGTTCCAAGCCACAGCCAAACGCAGCTCATCCAGGTAGGCTGAGGCCTCCGAGCTCCCACAGGCTGGAAGGATTAGAGGGAGAGGGGACAAGAAGTCAGGGGAGGAGGGACATCTGCTGAATGTCTATTTTGCCTCTATTTTGCATGTCTGACTTTTAAACTCTGCATAAAGGGGTTGCTACTGGGCAGAGTGTGGGGGTCTTAAAGCAGTCAGGCTATCATAGGCATAAGGTCATTTGGCTCAGGGCCAGAGCACAGACCACTGGTTTACAGCCCCCAAGAAGAAACAAAAGGAATCACTTATTCATTTAATATTTATTGAGGTATGTTATGGACCAAGCAGTGGGAGGGATGGAGAGAGAAATCAGATACAGTTCCTACCCTGAAGAAGCTGGTTCTATTGGGGGAAATATGTCCCCCCAACACATAACTACCCTCAGGGTGCTTGGTGCCCTCAGAGGTAGGCATATAATATGATTAGGATGGATGGATGGACAGATAGAAGGATGGATGGATGGGATGGATAAATGGATGGATGAAAGGATAAAGAGATGGATGAATGAACGGATGGATGGATAGATGGATGTACAGGGTGGATAGATGGATAGATGGACAGACGGATGGATGGGGAGAGAGGAAACAAGATGGGGCAGACGGACAATCAGAGATGGATGGGCGATTAAAGGGAAGGCTGGACAGGCCATAATGGAAGGCAGGGTGGAGGGGTGTCTAAGGAGGCATCTATAGGCATATAATATGATTAGGGCCCAGAGGAGGATATGGTCACAGAGGTATAGAGTGGCCCAAGAGAGCTCCCAGAGAATGGGTGTTGAGGTAGCACTTTGAAAGACCACCAGGACTGGGAGGTATGCCCCTAAGGTGCGAAAAGGGCGTTCAAAGCAGCAGGCACAGCAGAAGCAAAGGCCCGGGTGCAACACACACACACACACACACACACACACACACACACACACACACACACAGCAGATGATGACAAACGTGAGTCACTCTGATTTCTGAAACTTGGGGTATATTGTGAAGGGAAAGAGGTGACAACAGCAGAAAATGAGAACAGGAGAGGGACTCCGAGAGACCCTGGAGGTCACTGAAACAGCAAGAGAGAACCAGAAACCCTTAAAAATTTGATCCAGCTATGTAGTGGATCCAAACATGTGCAGTCAACAGGGGCATGAAAAGTCCTGAAGGGCATTTGTCGTGACATGGAGTTAGGTTTCCTTCTGCCTCCACTTGCTCCATATCTATCTCCAAAACAAATTCATCTCATTTTGGTTGCTCCAAAAACTGGTACCACAGAAAGAGATAATCTCATGTAGTGGAGGTGAGCAATAGGCTCTGGGGCAGGCAGACGTGGGTTCCAGTCCCCGGTCCACCAGTACCAACTGAGTGACTTCAGGCAAGCCATTGAACCTTGGGAGCCTCAGTTTCCTCATCTATTAAATGGGAAATAGTGGCACCCCCTTCATAGCACTGTAATCAATTACAGTAACTGTGGGAAGAAGTTCCACGCTGTGGCGACACTACAGCTTGGCCAGTGTAACCTCCAAGGCTGTGCTTGAGGAAACAGAGGCCCAGAAAGGCAGTAACATGTCTAGGACCTCATGGCTTTCTGTGCTCTTTCAAAACCCAGACGTCCATTCAGAGCGGACTTTTCCACGACTTTCTACGATTCTATGAAGCTCTCCTACTTTCCCCACAGTTTCAAAAGAAGGAAACAAAATTGTTCATAATATCTTGCTTTACAGGCCGGGCGCCGTGGCTCACGCCTGTAATCCCAGCACTTTGGGAGGCCAAGATGGGCGGATCGCCTGAGCTCAGGAGTTCGAGACCAGCCTGGGTAACACGGTGAAACCCCATCTCTACTAAAATACAAAAAATTAGCTGGGCATGGTGGCATGCGTCTGTAGTCCCAGCTACTTGGGAGGCTGAGCAGGAGAATCGCTTGAACCCGGGAGGTGGAGGTTGCAGTGAGCCGAGATCACGTCACTGCATTCCAGCCTGGGTGAGAAAGGGAGACTCCGTCTCAAATAATAATAATAGGCTGGATGCTGTGGCTCATGCCTGTAATCCCAACACCTTGGGAGGCCGAGGTGGGCGAATCACCTGAGGTCAGGAGTTCGAGACCAGCCTGACCAACATGGAGAAACCTCGTCTCTGCTAAAAATACAAAATTAGCTGGGCGTGGTGGCTCATGCCTGTAATCCCAGCTACTTGGGAGGCTGAGGCAGGAAAATCGCTTGAACCCGGGAGGTGGAGGTTGCAGTGAGCCAAGATCACGCCATTGCACTCCAGCCTGGGCAACAGAGCGAAACTCTGTTGCAAAAATAATAATAATAGGCCGGGCACAGTGGCTCACACCTGTAATCCCAGCACTTTGGGAGGCCGAGATGGGTGGATCATGAGGTCAAGAGATCGAGACCACCCTGGTTAACACAGTGAAACCCCATCTCTACTAAATATACAAAAAATTAGCCGGGCATGGTGGCGGGCGCCTGTAGTGCCAGCTACTCAGGAGGCTGAGGCAGGAGGATGGCATGAACCTGGGAGGTGGAGCTTGTAGTGAGCCAAGATCGTGCCACTGCACTCCAGCCTGGACGACAGAGCAAGACTCCATCTCAAAAAAAATAAAAAAATAAAAATAATAATAATAATAATACCTTGCTTTATATTCCGCCTTAATCTGGCACCATTTGTCACCTGGGCACTCGACCCTGGCCCCACCTTGTCCCTTCAGACTCACCGTGTTCCATACTCAACTCAGCATCTAGCCCTCAAACCCATCTTCCCTACGTCCTCATCTCAGGAATGGCCCCTCTGTCCACCCAATCAATAAGGCAGACCCGCAGGTACTGTCCTTGTCCCTTCCTGCTCCTCCCATCTCACAGGCCATCAGCCCCCAAGCTTCATGTCCCACGTCCAGCCTCCTGACTCTCTGCTGAGCCTCCCCGACTGTCCTCCTGGCCCCAGCTATAGCTCAAGCTTCGGCACCCCCAAACACCATCACTGCAGTCTCTTCTCTCCTCTCCACTCTGCCCCCACCCACTCCCAGAGAGTCTGTTTTTGTTTTTTGAGACAGGGTCTTCGTCTGTCACCCAGTCTGGAGTGCAGTGGCGCCATCACAGCTCACTTCAGCTTTGAGACCTCCCAGGCTCAAGCGATCCTCCTGCCTCAGCCTCCCGAGTAGCTGGGACTACAGGCGCACAGTACCATACCCAGCTAATTTTTTATAGACATGGGGTCTCACTATGCTGCCCAGGCTGGTCTCAAACTCCTGGGCTCAAGCGAACCTCCTTCCTTAGTCTTCCAAGGTGCTGTGATAATAGGCATGAGCCTTCACGCTTGGCCAGAGAGTCTTTTTTATCCACATAACGGACCCTGGTCCTCTGCTGCCTCTCAAGGACAGCCTTAGCCCCTCTGCCTGGCATTTGAGGTCCTGGGTGGTTTGGCCCTACCTGCCTCACTGGCCTTGTCTCCAACACTCCCTTCATGCCAATGATACATACCAACCCTGCGAGCCTCTGACCTCTCTCCAAACATGCCCCTTGCAATGGGCTTGAGAATTATACAGACTCACATGAAAAGCCTGACCCCTGCTACTAGCTGGATGACCCTGGGCAAGCCATTTTTCCTCTCTCTGAGCCTCAGTCTCTTCATCTGCAAAATGGGGTGATAATCCTTGCAGGCAGGGAAGGGAGATGAAGGGCAAAAGAGTACACCAACTGCCCAGCACTGGGCCTGCCTATGCTAGACTCTTAGGAAGGATTCATGGGCCAGGGGTGGTGGCTCACACCTGTAATCCCAGCACTTTGGGAGGCCGAGGCAGGCAGATCACGAGGTCAGAAGGTCGAGACCATCCTGGCCAACATGGTGAAACCCCATCTCTACTAAAAATACAAACATTAGCCAGGCATAGTGGCAGGTGCCTGTAGTCCCAGCTTCTCGGGAGGCTGAGGCAGGACAATCGCTTGAACCCGGGGGTTGCAGTGAGCTGAGATCACACCACTGCACTCCAGCCTGGGCGACAGAGCGAGACACTGTCTCAAAAAAAAAAAAAAAAAAAAAAGACGCATTCATGACCTTGCCCTTCTTTCTTGCTGAAATTCCATCCATTCAACTCTGCTATCCCCAAGCCTATCAGCCATCTCCAGTTCCCCCAGTGGACTGTGATCACTTCCACTCCTGCTGGGCTTACAACACCACCCCCTCAAACCACATCTTGCAGAGCTGCCGTATTTTCTCCCAGGAGGCTGCTGAGTTAACTTCCGCAGAGTGAATCAGATTTGCCCACTGAGAGTTACCTTATATTGAAGGATGTACCCCCAGAGGAAATGGAATCATATTAAGAGGAGATCCCTCTTATTGGGCCCCCACCGGGACCGGGCACAACTCATACCTTGCCATGGAGGCTTATAACACTCCTGTAAGATATTATCTCCACTTTCCACAGAGAGAAACTGGGGCTCAGAGAGGGGAAGCTGCTTCCTCAAGACCACACAGCAAGAAAGGGCCAAGCTGGTTTGTTTCTTTTTGATTGTTTGTTTTTGAGACAGAGTCTCGCTCTGTCGCCCAGGCTGGAGTGCAGTGGCACGATCTTGGCTCACGGCAACCTCCACCTCCTGGGTTCAAGCGATTCTCCTGCCTCAGCCTCCCAACTAGTTGGGATTACAGGCACCCGCCACCACGCCAGCTAATTTTTGTATTTTCAGTAGAGACAGGGTTTTGCCATGGTGGCCAGGCTGATCTCGAACTCCTGACCTCAAGTGATCCTACCTCAGCCTCCCAAAATGTTGGGATTATAGGCGTGAGCCACTGTACCCGGCCCAAGCTGGTATTTAAATTCAGTTTTGTCTGATTCCAAAGCAAAAATAACTTGCTCTTTCTACCCTACCACAGCCTGTACTATACCTAGCACTTTGGGAGGTCAAGGCAGGAGGATCTCTTCAGCCCAAGAGTTCAAGACCAGCCCAGGCAACATAGGGAGACCCTATCCCTATAAAAAAATTAAAAATAAATTAGCCTGGTGTGGTGGCGCACAGCTACTCAGAGGCTGATGCGAGAGAATCACTTGAGCCCAGGATCTCAAGGCTGCAGTGAGCTATGATTGTCCCACTGCACTCCAGCCTGGACAACAGAGTGAGACTGTCTCAAAAAATACCTAAAAATGAATTAAGGCCGGGCGCGGTGGCTCACACCTGTAATCCAAGTACTTTGGGAGGCCGAGGCGGGTGGATCACCTGAGGTCAGGAGTTCAAAACCAGCCTGGCCAACATGGCGAAACCCTGTCTGTACTAAAAATACAAAAATTAGCCGGGTGCGGTTGTGGGCACCTGTAATCCCAGCTACTCAGGAGGCTGAGGCAGGAGAATCGCTTAAACCTGGGAGGAGGAGGTTGCAGTGAGCTGAGATGGCGCCATTGCACTCCAGCCTGGGCGACAGACAAAGACTCTTTAAAAAAAAAAAAAAAAGAGGCCGGGCGCCGTGGCTCACGCCTGTAATCCCAGCACTTTGGGAGGCCGAGGCGGGTGGATCACAAGGTCAGGAGATCGAGACCATCCTGGCTAACACGGTGAAACTCCGTCTCTACTAAAAATAGAGAGCCCAACTACTCGGGAGGCTGAGGGAGGAGAATGGCGTGAACCCAGGAGGCAGAGCTTTCAGCGAGCCGAGATCGCGCCACTGCACTCCAGCCTGGGCGACAGAGCGAGACTCTGTCTCAAAAAAAAAAAAAAGAAAAAGAAAGAAATAATTAAAATAAGAAAAATAATTAAAATATATACCACACCACAAACATGGGTGGGGAGCTGAGGTAGAATGCTGTATATATTGCCACCGTGTATCTGGGGAGTTTCTATCTTAGTGTGTATTTCCCCCGTAAAATTCTTCTGGCCTAAGCACAATGGCTCACGCCTGTAATCCCAGCACGTTGGGAGGCCGAGATGGGCAGATAGCTTTAGCCCAGGAGTTCGAGACCAGCCTGGGCAACATAGTGAAACCCCATCTCTACTAAAAATACAAAAAAGGCTGGGCACAGTGGCTCATGCCTGTAATCCCAGCACTTTGGGAGGCCGAGGCGGGCGGATCACCCGAGGTCGGGAGTTCGAGACCAGCCTGACCAATATGGAGAAACCCCATCTCTACTAAAACTACAAAATTAGCCAGGTGTGGTGGCGCATGCCTGTAATCCCAGCTACTTGGGAGGCTGAGGCAGGAGAATCACTTGAGCCCGGGAGGCGGAGGTTGCAGTGAGCTGAGATGGCACTATTGCACTCCAGCCTGGACAACAAGAGCGAAACTCCGTCTCAAAAAAAAAAAAAAAAAAAAAAAAAGCCAGGCATGATGGCACATGCCTGTGGTCCCAGCTACTTGTGGGGCTGAGGTGAGAGGATCTCTTGAGCCCAGGAGGTCAAGACTGTAGTGGGTCAAGATCACACCACTGCACTCCAGCCTGAGCAACAGAGCGAGGCCTTATCTCAAAAAAAAAAAGAAAAAAGTTCTTCTGACACCAAAAATGACCCTCCCCACACAGAGCCCTGGGAATCTTCCTGAATACTTATCTGTCCCACTCGTTAGCTTACTAAATCCAAATTCTACTGACTTATCAAGGTCCAGTTTATTTGGTTTATTTATTTAGGTTTTTTTTTTTTTTTTTTGAGACAGAGTCTTGCCCTATCACCCAGGCTGGAGTGCAGTGGCACAATCTGCCTCCTAGGTTCGAGCGATTCCCCTGCCTCAGCCACCCAAGTAGCTGGGATTACAGGTATGCGCCACCCTCCCCAACTTATTATTTGTATTTTTTATAGAGGTGGCATTTCACCATGCTGCCCAGGCTGGTCTCAAACTCCTGGGCTCAAGCGATCTTCCCTCCTCAGCCTCCCAAAGTGCTGAAATTACACGTGTGAGCCACTGTGCCTGGCCAAGGTCCGGTTTAAATGCCAACTTCTCTGGCCAGGTGCAGTGGCTCACACCTGTAATCCCAGCACTTTGGGAGGCCGAGGTGGATGGATCATGAGGTCAGGAGTTCGAGGCCAGCCTGACCAACATGGTGAAACACCGTCTCTACTAAAAATACAAAAATCAGCCGGGCATGATGGCACGTGCCTGTAATCCCGGCTACTCAGGAGGGTGAGGCAGGAGAATCGCTTGAACCCGGGAGGCGGAGGTTGCAGTGAGCCAAGCTCGCACCACTGCACTCCAGCCTGGGCGACAGAGCAAGACTCTGTCTCAAAATACACACACACACACACACACAACTTTTCCTTGAAGTTTTCCTTCTAACGACAGTGATTCTTGCCTGTGCTTCTGTCTTAAATTTTACCTAAGGTTGTATCCAAACAATCCTAGTGGGATCTGGGGTCTTTGAGAGCAGGAAATGGGTTGGCTTTAGTCTCTGGAGCCTAGGATTGTATTTGTTGACTAAATAAAGGAGGCTGGCATGGTGGCTCATGCCTGTAATCCCAGCACTTTGGGAGACTGAGGCAGGAGGATCAGTTGAGGCCAGGAGTTCATGACCAGCATGGGCAACAGAGCAAGACCTCGTCTGTACAAAAAAAAAATTTTTTTTTTGTTTAATTTACCAGGTGTAGTGGTGGGCGGGTATGTTCCCAGCTACTTGGAAGGCTGGGGTGGGAGGATCACTTGAGCCTGGGAGGTTGAGGCTGCACTGAGCCGTGATCACACCACTATACTCCAGCTTGGCCTACAGAGCAAGACCCTGTCTCAATAAGTGAATAAATAAATAAGACCCTCCCCAGCCTCTCCCAGGTGTGCATTATGCTCCCCCGCCTTGGTTTTCATCATTCCGTCCTCCAAGCTGCCATTTCTAGTGAAATATCTGGACTTCCTCACTGGGAGACAGTGCTTTGGTTCATGTCTAGCCAGAGTGCTTCATGTATATTGGAAGCATGTAGGGAAGGAAGAATGGGTGGGTGGATGGATAGATGGAAGAACAGTTGGATGGATGAATGAAAAGATGGATGGGTAGATGGGTAAATGGATGGAAGATGGGTGGATGGAGGAATGAGTGAATGGAATTGTCAGTGGATGTGTGGATGGACAGGTGAGAAGATGGATGGATGGAGGAATGAGCGGATGGAATTCTCAGGAATTGTCAGTGGATGTGTGGATGGACAGGTGAGAAGATGGATGGATGGAGGAATGAGTAGATGGAATTCTCAGGAATTTTCAGTGGATGTGCAGATGGACAGGTGAGAAGATGGATGGATAGAAGAATGAGCAGATGGCATTCTCAGGAATTGTCAGTGGATGCATGGATGGACAGGTGAGAAGATGGATGGATGGAAGAATAAGTGAATGGAATTGTCAGTGGATGTGTGGATGGACAGGTGAGAAGATGGATGGATGGAAGAATGAGTGAATGGAATTTTCAGTGGATGTGTGGATGGACAGGTGAGAAGATGGATGGATGGAACAATAAGTGGATGGAATTGTCAGTGGATGTGTGGATGGACAGGTGAGAAGACGGATGGAGGAATGAGCGGATGGAATTCTCAGGAATTGTCAGTGGATGTGTGGATGGACAGGTGAGAAGACGGATGGAGGAATGAGCGGATGGCATTCTCAGGAATTGTCAGTGGATGTGTGGATGGACAGGTGAGAAGATGGATGGATGGAAGAATGAGTGAATGGAATTGTCAGTGGATGTGTGGATGGACAGGTGAGAAGATGGATGGATGGAGGAATGAGTGGATGGAATTCTCAGGAATTTTCGGTGGATGTGTAGATGGACAGGTGAGAAGATGGATGGATGGAAGAATGAGCAGATGGCATTCTCAGGAATTGTCAGTGGATGCATGGATGGACAGGTGAGAAGATGGATGGATGGAAGAATGACTGAATGGAATTGTCAGTGGATGTGTGGATGGACAGGTGAGAAGACGGATGGAGGAATGAGCGGATGGAATTCTCAGGAATTGTCAGTGGATGTGTGGATGGACAGGTGAAAGGATGGATGGATGAAAGAATGAGGGATGACTGGAAGGATGGTAGGTAAAGAGATGGAAAGATCGATCTGTACATGTGGATGGATGGAAAGATGAAAGAATGGATGGATGGATCCAACAGAGGAAAGCAGATGCTGGAACATAATGAAAGCATCTGGGAAAACTGCCCAAATAGCACCATGCAAAGCCCCAAAGGGGAAAAATATTAAGAGGGGTAAAGGGGGCATGGGCCTTGGATTAGAGAGGGTGGATGAAGTGCCCAGGCCAGGAAAGGTGTCTAAGGTTGAACTGAGAGAGGGGGAAGACTGGAGGGTACAACTTTTACCCTTCACAAGGGCCTTCAAAACTATGGTCTCGAATTCCTCAGACCCATCCTCAGAAGAATAGACTGTCAGGAGCTCCTTCCGGGTCATAATCCTCTCCACCTGTGGAATAGCCAGTTCTGCATCCCTAGCCCGCCTCCATCCCCAACTCCTGTTGGGCCCTGTCCAAAGGGATGGAGGAGGCCATTCCCCTCCAGGACCTAATAGTCTATATGCCCAGCACCCTCTTCTCCCGGAACCTGGAAGTCCAGGCCCCCAGCCCCTCCTCCCTCAGACCCAGGAGCCCAAGTCCCCAGTTCCCTCCCATCTCAGGATCCAGAGTTGGGCCCCCAGTGTCATACCTGGGCCTGCAGGACCTCAAGGTCCCCTTTGGGAAAGAAACGCCTGATTCGATCTCGGGCTTCGCCTTGCCTGGCTCCCCCACTCCCTGGGGCCAGAGTGTCTTCCAGGGTCTCCGCCAGGCAGTCCGCAGCTCCCCCTGAGCCAGCCACGAGGAGACATGGGAGCTGAGCCTGGGTGGCGTTCTCTATTCGCTACAGGATAAAGGCATTCTTTATTCATCACGTCAGAAAAGGCAGGATATTCACCCTACCCGGAGTCAGACCCCCAGACCCTCCCTAAGACTCAGGACCCAGGAGTCCTGGCCCCCAACCCTCCTTCCCCCTTAGATCCGGGCATCCGGGCCCCTATACCGTCAACATCTTCTCATCACCATCAATCAGGAGGAGCAGGACAGGGATGTCAATTCCAGTCCCTGAGGCAAGAAGAGAAGGGGGCTTGATTACCTCCCATCAGCCTTTGCTGGAGATAGGAGAAAACCGCATTTCCCAGGAGTCGGCAAACATCAGCCTTGTCCTAATCTTCTGTTCAGAGGCTCATTGGAATTGTCATTTCTTTTTTTACTTAATTATGTATTTATTTTAGAAATGGGGGTCTTGCTATGTTGGCCAGGGTGGTCTCGAACTCCTGGCCTCAAGCAATCCTCCCAACTTGGACTCCCAAAGTGCTGGGATTATAGGCATGAGCCACCGCATCAGCCTAATTTCTGAAACAGGGTGTCACTCTATCGCCCAGGATAGAGTGCAGGGGCATGATCACACCTCACTACATCTTGATCCTCCTACTTTAGCCTTCTAAGTAGCTGGGACCACAGGCACACACCACCGTGCCCAGCTAACTTTTTAATTTTTGGTAGAGACAGGGGTCTTGCCATCTTGCCCAGGCTGGTCTCGAATTCCTGGACTCAAGGGATCCTCCCACCTTGGCCTCCCAAAGTGCTGGGATTACAGCTGTGAGCCAGCGCGCCTGGCCAGAATTGTCATGTCTTTGGACACTTCAGGAGGGAGCTAGATTTTGAAGACAGTAATGCTTAACTTCCCCAGGGAGGAGGGGGCTGAGGACCTAGACTCCTGAGTCCCTGAATGAGGCAGGTGTTTCTTGTATGAGTCAATCCTGTCATTGATTAACCATCCAGGAGCCAGAGGGAGTGAAAGTTCAAATAGAAAGTAAAGGAAATGGGAATAGAAAGGGCTATCTAACCACAATATAGATATTTACCAAAATCCAATTGCACCATAAAGATAGCACTATATCGACTCTACTTCCATTAAAATTAGAAACTAGGCCAGGTGCGGTGGCTCATGCCTGTAATCCCAGCACTTTGGGAGGCCGAGGCGGGTGGATCACCTGAGGTCAAGAGTTCAAGACCAGCCTGGCCAACATGGTGAAACCCCGTCTCTACCAAAAATACAAAAATTAGCTGGGAGTGGTGGCTCGTGCCTATAGTCCCAGCTACTCGGGAGGCTGAGGCAGGAAAAACGCTTGAACCTAGGAGGCAGAAGTTGCAGTGAGCTGAGATCACGCCACTGCACTCCAGCCTGTGCACAGAGCAGGACTCCCTCTCAAAAAAATAAATAAATAAATTAGAAACTAGACCACATTACCACTAACACTGTATTCATCCTGGAGTTTTGAGCTAACTCAATAATGCAAAAAAATGAAATCACTGAAGTGAAAATTGATTTTTTGGTTTTTGGTTTTTTGTAAAGCTGGAAGGGACAAAAGTACCTATTTGAAGAAAACATGGCTTGTATTCCCAGAAAATTGGAAAACCCCACCAAAAATAAAAATAAAGATCAATAAGAAAATTTGGTAAGAGGATTGATACAAGAAAAATACACAAAAATCAAAAACTTTCCTCAAACCTAGTAATGTATCTTGTTCATGTTTTGATAAAATTATAAGATATTGGCTGGCTGGGCGCAGTGGCTCACGACCGTAATCCCAGCACTTTGGGAGGCTGAGGCAGGTGGACCACTTTCGACCACGAGTTTGAGGCCACCTGGGCTGCATGGCAAAACCCTGTCTCTACAAAAAACTTTAAAAATTAGCCGGAGCCAGGTGCAGTGGCTCACGTCTGTAATCCTAGCACTTTGGGAGGCTGAGGTGGGCGAATCACTTGAGGTCAGAAGTTCGAAAACAGCCTAGCCAACAAGGTGAAACCTCATCTCTACTAAAAATACAAACATTAGGCCGGGCGCGGTGGCTCACACCTGTAATCCCAGCACTTCGGGAGGCCAAAGCAGGCAGATCACAAGGTCAGGAGATCAAGACCATCCTGGCTAACACGGTGAAACCCCGTCTACTAAAAATACAAAAATTAGCCGGGTGTGATGGCACGTGCCTGTAATCCCAGCTACTCAGGAGTCTGAGGCAGGAGGCTGAGGCAGGAGAATTGCTTGAACCCAGGAGGCAGAGGCTGCAGTGAGCCGAGATCGCGCCACTGCACTCCAGCCTGGGCAACAGGGCAAAACTCCGTCTCAAAAAAAGAAAAAAATGCATCAAGCTGTCCACCTTCGTGCATTTTTCTGTATGTATGAGAAATTTCAAAATAAAGTCTGTTTGTTTGTTTGAGATGGAGTATTGCTTTGTCGCCCAGGCTGGAGTGCAGTGGCTTGATCTCGGCTCACTGCAACCTCCACCTCCCGGGTTCAAGCAGTTCTCTCACCTTAGCCTCCCAAGTAGCTGGGATTACAGGCACACGACACCACACCTGGCTAATTTATTTTTTATTCTTTATTATTATTATTATTATTATTATTGGTAGAGACAAGGTCTTGCTCTGTTACCCAGGCTGGTCTTGAATTACTGGCCTCAAGCAATCCTCCTACCTCGGCCTCCCAAAGTGTTGGGATTACTGATGTGAGCTAACTCACTCTCAGACAGAAGTTTTTAAAACCATGAATAATGACGGGGAAAGACACTTAACCATAGGTAATTCCCCAAATCTCGACCAGACCAAACTACTGGGATCCTGAGCGCTGGGGTTGCAGGTTGTGGGTCGTGGGTTGTGGGTCATGGGTTCGACCACTCACCTCCCACGCCCGTCTTCTGCTGTGAGATGTAGGACTCCAGGCGCAAGCGGAAGCGGTTCTCGCCCCCCAGGCAGCCGTGTGTGCCGTCGTCCACCAGGAAGAAGGCCGAGTAGTTGTAGTCCAGGGGAAACTGGACCCCGTCCTCCGGGTCACCGCGCCACCGGTACCTCGCAGGGAACGAGCCCTAGGGGAAAAATGGCCAGACCAGGGCGTCTCCTCATCGGGGCCAGAAGGACAAACACGAGCCCCTCCTCCTCCCTCAGACCCAGGAGTCCAGGCCTCCAGCCCCCTTTTCCAAGTCCCTGGGTCACACCTTGGGGTTGATGAGGGTGTCTCTATTCCGGACCACACCCCAGGGGGCCACACCCATGGCCACCACCTTGGTGCCCCCAGTGCTGGCCATCTGATGGTCCCGTACAGCCACACCAACATGCCGGCCGATGCCCGTGTGCAGACCCCCAGTGACAATCCAGGCTCCTACACAGACGCCGAGGAACATGCAGAGGCAGGGGGAGAGAAACAAAGAATAAGACAGAGACACACACACACACTGGGCGGCGGGGGAGGCCACCCACAGTCGTGGGGGAGATGGCAGGCAGGCCGAGGCCCAGGAGACAGCCCCCACCCACCCTCGGTCACCTGTGCTCTGGGCAGCCCGCACCAGCCCACGACGCAGCAGGTCCTGCAGCCAGGTCTGGAGGACGGGGCCCCCCGATCCCCCCAGCACTGACACCACCAGGTTCGGGGCACGGAAGCCCCATGTGCGTGTGACCAGACTATAAACTGCAGCTGGATCCGTTCGGTCAGAGAGCCGGAGGAACTGTGGACACATGGGAGCGGGGCACACAGGGAGGGGGACAGAGACCCAGAGAGACGGGGACAGAGACCCAGAGAGACGGGGACAGAGACCCAGAGAGACGGGGACAGAGACCCAGAGAGAGAGGGACAGAGACCCAGAGAGATGGGGACAGAGACCCAGAGAGAGAGGGACAGAGACCCAGAGAGAGAGGGACAGAGACCCAGAGAGATGGGGACAGAGACCCAGAGAGAGAGGGACAGAGACCCAGAGACATGGGACAGAGACCCAGAGAGAGAGGGACAGAGACCCAGAGACATGGGACAGAGACCCAGAGAGATGGGACAGAGACCCAGAGAGAGAGGGACAGAGACCCAGAGAGACGGGGACAGAGACCCAGAGAGACGGGGACAAAGACCCAGAGAGAGAGGGACAGAGACCCAGAGAGAGAGGGACAGAGACCCAGAGAGATGGCGACAGAGACCCAGAGAGAGAGGGACAGAGACCCAGAGAGATGGGGACAGAAACCCAGAGTAAAGGGGAAACAGAGACCCGGAGAGACGGGGACAGAGACCCAGAGAGAGAGGGACAGAGACCCAGAGAGATGGGGACAGAAACCCAGAGTAAAGGGGAAACAGAGACCCGGAGAGACGGGGACAGAGACCCAGAGAGAGAGGGACAGAGACCCAGAGAGAGAGGGACAGAGACCCAGAGAGAGAGGGACAGAGACCCAGAGAGAGAGGGACAGAGACCCAGAGACATGGGACAGAGACCCAGAGAGATGGCGACAGAGACCCAGAGAGAGAGGGACAGAGACCCAGAGAGAGAGGGACAGAGACCCAGAGAGAGAGGGACAGAGACCCAGAGAGATGGGGACAGAAACCCAGAGTAAAGGGGAAACAGAGACCCGGAGAGACGGGGACAGAGACCCGGAGAAACAGGGACAGAGACCCAGAGAGACAAGGACAGAGACCCAGAGAAAAGGGGAAACAGAGACCCGGAGAGACAGGGACGGAGACCCGGAGAAACAGACAGAGACCCAGAGAGATGGGGACAGAGACCCAGAGAGAGGGGGAAACAGACCCAGAGAGAGGAAGACAGAGACCCAGAGAGACGGGGACAGAGACACAGAGAAAAGGGGAAACAGAGGCCCAGAGAGACAGAGACAGAGACCCAGAGAGACAGAGACAGAGACCCAGAGAGACGGGGACAGAGACACAGAGAAAAGCGGAAACACAGACCCAAAGAGATGAGGACAGTGACCCACAGAAAAGGGGAAACAGAGACCCGGAGAGACGGGGACAGAGACCCAGAGAGAGAGGGGGACAGAGACCCAGAGAGAGAGGGGGACAGAGACCCAGAGAGAGAGGGGGACAGAGACCCAGAGAGAGAGGGGGACAGAGACCCAGAGAGAGAGGGGGACAGAGACCCAGAGAGAGAGGGGGACAGAGACCCAGAGAGAGAGGGGGACAGAGACCCAGAGAGAGAGGGGGACAGAGACCCAGAGAGAGAGGGACACGGAGACAGAGGGAGACAGAGACAAAGAGACGCAGAGAGAACGGGACCCCCTCAGAGAGAAGATAGGTGGGGCGGAGGGGACAAAGAGAGCCAAGACAGGGATGGGCGGAGGGGCCAGGGTTCAGGGCGGGCGTCCCGGCTCCACTCTGGAGCCCCGAGCATGCAGCCCCCTGGTGCCCGGGCCCCGCCCACAGAGGCCCGCCTCACATTGCTGTGCTTGCGGCCGGCCCCCGTGAAGTCCAGCTCTCCGTAGGCATCGGTGGGCTTCTCCGTGGTGTGTGCATCGCTGTCCCACACGGTCACCACGGCTGCCCCGAAGGCATCCTCCATGGCCACTGCGGGGTGGGCGGTCCGGGGGCGCCCACACTGGCACAAGGTCCCTCTGGGGGTGCGAGGGCGGAGCGTGAACCCAGGGCTGCCCCCCGACCCCAGCACCCTGTCAGCGTGTTCATGCTCCTGTAGAGGGGGCTGTCGACACTGAGTCCACACCCACAGAGGCAGGCAGAGTCCACGCTGCCCCTGGCCCTGGCTCTGACGGCCTCGGGGAGAGACTGGAGCCGAGGACGGTCCCCTTTCCCCACGGGAAGGAAGCCAGTGAGTCCAGAAAGCCTGAGCAGGAAGAAGCAGGTCACTGTCACCTGAGGAGCCTCAAGTGGGAAGGCAGAGGGCCACTGGGGGTATCCTTGCTGTGCCCTGTGCCCCCATCCAAACACATGACGTTCAACACGAGAAAGAACATCCAGCGGGTAACTCAGGGAGAGCCCGCATGCTCGGGGCTGACGCGGCTGTGTGACTTTGGGCGAGCGGCTTCACCTCTCTGAGCCTAAATTTCCTCCTCTAATGAAAAGACAATAATAGCGCGGCCTACTCCACGGAGCTATGAGGAGCCAGGGAAAGAACGCCGTGTTTCCTGAAATGAGGCTCGCATACCAGTCCCAGCCAGAGGCAACGCGACACGAACTTCACACGGAGCTTAAAATAACCTTGAATAACGCAGTGAGAAAGTCATTCCTTTTTCAGTTCTCCTGACGACTGTCAAGGAGAGAGGCTCAGCCGGGTGCTAGAATATTTTTGAATGCCTAACCCTTTGCTACTCTTTTGAACAAGAAAAGCAGGCCTCGGGCTCAAAAAATGGAGCTGGCAACAGCCATCTAGCGAGTAGGGAAACACCTTTGTTTGCTTTTCATTGTCTTTGGCTTCTGTGTGGCTTGTTTCTTCCTCTCTGTGCCAAATGGAACAGGTTTCCATTTGGAAAGTTTCCACATATAAAACTTTCCCCCACCTAAAGAAATGCACAAGTCTCTCTTGCTTTCTAAAGGTGATTGGCACCTGAGTAAGTAACAGGGGTTTGGAGAATGAGAAATTCATTTGAAAATGTAGGGTCGGGTATGATGGCTCATGCCTGTAATCCTAGCACTTTGGGAGGCTGGGGCCAGAGGATCACCTGAACCCAGGAGTTCGAGACCAGCTGTGCAATATAGTCAGACCCTGTCTCTAAAAATAAATAAATAAATAAAATAAAATAAAATAAAATTAGCCAGGTGTGGCAGCATGTGCTTAGGAGGCTGAGGCAGGAGGATCACTTCAGCCTGGGAGATCAAGGCTGCAGTGATGCAGAGAGCTGTGACCACGCCACTGCACTCCAACCTGGGCAACAGAGTGAGACCCTGTTCAAAAAAAAGAAAAGAAGGAAAGAAAAGCAAGCAAGCAAGCAAGCAAGCAAGCAAGCAAGCAAGCAAGAGGCCGGGCGCAGTGGCTCATGCCTGTAATCCCAGCACTTTGGGAGGCTGAGGCGGGTGGATCATCTGAGGTCAAGAGTTTGAGACCAGACTGGCCAACATGGTGAAACACTGTCTGTACTAAAAAAAATACAAAAATTAGCTGGTCGTGGTGGCGGGTGCCTGTAATCCCAGCTACTCAGAAGGCTGAGGCAGGAGAATTGGTTGAACCCAGGAGGCAGAAGTTGCAGTGAGCCATCACACTATTGTACTCCAGCCTGGGAGACAAGAGCGAAACTCCATCTCAAAAAAAAAAAAAAAAAAAAAAAAAAAAAAAAAACTAAGGAAAGAAAGGAAGGAGGGAGGGAGAGAGACAGAGAGGGAGGAAGGAAAGGAAGGAAGGAAGGAAGGGAGGGAGGGAGGGAGGGAAAGAGAGAGAAAGAAAGAGAAAGAGAGAAAGAAAGAAAGAGAGAGAGAAAAGAAAAGAAAAGAAAGAGAAAGGAAGAAAGAAGGAGAAAAATGTATCTAAATTCTTTGTTCCAGATTCCAGGAGTTCAGATATCAGGGGAGACCTGTATTTACACAAACCTAGTGAGCAGATTTAAGAGCAATTTTACAGAAGGGATAGCAGAGGTGCTACAAGGATTTGGCAAAAGCCGTAAAGACACTAAAAGAACGGCTAACTGATCCACACATGGGATGAACCAAACACACTTAGGCCAGGTCCTGGCACAGTGAGAACTACAATAAAGTGTCTTCTTCATTCCTGAGTCTACCTCCAGGGCCCTGGCATGCCTCAGTTTACCGACTTTGTCCGTTCACCCATTTCAGCTCCATCCTTGAATCCCCTAGTTCCCCTGCAGCTACTTCCAACACCTGCAGCTACTTCCCAGAAAGTTTGCTCTTCTGAGCAAAACTTCAAGGACGGCTGGGCACAATCCAAGCACTTTGGGAGGTCAAGGCAGAAGGACTGCTTGAGCCCAGGAGTTTGAGAACAGCCTGGGCAATAGAGCGAGACCCCATCCCTACAAAAAAAATTGTTTTAATTAGCCAGGTGTGGTGGTGCACGCCTGTGGTTCCAGCTACTCAGGAGGCTGTAGCAGGAGGATCACTTGAGCTCAGGAGTTCAAGGCTGCAATAAGCCATGATCACACCACTGCAGTTCAGGCTAGGCAACAGAGCAAGACCATGTCACTAAAAATAAGAAATAAGGCCGGGCATGGTGGCTCATGACTGTAATCCCAGCACTTTGGGAGGCCAAGGCGGGCGGATCATGAGGTCAGGAGTTCGAGACCAGCCTGGCCAACATAGTGAAACCTTATCTCTACTAAAAATACAAAAATTAGCCGGGCATGGTGGTACGCGCCTGTAGTCCCAGCTACTCAGGAGGCTGAGGCAGGAGAATCACTTGAACCTGGGAGACGGAGGTTGTGATGAGCAGAGATTGTGCCACTGCACTCCAGCCTGGGCAACAGAATGAGACTCTGCCTCAAAAAAAAAAAAAAATAATAATAATAAAATAAAAGCTCTTCACGGAATAGTCTGGAGCTTGTACTGTCCAATGTGATAGCTGCATGGGTTCTTTGTAGCCATGGAGCTCTTTCTGTTCTAATAAGTTAAAATTAAATCAAATAAAAAATTCAGGTCAAGTGCAGTGGTTCATGCCTGTAATCCCAGAACTTAGGGAGGCCAAGGTGGGCGGATCACCTGAGGTCAGGACTTTGAGACCAGCCTGGCCAACATGGTGAAACCCTGTTTCTACTAAAAATACAAAAATCAGCTTGGCATGGTGGCGGGTGCCTGTAGTCCCAGCTACTCGGGAGGCTGAGGCAGGAGAATGGCATGAACCCGGGAGGCGGAGGTTGCAGTGAGCCAAGATTGCACCACTGCACTCCAGCCTGGGCGACAGAGCGAGACTCCACCTCAAAAAAAAATTCAGTTTCTCAGGTACAATGGCCATATTCCAAGTGCCCAGTAGCCCCCTGTGGCCAGGACTGCCATATTGGATGTAGACATAGAACGTTTCCAAAATCGTGGAAAATTCTGACATTCAGTGCTAGGAGCCATTCCTTCTGCACAGCTTGCCTCCTACACTCTTTCCTCGGTGGAGCCACAGAAACTGAAATAAATTGTTTTTTTGTTTGTTTGTTTGTTTTGTTTTGTTTTGAGATGGAGTCTCGCTCTGTCTCCCAGGCTAGAATGCAGTGGTACGATCTCAGCTCACTGCAACCTCTGCCACCTGGGCTCAAGCGACTCTCGTGCCTCAGCATCCTGAGTAGCTGGGATTACAGGCATGTGCCACAGTACCTGGCTAGTTTTTGTATTTTTAGTAGAGATGGGGTTTTACCACATTGGCCAGGCTGGTCTCAAACTCCTGACCTCAAGTGATCAGCCCACCTCGGCCTCTCAAACTGCTGGGATTACAGCTGTGAGTCACTGTGCCTGGCCTGAAATTGTTCTTGATAAAAATCATCAATTTCCTGCCTGGCTCCATATACAACGGCCCTTATTCAGGTTTCATCTGACTGTATCACAAGTGGCCCTGGCTACAGCTGAAAGGCTCTCATTCTGGAAACCCTCTCCTTGGCAGGATACCCCTGCCCCTCTGGCCTTCCTCCCCGCCCCGGCTGCTTCATGCCTGACTTGTTTGTGGCTTTCTCTTGCTTTTCACCTCCCTTGAGTGTAGGTGTTCCCAGTGCAAGCCTTCCCTACATGATTCTCAAACCCAATGTGTGCAGAGGCCAGTCAAGTAACTCAACAGAAAGAAGTAGCCAGGGCCAGGAGCAGTGGCTCACACCTGTAATCCCAGCACGTTGGGAGGCCCAGGTGGGCAGATCACTTGAGGTCAGGAGTTCGAGATCAGCCTGGCCAACATGGTGAAACCTTGTCTCTACTAAAAGTACAAAAATTAGCCAGGCGTGATGGTGGGTGCCTGTAATCCCAGCTACTCGGGGGGCTGAGGCAGGAGAATCGCTTGAACCCAGGAGGCAGAGGTTGAAGTGAGCCGAGATCGCACTACTGCACTCCAGCCTGGGTGATAGAGCGAGACTCCGTCTCAAAAAAAAAAAAGAGGTAGCCGGGTATGGTGGCTCTCGCCTGTAATTCCAGCACTTTGGCAGGCAGAGTGAGGTGGGAGGCTCACTTGAGTCCAGGAGTTGGATACCAGCCTGGTCTGGTATCAAAGGGAGACCCGGTTTCTACAAAAAATTTTAAAATTAGCCAGGCATGGTGGTGCATGCCTGTGGTCCCAGCTACTCCGGAGGCTCATGTGGGAGGATCGCTTGAGCCCAGCAGGTCAAGGCTGCAGTGAACCATGATCGTGCCACTCCAGCCTGGACAACAGAGCAAGACCCTGTCTCAAAAAAAAAAAAAAAAAAAAAAGAGAGAGAGACAGAAGACAGATATTTTTAAATGCTCTTCTAAACACACACACACACAAACACACGCACACAATTGGCTATAGAATTGCCAGTTTGCAACTCCCCTGACTTTACACGTTGTTTTCCCTGTGACGTCTTACCTACTTCCAGTTTCAATTACCAGCTACAACTCGGACCTCTCAGATTCTGGACATTAGTCCAGACCTTTCCCAATCTCAGTCCCCACATGCCCCTCGGTCCCCCTAGGCCGCTCATATGCACAGATTCCCACATTGCACTCAGCGACATTTCCCAAACCTGCTTGCCCTCCTGAGCTCTCCATCTCAGGGACAGCCCCACTGTGTCCCAGTCAGCAGAGCATACGTCCCGGAGCCATCCACCGATGGCGGCACCCCCTCTCTCCCTCATCACCCTCATCAAGCCCCAAGCTCTGCCTTCCTGCCCCCTGAGTCTTTGCCCCATGCCCTCCTCTCTGTGTCCCGAAAGCCCTGACCTGGCTCAGGCCACTACCCCTCCCGCTCAGACGCTCTCTACAGCCTCCTCCCGAGCTCCTGTTCATCCTCTCCCAGCCCCAGAAAGTTTTTCCACACCCAGAGCCAACCCCACTGCTGCGGTGATGCCCCAGCTCCCAAGGACAAGATCCCAGCCCCTTAGGGTGGCCTCTGACACCCTGCAAGCTCTGGCCCTGCCCTCCTCTGCAGCCTCTTCTCTCATGACAGTGCTCCCTGCACCCTGAACTTTGATTCATATTCAAGCCAAACCATATGGTCCTTAGCAAGGACTTTGCACATGCTGTTCAAATCACTTTTTTCTTTCTTTCTTTCTTTTTTTTTTTTTTTTTGAGATGGAGTCTTGCTCTGTCACCCAGGCTGGAGTGCAGTGACGTGATCTCTGCTCATAGTAGCCTCCGTCTCCCAGGTTTAAGTGATTCTCCTGCCTCCTGAGTAGCTGGGATTACAGGCATGCGCCAATACGCCCAGTTAATTTTTGTATTTTTAGTAGAGATAGGGTTGCACCATGTTAGCCAAGCTGGTCTCGAACTCCTGACTTAGGTGATCCACCCGCCTCGGCCTCCCAGATTGTTGGGATGACAGGCGTGAGCCACAATGCCCGGCCCCAAATCGCTTTCCATGGGCCTCTCTCCAGCTCACTTTCAAATGTCACCTCACTAGCCACTCTTCCTCCCTCCAGAAACCATTAGTGACATTTTGTGTCCCCTCCCAGTCTTAAGCAAACACCTCCTCCCAGCTCTCACAGAGCCCAGTGGCTCGTCTTTGGGAGCTGCAACCCCTTGCCTTACTATAATTATCTTCTGCGTTTCTTCCTCCTCAGGCCAGACCAGAGTTTCCTAAATTGTCTTGACCACACTGACCTATCAGTAAAAAGGTTTTGAGCACTCACGTCCAACAAGCGCATATCTGTTTATTTATCCATCATTTACAAGCCATACTGCACTAATATATAGTCATAACAAAATACACACTGAAGTAGGAATGTGGATACTTCCCGCACCCCAAAAACTGTCTTGAAAAACAACTAGAGGGCTGGGCGCGGTGGCTCACACCTGTAATCCCAGTACTTTGGAAAGCCAAGGCAGGTGCATTGCCTGAGATCAAGAGTTCAAGACCAACCTGGGCAACAGGGTGAAATCCCGTCTCTACTAAAATACAAAAAATTAGCTGGGCATGGTGGTAGGCACCTGTAATCCCAGCTACTAGGGAGGCTGAGGCATGAGAACTGCTTGAACCCAGGAGGTGGATGTTGCAGTGAGCTGATATCGCAACACTGCACTCCAGCCTGGGCGACAGAGCCAGACTCTGTCTCAAAAAAACAAAAAACAAAAAACTAGAAAGCCTGGGCCAGGTGCGGTGGCTCACACCTGTAATCCTAGCGCTTTGGGAGGCCGAGGCCGGCGGATCATGAGGTCAGGAGATCGAGACCATCTGGCTAACACGGTGCAACCCCGTCTCTACTAAAAAAAAAATACAAAAAATTGGCCCAGCGCGATGGCTCACGCCTGTAATCCCAGTACTTTGAGGGGCTGAGGCGGGCGGATCACAAGGTCAGGAGATCGAGATCATCCTGGCCAACACGGTGAAACCCCGTCTCTACTAAAATACAAAAAATTAGCCGGGCGTGGTGGCGGGCGCCTGTAGTCCCAGCTACTCGGGAGGCTGAGGCAGGAAAACGGCGTGAACCCGGGAGGCGGAGCTTGCAGTGAGCCGAGATCGCGCCACTGCACTCCAGCCTGGGGGACAGAGCGAGACACCGTCTCAAAAAAAAAAAAAAAAAAAAAAAAACTAGAAAGCCTGGATCCGCTTGAGAGGCCGTCACTGAAGGGCGGGAGCTCCTCGCGGACGCACACACCCTATCTAGCTCAATTGGTGTCCCCGGCCACCAAGACAGGGCCCGCCCGCGGTAATAATTGCCACCTCCCAGTGGGAGCTGCAGATATTTCCCAGCGTCCTGTGCTGGGCGCTGTGCCAGGAATATCACAAGCATTAACTTGTTTAATTCTCATAATAACCCCAGGAGATCAAGCCTCTTTTGATGCCCAGATGAGAAACGGGACCCAGAGAGGTGAAATGATTTGCCCGAAGCCACACAGCACGTGTCCCAGGGGAAATTGGAACCCTGGCAGGGCCGTTGAATTAGGCTAAAGGGACCTTGGGAGCGCTGAGTGAGGGTTTCTTGCATGGATGGATGAATGAATGAATGAATGAATGAATGAATGAATGAAACAGAAATACCCAAAAGGGAAAGACAGAGACACAGAAAGTGACACGAAGAGACAGAAGCACATAGAAGAGACATCGGGGAGGAAAGAAGCAGAACCGAGCCCTGGAGCGTCTACACTGACCCTGAGCGGGAGAATGGCGAATGGGGAATGAGGGGTGTCTACACAGACCCAAACGCTCCTAGAGGGAGAGCGTCGGCAAGGAACGCCCTTGGGAAGGTCCCCGAGTCCAGGAATGGGGAAGGAGCAGGGCTGGGGCGTGACCATCCGCGGGCGGGGTCAGCGGGCCGCGGACCCTCTGGGGTCAGTCCAGGGGCGAACTCCTCACCCCGGATCTGTGGAGTCAACTATGAACGTCGTGCAGGTCTTCTTCTTGAAGATCTTGGGGATCCAGCTCTGGGGACAGGAACAAATGTAGGGGTGGAAGTGGGGTGAGAGGGCACCCAGTTCTGTCCTATGGGACACAGAGCCACCCACCCCGTGCGCTCCCCACGGACACAGGAGTCCGGGCCCCCAGCGCCCTCCCGCTCCAGACTCAGGAGTCTCGACCCCCATGCCCTGGACCCTGGAACCTGGACCCTCCCATCCCCCTCCTCCGTCTGACCCAGGAATCTGGGTGTCCAGCGCCCTCCTCTCTGGGAGCCTGGAGGCGAGGTCCCCAGCTCCGCGCTCCCGCAGACCCTGGTCCGGCGCTCACCTGCTCCTTCTCCGGCACCACCATGCTGCCGCGGCCGCCGCAACCTCCTGCAGCCCAGGGCCCCGGCGCTCCCTCCGCCGGCTCTGCTTCCAGACCCGCCCAGAGCAAACCGGATCCTCCACTTTCCAGCCTAGCCTGGGGCGGGGCGAGGTCTGGGGGGCGGGGAGTCTTGGAGACGCCAAAGCGGGAGGCGGGGAGAGGGCGGGTCCCAGGCCGCGATAAGGGGACAGAGGGACAGCGACCTGGGGGGTGCAGAGGTCCGGGCCGGGGGGAGAGAGACACACAGGGGAGACTCCAAGGGCAAGCGCGAGATGGGAACAGAAGGAGTTGGGGGCCAGTGGCGGAGAGGGAACAGACTCAGAAAGGAGGATGCCAGACAGGGAGGGGACAATTTAACCCAAAGAGGGGGAGACAAAGACTTAGGGGACAGAGAATCAGAAGGTGGGGCAGCAGGGACCCAGGGATAGACAGAGAGAGAGGGGGACAGAGACCCACAGAGAGAGGGGGACAGAGACCCAGGGAGAGGGGACAGAGACCCAGAGAGAGTGGGACAGAGACCCAGAGAGAGTGGGACAGAGACCCACAGAGAGAGGGGGACAGAGACCCAGGGAGAGGAGGACAGAGACCCAGAGAGGGGGGGACAGAGACCCAGAGAGGGGGGGACAGAGACCCAGGGAGGGGGGGACAGAGACCCAGGGAGAGGGGACAGAGACCCACGGAGAGGGGGACAGAGACCCAGGGAGAGGGGACAGAGACCCAGAGAGAGGGGGACAGAGACCCAGAGAGAGGGGGACAGAGACCCAGAGAGACGGGGACAGAGACCCAGAGAGAGGGGGACAGAGACCCAGAGAGAGGGGAACAGAGACCCAGAGAGAGAGGAGGACAGAGACCCAGAGAGAGGGGGACAGAGACCCAGAGAGACGGGGACAGAGACCCAGAGAGAGGGGGACAGAGACCCAGAGAGAGGGGAACAGAGACCCAGAGAGAGAGGAGGACAGAGACCCAGAGAGAGGGGGACAGAGACCCAGAGAGGGGGGGACAGAGACCCAGGGATGGGGGGACAGAGACCCAGGGAGAGGGGACAGAGACCCACGGAGAGGGGTACAGAGACCCAGGGAGAGGGGACAGAGACCCAGAGAGAGGGGGACAGAGACTCTGAGACAGAGGGGGACAGAGACCCTGAGAGAGGGGGACAGAGACCCAGAGAGAGGGGAACAGAGACCCAGAGAGAGAGGGGGACAGAGACCCACAGAGAGAGGGGAACAGAGACCCAGAGAGAGGGGGACAGAGATCCACAGAGAGAGGGGGACAGAGACCCACAGAGAGAGGGGAACAGAGACCCAGAGAGAGGGGGACAGAGATCCACAGAGAGAGGGGGACAGAGACCCAGGGAGAGGGGGACAGAGACCCAGAGAGAGGGGGACAGAGACCCAGGGAGAGGTGGACAGAGACTCTGAGACAGAGGGGGACAGAGACTCTGAGAGAGAGTGGGGACAGAGACCCAGAGAGGTGGATGCCAGAGATGGGGAGGAGACACCTTGACTGAGGCAAGGGGCAGAGGGGGATGCAAAAACCAAAGAATTGGGGGAAGGGCAGGAACTCAGAAAGGAGGGGCCAGAGATTTAGGGGAGAGAGAGGGACACAGACTTGGGGGAGGACTGACACTAAGATAAGAGTGGGACAGAAGCCCAGAGTGAGAGGGAGAGGCAATCCCATGGAGGAGGGACAGGGACCCTGAGAGAGCAGATGACAGAATTGAAGAGAGAGGAGGACCCGTGAACAGGAAAGGAGACCCTAGTGGGGGCAGTCATGAAGGGTGAGGAGTAGGAAATACTGACACACAGAGACGGGCAAGGCCACTTGTCTCCTGCCAGCCCTCTGTGATGGGGACAGCTGTGGCCTCCGTAACCTGAGTCCCCCTACCCCTCCCAGCTGTATTTATAGCCCTGGCCTAGCCCAGTCCCTGCCCCCAGATCTGAGTTCCAGGGACAGGAGGTCATGGGCACGTGTGTTGGGGGCCATGTTCCTTTCCCCCCATTCTAGGGCCTCAATACTGACATCACTCTCTCACCAGCACGTATCATTCCAGCTGGAAACACCCCGCAATCGAACCCCCAGTCCTTCCGTCCCAGGAGTCTCTCCCCTCTGATAAGTCTCTTCTGCCTCCCCCAGGTGCCCCAGGCTCCCCCAAAAACCTGCTAAAAGTCTAGCCTTTGTCTTTGCAGCTGCCAAACGTGAGCTTGTTGGTAGTTCAAAGTCAAGTCCCTTGGCCACCGTCTCCTGGCCAGGGAGAGACCCCTCACTGGTCCCCTCCCCAGCTGGGAGGAGGAGGAGCAGGAGGCAGGCAGGCGGGGACTGACCCAGAATAACTCAGGGCTGAGAGTAAATTTAGCTGGAGAGAGGGGAGGGGAAGGACCCTATTGGCTGGGGAATGGGGAGGGAGGGCCCCAGAGGGGGGTCAGGGGGCTCCGGAGACAGCCTCAGAGGGGTGTCCAGAGCCAGGCAGCAAGGACCAGAGGAAGGTGGACAGAGACCGAAAGGACAAAGGAGAGACACAGAGAAAAAAAGAGACCAACCCCAAAGGGACAAAGACCCCAACGTTTGTCCACATTGCCGCAGAGGCAGCTGGAGCCAGTGCTGCCTGTCCGTCCCCATGGGCCACCATAGGCCATGGCTGCACGCTTCTGTCCTCTGGGCTGGGGTGGCCAGCCTGCTCCTCCCCCCGGCCATGACCCAGCAGCTCAGAGGGGATGGGCTAGGCTTCAGAAACCGGAACAACAGCACTGGAGTCGCCGGGCTCTCCGAGGAGGCATCAGCAGAGCTTCGCCACCACCTCCACAGCCCTAGAGACCATCCAGATGAGAACAAGGATGTTTCCACAGAGAATGGGCATCATTTCTGGAGCCACCCAGACCGTGAAAAGGAGGATGAAGATGTCTCCAAGGAATATGGGCACCTACTCCCAGGCCACAGGTCCCAAGACCACAAAGTCGGAGATGAGGGTGTCTCAGGTGAGGAGGTCTTTGCAGAGCATGGTGGGCAGGCCCGTGGGCACAGAGGCCACGGGAGTGAAGACACGGAAGACTCAGCTGAGCACAGGCACCACCTCCCCAGCCACAGGAGCCACAGCCATCAAGACGAGGATGAGGATGAAGTTGTGTCCAGTGAGCATCACCATCATATCCTCAGGCATGGACACCGAGGCCATGATGGGGAAGATGATGAAGGAGAAGAGGAGGAGGAGGAGGAGGAGGAGGAAGAGGAGGCCTCCACTGAGTATGGACACCAGGCCCACAGGCACCGAGGCCATGGGAGTGAAGAGGATGAGGATGTCTCAGATGGACACCATCATCATGGCCCCAGCCACAGGCACCAAGGCCATGAAGAAGATGACGATGATGATGATGATGATGATGATGATGATGATGATGATGATGTCTCCATTGAATATAGACACCAGGCTCACAGGCACCAAGGCCACGGGATTGAAGAGGATGAAGATGTCTCAGATGGACACCATCATCGCGACCCCAGCCACAGGCACCGAAGCCATGAAGAAGATGACAATGATGATGATGATGTCTCCACTGAGTATGGACACCAGGCCCACAGGCACCAAGACCACAGAAAGGAAGAGGTTGAGGCTGTCTCAGGTGAACACCACCATCATGTCCCTGACCACAGGCACCAAGGCCACAGAGACGAGGAAGAAGATGAGGATGTGTCCACTGAACGTTGGCACCAGGGTCCCCAACATGTCCACCATGGCCTTGTAGATGAGGAAGAGGAAGAAGAGGAGATCACAGTCCAGTTCGGCCACTATGTTGCAAGCCACCAACCTCGAGGCCACAAGAGTGATGAAGAGGACTTCCAAGATGAGTATAAAACAGAAGTCCCTCACCATCACCACCACAGAGTCCCCAGGGAGGAAGATGAGGAGGTCTCTGCTGAGCTTGGCCACCAGGCCCCCAGCCACAGGCAAAGCCACCAAGATGAAGAAACTGGCCATGGTCAAAGAGGGTCCATCAAAGAGATGAGCCATCACCCCCCAGGACACACAGTGGTCAAGGATAGAAGCCATTTGAGGAAGGATGATTCTGAGGAGGAAAAGGAGAAGGAAGAGGACCCCGGCTCCCATGAGGAAGACGATGAAAGTTCAGAGCAGGGAGAGAAAGGCACCCATCATGGCAGCCGGGACCAGGAAGATGAGGAGGATGAGGAGGAAGGTCATGGCCTCAGCCTGAACCAGGAGGAGGAAGAAGAGGAAGACAAGGAGGAGGAGGAGGAGGAAGAAGACGAGGAGAGGAGGGAAGAGAGGGCTGAGGTTGGGGCCCCACTGAGCCCAGACCACAGCGAGGAGGAAGAGGAGGAGGAGGAGGGGCTGGAGGAAGATGAGCCCCGCTTCACCATCATCCCCAACCCACTGGACAGGAGAGAGGAGGCTGGAGGTGCCTCCAGCGAGGAGGAAAGCGGTGAGGACACAGGTAAGTGGCCTGGGCTGGTGTGGGTGGGAAGGAACCGAGTCAGCCTGGGTCACTGCTGCCCTCCTGTCCCCGCAGGTCCACAGGATGCTCAGGAGTATGGGAACTACCAGCCAGGGTCCCTGTGTGGCTACTGCTCCTTCTGCAATGTATGTCCCCAGCCCAGATCCACCCACCAAGGTGTCCCCAGAATCTGTCCCAGGGGCCCTGGGGTGGTGCTGTGGGAGGGCTCAGAGCAAGGGCAGGCCAGGGTCAGTTCTGAAAGAAAAGAGATCCTTCTGCAGGCATGTGAGGTGAGGACAGACTGAAGGCTGGGAGGCTGGGGCAGTGGTCCAGGAAGGAGAGGACAAGACCCAAGCTGCATCTTGGGGTGTGGGGACAGAGACAGGGGTCTGTGGCAAAGAGAGTCGGGGGAAGGAGGGATGGCACAGGGGCTGATAGGCTAGGGGGAGAATAGGCAGAGAGCGGGTGGAGAGAGCACCTGAGCCCACCCTGACAGGGAGACATGGGGTCGCCCTGAGATAGAAAACCAGGGGCAGGGCCGGGTGTGGTGGCTCACGCCTGTAATCTCAGCACTTTAAGAGGCCAGGGTGGGCGGAACACGAGGTCAGGAGATCGAGACCATCCTGGCTAACACGGTGAAACCCCATTTCTACTAAAAAATACAAAAAAATTAGCCGGGCGTGGTGGCACGCACCTGTAATCCCAGCTACTCAGGAGGCCGAGGCAGGAGAATCGCTTGAACCCGGGAGACGGAGGTTGCAGTGAGCTGAGGTTGCGCCACTGCACTCCAGCCTGGGCGACAGAGAGAGACTCCGCCTCAAGAAAAAAAAGGAAAAAAAGGGAAAGGAAGGAAACCAGGGGCAGGGGAGGGGAGGGGAGGCTGGTTTGGGGGGCAGATACAGAGCTCAGTGTTAGAGATAAAGAGGGTAGAGTCTGGGGAAGCGTCCAGGGTGCAGGGGTGGGCCAGGGGCGGGTACCTCCCAAGTGGCGTTAGAGTTTCCATCTAACCAGGCTCCCCCGGTCCCCAGCGATGCACTGAATGTGAGAGCTGTCACTGTGATGAGGAGAACATGGGTGAGCACTGCGACCAGTGCCAGGTGAGACCTCACCTCACACTCAAGGCTCCACTGGGCCTCAGGATGCACCGGGACCCTCTGAGGACCCCCAGCCCTAAATCCTGGCCTCTGACCCAACCCCTTACCCCTGATGCAACCTTGACTCCACAAGCGATCCTGACTCCAACCTTAACCTAGACCTAGCCTCTGGTCCGGGTCTGGTCCCGGCCCCATCCTAACTCCGCCCCCGGCCACGCCCCACGCTCACTCTCTCTCCCCGTCCCCGCCTCCAGCACTGTCAGTTCTGCTATCTCTGCCCGCTGGTCTGCGAAACGGTCTGCGCTCCAGGTGAGCATGGGCGGGGCCCTGGAAAAACCTGAGGAAGGTGCCGGGCCCAGCGTGGTGAATCCTGGTGGGGGCGGAGCCTGGCCCGGTAGGCTGGTGGGGCGGGGCTAAGAGGGGAGGCGTGGCCAAGGCTCTGAGCACGTGGGCCGGGGCCTGGCTCGAGGAACACCAGGTGGAGTTGCTGGAGCCAAGGGACAGAAATGAGTGGAGGGTTGAGATGCGGGCTTAGAGCCTAATGGGCGAGGCCAACTCAAGTAGGAATCGAAGGGGCGGGGCTACTGGAGAACGGAATCACCCAGAACGAAAAAGGGGTCCGGTAGAAGGGATTCAGTTGGAAGAAGGAATTAGGGAAAAGGAGGTGGAGCTAGCACTAATCTCGCACGCTATACTGAGTGGCTGCCTAATTTTGCTCGTGCAGTACCCCTCAAGCCTCTTTTCTCTGCTGTCCCACAGGAAGCTACGTTGACTATTTCTCCTCGTCCCTTTATCAGTAAGTGTGTAAAAGGGGAGCGTGTAAAAGCCCCGTTTAGAGAAGTGCTTGTCTCGCTATGAGTTATCAGATGACTCTGGGACTCCATTTCCCCGTCCATGAAATGGGCAGGTTAATGATCTCTAAGCGTCCTGGGGTGGGCTTTGAACACCAGCTGTCTAACTTCTGGCGTTCTCGTCTCCAGGGCCCTGGCAGACATGCTGGAAACGCCGGAACCCTGACCCAGTCGCTCGACTGCGACGCAGGTGTACCTCCCCCTGCCTTCCAACCCCTTTCCACGAGCTATATTTATTTCTCCGAATAAACGTGCTCCCCGAAACCTCATTGTCAGACGTGGGGTCTGGGAATCTCAGGGCATCGGGGAATGCGGGTAGGGTCTAGAGACCTGGACCTAGACTTGAGGGATGAGGGGCCTGGACTCCTGGCTCGAGGTGGTTGGTTGAACAGCCCCCCCCCCCCCCGCAAAAAAAAAATCAGTCAACAAGGAAGCTTTTTGAAACAGTTCTCTTTACCCGTGATCACTGAGTGACGCCTGGGGCGGGGAGGCCGACCGAGAGTCGGGGGCGAGGGCTCCCCCACCGTCCCCCTGCCCCCACGCCACGTCGCCCAGCGGCATCGTGGAAAGAGGATTCTCCCATGCAAACCCCGGAGCCAGAGGAGAAGGGGAAGCGCCATTCTGCGCCCCCTACCCCCGGGGCACGGACACGGCCACAGCACGGGGGGCGGTGAGGCCCCGGGGACACGAGACACGGGGGAGGGAGAGGGGAACCCGCCCGCAGATGACCCGGGGGACCGGCGACCGGACGCGGCGGGGCGGAGCTGAGTGGCACAGGGGGCGAGGCTTGTAGCAGCGAGTCCCCCCTCCCCTCCTTTCGGACGAAGAAGGAAGACTTGGGCCCCGCGACTGGGCAGGAAAAAGGGGAGGGAGCAGCCTCTCCCCGCATGCGGCCCGGGAGGGAAGCCCCGCCCCCTTCCCGCGGGTAAAGGACACCCGTCTCCCAACAGAAACTGATCAATAAATTACAAAGTAGAGAAAAGGAAAGCGGACGTTTGGGGCGGGATTTCTTCCTCCCCGCTTCTTCCCCCTCTCAGTCCAGTTCATGTGGTTTGGTCCAGGCCCCGGCCCTGTGCGAGGCGGGCGCGCGCACTCCCGCTGGTCTGTACAGATGGTCCAGTCCTCGGCGCGAGCTCCCCCGCCCGCTCTCCCCGGCGAGGCCACAGTCCGGGCAGGAGAGGGAACAGCCCAGCCTCGGGAAGATTCTTCCGTCCGAGTGAGGTCACCTGCATGACGCCGGGCAGCGCGTGGAGCAGTGAAGATCCACCGTGCCGCCCCGCACCCCCAAGGTCGCCCAGCACGGTCCTCACCTGGAGGCCTGCACTAGCAGGAATAGGTCCGGACCGAAACGCCGTCTGCCCGGGAACTCCCAGAAGTCTGGCCTGGAGGGAGAGCGAGCAGCGGTTCAGCCTGGAGCACCCTCCTCCCTGTTCCTCTCCAGGATTCCTCCCTTTGGACTTCCCTTCCCGATGTCACAACGATCGCCGGGCTCCACATGGGTTTCCCTCCCTTCCCCGCAGCCAAGGACTCAAACTCGCATTGGGCGAGTTCACTCCCGCCCTGGGAAGGGGGAGTGGGATTTATCCATTTCATCCTGACGGGGGAGTCCGGAACGTTGGAGCAGTCCATTCCTCAGGGGTGGGCGAGAAAGGACTAGGCCATTCCAGAACCCGGACTACTGAGGTGGTCCATGCCCCACCCTAGGGAAGCGAGGAAGGGCTGTCGCATTTGGGAGCCCCCCACCTTCTGGCTGCAGCTTGCGGAGAGGGAGCCCCGGAGAGCCCAGGGCTCCCGCTGCAGCCGAACGAAAGTTGGGGGGCAACATCTCAGCTGAGTCGGGAGTTACGCCTCGGAGGTCCTTCTCCCGGAACATCTTCCGCCAGGATGGGGAGCGGCTGAAAGACTTGGCGCTGTCCTAGGTATAGGAGCCGGACAGCCGGTGAGGGACTCCTGCCTTGTCTGACTCCGCCCCTTCCTTTGACTCCACCCCTCTCCGGGTCTCACCTCTCCTTTAACCCCGCCCCTCTCCTGGCCCCGCCTCCAACCGTGACCATTAATAGTCAGGCCCCGCCCCCTCAGCTCAGCCTCTCGAGGAGCCGCTGGGAGCAGAGCCCTCTGAGCTGTTGCCGCGCCCACCTCGTCCAGCCGCCTGTCTGTGCCTAAGGAGATAAGGTTGCTGAATTCCTTCTCCAGAAGCTGCCGGGCCTGGAAAGAGGAGGTGGAGGGGGCGGTTGGAGCGTGCAGTCTGCGAGGTGGGGACGCCCAGCATGCTCCGGGCCCAGCGGCAGCTCACCTGTGCATTCTGCGTGGGGATCTGCAGGAGCAAGGCCAGGTCGGAGTAGTCGAAGGTCTCGTCCAGGGCGAGCAGTGCCCCGTGTACCCCGCTCTCCGTGAGGTTCGTGGCAAATTCCTTCAGGCCCAGCCCGGACACCCAACCCATGACCCGCTCATTGGACCACACCATCACGTCTGGGGACGGAAGGGACCCTCAGCCGTGCCCCTCCCGTGGCCTGGAGAGTTCAGTTTAGCCCATACCTCCACCTCCATTTGGTCTCTTCGGGCCACGCCCCCCACGCTGGCTCCACCCCCACGGTTATGGTGCCAATTTGCTTCTCCGGTCTCCCCCTACCCCCTCTCCTCCCCATCCAGCTCCACGCCCTCCACCTGGCTCCCAAAGGGACCCTTAGGCTCTACTCACCTCGGATCTGGGTCTGACTTTCTTCCCGCCTCCGCTCCAGGTCCTTCCGGTCATAGTTGAGCCGTTTCAGGCACATAATCCCATAATGTAGACTCACCCTGAGCAGCAGGGGAAGTGGAGTCACGGATGAGCTTTCCAGTCCCCTAGACTGCTGCTCCTACGGGTCCCTCCCCACTGGCTGCGCTCTTCTTGGAAAGGGTGGGGAGCTGATAAGTTCTATTGACTGTTGACCCCCTCAGGAGGTGAGGCATTTTCAATAATAGGCACTTCCTACTGGCCAGCCTGGAAGGGGTCCAGGGTTAACTAGCCAAGCCATTTCAGGATCTGAACTTTTCCTGTGGACCATCTCATTGGTGAAAGGAGCACAGAGTCAGGATTTCCTGAGAACTCAGGCTAAAAGGGCCAAGATAAGCCTGGGAATCTCCCATGGCCAATCCTATTGGCCAAAGACTCTCTGGGGTGGGGCTTCCCTTTGGACTGTCCCCACTGGCCAGGCAGCCCCCACCTGTGAAAGCTGTCCACCATCTTGAGTTGGCCCCGGAGCTCCTTCTTGTTAAGGTGATCTAACATTCGAGCGTCCACCAGCGACTCCATGAAGTAGCTGCGGTATTGGGGCAGCCCCAGGCTGGGCAGCCAGTCGTTCCCCACCCACTCGTGGTTCATGTCGCCATATGCCAGGATCTGGGGCCATGGGCAGGTGAGGGAAGAGTCAGGCCCTCTGGCCCCTTCCCACTGTGCATGAGAGGGGTACAGTCCAACCTCCCAATCCAAGGTTTTTTCCCACCCCATGGTAGGACAATGACCAATCTCTGCTCAGGATAATGGACCAATCCAGAGTTGTCTCCTAGCCCTTCATGACAGCATATACTCTTGGCTACTCAAACAGTTGTCCTGAGACCTAGAGCGTCACCATCACCTGTGGACTTGCTGGAATTGCAGAATCTCAGACCTTACTCCAGACCTACTGAAGTCGGTATCGGCATTTTCACAAGACCCTCAGGTGATTCGAAATATACATTATATTTATTTTTAAATTTCTTTCTTTCTCTCTTTCTCTCTCTCTCTCTCTCTCTCTCTTTCTGAAAGAGTCTGCTATGTCACCCAGGCTGGAGCGCGGTGGCACGATCTCGTCTCACTGCAACCTCCCCATCCCAGGTTCAAGCAATTCTCTTGCCTCAGCCTTCGAGTAGCTGGGATTACAGGTACGAGCCACCACGCCCGGCTAATTTTTGTATTTTTTAGTAGAGACGGCGTTTCACCATGTTGGCCAGGCTGGTCTCAAACTCCTGACCTCAAGGGATCCGCCCACCTCAGCCTCCCAACGTGCTGGGATTACAGGCATGAGCCACCGCGCCTGGCTGTATTTGTTTATTTTTTAGAGACAGGGTCTTACTATGTTGCCCAGGTTGACCTCAGCTTCGTGGGCTCAAGCGGTCCTCCTGCCTCAGTCTTCCAAGTAGCTGAGACTACAGGTGTGTGCCACCCCACTACACATTAAATTTGGGGAAGCACTGCTTTAACTCTGTCTCACTGCAGTCCAACGTCACTAAACCCCCAAGTCAGGACAATGGACTCTTTCAAGGCAGCTCTCCCACTAAGAAAGGGCCATCACTCTTGCAATGTCCTGAAAATACTTGTCTAATGTTATATCTGGCCCAGGACAATATTCCAGATGAGTCCCAAGTCCCTCACTCCTTTCAGCATCAGCACAAAATCCACGCCTCCCCCTGGCTGGAAATATGTGATCTATGACCACAGTCAAACATAATTCCTCCGTGGACAGTGAGTTCATGCCTCTTGGGTTTTTTTGTTAGTTTATTTGTTTGGTTTTTATGAGATGGAATCTGGCTCTATCACCCAGGCTGGAGTACAATGGTGCAATCTCGGCTCAGTGCAACCTCTACCTCCTGGGTTCAAGCGATTCTCCTGCCTCAGCCTCCCAAGTAGCTGGGATTACATACGCTAGCCACTGCACCCGGCTAATTTTTGTATTTTTAGTAGACACAGGGTTTCACCATGTTGGCCAGACTGGTCTCAAACTCCTGACCTCAGGTGATCTGCCCACCTCAGCCTCCTAAAGTGCTGGAATTACAGGCGTGAGCCACTGCGCCCGGCCGCCTCTTGTTTCTTGAGAACAAAGTGTAGCTCCTCCTCCCCAACTTCTCATTCAGCCTGGCTGCCTCACCACCACCACAGCCAGTGTGTCCTCCTTGGCCCTGGTACACTGAGCAGTCCACTGTAGCCCCCGCCCCCTCCACTATAGGGACACCGGCTGCTCAGTCTCTCCTGAGCTACAGAATTGAAGCCCCTTAGAGCCCCCACAACCCACGATGATGAAATGGTCCATGCATAAGGCTGACTATGCAACAGTCTGGGCTTCCACATCGCATCCCCTCTACCCTCCCCACCGCCAAGCCATAATGGAACAGTCCAGAGCCAAGCTTGGCGCAGCGCCCCCCCATGGGGATGATGGCATGTTCTGGTGAAGGCAGGGGCAGGGCTCGGAGGAGGGGCATCCATGCGTCGTGCACAGCCTGTTCATGCGCTCACGCCCCGCCCCGCGCCCCCTACCTGCTCCCAGCTGATCTCCTTGGTCTCCTGACCCGTTAGTAGGAAGAGGGGAGAGAAGGGGTGAGTTAAGGGGCAGGCAGAGGAGGACGCAAGGAGCGGACTTAGGGATGGCCACAGACTCGGTCCCCGCCCCCACCCCCAAAGAAGGTTAGTGCCACCCCCAAGGCGGCCGGCAGGGGGCACTCACGGGCTTGGTCGTGGCCGTAAGGGACTCCATCTCCTCGTGTGTCATCCACACGTTTCCTGTGGACTGAGGGGCAGGGAGTGTTAATGGATGGTGGGAGAGGGCTTCGCGTGGGGGAGAGGAAGGAGGGTGTCCTCCTGAAGGCCCTGGGCCACACGTTTATGTCCCTCCTGCTTTCTGGGGCAAGCAGTAACAGAGAAAAGGAATGATTCTTATTATAGGGCACCTGCCATGTACCAGGCAATGTGACTTTGGAGTTGAACAAATTCAGGTTGGAATTGGGACCCTGCCATGCATTTTGCTGTGTGGCCCTGTGCAAATGACGTCACCTCGCTGACCTCACACAGAGGTACAGAATGAGGATTCAGAAGTGGGGGACAGACACAGCCATGGTGCAAATGTTTAGGGAGTATGGCGGGGGGGGTTCACATTTATTGAGCTTCTGCTCCCAACAACCTCACGAGTTAGGAATCCATACAAGGATAAAAACATTTATGTACTTCTGGTGAGTGTCAGGCACCAGTCACCGTCATAGGGTGTGGGATATGGCAAGGGACACGACAGACACTTTTCGTCCTAGTGGGGGAGAAACAATGAACATATTTTAAGTATGTTGGGGAAATTTGAATACAGAGTGAATAGTAAATGAAATTAACAACTGTGGCCAGGCGTGGTGGCTCACACCTGTAGTGCCAGCACTTTGGGAGGCTGAGGCGGGCACATCACTTTTGGAGATTGAAGACTAGCCTGGCCAACCTGGAGAAACCCCATCTCTACTAAAAATACAAAAATTAGGCTGAGAGTGGTCTAGCACTTCGGGAGGCAGAGGCGGGTGGATCACCTGAGGTCAGGAGTTCAAGACCAGCCTGGCCAACGTTGGTGAAACCCTATCTCTACTAAAAATACAAAAATTAGCTGGGCATGGTGGCGTGTGCCTTTAATCCCAGCTACTCAGGAGGCTGAGGCAGGAGAATCACTTGAACCAGGGAGACGGAGGTTGCAGTGAGCCAAGATCGCACCACTGCACTCCAGCCTGGGCGACAGAGTGAAACTCCATCTCAAAAAAAAAAAAAAAAGAAAGAAAAGAAAAGAAAAAGAAATTAACAACAATGTGAATGCCCTTAGGTGTGATAAAGGATGTGGTGTTTACAAGGAAGAAAAAGACCCACTAAAGTAATTTTGGGGGCTAAGATGTTATGACTTTCTCCAATTACATTCAAGTACAGGTCTCTGAGCATCCCCAACCTGAAAATCCAAAATCCAAAATGCTCCAAAATTCTAAACTTTTTTTTTTTTGGATGCACTCTTTCTCTGTCACCCAGGCTGCAGTACAGTGGGACAATCACAGCTCACTGCAGCCTCGACCTCCTGGGCTCAAAGGATCCTCCCACCTCAGCCTCCTGAGTAGCTAGGACTACAGGTATACGCCACCACACCCGACTAATTTTTGTATTTTTAGTAGAGATGGGGTTTTGCCATGTTGCCCAGGCTGGTCTCGAACTCCCGGGTTCAAGAGATCGGCCATCCAAAGCCTCCCAAAATGCTGGAATTACAGGTGTGAGCCACAGTGCTTGGCCCTAAACTTACGTGCTGACACGAAGCCACAAGAGGAAAATCCCCCACCTGACCTCATGTGACAAGTCACAAACAAAATGCAGTCAAAACTTTGTTTCATGCACAAAGCTATTTAAAATATTGTAGGCCGGGCACGGTGGCTCACGCCTGTAATCCCAGCACTTTGGGAGGCTGAGGCAGGTGGATCACGAGGTCAGGAGTTCAAGACCAGCCTGGCCAAGATGGTGAAACCCCATCTCTACTAAGAATACAAAAATTAGCAGGGCGTGGTGGTGGGCGCCTATAATCCCAGCTACTCGGAAGGTTGAGGCAGAGGATTGGAATTGCTTGCACCCAGGAGGCAGAGGTTGCAGTGAGTCGAGGTCGCACCATTGCACTCCAGCCTTGGCGACAAAGCAAGACTCCCATCTCGAAAAAATAAAATAAAAATAAAAAATAAAATATTGTATAAAATTCTTTTTAGGCATGTGTATGAGATGCATATGAAACATAAATGAATTTCATGTTTAGGCTTGGCTCCCATCCCCAAGATATTTCATTTATATGCAAATATTCAAAAAAAACTTTTTAAAATCAGAAATTCTAAACACTTCTGGTCCCACGTATTTCAAGTAAGGGACACTCAACCTGTACTCCCCACTCCCCGCCTCCACCCCACACACACAACAGAGCAAGTACAGCAAAAGTTTGAGAATCGCTGAACTGGGTACACATGATTTTCTGTATGTTTGAAATGTCTCGTAATCAAAAGTTGGAACGAGGGCCAGGCGTAGGGGCTCACGCCTGTAATCTCAACACTTTGGGAGGCCGAGGCGGGCGGATCACCTGAGGTCGGGAGTTCAAGACCAGTCTGGCCAACGTGTCAAAACCCTGTCTCTACTAAAAATACAAAAATTAACTGGGCGTGGTGGCGGGCGCCTGTAATCCCAGCTACTCAGGAGGCTGAGACAGGAGAATGGCTTGAACCCGGGAGGCAGGGGTTGCAGTGAGCGGAGATAGCGCCATTGCACTCCAGCCTGGACAACAAGAGCGAAACTCTGTCTCCAAAAAAAAAGGAAAGAAAAGATAAAATAATTAGAAGGCAATAAATGCTATGGGGAAAATTAGAAGGTGCTGATATGCCGGAATGATGGGGAAACTCGTTTAGCTGACAAAGAAAGCTTCTTAGAGGTGGTGACATTTGAGTGGGACAGCAAATGCCGAGGAGAGGGAGAGAGTCAGGGAAGGAGGTGGCCTGGGCCCCTCCTGGAGTACCACAGGGACGGACCACAGGCCAAGTTAGGAGTGGAGGGGAGGCTGAGGGGGGTAAAAGCCAATGAGAAGCAGGGTCGTGGGACAGGGGAGTGAGCAGGCCCAGGATTGGCTAGACTGAGGGCAAGAGGCGGGGCTCTGAGGAAGCGAAGGCTGGAATTGGCCGCCGGACACTCACAGTGCGGGAGGAGGCGGGGGCTGAGGGCGAGGTGAGCGAGACCATCTCCTGGATGGCGAGGCGTAGCTTGAGTCGGTGCAGCGGGTTGCTGATGCCGATCTCGCGCTGGATCTCCGTGTCTGACAGGTTGGCCATGATGGCACCGCTCTTGACATTGGCCCGGCAGGCGGCCACATACCAGGCAGGCATGCCCACCCACAGCTGCAGCGGAGGGACAGAGGGACAGAGGGGACAGAGGGACAGAGGAGGAGAAAATCGGAGAGATGGGGGAACAGGGAGGTGGGGAAAGGCAAGGGGGTGGGGAGCGAAACAGAGACGTGGGAAAGTTCGCAAGGAGAAGAAACAGGACAAGGAAAAGAGACGTGGACGAGATGAGGGAGAGTCCGAGGGAGACAAATAGGGAGAGAAACGGGGGGCGGGGGGCGGGTGGGGGAAGAGGGAGAGGGAGAGAGAAAGAGAGAGAGAGAGAAAGAAATAGAGAGAGAGAAATAGAGGGTGGGGAGAGACAGGAAGCCGGAGACAGGGAGACATCGGCAGGGCGATCGGAGACATGAGGAGAAATATGGGGAATGACAAAAGCGTGGTCAGAGATGGGAATGGTGCCGAAAAATAGAGACAGAGAATCCAGAAAGAGAGAGTAGAGAGAACGACAGGAGACCATGACCCAGGTGGGCAAGGCCAGAGTGGCAGGGGCAGAAGGAGAAGGAGAAAGAAACTGTTTAGGTGAACAGGAAGCCCGAGCCCTCCTGGGTCCTCACCTGCCAGGCCCATGGCCACCCCCACCTCTGGGCTAGAAGCAGGGTGCGCCAGGAGGACCAGGCAGCCCCTACCAGTGGGGCTGTCAGAGGGGTTGGGGACCAACAGTCAGGGCATTTCTGGGCCCCAGTACCTCCAGCCAGGACACCACGGTGGGCCCGTCCCAGGCAGCAAAAGGTAGGCCCTGGCGGCAGGCCTCCTCCAGGAGTTCATGCCTGTAAGGGTGAAGGGGCCAGGATAGAAGCTGTCAGGGATGGAGACCCCCTGCTCTGTGGATGGCCCCCATCAGCACACATACACACACACACACATGCACATACGCACACGCAGCTTTTATGAATGTACAAAACACGGCAGAAGGTCAAAAAATACATGTGAATCTGTAAATCCTCTCCCCCCAACCCCTATCAAAAGAGAGAACAAAATAAGAAAAACAAAAGAAACAAAAAATATAATATAAATGTAAAAAATACAAAAAAAATTTTTAAAAAAAGAAAGAAAAAATAAAAACTCTAGGAGCTCCTGGGTTTCCAGGCAAGCAAGTTCAGGATCACGGACACCTCCTCCCAGCATTGAATTCCCATTTCTGTTCACCACCACCACCGCTGCACACACACACTCACACACCCTCTCACACACACACACACTCATACACACACATACACGCACACACACACCCTCACACACTCTCACATTCACATACACACACACACGCTCACACTCACACACACTCACTTCCTCTTGTTCCTTCGGTCCTTGTCTCCTGGGCCTGTCAGCTTGGCTAGCCCCAGAGGGTCAGTGGCCAGTGTCTCATCTGAGGGTGTTCCAGCTGGAGGCAGGGAGGGGTCGAAATTTGGAAAATCTCAAGGGGGAGGCAGAATCTTTCATGCTGGAGGTGATGAGGAAAATGCCGGAAAGGCAGAGGCCCTGAGGGAGTAGTGAGTGAGGGCACATCGAGGAAGTGATAAAGGCAGACAAGCGCCCATGAATTGGAGTCATCCCCAAAATACGGCTGGATGCACTGGGATGCCCTTGGTAAGGTGGCAGTTGTATGCTGGTAAATGCCTAACAACCGGCTCCTTGGGGAGGCAGAAGGGAATCCCTGATTTGTAGCATTTGCCCATTTCCATGGTGTAAATAATCCCACCATGGCCAATTTCAAGCTACCAGTGTGATGTCAGCCAATTCCTGAAATAGCGGATCTCCTGAGCCAGTGCCAGCGGGCTCCAGCACACCACAGGAAGGTGCCCTGCTTTGAGGATGCCCCACCCTCTTCCTCTGTTTAAAAAATAGGTGGCTGGGCACGGTGGCTCACACCTGTAATCCCAGCACTTTGGGAGGCTGAGGCAGGCAGATCACAAGGTCAGGAGATCAAGACCATCCTGGCTAACACGGTGAAACCCCATCTCTACTGAAAATACAAAAAGTTAGCCGGGCGTGGTGGTGGGCGCCTGTAGTCCCAGCTACTGGGGAGGCTGAGGCAGGAGAATGGCATGAACCTGGGAGGCGGAGCTTGCAGTGAGCCGAGATAGCACCACTGCACTCCAGCCTGGGCGACAGAGCAAGACTCCGTCTCCAAACAAAAAAAAAAAAAAAAAAAAAAAAAAAAGGTAAATGAGTCTGTAATCCCAGCACTTTGGGAGGCCGAGGTGGGTGGATCATCTGAGGTCAGGAGTTCAAGACCAGCCTGGCCAACATGAGGAAACCCTATCTCTACTAAAAATACAAAAAAATTAGCCAGGCATAGTGGCGGGCGCCTATAGTCCCAGCTGCTCAAGAGGCCGAGGCAGGAGAATCGCTTGAACCCAGGAGGTAGAGGTTCCAGTGAGCCAAGATCGTTGCCACTGCACTCCAGCCTGGGTGACAGAGTGAAACTCCATCTCAAAACAACAACAACAAAAACCAAAAAACAACAAAAAAATAAGTAAAGGAAATAAATTCCTTTACCTACCCAGTCACCCAAGCAGGTCCCAGAGTGCCCTTTCCTTTTCCCTCCTCCTCCCGCCTACCTTGGCAAGCTGTGTTCCTTCCAAATTCTAAATAAATCACCAAATGAATGAAGACATGAATGGATGTCAAATGAACATACAAAGAAGAAAGAAAGGGAGGGAGGAAGGGAGGAAGGAACAAAGGAGGGAAGGGTTAGAGTGAGGTACTCACCCAGAGAAGAGCTGTCCCGGCCTGGGGGTCCCATTCGTCCCTTCTCTTTCTTGCCAAAGAGACGGCCTATGGATGACTTGATGCTCTTCTTCTTGGGGGCTTTGTGCAGAGAATCTGGGGTGCCCTCACTGGGAAAGCAGGAGAGAATGAGAGCATATGCTTGCTGAGATGCCCCCTCTCCTCCCAAGTCCTTGTCCACCCCCTTCTCATCTTCCCAAGCCAGCTTCTCCCTGTCCCTATCCCTTGTCCCTGCTGACCTTCCCCGTGGGGGTCCCCCATCTTCCAGGGACCCCGCCTGCAGTGCCAAGGCCTGGGTCATTCTCTCAAGACGGGCAGAGCGGGGAGTGGGTGGTGGGGTGTCTCCTGGGATGGCCGGCCCCTCCCCTCGTGGAGCTCCAGCTTCCTCCTTAGGGACATGATTCTGAGGACAGAGGGCACAGATGCTGGATTGAGTTCAAAGAGTCATGTCGGGGGCTCCTTATTAACTGAGATGTCTACTAAGGTGTGTGTGGGGTGACCCTGGTTTAGAACACAGTATACGAAGGTAGTCTAGCTCAAGTCAGGGTGAGTTGCAGAAACTTTTTTTTTTTTTTTTTTTTGAGATGGAGTTTCACTCTTGTGGCCCAGGCTGGAGTGCAATGGCACAATCTCGGCTCACTGCAACCTCTGCCTCCCAGGTTCAAGAGATTCTCCTGCCTCAGCCTCCCAAGTAGCTGAGATTAAAGGCATGTGCCACCATGCCCGGGTAATTTTTTTTTTTTTTTTGAGACAGAGTCTAGCTCTGTCGCCAGGCTGGAGTGCAGTGGCATGATCTCAGCTCACTGCAACCTCTGCCTCCCGGGTTTAAGTGATTCTTTAGCCTCAGCCTCCCAAGAAGCTGGGACTACAGGCCCACACCACCATACACGGATAATTTTGTATTTTTAGTAGAGATGGGGTTTCACCATGTTGGTCAGGCCTCAAAGAAAGCTAATGAGTTACAGGTTCTGGAAGCAGGAAAGCTGAATTTAAGGGAGTAAAATAGGGCCAATATCTCTTTGTCTCCCTCAAAGGTCAATTCTGAGGATCTAATTTGTAGTTCTCCAATGCATGTTGTCACAGAAACTTTTTTTTTTTTTGAGACACAGTTTCACTCTGTCTCCCAGGTTGGAGTGCAGTGGCACAATTTCAACTCACTGCAAACTCTGCCTCTTGGGTTCAATTGATTCTCCTGCATCAGCCTCCCGAGTAACTGGAATTACAGGCACGTGCCACCAGGCCAGGCTAATTTTTGTATTTTTAGTAGAGGTGGGGGTTTCACCATGTTGGCCAGGTGGGTCTCGAACTCCTGACCTCAAGTGATCTGCCCACCTTGGCCTCCCGAAGTGCTGGGATTACAGGCGTGAGCCACCGCACCCAGCCAGAAACTTTTTAAAATCCTATGCAGAAACTTGACGCATGAGAAATAAAAGTAGACCAGATCTGACTAAAGTGAAAGTTAGGGTTCAAGATCCCAGTGACTCAGCCTCCCCTTTGCCCTTTGAGTTTGAACCTTTAGGGAAAGCTGAGGTTGCTTTGGAAAACCACTGGTGTGAGGGGTTATTGTTGCTGTACACTGGGGAGCCCTGCCTCTGACCTCTCCCCATCCCCCTACTAGGCTGGGGAGACTTCAGAGCACTCACAGCCTTGTCGGTGCCCTCACGGGCAGGGCTAGGGGGTGCCAGGCGGGGTGTTGAGTGGCCAGAGCTGGGAGGGGAGGGGCTGGCAAGGGTAGAGGTGGTGAGGGAGGGGGGCAGGGAGCAGCTGCTGCGGTAGCGGCCCAACGAGTCCAAGCCAGAGCTGGACACCCGACTCTCCAGCTCCTCTGCCCTCTGTTCTGTTGTCTCCTTCTCCTCTTGGATCAGCCTGAGGAGGGAAATAGGGGAAACTGGGTGAGGGGCCGCAGCAGACAGCGGGAGAGGGAATCTGGGAGCACAATGGGCCAGAAAGGCCTGGTGGGGCAATGGGAATTCTGGGGACGGTGCAATGACGTCAGAGGACTTTGGTGGGTTTCTGAAGGCCTTCCAGGCTCAAGGAGAGTCAAGGGGTCCTGAGAGTCTCAGGAAGTCATTGCAGGATTAGGGCTATCAAGGTGATTGGGGTTTGTATCAGGGTGGCCCTGATGATAGTCAAGGGGTTTGGAAAATCATGAAGGGATTACTATGGACAAAAGGTCAAGTTCAAGGTGGCCTGTAAGAGCAAGGTCATAATAGGAGCATTGTGAGATCAGGGACTCAGGCCAATCTAGGATCTGGGAAGGGCATGGACTCATTTGGTATGGAAAGTGGTGGTCATGGTATATTTGCCGAAGGCTCATGGGGAGTACATTATAAGAGAATTGCTGAATATGGCCATTGCTGGTGAATCAGGGTAGACTTTACATCACTGGGGGCTTCTTAATAAGTTGGGGACTTTTTTTTTTTTTTTTTTTTTTTTTTTTTTGACACGGAGTCTCGCTCTGTAGCCCAGGCTGGAGTGCATGGCACTATCTCGGCTCACTGCAAGCTCCGCCTCCCGGGTTCATGCCATTCTCCTGCCTCAGCCTCCTGAGTAGCTGGGACTACGGGCGCCTGCCACCATGCCTGGCTAATTTTTTGCATTTTTAGTAGAGACAGGTTTTCACCATGTTAGCCAGGATGGTCTCTATCTCCTGACCTCATGACCTCATGATCCGCTGGCCTCAGCCTCCCAAAGTGCTGGGATTACAGGCGTGAGCCACTGTGCCCAGCCTGGAGTTGAAGTTTTTGATTAGCATGTTAGGATGAGATTCTTGGTGTTTGAGGTTGGGAACCTTGTGTTGTCTTGAGATTCCTAGGGTAGTGGGAGACTCTGGGCACTGGTTATGTGAAACCACAAAATCGATGGCGTAATGGAAGATTCTTGATGCATCAAGAGGAACTGGGCTATTTGGGGATGCAGGCTTTGGTGTGTTGGGGAATGGTGAGTACTGGCTGGGGGGTATATGTGTAGGTAGCACATAGAAGACTTCTGAGTGTATCCTAGGGGATGCCTGGACAGCGGAGTGAGTGTTGGGCTGGAAGAATTCCTTGTGGATGGTGTAAGAGGAGACGGACTCAGGCTTTCAGGCCTCCAGAGCCAGAAGGGCTGTGGAGTCAGCTCCGGCAGGGCAGGGCAGGCCGGGGCGGGGCCAGGGCTCACTTGATCTCCTTGTTGATGGCCTCCAGCTGCTCCTGAAGCATGATGGCCAGCGTCTGCACGTCAGCCTGCCCACTGGGGGACAGCAGCTCGGCCCCAAACATCCCCTCTGCCTCCTCCTCATCGGAGCCGTCCAGTTCCCCAGGGAATGGGGGTGGTATGGAGCCCGCAGGGGCAGACCGCTCCCAATCCTATCCCTGTGTGGGGACAGAGGGACATTAGGTGGCTGGGGGCCGAGGTTGGCGCTGGGTCTTGGCTCATGATCCTGACTTGCCCGACCTCACTGATGCTTTTCCCAGCCCAGCTTTATTTTTTTTATTTTATTTATTTTTTCTTGAGACAGAGTCTCATTCTGTCGCCCAGGCTGGAGTGCAGTGGCGCAATCTCGGGTTACGCCTCCCAGGTTCGAACGATTCTTCTGCCTCAGTCTCCTGAGTAGCTGGGATTACAGGCGCCCGCTACCACGCCCGGCTAATTTTTGCATTTTTAGTAGCGATGCCATTTTGGCAAGGCTGCTGTCGAACTCCTGACCTCAAGTGATCTGCCTGCCTCGGCGCCAGCAAGTGTTGGGATTACAGGCATGGGCCACCCTGCCCGGCCTCCAACTTCCTCTCTTGACAGGTCCCTGTTCTTGATCCCTCCCCAAATCCTCTCCAAGCCACGCCCACACCCATGACTCCACCCCCGCCCCTGATTCCCATGACTCAGCTGGCTCCTGTTCCTCACCTAACCCCACCTACTCTGGGATTCTACACACCCCTCCCTGTCCCATGATTACTCTCAGGTTCTCACCAGGTGGCAGGACATCCACAGGAGGAGACATCCAGGCAAGAGGGTTGCAGGGAAGGAGAGAAGAAAGGGTGAGTGGATGAGTCCAAGAGATCCTGCCTCTCAACCCAGCTTCCTCCCGGAGCCCCACAGATTTAGTTCCACTTCCTACAGCTGCCCGCCCAAGCCCTGCTCAGTCCAGGACCCAGAGGCAGCTGCTGACCTTGGAGGGCTCCTCCTTGACCCCTGACCAGCGGCCCCTCTTGCCTGCCCGACCACTGCCAGCCACATAGGGATCCAGGTGGGCACCAGAAGGTAAAGTGGGTGCCTGAGAGTAACGGAGCTCCAGGGCACTGCCAGGGAGAGACCTGTGGGCATGAGGAAAGCAGTCAGAGACCAAGGGGTCAGGAAAAGAGCACAGAGGTAAGGGTCACAGAGACAGACCTAGGGCCAGGGGTCCTGAAGTCAAGGTCAAGGGGCCAGGCCTGGTGGCTCAAGCCTGCAATCCCAGCACTTTGGGAGGCTGAGGTGGGCAGATAACTTGAGGTCAGGAGTTTGAGACCAGGCCAACCTGGTGAAGCCCTGTCTCTACTAAAAATAAAAAAAATTAGCTGGATGTGGTGGTGGGCTCCTGTAATCCCTGCCACTCTAGAGGCTGAGGCAGGAGAATCACTTGAACCGGGGAGGCGGAGGTTGCAGTGAGCTGAGATCATGCCACTGCACTCTAGCCCAGGCAGCAGAGTGAGACTCTGTCTCAAAAGAAAGAAAAAATAAATAAATAAAGTCAGGGTAAAAAACCAGAGTGGGCTGAGCACAGTGGCTCACACCTGTAATCCCAGCACTTTGGGAGGCCGAGGGGGGAGGATCACTTGAGGCCTGGGGTTCCAGACCAGCCTGGCCAACATGGCAAAACCCCGTGTCTACTAAAACTACAAAAATTAGCCGGCTGTGGTGGTGCACGCCTGTAGTCCCAGCTACTTGGGAGGCTGAGGCACGAGAATCGCTTGAACTCAGGAGGTGGAGGTTGCAGTGAGCCGGAATCGTGCCACTGCATTCCAGCCTGGGCGACAGAGTGAGACTCTGTCTCAAAACAAACAAACAAACAAACAAAAAACAAAAACAGAGGGGTCAGAAGTCTCAGGAGGACAGGAAGTGGGGATCAGAAGGGAGGAGCTTGGCGCTTGGCCAACGGGGCTCCATGGTGGGGGCAGGGCAGAAGGGCTGCTGTCACCTGGAGTAGGAGGATGGTGGCCTCCCCCGCAGCTGGTCGATCTCCATCTGCATCCGCTCCATTTCGGCCAAGAGCTGCTCCTGGGGGCCGGTGTTGGAGGTGTCGGGTTAGAATCTGCTCCGCCCAGGAGGAACAGCCCCTGCCAGACTTGCAGACCCTAGCCTCAGCAACCACTGCCCCAACATCCTCCTCCTGTCCCCTCAGGGCCCCCTACCTTGTTTAGCAGCAACTCATCCTGAAGCTTCTTCATGTTGGCTATCTCCTCGCTCAGGGAGTTCTGTGGAGACAGAGGTGAAGTGAGGGAGTGAGGCCTGAGGGGCCACGCCCGTGGGGCTGCAGGCAGCTCCCAGTGCACACAGACAGGCCTGAGGGGACCCAGGAGGAATGAGATGGACACAAGTGGTGAGTTTCGGGGGAGCAGGGGCAACGATGTTTCTGGGGAGAGAAGCCCCGGGATGCGACGTCCTGTGCAATCTCAGAGGGTTCAGGGTTTGGAGACCCATGGGGTTGGAGGCTTTGGGAAAAGTCAAGGACTCGAGGCATGGGTGCCCCAGAATTCGGCTCTTGGAACGTCTAGAATAGGTGAAAAAGCGGTCTGGGCAATAGAGCAGAGAAGGCTGCCCAACTCAGGATGCCGGGGTTTAGGGAGGCCTCCGATAACAGATCTGAGGGAAAGGCCTGGGGCCCCAGGATTCCAGCAAGAGGTAGTCCCGGAATTCCGCGTCCCGCAGTCCTGTATGGGGGGCGCACCTTCTCCTCCAGCGCCCCCATGCGCTCCTTGAGGTGAAGCTGTAAGCGCTCGTTGGACTCGCTCAGCAGCTTGTCCACCGTCTCGGACAGCCGCTTATTGTGGTCATCGTTCATCTTCTCCCGCTGCCGGGCCTGCGCAAAGCAGAGCGGGGCGGGTTGTTAAGCCCACCCTGCCCAGACCACGGCCCTTCCTCTAAGCCCCACCCCCGGGCCCAGCCCAGCCTCCTTATTAAGCTCCGCCCCAGCCTCGAAGCCCCACCCTCTGTGCAGTCTTCCGCCCCCTCACCCGCTGCAGCTCTTGATTCTTCTCTTCCAGCTGGGCCTCCAGCTGCCGAAGCCGCTCCTCAAAATTCCCATGACGTTCCTCGGCCTAGGAGATGGAACCCATGGCGTGTGACTTACCCTTCCAGGATCAGTCAGGCTCCCAGCCCCACCTCCTCCAAGGCTGAGCGCCAGGCTCCGCCCCCACAGCGCCAGGCTCCTCCCCTGCACCTTTGAGTCAGGCCCCGCCCCTGCGCCTAGTCCACTTTTTCAGGACCTGTTCCTTCCCTCTCAGGTTCCAGGCCACCGGTCCTTTCAGTCCAGGCTAGAGAACCCCGCTCCCATCCGTCCCCCGCGCAAACCTCCAGGCCCTCCCCATTCCAAGTCCTGTCCCTTTCCCAGCCCCTAGGCCCCACCCTTTCCCCCAAATCCGGGGTTCTGACCTCGCTCCTACCCCTCCAGATTCACGGCCCCGCCTCCTCTAGGCCCCACCCCTTCCCCACGCAAGGCCCCGACCCGAGTCCTCCCCGCACCTTGTTGAGCGCCGCCACGCGCTGCGCCAGCTGCGCCTCTATCTCGGGCAAGGTCTCCGCTTTCTGCAGCGTCTGCTGCAGCTTCTGCTTGGCGTCGTCCAACCACTCGGCCAGCTGACGGCTCTTCTCTTCACTCTGGGGGAGGGAGAGGCAGGGGGAGGGGACGGGCTGGGTCACTTGGGCCCCGGCACCGCCCCCATCGCCCCTCCCGGCCGCGCCCCCACCTGCCGATACAACGACTCCTTGCTAGCTAACTCGTTCTCCAGTTTGTCGTTGGCGTCGTGCAGAGACGTGGCCTCCCGCTGGGCGCTCAGGTAGCGCTTCTCCAGTGTTGTAATCCGCTCCTCCATATCTTCCCGCTGCGCCAGCGCCTGCGGAGGTAGCAAAGGGCCCCGTGGACTGCGAGCCCCTGGGGGAGAGGACGGGGAACCCCCTTGTTCCCTGGGAAACAAAGTGCCCTGACATGGGAGTCAGAATGGTGGTGTCACACCCGCTAAGAGCTCCCAGGACTAGCCCATCTTAAGTCCCTGCCACCTACCTGCGAGTTAAAATGGTGATGCTACACCTCCCATGAGCTTCTAGGACACTGCAGGCTCAGATCCTCCAGGTTCAGAGGATCTGAGGCCTGTGGGATGTGAAGTCTCCACTCCAGCCCTCTCCTCAAAACCCAGGCCTTGGATTTCTCACTAATTTCTGGCATAGAGCAGACTTAGAATCAAACAGCAAGTGTCCTGGGGTCTCATGGGAAATAAGGATCCCTTCTACCTAGAAGGCAACACCTCTCAAGAGCTACCAGGGTACCAGAGGCCTAGAACCCCAAAAGAAGTGCTTCAACTTCTTATGGGAGATGGACCCTCATCTGGTAGCCCACGTGGTGGGGCTACATTTCCCAATAGCCCCTGCGGCTATCCAGGCTTAAAATCCCAGATGAAGGTTCTCTCTCTCTCTTTCTTTTTTTTTTTTTTTTTTTTTTTTTTTTTTGAGAGAGAGAGTCTTGCTCCGTCACCCAGGCTAGAGTGCAGTGGTGCGATCTCGGCTCACTGCAACCTCCACCTCCTGGGTTCAAACGATTCTCCTGCCTCAACCTCTCAAGTAGCTGGGATTACAGGCACCCGCTGCCATGCCTGGCTAATTTTTGTATTTTCAGTAGAGACGGGGGTTTCACGATGTTGGCCAGGCTAGTCTTGAACTCCTGACCTCAGGTGATGTGCCTGCCTTGGTCTCCCAAAGTGCTGGGATTACAGGCATGAGCAACCAGCACTCTGGCTGGAGTGCAGTGGTACGGATCTCGGCTTACTGCAACTTCCACCTCCCAAGCTCAAGTGATTCTTATGCCTCAACTTTTTTTTTTTTTTTTTTTTTGAGACGGAGTCTCGCTCTGTTGCCCGGGCTGGAGTGCAGTGGCACTATCTCGGCTCACTGCAAGCTCTGCCTCCCGGGTTCACGCCATTCTCCTGCCTCAGCCTCCCGAGTAGCTGGGACTACGGGCGCCCGACATCACGCCCGGCTAATTTTTTGTATTTTTAGTGGAGACGGGGTTTCACTGAGTTAGCCAGGATGGTCTTGATCTCCTGACCTCGTGATCCGCCCGCCTCGGCCTCCCAAAGTGCTGGGATTACAGGCGTGAACCACCGCACCTGGCATGCCTCAGCCTCTCTAGTGGCTGGGACTAAAGGCACCCACCACCACGCCCGGCTAATTTTTTTTTTAAGTAGTGACGGGGTCTCGCTATGTTGCCCAGGCTAGTCCTAGTGCTCACTCTTCTTTCTCATCCACTGCCTTCAAGAATCCAGGTCCACATTTCCCAGCAGCTCCCTGGGGTCACTGGGATTAGGATAAAGCGGCCTAAGCCAGAAAGGGGTGAAATACCCACAAAACATTCCATTTAGAGGCTGGACGCAGTGGCTCACACCTGTAATCCCAGCACTTTGGGCCGAGGCGAGCTGATCACTTGAGGTCAGGAGTTCGAGACCAGCCTGGCCAATATAGTGAAACCCCATTTCTACTGAAGATACAAAAAAAAAAAAAAAAAAAAATTAGCCAGGTGTGGTGGTGCACACCTGTAGTCCCAGCTACTAGGGAGGCTGAGGCAGGAGAATCGCTTGAACCTGGGAGGCAGAGGTTGCAGTGAGCCAAGATCCCGACACTGCACTCCAGCCTGGGCGACACAGCTAGACTCCATCTCAAAAAAAAAAAAAAAAAAAAAGAGGCTGGGTGCGGTGGCTCACTACTGTAATCCCAACACTTTGGGAGGCCGAGGTGGGCGGATCAAGAGTTCAAGACTAGCCTGGCCAACATAGTGAAACCCCATCTCTACTAAAAATACAAAAAAAAAAAAAAAAATTAGCGGTGCATGGTGGCAGGTGCCTGTAGTTCTAGCTACTTGGGAGGCTGAGGCAGGAGAATCTCTTGAACCCGGGAGGCAGAGGTGGCAGTAAGCCAAGATCACGCCACTGCACTCCAGCCTGGGCGACACAGCCAGACTCTGCCTCACAAAAGAAAAAAAAAATCCATTTAGAGGCACCAGAGAAGAACCCAAAGTTAGGTAACAAAGTAATTACGAGCAGTTATGGAGCGCCTACTCTGCGCCACAGGCTCACCCTCTGATGAGAATCATACATTTCCTTTCACAGGTGGGAAAACTGAATCTCAAAGAGGAGTCACCCAGCCTGTGGACTGAATCGAGGTTCCGCCATTCATGAGCAATGCGCGAGGGAGAGCTCTACGGAAAGGCGAGGGACCCAGGGCAGCCCGCCTCCCTGGGGGCCTCACCTCCTTGAGGTCGCGCTGCAGCTTGGAGTTGGCTTCCTCTGCCTTGCCCAGCTCACGGTGCGCGGTGCCCAACTCCTCCTCCAGCTGGCTCATCTGACGGCACAGCACCGCCAGGCGCTCCCGCAGCTGGCACACCTCGGCGCGCTGCCGCTCCAGGGCCTCCTCCAGCTCTGCTGTGCGCCGGTTGGAATCCCCGCCAGGACCCAGGCCATTGGCAAGAGTCTGGAGTGAGGGAAGGAGGGGACAAGATCCCAGAGTGTCTCCGGAGACACAGAGGAAATCCAAGGAGAAAGTCAATCAGCTGAAAGTAGATCAAAGATCAATAAGGATCATGCTGGTCAGAGTCCACGGGGGTCAGTGAAGGAGGTCACAGAAGTTCGCTAGGTGACCTGAATCAGAGGTCCAAGCTCTGTGACACTCTTACAGGTGCAGCCGTCTTAGGGCCAGTGAGGATGATACCAAACGTTACAAACACTATCACAAAGTCAGGGAGTTGAATGGAGCTCACGGAGAGGGGACTTCCATGTCTCACCTGCCCATCCCCATCCTTGCCCGGCTCTTCCAGCCCTGACCGCCGCCTAGACAGCTGTTCTCGAAGGTTCAGAGTCTGGAAGTGTGAAAGGGGAATCAGAGCACAGGGGCTCCCTGAACCCCCAGCTCTAGTTCTCACTGGCATTGGCCCTCTAAGGGGATAGGCGGCCCCATATGAGATGCCTCCGGTCGTGCTGGGGCCATGCCTACCCCACGGTTTACCCTTAGGCTCCCTCCCTCCTTATATCCCTCCTTAGCTGCCACCACGGAGGGCGTCTACCCTTACTCTTCCCCTTAGCCTCCTGGACAAAGTTTCCGCTTTAGCCCCGCTTTTCCCCATTCAATCACTTCCTCCTTAGTCCCAGCCTGAGCCCCAGCCCCTGGTTCTACCCTTAATCTCACTCTCACTGGGAGATTCTCCCCGTAGCCCTGCGCAATGCGTGCCCACTTAGGAACCCCACTGGTTTCTCTCCATAGTCCAACCCCATAGCTTGTCTGCCCTAGTCCTGCCCCAATAGATTCTCTCTGGAACCCACCCAACCGGCTCCGCCCCGTGGGCAGCCCCTTAGCCCCTCCCCTTGGATTCAAATTCCCTGTCTTGGCCACACCCACACCTCCTGATTGCTCAGTTCCAGCTCCTCCTCGAGCACTGCCACGCGCTCCAGCGCCATCCGCAGCCGCTCCCGGACCTGGGGATCGGGGCAGGGCAACAGTCAGCTGGAGACAAGATCCAGTTTAGGACAGTTGCCCCTGGTCCAGAACACCCCTGGGACGGATCCGATAGGGCAGCGTTGGGGCTCCTGTCTCCATAACGGGTATGCAGCCGCAACCAGCTATCCAATCTGCCCCATCCACTGTTAGCCCCCATCCTGGTTTATTTTTCTGCTATCAACCAGTCAGGTCCCAGTCTATGTATCCTGTCCCAATCAATCACAGTCAACATTCTTCCAACTCAGAACATCCCCAACCAATCACGGCCAGAATCTCTCCCACTCAGAACAGCCCCAGTCAACTATAGGTTTCCATTCTCCACCCCTGCTCTTCTAATTCTCATACCTTCTCATCCAGGGCCTTGTGGTGCTCGAAGAGAGACTTTAGAGCTTTGAGCACTTCTACCTCCGAGGAGACCCCACCCGGGGACTGGGCCTGGCGCTTCACCACGGTCATGCGCAGTGACCTCTCGTGCCTGGACACCAGGCACTCCAGGTGTTCCAGGAGCAGCTGCAAGCACACGGCATGGGGTCAAGGAAAAGAGGCAAGGGAAAAGGGGCAGATGTGAGAAAAAGGGTGACAGGTAGGGCGGACACATGGAGGAAAAGATGGAGCCATATAAAGGAGCACCGAGACAGGTCAGGAAAAGAGAGGAGGTCGGGGTCAAGGAACCGGTGGTACAGAAAAGAGAAAAGTTATGGAGACAGGGAGGAAGGAGTGGCACCAGAGTGGGAGACCAGCCAGGAAGTGGGAGCAGGGAAGAGGAGAAGACAGAAAGGCGAGATGGGGGAAAAAAATAGGTCACGCTGCAACACTGAGAGGCCCCGCCCCCCACTTCAACACCACGAGGCCCCGCCCCCACTTAGGCCCCGCCCTCAACACCCCTCACCCGCGTGTTGTTCCGTTCCGCCTTCAGCTCTGCAATCTCTTCCTCCCTCTCCAGCAGCTGCTCCCGACATAAGTTCAGCTCCTTCGTCAGAGCTGCAAACTCCTGTCCAGACATTGGCAGGATCTGGACATTCGGCTCAATCCTTTCCCTGTCTCCTTCATTCACTGGGACTGGAAGTTTGAAGGTCCCGCCCTCCCTGCTAAGTCCCGCTGTCCCTTGCCACTCAGGCCCCGCCCATTAACGGCAAGCCTCGCCCAGACTCCTCCCTTCCAGGCGCCAAGCCCGGCCCCTTCCGGACCGCCTTCTTCCCCCCGAGGCCCCGCCCCCTCATGCCCCGCCCCTGTCCCGCCCAGACCTGGGGCAGCGCGATGCTGAGCTGGCGCTGCAGCGAGTCCTTCTCGTGGCCGAGCTCGCGCAGCCGCAGCTGCGCTGTAGCCAACCCGTCCTGTGCCTCGCGCAGCGTCTCCAGCAGGCGCTCGCGCTCCGTGAGCATCGTGACCATGAGGCGCTCCAGCTCCCCGCCCGCCTCGTCCGGGCCCAGCGCCGAGCCCCGCCGGCCATCCTCGCTGATGGTGGGCATCACCTCGCACATCATGGCGGCGGTGCGGGCCTGCGGGGCGGGGAGGGCAAGGAACAGACCGGCCTTGTCAAGGCACAACAGAGAAACTGAGGCACAGCCACTCGGATACCACGTAGGGGAAATAGTTGGGGGCAAACCAAGCACTGCACAGAAGAAACTGAGGCCCAGGCACTGTGATCATGACACAGGGAAACAGGCACCGCCACCCTGTCACTCCACCGGGGAAACCAAAGATTGGCCACCAGGTGCTGCCAGGGGAAACTGAGGCCTATTATTATTATTATTTTTTTTTAACAGGGTCTCACTCTGTCACCCAGGCTGGAGTTCAGTGGCGCGATCACGGCCCACTGCAGCCTGAACGACCCAGACTCGAGCAGTCCTCCCAACTCAGCCTCCTGAGTAGCTGCGACTACAGGCACACACCAGCATACCTGGCTAATTTTTTTCTTTTCTTTTCTTTTCTTTTCCTTTCCCTACTTTCTTTTTTTTTTTTTTTTTTTTTTTTAGCTGGAGTGATCTGTCACCCAGGCTGGAGTGCAGTGATGCGATCTCGGCTCACTGCAGCCTCCACCTCCCGGGTCCCGGTTCAAGCAATTCTCCTCCCTCAGCCTCCCGAGTAGCTGGGATTACAGGAACCCGCCACCATGCCCAGCTAATTTTTGTATTTTTAGTAGAGACAAGGTTTCACCATGTTGGCCAGGCTGGTCTCGAACTCCTGACCTCGTGATCTGCCCGCCTCGGCCTCCCAAAGTGCTGGGATTACAGACGTGAGCCACCGCGCCTGACCTTTTTTTTTTTTTTTTTTTTTGTGGAGATGAGGTCTCACTCCTGGACTCAAGGGATCCTCCTGCCTCAGCATCCCAAAGTATGCCACTGTGCCTGTGCCATTGCTCTTAGGAAAACAGTCCTGGCTACCTGGGTGAGAGGATTTGGGAAAACTGAGGTCAGACTCCAACAGACAGTGGCAGCAAACCTAAGCCTAGCCCACTCAAAGGAACCAAAGCTGGCCGACCCTGGTATCGTATGAGTGAATGTGGAGAAAATCAGTGTCTACCTATTCTGGCTCTACTGAGAATCCCCCTCAACCCACTGCATGGGTAGGAAAACTGAGGCCCAGACCAGAACCATGCCTTAAGAAGGCCACAGGGCCAAGGGACCCAGGATTAGGTCACTAGGATGTGGTTACCTGTATAATGTCACAGGGTTGGTCTCACCTACTAGCCAGCCCAACTCCTGCCTCCTTCAATTTCCCAGAAATCTGGACCCCGGCTCCCTAAGAATCTAAAGACCTACTCCATTCGGGAAAAGAAAAAAAAAAAAAAAAAAAAGCAAGGCCAGGACTGGGCGCAGTGGCTCATGCCTGTAATCCCAGCACTTTGGGAGGCCGAGATGGGCAGATCACTTGAGGTCAGGAGTTCAAGACCAGGCTGTGCAACATGGTGACCCCCGTCTCTACTAAAAATACAAAAAAAATTAGCCGGGCATGGTGGCATGCACCTGTAGTCCCAGCCACTGGGGAGGCTGAGGCACAAGAATCGCTTGAACCCGGGAGGTGGAGGTTAGAGTGAGCCGAGATAGCACCACTGAACTCCAGCCTGGGCAACAGTGTGAGATTCCATTTCAAAAAAAAAACACAGTAACGGCCGGGCAAGGTGGCCCACTCATGTAATCCCAGCACTTTGGGAGGCTGAGGCTGTTGGATCACGAGGTCAAGAGATTGAGCCCAGCCTGGCCAACATGGTGAAACCCCATCTCTACTAAAAATACAAAAATTAGCTTGCGTGGTGGCACGCACCTGTAGTCCCAGCTACTCGGGAGGCTGAGGCAGGAGAATCGCTTGAACCCGGGAGGCAGAGGTTGCGGTGAGCCAAGATCGTGCCACTGCACTCCAGCTTGGCGATATAGAGAGACCCAGTCTCAAAAAAAAACAAAACAAACAAACAAACAAAAAAAAACAAAAAAAATACCAGTATGGCCAGGACCATGCTTGTCACTTCTTCACCCTCTTCACGACCCAGAAGTCCAAGAACTAGCTCCCGCCTCCCTCAGGTCACAGGAGTCTAAGACCCAGTCCCTTTCGTCTCTCAGACCCCAGGAGCCTGCGCCTCCAGCCCCCACCTCCCCATTCCCAGGAGTCGGAGACCGCACCCCTCTCCTCCCCTAAGAGACAACAGTCTGGGCTCTCAGCTTCCTCGCTTAGACCCAGAAGTCCCAGGCTTCAGGCTCCTCCTCCCCCAGGCCCCTGGGTGCACAGCTCCTCCTCCAGGACCCAGGAGTTCTGGGACGCTCCCACCAACCCCAGCCCCAGCCCTCTTGAAGCTATACCCAAGGGCGGGGGACAAGGAAGGGGCGGGGTTTCTGGGGCGGGAAGCCTGGACTTGGGTCCCTAGAGCCAGGGGCAGGGCGGAGATGAAGCCAGGCCCCCTGAACCGCTCCCTCCACACACATCAGGTCCGACGGGTCCAGCTGGCCCGGCGGAAAGCAGGAGGGACTTTCACTCAGTTCCTTCTTTTCCTTCTCTCCCTGCGGGCAACGCATAACCGGTCTGAGCGTGGATAATTCCCAGCCCCGCCCAATATGCGGACTGTGTCCAAAGCCTGGGAATGGGGCCTTGGACTTCTGTGAGGAGAGGAGGGCCTGAGGGCCGTGGGCCCTGGGAGAGGAGGCAGCTGGGTTCCTGTCCCCTTGGGTGTTTGAAGTGGTGCATCTGAGAATCTAGGCAGGCGAATCCCAGCACTCAGAGGAAAGATTCAGGAAAACGATTCTAAGAGGGCAAGCCAGCCATAGGCAAAAAACCAACATGATCTCTATTTTTTTTTTTTGAGACGGAGTCTCACTCTATCGCCCAGGCTGGAGTGCGCTGGCGTGATCTCGGCTCACTGCAACCTCTGCCTCCCGGGTTCAAGCGATTCTCCTGCCTCAGCTTCCCAAGTAACTGCGACTACAGGCTCGTGCCGCCACGCCCGGCTAATTATTTTTTGTATGTTTAGTAGAGACGGGTTTCACCATGTTAGCCAGGATGAGCTCAATCTCCTGACCTCGTGATCCACCCGCCTCGGCCTCCCAAAGTGCTGAGATTATAGGCATGAGCCACCGCGCCCAGCCCCAACATGATATCTAAAACCAGCAACCCACTCTGACGATGCAACACAGATGTTTTGGGGAGCCTGTTCCAGAGCCTTAAATTGACCGAGAAGGAAATAAAAAACACAGCAAGGCTGGACATAGAACCTAGAAGGTTACTACACACAGTACAGGGTGGGGAATAGACGTATGCTTCCACGCTTTCAATGGCTTGGGGTAAGAACCGCTCATAGGCCTAAGTAATCTAGAACTAAGTTCTGAAGCCTATAATCTAGAACCAGCCAAGAGCAACCCAATAACTTAGTGTCCAGGTCACCCCAGAACCCCACATACATAATGACACCCATTAATATACCTAATGCAACACATAACAAACATAGTCAGCAGATAAAATCTAGAACTCAGAGCCTGCTAGGGATGAAGGTATAACACAGAATATAGCAGGGGGCCAGGCGCGGTGGCTCATGCCTGTAATCCCAGCACTATGGGAGGCCAAGGTGGGAGGATCACTCGAGCCCAGGGGTTTGAGACCAGCCTGGGAAACATGGTGAAACCCTGTCTCTACAAAAAAATACAAAAATTAACCAGTCTCATAACCTGGTCTCAAAATAAATAAATAAATAGATTTTTTAAAAATTTAATTACATTTTTAAAAAAGAATATAGCAGGAGTCACATCCTTGGTTTTATCATGTGTCTAAGAGTTTGCTTGGAACTTACAAGTGTCTATAGGGCGGGGAGGGGGAGGGATCAAAAGGATGCATGTTGAGAATTGAGCATTTCCTGGAATAAAGACTGAGGCTGGCAAAGGAGGGGGGCTGTTCTGGAAATAAGGACATTTCTAGGCTGAAGGCTCCAGAAGAAGAGAGAGCCTAGAACAAGCTTAGAATGCCAAAGTGGCAGATGGAGGAGAAAACCCACGATCCACCAGGGGACAAGTTCTAAACTAAGGCTGCACTGGGGAAAAAATGACAGAAAATGAATGGGCCTAGAACCTAGAACCGGGGGAAGGAAAACATTATGTAGAACACTTCACTGGGAATCTTTTACATTTAAGAACATGAGGCCAGGTGCGGTGGTTCACGCCTGTAATCCCAGCATTTTGGGAGGCTGAGCCCGGGGGATCATTTGAGGTCAGGATTTCGAGACCAGCCTAGCCAACATGGTGAAACCCCATCTCTACTAAAAACACAAAAATTAGCCAGGCATGGTGGTACACACCTGTAATCCCAGCTCCTCGAGGGGCTGAGGCAGGAGAATTTGCTTGAACACGGGAGGCGGAGGTTGCAGTGAGCCGGGATTGCGTCACTGCACTCTGGCCTGGGCAACAGAGTGAGACTCGATCTCAAAAAAAAAAGAATGTGAAATTAGGGCCAGGCACAGTGGCTCATGCTTGTAATTCCAGCACTTTGGAAGGCCAAGGTGAGAGGATCGCCTCAGTAACATAATGAGATCCAATGTCTAAACAACGATAACAGGCCGGGCGTGGTGGCTCACACCTGTAATCCCAGCACTTTGGGAGGCAGGAGGGGGATCACTTGAGGTCAGGAGTTCGAGACCAGCCTGGCCAACATGGCAAAACCCTGTCTCTATTAAAAATACAAAAAAAATTAGCCAGGCGTGGTGGCATGTGCCTGTAGTCCCAGCTATTTGGGAGGCTGAGGCAGGAGAATTGTTTGAACCCGGGAGGCAGAGGTTGCAGTGAGCTGAGATCATACCACTGCACTCCAGCCTGGGTGACAGAGTGAGACTCCGTCTCAAAAATAAAATAAAAACTAAACAACAGGCCGGGCGTGGTGGCTCCTGCCTGTAATCCCAACACTTTGGGAGGCAGAGGCAGGTGGATCACGAGGTTAACAGATAGAGACCATCCTGGCTAACACGGTGATACCCCGTCTCTACCAAAAATACAAAATATTAGCCGGGCGTGGTGGTGGGCGCCTGTTGTCCCAGCTACTTGGGAGGCTGAGGCAGGAAAATGGTGTGAACCCAGAAGGCGGAGCTTGCAGTGAGCTGAGATTGCGCCACTGCACTCCAGCCTGGGAGACAGAGTGAGACTCCATCCCCCGCCAAAAAAAAAAAAAAAAAAAACAACTAAACAACAACAACAACAAAAAAGAATGTGCAATTAGATAGAACTTCCTTAGAACCTAAAACAGGGAAACAGGGAAGGGCATTCTAGAATCAATGGCACGAATTAGGAAGCCTAGAGCACATACTTGGAACACACACATCTTAGAAGTTAGATTGCTCCTGGGAAGAGAATGGAATCTAGAACAACGTGGCTGAAACCTGGAACACACTTGAAATGAACATTTAGCAAAGAAGGAAGGACTTGTTGTTAGAACTTTGGAACATGTCTGAGGATATGGTGGGATCAGAATCTGGCTCAGGGGTCTTATCTAAATATATGAAAAAAACAAAGGCTGTGCACAGTGGCTCACGCCTATAATCCCAGCACTTTGGGAGGCCGAGGCAGGTGATCACCTGAGGTCGGGAACTCGAGACTAGTCTGACCAACATGGAGAAACCCCCATCTCTACTAAAAATACAAAAAATTAGCCGGGCATGGTGGTAGGCGCCTGTAATCCCAGCTACTCAGGAGGCTGAGGCAGGAGAATCGCTTGAACGCGGGAGGCAGAGGTTGTGGTGAGCCAAGATCGCAGCATTGCACTCCAGCCTGAGCAACAAGAGTGAAACTCCGTCTCAAAAAAAAAAAAAAAAAAATTGGCATCTGGCCTAGAACTCAGACCATGCCTGGAATGAAAATGGAACACAGAACAGACATCAGCTGGGAGTGTTCTGGTGTTTAGAAGGAATCTAGAACATGGAGCAATGCAAGAGCACATGTGCGACAAGAAATGTGGCCCGGCCAGGCGCGATGGCCATGCCTGTAATCCCAGCACTTTTGGGAGCCAACAGAGAAGGATCCCTTGAGCCTAGGAGTTTCAGACCAGTCTGGGCAACATGGCGAAACCCCCATCTCTACAAAAAATAAATAAATAAATAAATAAATAAAATTTTTTTTTGAGACAGAGTTTCGCTCTTGTCGTTCAGGCTGGAGTGCAGTGGCACGATCTCAGCTCAATGCAACCTCCGCCTCCGGGGTTCAAACGACTCTCCTGCCTCAGCCTCCTGAGTAGCTGGGATTACAGGCATGTGCCACCACGCCTGGCTAATTTTGTATTTTTAGTAGAGACAGGGTTTCTCCATGTTGGCCAGGCTGGTCTCAAAATCCTGACCTCAGGTGATCCGCCCGCTTCAGCCTCCCAAAGTGCTGGGATTACCGGCATGAGCCACCGCGCCTGGCCAAAAAAATTTTTTTTTAATTAGCCAGGCCTGGTGGTGAGTGCTTGTGGTCCCAGCTACTCAGGCGGCTAAGGTGGGAAGATGACCTGAGCCTAGGAGGTGGAGGCTGCAGTGAGCTGTGATTGTGCCAGTGCACTCCAGCCTGGGCAACAGAGACCTTGTCTCAAAATAAATAAATAAATAAATAGAAAGAAAGAAATTTGTATGGCAGCAGGTAGCTTCTAGATCTCCTTATGAGCCCAGGCCACAGAATACATCTGGAGGAGGTGATGTGTGTTCGGCTCATTGGCCTGGGAGAGTGTACTTGGAGAAGGGGAACTCATCTGAGCCTCAGGGGGCAATGGAGTGCTAGAAACATCTCAACAAGCTGCATCTTAGGGGAAAGAGTAGAGAGTCCTGAAGCCCGCCACCTGGGGTGACATGAGGATGAGACAGGGGTTTGGTAGGGCCACAGGAGATGTGAAGTTGATGGGGCAGAGTGATGAGGCTGTGAAGACCTGGTTCCTAAAAGTGAGACCTGAGAAACTAGATACCTGCTGGGGAGGGCAGTGGACAGAGCTGGGAGCCTGGACTCCTGAATCCTTGTGGAGGTAAATGATGGGGGATTGGAAGGTGAGAGCCTGAGGTCTTGTTTGGAGAGAGGGTTGAGGCAGACAGCCTCAGTAAAAGCTGGTGGGCAGTACGGAAGCTGGGGTCTGAACTCCTGGGTCCCTGAGGGGATAGGAGACTGGGACCAAGACATTTAGGTCCCCAAGTGGGAGTGTGAACAGAAGTCAGAGAACTGCATTGAGAATCACATTCCGGGTCCCCCAAAGGAAAGGAGTCATGGCGCCTGAGTCCCTCGGGGAGCAGATGCTGGGTGCCAGGAGGCTAAGTCTGTGTGTCTGCAGGGCACAGCGGGGTTCTAAGCAGAGCAAACGCTGGGGAACAGGATTCCTAGGTGCTGACGGGGTGAGGGCTACCACCTGGGGCCAGCAGAGGTGTAGACACGGACAGGCTTCCCGAACGGGGTGGGAGCTGCATCCCCGGGTGCCATGGTCCCCACGGCGACCAGAATAGGAAAATTCAGAAGCCCTGGATCCTCAGGGAGCAGCTGGAGTCCCAGGAACCTGGGGTGCCGAGGACGGGGCCACGAGCCTGGCCGGCAGAACCCAGAGGCTGGGGCGCCCTGGTCGGGGAGGGCCCGGGTATTCCCGGGTCAAAGGCGCGGCGGGGGGATCCCCGCGCCGCCTGCGCCCCCTCCCTGGTGGCGGCGGCAGGAGGTGGGGGGAGGCGAGGCTGCCGAGCGCGCTGACCATGGACAGCTCCAGAGCGGGCCTGTGTCCAGGGCGGCCGCCGAGCCTGCCTGGACCGTGGGACGCAGCCGGCTGTGCAAGCCCGAGGCTGGCGACGGGAGACGGAGTGCGCGAAGCGGGGACGATGCGGACGCGTCTGGGGAGTCTGGCACCGCCGCGGCGGGTGTCTGGAGCTCCCAGGACAGGGTCAGGAAGGGGGATCTAGGCTCTAGGAGGGGTCCCGGGGCCGGACCGGGAAATCCAAGCTCCTGGGCCCTGGAGGAGGCGCGAGGCGGCGGTGCGCCCGGGATTCTAGGGTTCGGTCGGGGACTCTGGGCGCCGGGAGGGGCACGCCTGAGTCCCCGGGGTTGGGGTGTGAAATCTGGGCTCGGGGGTCCCCTGGGATGAGGAAGGGAATCCGGGATCTCGGGGAGGCGGGGGAGGCTCGCCAAGGGGTCCCCAGGGTGGGCGCTGCCAGGAGGGCCGGGCCGGGCTCTTACCTGCCTGGTCCGCGGCGGCTGCGGGCGGAGCTGGGCTGCAGGAGGGACGTGGGGTGGAGTGGGGGGGCCGGGCGGGGCCCCTGGCAGCGGCCGGGGCCCGGCTCTGTCGCTTCGGAGCCCTGGAGCCCTGTCTCCGACGCTCGCGCGGGCTCCGCGTCTCTGGCTCCGGCTTGGGCGCTGGGGACCCCCCTCCCCCTCACGCTCTCACTGCCTTCTACCCCCAAAATAGCCCCCTGCCCCTGTCACCGATCAGCCTCCCCCCGCGAGGCCGCAGCCGCCAGATCCAGGGGTGCCCACCAGCGCCCCCCAAATCCCACCTTCCCCCCAAAAAAATTCCTCCTCCCTCCCCCTCCCCCCCCACGGCTCCCGGGCGGTCGTGGCCCCTTTAACAGGAGACTGACAGACGGCGAAGAGCGGCCAATGGGAGAGAGCGTCGGCGCCGGCCGGCGACTAGACCCCGCCTCCACACCGGCCGGGAGGGGTCGCGCGGGCGGAGAGCGAGAGGCGGGGCATAAGGCGCGTCGACCAATAGGCACGCGGCGTGAGGCGGCTGGGGCGGGAGGCGGAGCCCGGCAGGGGGATGATGTCACCTGGAGCGAGTAGCGCGCGGCGTGGAACGCGAGTCGCGACCCCGGCTCCCGGCAGTGGCGCGCACTAGCCCTCGCGCCGCACGGGACACGAGGGCTGGGCGGGCAGCGGGATGAGGCTAAAGGTTGGATTTCAAGGCGGGGGCTGCTTCCGGAAAGACGCGCTGTGTTTGGAAGGTGGAGTGAGCGCCCGGTGGGCGAGGGCACCTCATTCTGCACCCCTGCGCCCGCCTCGGGAACTGCACGCGGCACCCCCACCCGCGACTCCCACGCAGACAGTAGTGCGGCCTGCAGGGTTCCCCCGGCGGACGAGGCTAATGGTTCGCTCCGCCCCGCCCACACAGAGGCCGCCCACTGGCTCCGGCTGCGTTTCAGGACTCTGGAGGAAGGGACTTGGCCTTCGCCCTCAGACGCTCTTAAGGGTAGGCAGCGTTGTCCTCAGTTCTGCCCCAGCACTCAGACCCAGACTGGGTCCCTGCCTCCGCCCTCCGCCCTCGGACTAGTCTCTTGGAAGCCGGCCTGTCTCCGCCTTCAGACCTAGGGAGAGGTCTTAACCTCTGTTCTCAGACTCTGGAAAAGGCTTCTCAACGGCTTGGCCTGACCTCAGCTCCTCGCATTCCCTCCACATCTCAAGACACCAACCCAGGGATGCAGGACAGACACACAGACACTCAGTGAGGGTCAAATATCTTTAAATAAAGTGCCAGGAACAATAAATACTGTACAGGAAGAGAGTGCACGTGAACGTCCAGATCTGTGGTTTCAACCTCGAGACTCCAAGGACCTGCAAGGGGGGTGGACAAGGGACCCGGGATCAGGGAGGCTCCGGGTAGACAAGAGGGGCAGGACTGGGGTTGCAGAGGCAAGGGCCCAGGTAAGTGGGCTGAGGGATCCCAGCCACAGTAGGTTCCGTATCTTGGGATGGAAGGAAGCTAAGGGCTCCCCAGGGGATTTGGCCAAACTAGCCTGGGGTGAGAGCCTGGGCCAAGGGTCAAGGGTCAGGATCCCAGAGGAGGGGCCAGGGCTGGAAGATCCAGGAAGCACTGGCCTGGTTTGGGAGCCTGGGGTTAAAGGGAGCCCGTGGAGGCCCCAGGGGTGTGGTGACCCAGGGGCTCACGAGTAGCTCTGATGCTGTTGGCGCCGGCGGGCAGAGCGCATCTTCTCGAACCGGGCCTCCATCTCCTCCAGCACTCGCGGTGTGTAACGGACAACCAGCTTCACCGAGCCCTGGGCCGCCTTCAGCAGCTCCACCGCCTTCTCATGCTGCTCACCCTCAACGCTCTGCAGGGCCCAACACAGACAGCTGAGCCTGGGGCCCGCTGCCCTCGTCCAGCCCCCACTGGGAGATGGGACCCACTGCTAGTGAGCCTGGTGCCAGCCCTGAGATGTCAATGCCTCATGTCCTCCTCGTGGGAGTCATTAACTCCTGGTTCAGTGTCCTCCTCCAAAACCTCCCAGGATTCCCATGTCAGGGACAGCCCCGTGTTCCCTCAGTCCCTGGCCAAACGTCCAGACCCATCTTTGTGGCCTCCCTGCCCACAGCCCACTAATGTCCGCCCGCCTTGACTCCCTCTTTTTTGTCCCCACAGCCCTGGGCCAGCTCAGGCCTTGTCCTCTTTTCTCTGGACTCTTACCCCAGCCTCCTCCCTGGCCTGGCTTCTAATCTCTCCCCTCAGTTCATCTCCCATAGAGTCCCAGAGTGGTCCTTCTGCACCTGCAAGCTGAGTTTATCCCTGGCTCACCCCTCCCATAGCTCCCCAGCACCCATGGGACAAAGTCCCAGCTTCTCAGGCTGGCACTCAGGTCCTGTATGGCTGACCCCAGCCATCTCTCCAGTTATGCTTCCCTCAACTCTAACCACAGTGAGTTTTGTTTTTTTTTTTTTTTTTTGAGAGGGAGTCTCACTCTGTCACCCACGCTGGAGTGCAGTGGTGCTATCTCAGCTCACTGCAACCTCTGCCTCCCAGGTTCAAGCGATTCTCCTGCCTCACCCTCCCAAGTAGCTGGGATTACAGGTGCCTGCCACCACACCTGGCTAATTTTTGTATTTTTAGTAGAGATGGGATTTCACCATGTTGGCCAGGCTGGTCTTGAACTCCTGACCTCAAGTGATCCACGTGCCTCAGCCTCCCAAAGTGCTGGGATTACAGGTGTGAGCCACCGCACCCAGCCTAACCACAGTGATTTTAATTACCTGCATGCCCCAGACCTCCATCAGAACTAAGCCCTTTCTTTTCAGCTCAGAGGTATGCCAAGTCAGTATCCTTATCTACAGTACCCTCAGCAGGAACACCCTGTACCTTGTTTGCCTGGAGAACTCCTACTCATCCTTTAACACCCAACCCAAATGTTCCTTACTCTGCAAAACCTTCCTGTATCTATGCTGGCCTGGTGCCACATCTGGGCTGTCACAATACTTTGCACTTCCTCATTATTATGTCTCTGGATTAGGACTATTTCAGCCGGGGCCTACTGCCCTCCCCAGAGAGAGAAGGTTGAGTGTAGGGAGCTGAGGCCAACATCTCTCAGAGTCTGTAACATTGCCCAGCACAGGGCTAGCCATACAGACAACACTCAGTGTGTGTTGAGTGAATGTCAAAAGCAGGGGCTATGCTACGTTAGACAGACTGTGTCCCCCAGTCCTGCCTCAGCCCTCCACTCACCACACCGTTCACCGACAACAGTTGATCCCCACGCTTGAGGCCTCCATGGCGGTCAGCCACACCCCCTGGGATGACCCGGGAGATGTAGATGGGCGAGTTTTGCTCTTTGCCACCCATGATGTTGAAGCCTAGGCCCTCATCCGTCTTGGGTAGCTCCACTACCCTGGGATGTGCGTGGCCCTCGCTGGCTGTGAAGGCAGCCACTGTGGCCTGGGAGAGAGAAAGCGACTGAAGATGAGGGCCCCTTCCAGGTAGGCATGAAAGCTGGGGTGGGGGATGTGGACCGAGGACAGCGATTTAGCCTGGGTTACTATCCCCAAGCATGGGACACTTGTCATGGCACAATGCACGATCCCCCTGTAATGACTGTGCGTCTCTTTCTGTTCACTTGCAAGAGAAAGTGTCCATTTGGTGTGTGTCTTGAATACCCCATACTTGCCAATCTTACTTTTTTTTTTTTTTTGAGATGAAGTCTCACTCTGTTGCCCAGGCTGGAGTGCAATGGCATGATCTCGGCTCACTGCAACCTCGGCCTCCTGGGTTCAAGCGATTCTCCTGTCTCAGCCTCCGGAGTTGTAATCCAGCTGGGATTACAGGC